>NC_000020.11:58782241-59399122 GCF_000001405.40 Homo sapiens
AATGTTTAAAAGCCAGGTTTCATGGCCAGCATGTTAATTTAGTTAAAGTACAAAATGGTAAAAATGAAAACAAGTCCCTAGGCGTGTAGAACATCCACGAAGCAGAGGCTCTGCCCCTGAGAGGCTCTTGGAGATGCTCAGTAAAGGAATCCCAGCAAAAGCAAAGTGACAGCTCAACAGAGGGCAACCACGGGCACCTGCAGGGGAACCAAAGGCCCCTGTCCTGTCTGCTCACCCTGCGAAGACACACGAGGCTCGAGGCTCTATCTTCTCCCAGCACCTTCCAAAGAACACCTACAAATGGGTGACTCGGCAAATGGAAAGTAAATCTCATTCCTGTCTCCTGAGCTGAGCACATTCTCTGAGTCTATTAGCAGAATCTCCAAATGCTACCCCAGGGACAGCAGTACCTGTCAGGTGTGCCTCTCTGTTGAACAGGAATATTTATGCAGGCTGGTGGTCTTCAGAAAGTCTTCATTAAAGTAATGAAGTTGAAGGATGCGTGCTAGCAGAAAAACAGCAGGCAATAGAATCTTAGCGAACGGCGGCACCATGTCAAACGGCTCCAGGCCTGCATCACGGAATGTGGAATGGGCTACAGGGGAGAGAGCCATGGTTGAGAAGCAGATCTCTACCTGGGTCCTACCAACAAAGACACCTGCCTTGACAGGTCCCACAGCCCTTTCTTTTGATATCTAAATGGGATTTGGTTGTGAGCGGCTGAGGTGGGGCCCACCCATGGTCCTTTAAGCTCACGTGACCTGAGAAAGTGCAGCATTTTCAGAGAACCATCTAGAACACCATCTAGTGCTTTTGGCTTGGACTCAACAGCCAAGTTGAGGGGTGCAAGCTGAGGATGGGCTTTGGTGAGAGTCTGATGGAGCCGCTAGAAGGGAGTTAGAGCACTGTGGGGCTTCAGTTTGTGGGCTCCAGGCCCACATCACAGCAGAGCAACAGAGCAGACCCCAACAGAGCAGAAGTGTCCAGGCAGCAAGATGCTGATGGGTTCTTGCCATGTCCTCCCTACCCTTGATGTTGGAGCTCCAACCTTGAAGCCTTGGAGCTGGAAAATGGAAAATGCGTCTTCAAAGACCTTGAGCAGCTGGGAGCCTTGCAGAGGCATCCCACATGGACAGAACTAACTAGAAGAGTCCCTCTCTATCACATTCTGTGCTTATGATGGCCCCATGGGGAACCTGAGAAGGCCACGGGGCCACCATAAGCAGCTCCTTTGGCAGATGCAGGTTCTAGCAAATAACTGCTCTATTTCCTCTACAAGTTTCCACACAGGAAGCCGGGGGGCTGGCTTCAGTCTGCAACTACATCTGCTTCTGATCCCAGAAGCCCGTCAATTCTGGCAGAACTAAGGGTCTTTTAGCAAATTGAACTGCAGGAGCTATGACCCATGAGTCTGAGAAGCCAAATTCTTATCCTTTTTCAGACAGCCCCAGAGTTTGGTTGACAAATCCATCAAAGCTTTGGAACTGCTAAGTGTAGACAGCCCTAAGGGCCACCACTGAACGAGACACCATGACCGTCCAAAAGCGCTTCAGGACGCTCCTCCAATTATTGTTTTGTATCTGCAATTCAGGCAGAGCCCCTGATAAAACGCACTGCGGGTTATTGGAGAAATGAAAAGAGCTGGAGCCAGCAGGGCGGGAGCCGGCTGCAACCTGGAAGGGCCAAGCATGAGTTTGGAAGTACAAACACCCCCGTGCAGAATCATATTTTCCATCGGAAATCTTTGCTGGAGAAAGCCCAAGCTCATTCTCATAGGAGGGTCTGCGCCAGTTTTTATGAGACTCCAAAATGAAGTTGGAGTTTGGGCCTTTGGCTTAGTTGCCTGCAGAAAAAGCAAGCTCAGAGCTGGAGGAAGTGAACCACCTGGGAAGCCAGGAAGCCCCGGGGCTGGGAATTTTGTCTGTTTATTGAGCGATTTGGGTGGTATTGGAAATCAATCTCTCCCTCTCTCTGGGCCTCTCTCACACACACCCACTCTCTCTATCTGTGTGTGGGAACTTCAGGGTTATCCGGAGGGAAGGGTTGGAGTGTGTGGTGTGGATGAGGCCATGTGACCTTATTGATAAATGCAAGTGGTCTCCCAGCGGTTTCTCCTGGGACCTCTACCATCACCCTGTGATGCTAGGAGCTGCCCACCCTGTGTGAGAGCAGGAACCAGAAGGCAGACGGGACAGAGGAGGGCTGGGGCCAGCCCTGCAAGTCCAGCTCCCCAGCCAGCGTGGGGCTATGCTTTCTAAGCCGTGTCCCCTGAGAATGCTGGCAATGCCAACACGGAGGTGTTCAGGAAGGACGTGAAGTCACTGGGCTTTGGCCTGGGTCTCG
Organism: Homo sapiens; assembly: GCF_000001405.40. Taxonomy (NCBI): domain Eukaryota; kingdom Metazoa; phylum Chordata; class Mammalia; order Primates; family Hominidae; genus Homo; species Homo sapiens. The sequence continues at coordinate 58,784,585 of NC_000020.11, forward strand.
CCTTCTGTCTGGTCCCCAGGGTCACCCAGATGTGCAGCCTCTGGACGTGGCTCACCTCTTCCCTTTTACAGAGCTGATCCCCCCACTTCTCCTCATCTGTGGCTGCAGCCATCAGGAAATGTCGGCCAACCATGCCTAATGCAGGTCCTGTGACTTTTGCTTGAGCTGGGGTCAGATACTTAGCTGAGTGACTGCGTGCAGGAGCCCCAGGAGCAGCACGGCCTCCCCCAACCCATGGAGACAGCACCGGGCACAGGGCAGGCACCGAGGCTTCCCCACAGCCGTTTGCCCATAGGCACTGCACAGGGCCAGAGTCGGTAGTGCAGGAGGCAGGGGCTCCAGGCTCAGCAGAGCAGCACAGCAGGAGCTTGGAGCTGTGCATTCACCTGTGCAAGGCCACCCAGGGCAGGAAGAGAAAGAGGTGGATGCTCCTGTAGGGCACACCCAGCTACTGGAGCTGTCAACCACAGCAGGGCTCTGTGGCTGTGAATCCAGGAGAACTTGGAGGAAGGAGCCCAGAGCAAGATGCTGGTGGGCCTCGCCTGGGTTTTGGGGGAGGAAAGCGGGGAGGAGGCCGTCAGGGTCGGCTCTGTTTGGCTGGGCCCCCAGTGTGAAGAGAGCACGCTTTCTCCCACCATCTTCACCCTCTCCCTAACTCCTCTCCAGTTGAGTGGTGCACCCAGGGGTGCATTCTTAGAACCCCAGGAGGAAAAGATAAGAACCAACAAGAGAGTCAAAGCTAAGGGGACAGAGAGGCCTCCTCCAAAGCCCTCTCATGGTCTCCACCACCCTGAGCAAGGGCTGTCTTCAGATAGGAGACGTGGCTGACATCCCACCTATGACCAGAGAATTCCAGACCCAACAACAAAGGCCAGCATGGAAGAGCTCTGCCCCCAGTGTGGGCATTTCCCTGGATTGTGGTGGCCCTGCCCTGAGCTTCTGGTCGTGTCCTGGGTCACGTAGGACCACTCACTGTGTGTCTCCTGAGAGCCACCTGAAGAAAAAGAGCAAGCAAGAGAGAGAAAGACAAAGAAGGAAAGAGAGAGAGAGAGGAGGGGAGGGGAGGGAAAGAGAGAGAGAGAAAGAAAGAAGGAAAGAAAGAAGGAAAGAAAGAGAGGAGGGAAGGGGGGAAGGGAAGGAAAAGAGAAAGAGAGAGACAGAGGGGAAGGAAAAAAAATTCTAAGTACTCCGTGGCATTCGGTCTTTCAGGAAGTCATTATTAGGTGCCACCTGTATGCCCAGCTCATGCTAGGCATTGCAGAGGCCACTAAAGAGCTGGAGGCATTAGCTCTGTCCTCCAAGGAATCAAAATGTAGTTGGACATAAATGATCCAAAGAAATTGCTGGAACCCAAAGAAGAGGGCACATGATGTTGGATGTGTATCCTCTCTCATTCCCAGCAGGGATGAGGATGGGGAGATGGCAACGTGGACCACCCTCACTTCCTCGGGCCGCCACATGAAAAAGTCTAGCACAGGGACTCGCAGCCACGGGCAGTTTTGCACCACCCACCTCCACCCCCCGCCCCCCCCCCCCCCCCCCCCGGGGACATTTGGCAAGTCTAGAAATATTTCTTTTGGATTGTTGATTACTAGGGATGTGGGGAAATGCTACTGGCATCTAATGGGTAGAGAGTCCAGGGATGCTGATGAACATTCCAAAATGCACAGGACAGGCCCACAACACAGAATTATCCAGCCCCAGATGCCAGTGGTGCTGAGATTGGGAAAACCAGCTCTGGCACTGCAGCTAAGAGCACGGGTTTGGCCGGGCATGATGACTCACGCCTGTAATACCAGCCCTTTGGGAGTCCAAGGCAGGTGGATTACCTGAGGTCAGGAGTTCGAGACCAGCCTGGAGCCTGGCCAACATGGTGAAACCCTGTCTCTACTAAAAAATACAAAAAGTTAGGCAGGCATGGTGGCAGGCACCTGTAAGCCCAGCTACTCGGGAGGCTGAGGTAGTAGAATCGCTTGAACCCAGGAGGTGGAGGTTGCAGTGAGCTGAGATTGCACCACTGCACTCCAGCCTGGGCAACAAGAGACTCGGTCTCAAAAAAAAAAAAAAAAAAGCACGGGTTTAAAGTCCCCCAGACGTGATTGCATGTGGGCCTGGTACTTCACTGCTGGCCTCTTCTGTCTCCTCATCAGTAGATTGAGGATGATGATTGTGAGAATGGAATGAGATGGTTCACAGAGAAGGCTTGAGGGCAGTGCCTGGCTCACGCATTTCAAGTGTTTGTTCTCACCGTTATTAAAAACCTGCAAACTGCCAAACTAGGACAGAAACTCGTGAGCTTTTTGCTCCTCAACCCAGGTTTTTCTTGCTCATGGAACACTCCCCAAGAAAGTGCAAGGCGCAGCTTGGCTTGTCTTGGGATCTGCCTTGGTGCTGCTCCCAGATGTATGCAACCAGCTCTCGGGATCCCTATGGCCAGCCGGCCCCACCTTTGGGGGGTGAGATGTGTGGACAGGGCCCCAAGCTGACTCATCCCCTCTAGAAGACAAGTGTCCATTCCCTCTCACTCCTATTGTTGTCTTAGGGATGAAGGGTTTTCATGTACAAGCCTAGGGTTTGGGACGGTGTGGGGTTTGGAGGCCTTCCTGGGGATGCCAAGGGGCTTGAACCAGAGACGGTCTTTCTCTGTTCCAGCAGGAAAAAAGCTGATGAGTCCAGCTCCAAGCTCTGCCCCTGGGGCTCCCTGCAGTGCAGAAGGGGCAGGTCCCACCAACTCCCATTAGGGGACAGCATCACCTGGCAGGGGAGGAGGGCTGCTCAGGGCTGGCCTGGCCAAGAGCTCTCTGACGCATGTTCCTTGTGGCATGACCAGGATGCTGAGCTGGGACTCGGGGACTTGGGCCTGCCAGCTGGAAGCCAGCAGGGAAGGCTGTTGTTGGTTAACTCTCTGGTAACAATTTGTACAAACGCCACCAGGCCCGTGGAAGCCTCGCTTTCGTCGGAGCTGTGGTTCCCCAAAAGCCTGTTGCAGATCCAGAGTCCTCTGCACGTCTTTTCCTTTCCTTCCTTCCAGAAGCCTGAACTTGACCTCAGTGGCAGGGCTGCGGCGACCTCGGCTGCCCTTGCTGCCTCTTACCCAGCCTTCTGTCTGGCCCATTCTTTGTTTAGGTTTTTTGGAGAATCATCCGGGGGTGTTTGCATTCTACTTCCCTTCCCCAGACCCAGCAGCCCCCACCCGCGGCAACAGCAGCCTCCACACATCAGCGGCACTCAGCGGCCTCTGTGGGCCAGACCGCGGGGTGTTTAAACGCTCCAGCCGCTTCAAGGTCTCCCACGTCCATCCGCTCAGTAATACGTGATGTATCATGCATACAACTATGAACAAAACCAACCCCTGTGCATGCATCCATGCTGCGTGCAGCCTGGTAGCTGTATAATACCAGCTGTAATAGAGACATTTGAGAATTGTGCACACACACAAATATAAAATTACAGCTGTGATCAGAACTGTGACAAGAGGTACACAGTGGTGACAGAGCCTGAAATTGAGGGACTAGTCAGAGAGGCCAGGGGAGGCTCCCCAGAGAAGGTGAGGACTGGGCCTTGGGAAGGAATAATGAGGGCCACCTGAGTCAAGGAGGGAGCAAAAATGAGCCTGACATGAGCTTGACTCCCAGAGAGAGGGATTGAGGAGGAAGCCAGGGGAGCTGGAGCCCAGAAAGCAAAGATTGTGATATGATTGAAGACAGGAGAAGGAGGCCATAGGGAAGGTTTTAGGCAGAGGAGGGACAAGGTTAGATTGACTGGAAAGGATGTTTCTAGCTGCGATGTAGAGAATAGACTACAGGGGACGAGCATATTTGGACAGATCAGTTGGAGGGCATTGGAGAGGTGCAGGGAAAATTAGGGATTCATGCACTGGGAGGGTGAGGTGGAGTAGCGAGGAAAATGGGTGATTCCAGAGAAATCTAGGACAATCAAAAACACCCTTACTGTGGATTAGGTAAGACTTGAGGGTGAGGAAGGAAACTTGCTTACAGATTTTGGATGGATGAGACACCATTCGCCAAGGCAGAAAACTGGGAGACCAGACTTGGAGGGAGAAGTCCTGGGCCTGGTTTGGAGCTGGTGAGGTCTGAGGACCTCTAGGCCATCCAGGGCCATTCTCCATGTGAGCCCACGCTCCTTTCCAACCGAGAGCTGCTCACTCCACACTACAATCCATGGACTTAACCAGGGATAGTTCTCCAGCCAGGAGTGAACTTCCTGCCCCCTCTCCCTAGACCCAACCCTTCATTCAAGGCAAGCTCTTCCTCCAGGAAGTCCTACCGGATAAACCAGCTTTGGTCCAGCACCCCTCACTGAAGCAGTGATGAGAGACCCAGGTACCCAGTTACCATCTTGCAAGACCGAAGCCTGCAAGAAGCGCTTCCCCGCACAAAAAAGAGGTTCCAGCTCTGCTTCTCTTTGCCTTTTACCCTAGTTATTCACATGCACATCCTGGCGCCCTGCCTGGAGGACAGAAACCCTGCCTTGTAGTCTTTGTAGCCTCCACAACCCCACGCCCAGGGTCTTGCATTGAGCCATCACCCAGCACCGGCATTGAACCACAGCTTCCCCTCCAAGCCCCGGTGGTGCACAGCCACATTTACATCCCAGTATATGCGTTCCAAATAGGCCGCAGGAGGTGCTTGCTGAAACACCATTCCATCTTGTGCTCAGAGCCGAGGTCGAGCAAATGGATCTGCGCAGAAAATGCTCTTTAAAATGCATTATGCTCATGAGTTTAAAGAGACGCCTGCTGCTCAGTGAATTTAAAACAGGAGCAAGCCGGTGATGAATGACCTCAGGTTGTTACAAGGCTAAGAAACAAGGAGCTCTGTCTGCCTGCCTGTAAATAAAGTGTGGACATATATCACCTACAGGGCTTTGCCGGAGGGAGACTCTTAAACCTATTGGACAGGAAAACACAGTTCCCAGCTCATCAGAATATCATACAATAAGGTTCTTATTCGGATAAAATATGAAAACAGTCACAGCTGTGGGGAGGGGGGCCCCCCCCCATACCCATTATGGAGGACAGGGTCTCCGGGATGGCATGACTCAGGGTCACAGTCCTACTTGGACTTGCTTGGGTGTGAAGGTGGCTCCTACGCTGAGAGCAAACACCTGGGAAGTGACCTGAAGGCAGGAACAAACAGGTGTGATTGTTGTTGGGTTTTTTTTAAAAAACGAATCTAGCAGATTTTATTTTTTAACTTTTCTATGCTGGGTGGCACTACGAAGACAGGTCCTAACCTGGCTTAATGGGGGAGGAAATTAGTTGAGGTCATCTATAATATACTAATTATATCCTTCTGTGCCCACTCCTCTTAGAGCCAGCTGTGAAATTAACAGTAGAACAAGCTGTTAGCAAGCCATGATTAAATATGCCCCATGTCCAGTGCACCGTGGTAGGCACTGTGGGGGGGTTGGAGGGAGGGATTAAAGACCTGCAGAAGCCCTTCTGCTGCTCCAGGGCTCTGCATACAGATGCAAGGCAGCTCTGGAGCAATTCTGGAGCTAAGTGCAAAGCAATGACTCCACTCTGAGCAGCTGAACTGGGAAGGTGAAGGCATCCCACTGTGATGGGCTAAGAGAAGAGAGGTTTCCCAGGTGAGCCATGTTTTCAGTTTACACTCACTTTGGGGAGCAGAGTTGGCTGTCTGCAGACTTCCTTTCTCTGTATTACAAACCATCCCAGGGTCCCTCTGGGCCTGGGTGTTGGTGTCATCATGGGGCTGTGCACAGAAACAGATACAAGATGAAGCATGGGCTCCACGCCACCAAGGTGAGCAGGTGTATAATCACCCTGGCGTGAGTGGTTTGGACAATTATTCATACAGACTGTTTCTTCCAAGATGGACAGCTTCTCATCAAGGCTCAGGGAAGCTGGGTTTGTGACCTTGGGCAAGTTATTTGCTTCTGGAAACCCCAGCCCCCCCTATCTGCAGATGAGTAGTGCCTGCCAACCAGTCCCCAGGGTGCATTTGTGAGCCCGAACCACTTCCACCACTTCCGCATGACGTTTATTGGGCAAAGCAATGAATGATGCACGGGTGCCAGATGCCCTGCACTGGGAGGCAGGCTTCTTGCTTAGCTCCTCGGGGCAAGCCTCATTCATTGAGCAAGCATTTACTGAGCACTTGCTGAGTACTAGGAGTGTGCTGGCCACAGCACAGCACTGCAGGTACGCTGCCGACCGGCACCACTTTGGCTCGCTGAGCTTGGAATTTCCATGGTGGTTTAACTCAACCCTGCACACGTTTCACAGCAGGCTCCCCACCCTCCACTTGCTAAGGAGACAACGCAGCAGATGGTGAAGGCGGAAACTCTGGTGTCACACTGCATGGGTTCAAATCCCAGTTTGCCACTGAATGCTGTAATGTGAGCAGGCGACACTCCCTCGATGGAATGAAGGGCATGATCATGTCAAGCACTGATGCGGAGGATACTCTCAATAAACTGACCTCCTGTTGCTGTTACTATTACGCTATTTTTAAAAGAAAGTGTGTGCTTGCCGTGGCACGTGGCTGTGCAGAGCCAGGTGAGGGTGTACTCAGTTGGCCTTCCTCCCTGCCTGAGGCCCACGGCACAGAGCGCAGCTCGCGGTCTTCACTTTTGCTTTGTGACTTTGGGAGGTGCACCCCCATCTCCCCCTGTTCCTCGAGGAAAACACAGATTTTTAAATCTTCCGCCTTCTCTAGAGTCCCCTGTGAGACTGACTGGCGTATAAAAAAGCCCTCCACAGGAAGAAGAGACCGCAGAGTAGAATATTTTAAATTGAGGCTACTTGCCTCCAGAAAACCCTGCCTCTGGGTCTCTGCCTCTGAGGCTGCAAGTCTCTGGGCCATTGAGCAGGAAGCGCTTCTCCAACATCTCAGCTGTGTTCCAGGATTCCCAGCAGAGAGGCTCACCGCCATAGGGGCGGGACCCTGAGCCACGTGTGGCTATTTAAAACATCCAAAACATGATTACTTCAACGTGGAGACAAAAAATATTGCAATATTTAGTCTTTTTTTCTATACCATGTTTTCAAAATCTGGTGTGTGTTTTTGCTCTTACAGCATATCTCAATTCAGATGCTGCATTTTCATCAGAAACACTTGATCTGTACTTAGATTTCGTAAAATGTAAAGTGGAAGACAGATTCATACATTTGGGCTGTTCCAAACAAGCATTAAAGTTTTCCAATAACTGAATCAGGTGTTACTTTTTTTTTTTCATTTTAATTAAGTAAAAGGACACCTCTGCTCCTCGGCCGTGCTGGCTCCCACCACTGCGGTCCAAGCTCAAGCCCTGATATAAGCCACACCTGGTAAAACCTCCCAGGGGCTTCTGAATTCATCACAAGACAACCTCCCAGAGAGGCCGTCCCAGGCCTCGCATGGGTCGAATGCCCAGGAACCTATGCCTCTGTCAGTGAGCAGCTGTAATTTTTTTTTTGCAATTCCTTCACACATTAAGCCAAAACCTGCCTCTTTGTAACTTACACCCTCCTACCTTCCTTTTGTTCCCCAGAGCCAAGTGAAGGCAAGTTGGCTGCCTCAGCTGTGCGACAGCTCTTCAAAATTCTAAGGCAACTCTCACACTTCCCTAGCCTTCCCCTCTCCCACTCCAAACCATCACACTCGATCTGTTTAGTACCCACAGGAAGAGAAACCTAGGAAGCAAGTATCAGTCCTTCACACTTTAGTAGAAATTGGCCCATCAACTTGCTTTCCTCTGCAGGGCTGGGAAGGTGAACAGATGCTCCCAGCTATCTGGGGCCCACAGAGGCAGCAGGAGGACCAGTGTGTAATAGGACAGCAGCAGAATCAAAGGGTTTATCATCTCTGCCAGCCAGAGCCTGGATGGCAGTGGAGTTTCCAGGACACTGCGGTTGGTCCTGATGCATGCGATCATCTCCAGCAGCCTGTGCGCAGAAGGCCAACCAGGAAGTCACAGATGCCACCATGAACACCTCAGGTCTGGCACCCATCCTGGTGGCAGCAGCATCACTTGAGCCTTGTGTGCCCTAGCCCACCCGTTGCCTGGGTAGGGGAGATGGCCAGGCACGGGGAAGGGGAATGGAGATGGGGCAAGGGCACACTATGGATCCCCCTGGCTGTCTCAGACCAAAGCCCTCCTCAGATGGCCATTTCCCCCAACACACCCCGGGGCCAGCTTCGGGGCTGTCTGTGTGGTCTCTGCCCCTTCTCTGCTATGGGACTCATTGCATCATCCAGTTAACTCCTGTCTCCCCATCAGGCTGCAAGCCCCATCTTCTCCCCCATCATCAGGCTGCAAGCCCCGTCTTCTCCCGCATCATCAGGCTGCAAGCCCCGTCTTCTCCCCCATCATCAGGCTGCAAGCCCCGTCTTCTCCCCCATCATCAGGCTGCAAGCCCCGTCTTCTCCCCCATCATCAGGCTGCAAGCCCCGTCTTCTCCCGCATCATCAGGCTGCAAGCCCCGTCTTCTCCCCCATCATCAGGCTGCAAGCCCCGTCTTCTCCCCCATCATCAGGCTGCAAGCCCCGTCTGTCCTGGTTATTGCTGCATCCTCAGTGCCTGGCACCCAACTGTTAGTTCCCTTACCTTCGGAAAGGTGTCAGGTGCCAGCCTGGAGGAGAAAAAGTCCAAACCAGGCCGCGTGTTTCCTGTGCATTCTATGTCCCCAGCCACCTGGGCCTTAGTGACAGACTGTGTAGTAGATCGATGAATGAATGACAACGGGTGGCCAAGCATGGAGGTATACGCTGCCTTCTCTCCTTCTGGCAGAACGTGATGATGGGCACAGAATTGAGGTTTGTATGGGTTGAATTTTATCCCCAAAGCTAACCCCCTCCTGAGCTGTCTACACCTCTGTCCTAGCTTTTGAGACATGGGAAGGGGTATACACCAGTCGCCCACACCCATCCACTCAGGCGGTCAAGAACTATCAGGAGAAGAGGGCTTGGCTAACCCCTCTGTGGGATATCCAATGCGGCCCTGGCCTCCTAGTGAGCCGCAGACCACTAGGGGGGCCGAGCCCAGCACTGTCCATGGCGGTAATGACCAAGGGGACTTTGCAGGGTGGCAATGTCACTGCGAGGCACGAGGTCCTGGAAGAAGGGGAGCTGGTAGAGGAACAAGCACGCCAGGTGGTGAAGATGGCTATGAAGACACAGAGACTACCAACAGCCACGACGCTCAGAGACCGATGGCACGTCTACCAGGAGCCTAGGCTGAGGCCACAGAACGGGAGCCCATCGCTGGGGAGACAGCTTCCACCCATGTGACTGGCAGCCCTCCCCACCCCGCACCCTGACCATGCGCCCTGAGACCCAGCCAGGAAAAGCTGGCTCTGAAAACAGCCTGCACAGACTGGTGACCACTGACACACACCCAGGAGCACTGCAGCCTCCTGCTCCGGGACAAGGCTGACCCTGCAGGTCAGCCTGGGCTTCCCTGGGATGGCCTGAGCCACTTCCAGGAGCTCCTTGTCCCTCCTTCTGAAGAGCAACAAGACCTAATGGCAGGTGGCACCCCATCTCGGCAGCACTGAGCAGAAGTGCACTCTCCCTCCCCTTCTCCTCACTGTGACTCGGCATCACCGCTGTGCCCGGGGAACTCAGCCTGCAGGCCTCGGCTGGACTCGCTGCAGCTGCGGCCCCTTCCCTCAATGCCTCCCCACAGTGCCCAGACCTGCTCCAGCCGCTCGGGTGTCTGTCCCTCCCATCATGTAGCCCAACGCTGGCCCCACCACAGGAACCTTCTTGGCACCCGCCCAGCCCAGGAGAAGGGTCACCAGGCCCTCCCACGTGGTGGGAAGAAAGGCTCCACGATGGTTTCCAAGCCCAAAATGAAGGCAGTGACCTTTAGGACAAAGTCCTTGCCCATGCCCTCAGCCTCCTAGCGTTCTCCGACCAAGAGCTGGTGACATCATCCTCAGAGTCACTCTCACCAACCTGGGAAAAGTCAGAAGTGAAAAATAGCCAGAAAGAGTCCCCATGCCTTTCCCCGGCCTGAAAAACGGGGGGCAGATCATTTTGGAATCTGGAGATGAACCCCGAAGGATCAACAGTTCACTGCTTAATGGCAGTGAGCATCTGCCCGGAGCCAGCCCAGCCTCAGCCTCGTAGGGGAGCAGACTGTGTAGCCCAGAGAGGGGGAACGGCTCGCTGAGGTCACAGAGCACACTCTCGGCCTCCCTGGTCCTGTGGGCCCAGAGGAGAGTCTACACTTCCAGGGCGCAAATCTCAGCACTTGACAAATCAAACCAGATTGTCATTGTCCCTCTAGCCCAGGCTGGGCCTCTGGATGCCGTAAGGTCACCCGAGCCTGTTGCTGGCATCCTGCCCCCCAGCCCGCGGCTGTCCTGCAGCAGCCTCCTTCCCCAGGGGCCCCTCCTGGGCCCAGGTAGCCATCAAAGTGTTCAGGCAGAACCTCCCAGGCTGGGTCAGCTGCTGACGGTTACAGGATTCTAAACTCGGGACAGCGGGTGACTGTGTGGTGAAGCATTAACCTTGCCCAGAGAGAGCTGGCCTCTGCTCCCGGCAGGTGACCGCTAAGCCCTTGGGATGTCCTGCCTGATAAGAGTGTCTTTGTTTAACTGAGGGTCTTGGGCCATCCCGGATCGCTTATGCTGACAATATGCTTTATGGCGGGGGCCTTGGGCTCAAATCCCAGAGGGCTGGAGACGGAGGTCAGCCATGTGGGTGGGCAGCCACGTCTATGTGGCAGAGCCCCAGTGGATACTTCCAGTTCTAGCAGCACTTGTGTGCAGTCACACATCATGTGGGTAAGTGGTGTCCATGCCACTTCCCTGAGAGAGGAGAGCTGGAACTCACAACTGGAGTCCTCCTGGCCCCTGCCCCACACGCCCTTCCCCGGGCCGACCTCACGCTGCGACCTTCGCTGGAGGAACCGCAGTGAGCACAGCAGTGCTACTGAGTTCTGAGAGGACTCCAGCAAAATGCCGAACCGGAGGGTGGACTTGGGAACTCTGGAAAGATCTATCCTCTATCTGGATCTCTATTTCCACCTCAAACTAAGGAAGACCAACAAAAATCTCCCTGGTCCTTTGATGGGTCTCTGCATTTAAATGGCCTATGTGCATACGTGTGTACGTTTCGGCTGAAGGTCTGAATCTCAGATGGCAGAGCCTCAGGCACCAGTGTGTGGAGTGTTCTGGGCACCTTGGCAGCACAGGGACAGTCCCTTCCCTTGACCCTGGCTCTCAGGACCGTGCGCCCAATGCGTGGGCATGGCCAGCTGTGGCAGAGTCCCTGGAGCTCAATCCTCACCATGTACTGGAACCCTATCCGCACACTGGCCAGGTTTTCTTCCTGTTACATGTATCGAGTAGCTACTACAGGCCTGGGCTCAGGTGCCCAGGACACAAACAGAAATAGACAAAACTACCACCTGCAGGAGCAACATTCCCCTGCTGGCAGGGGGTGGAGGGAGTCTCGTTGCCCATCAACCCTGCAAAGGCCCTGACAAGGCCTGCCGGAAGAACTCTTTTTTAACTTTGAAGAACTTGACATTTCTCTCTCTCCCTTTTTTTTCCACCTACAAACACCTCCTAGCACTCTGTGGAGCATGTAGTCCCCACACGCCTCGGGAATAAAAGGCTGTCCCGCCACCCCACCTACCTGTGCCATCTCCACCTCTCCGTCCACCTCTTGCTCCTCATGGCCCATGATGTTGGAAGAGAAAGTCTGTGTTCCCAGGAGGACACAGCTTATGGCTCAGCCTGGAGATGATGAGGCCCACAAGAGCCGTTCCGGGGTCTGGAGGCCGCAGGTGCACAGCATTCCCTGCATCCACGTGGCTGAGCCTGACGGGACAGAGGCACACACCTGTGAGCCTCCCGGGAGAGGCTGCCTGTCTGTGTGGGGGCTATGCAGCCTGGTGCTCTCCCTCCCACCATGGCTCGTTCTCTCTCCTCTCTCCTCTCCTCTCCTCCTATCTCTTCCTCTCTCCCTCCCTCCTGTGGGTATGCTGAGAATTCTGTAGATAAATTAGCATTATCAACACTATTATCGTCAACGTGCCTGTTATAATTTCCTCCTAATGACAGCAGAACAGCACGGCGTGCAGTTAGCAGAGCATGTGTCCTGGAGCCCCCTGGCATGTTTGACTCCCAGCTCTGCCACTTACAAGGTGTGAGAGCCTGGCCAGACACCTGCCCCTTCCACACCTCGTTTTCCCCATCAGGAGCACTGTTGTGAGATTAAATGGGTAGATTTGTGAGGGCTGTGTGGCAGGCCACAGAGGATGCTGGCTATGTGTTTTCCGTATCATGGTGGTCACTTTCTGAGCCCCTTCTTGGCCTTTCTGTGACTCCTCTGGCACTTTCATGACACTGGGGGCTGCGGCACTGCCCTGGTCTTTCCCACGTGGGTCCTGCCTCTTTGCCCAGGTGTCAGCCTCCCTGGGGAAAGCCAGGTCTTGCTCTGCTCACTTGGGACTGGGCAACCCTGAGCTTCTCAAGAAATAGGAGCTGAGTGGGTCTGAATGCACCCAACACCCACCCACAGTAACCTGTCCAGGGCCCACCCTCATTCCCGAGGCTCCCTGCTTACCTAACGATTCCAAGATGTCCTAGAACCTTCTCCCAAACAGCACCTGCAGAAAAGATGGCGGCTTGGGCTCCGGCCTTACAAGTGTTTTCTGGGCCGCAGGGCGAGGCTGTGGGCAGGGCCTTTCTCGTCCCAGCCCCAGCACTGTGCCTGGCACTCAGCAGACAGTGGCGGAATTATTTGAGCAAATTCGGGTTTTCCCAAGCAAGAGAAGCCGTGCTGTGGTCTCAGGTCTGTTAGGTCCACACTGAGAGAGGCAGAGGCCCACAGCTCTCTGCAGGAGGTGGGAAGGGCCTCCGTCCACCTGGCTGGCCATCGGCAGGTCAGAGAGCCCCGTGTCCTCACTCCTGCCTGCCCACTTGCCTTCCTCCTCGGCCTCCTCGAACCCTCAGGCCACGCCCCACTGAGGGCAGAGGCAGCCCCCGCCCTCTGCAAGGATGGCCAGCCAAGAACAAGCCCTGTAGCAGGGCGAGTGTGACTGGGTCCTGGGAAGGGAGCCCCTGAGGCTGGGGAGGCCAGAGAGCAGCCTCTCAGCTGAGTCCTGAGGACAGCAGAGGACAAGAGCTTCAGAGGGAGGCTCTTCATGGGGTCTAAGGAGGCAAACCCCTCACTGCCAGGGAAGGAGCTCAGTGCAGAATGTCCGGGACGGATAAATCGAGAGACAGCCACCGAAGCACGTTCTTAGAAACATGCTGGCAGATGACACAGGCGGCAGCTGGGAAGGCAGCAAGGAGGAGCCGCTGGAGAGGGTGGGGCTGAGGATTGGATTTGTCATCCTCAACCTACAGAGCTCTTTGGCTTTTAAATTATGTACATGTCTTACTTTGATAAAAAGAATAACAATGCAATACTAGATTTTCTTAACTCCTCTGATCAGAGTAAGAGGACCAGTGCCTCAATGGTGCGGAGATGGATCGTGTCAGGTTCACCTGTAGGTCAACGATGGTGCAGCCATCAATTGAATAGGACACAGCAGTTAAGAAGAATGAGGAGGAGCTCGTGCTCTGCTCTGGAGAGATGTCTACAATACATCATTACACGGAGAAGACAATGAAGCCAGCGTGCTCAGAAAGACATCCCGCGCTGGGGAGACACGGGAGAACCCAGCCCCATCCCAAACAGTCTATGGCCATCAGGTGGCAGCCGGCAGCTCCTCCATGGAATACTTTCCCTTCCTTTATTGTCCATTTCGGCCAGGATTTCCATTTTTAGAATAAGCATGGATTTCAATTGCAATCAGAAAAGCACTTATGCCATAAAAATATACAAACATAAGTTTAGAGGAAATAAGTATAACTTCATGTTCCTTACTAGACCACCAAATGGTTCAAGAAACATTGGAGGGAGGGGCCCAGGAGGAGTGAGCGGGGAGTTCCATCACCTTGTTGAAAGGGGGGTCAGCCCAAGAGTGCAAGCAGGGTCATGAGAAGGGGACACTTAGGAATTCATCCTTCTTACTCTTCTGGTTGTGTTGCAGATGAAATACAAGACACTCAGTTACACTGGACATTTCAGATAAGCCATGAATTTCCTTTTTTTTTTTTTTTTTTTGAGACAGAGTCTCACTCTGTGGCCCAGGCTGGAGTGCAGTGGTTCAATCTTGGCTCATTGCGACCTCCACCCTCTGAGTCCCTCTGAGTTCAAGCAATTCTCCTGCCTCAGCCTCCTGAGTAGCTAGGACTACAGGCGCGCCACCACGCCCGGCTAATTTTTGTATTTTTAGTAGAGACAGGGTTTTGCCATGTTTGCCAGGCTGGTCTTGAACTCCTGACCTCAAGTGATCCACCCTCCTTGGCCTCCCAAAGTGCTGGGCATGAGCCACTGCACCCGGCTTATTTATTTTTTTTAGTATAAGTGTGTCCCAAATATCTAATAGGATATACTTGTACTAAAAAGTCATCCAGTTATCTGAAGTTCCAGTGAACCGGGGGGTGGGGGCGGTGGGGAGGTCGGGGTCCTGAATTTGTATTTGCTCAGTCTAGCAGCCCTGTGCTTTGCGGACTGGGGCCCCTTTGAGAGCTTGATGAAAACTGTGGACTTTCTTCTGGAAAAGTCCCACTTTGTAAACAATCCCAGAGAATTCAAGGAGCCCTCTGAAAGTCCATCAGTGAATTTAGACCAGGACTTGGAAAACTTGTTCCGTAAAGCACCTGATAGTACACATTTGTCGTTGTTGTTGTTGTTGAGACAGAGTCTTGCTCTGTTGCCCAGGCTGGAGTGCAATGGCGTGATCTCGGCTCACTGCAGTCTCCACCTCCTAGGTTCAAATAATTCTCCTGCCTCAGCCTCCCAAGTAGCTGGGATTACAAGTGCCTACCACCACGCCAGGCTAATTTTTTGTATTTTAGTAGAGATGGGGTTTCACCATGCTGGCCAGACTGGTCTGGAACTCCTGACCTCAGGTGGTCCACCCATCTCAGCCTCCCAAAGTGTTGGGATTACAGGCATGAGCCACTGAACCCAACTGATAGTACATATTTTCAGCAGAAGCAGCTGTAGATGAAAACTACACAAGCAGACGTGGCTGGGTCCCAAGAAAATATTATGAGAAGCTCAAATCTGGGTTCCCAGAGTCATTTCTGCGTACTAAGAAAGATATTCTTGTCCGGGCGTGGTGGCTGACACCAATGCTTTGGGAGGCCAAGGAGGGAGGATGGCTTGAGGCCAGGAGTTAGGGACCAGTCTGGGTAACATAGCAAGATCCCACCTCTACAGAAAATTACAAAATTAGCCAGTCACTGTGGCACACACCAATAGTCCCAGCTACTCAGGGGGCTGAGGCAGGAGGATCACTTGAGTTCAAAAGTTTGAGGTTAAGGTGAGCTATGATTGTACCCCTGCACTCCAGCCTGAGAAACACAATGAGACCTCGTCTCAAAACATACGTGTGTGTGTATGAAAAAGTATATATATGTATATTCTATATACACACATATATATGTGTATAAATATATATAAGAAAAAGAAATATATATCTATGAGAAAAGGAATATGTATGTTTTTTTCTTTCTTAGCAGACAGGCCAGATTTGTCCAAAAGCCCGAGTTTGCCCACCCCGATCTAGAACATCTTTCTACAAAATCCTCGCATCATGAATCCCCCTGCACCAGCCACCCTCTCTGCTGCTACAGCCCAGAGACCTCCTTTCAAGTGAGTTTGCATAAGCGGCTGAGGAATCCCTGAGGTCAGTGGCGGGGGCGGGGTGCTGTTTTTTAAGAAGACATTTTTCCTGGAAGGAACAGGGCTGGTACTGGCACGGTCCTTTTCTGATGATTTAGTCAGAACAGCCCTCCAGCTCACTGGTCTGTGCACCAAAGCTGTGGTAGAGGGCAGTGAAAGTGGTCATTGCGGACGAGGGCTCGGAGCCAAAGGCCCTCTGGGGAAGAGGATGCCAGGACGGCTTGCAGGAGGTGCTTGGTGCTTCCTGGAAAAAGAGGGGGAATGAACGATCAGGGGGTCCATGCAGCATGGGAGGGGTTTCTGAGGCCAGGCCCTGTTGTGGGCACCAACTGGGTCATTGGGTCAGGATTTCCAGATGGGTAGTGACTTTCTTGGGGTGCTTAGGAAGAGAAGTGGGTCCGGTTTTGCTTCCCATCACTCCCCTCTCCGTCCACTGTCTGCTCATTCGCCGCTCGTGTGCTGTGGTGGAACTCACTGCCTATTTGCTGTCAGGTTCCATGGCGGAAGCCATGCTGGATTTGTGGCGCGGTCACACCATCGCCCAGAGAATATGCGTGACTTCCTGACACAGGGAGGAACACGCACGTGGTTGCCAAAGCGCTATCAAGCACAGCAAGACCTCCCCAGGCCAGGGCCCCCACGCCGGCTCAGGACGGGACTGGCCCTGGTCACTCATTCCACAGGGAAGCCAGCCAAGTGGTAAGCAGAGAGCAAGCCTATTACAAAGCTACACTCACACAGCGGAAAGGCTGTCCCCGGGCAGGACCTTGAGCACCCACGCGCCTGGGATGCCACCGGCACAGGGAGGCATCCAGAAAACATTGGTGGAATAAATACATTCATTAATCGCTCCTGACATTCGCTCCTTCTTGCTTATGTTGCTCTTAGGGAATTCAAATGCTCTTCTTTTTATGATATGTGGTTGCTTTTTTATGCCCTTTCTTGATAAAATAAAAAGTGGCAGCTGGGCACAGTGGCTCACACCTGTAATTCCAGCACTTTGGGAGGCCAAGGCTGGTGGATCACCTGACGTCGGGACTTCAAGACCAGCCTGGTGAACATGGCGAAACCCCATCTCTACTAAAAATACAAAAATTAGCCAGGCGTGGTGGCGCATGCCTGTAGTCCCACCGACTCAGGAGGCTGAGGCAGGATAATCGCTTGAACCCGGAAGGCAGAGATTGCAGTGAGCTGAGATCATGCCACTGGACTCCAGTCGGGGCAACAGAGTAAGACTCTGTTTAAAATAAAAAATAAAAAAAAAGTGGCAATCTCCTGATTTGGTTTTGTTTTGTTTTTACTGGTCTGCAAAATCCCAAATCTGAGGCCCATTTCCATAAATGAACAGATTAGAACAATAGGTCAGTGTGTTCACTGAATGGAAAGGATATCCCTGAAGTACCCCAAAATCGTTCATGTTTATCCTCTTTCCTATTTACTACAGAGACTTTTGTGGTTTTTTGTTTGTTTGTTTATTTTAATACAGAACGTTTCCATTCTCCTCCATAAGCTTTGTAAAACAAGACATTACAAAGTGTATACTACTGAGCTCTGGGAAGATACTGCGGAAACTCTTACTGGATCAAGCCAGCGACATAAAAAGGCTCTTTTGTAAAATCACTAGATAATGGAAGTTCCTTGTATGATTTTGTTCACCTGTAAGAGGCTTTCCACGTGGGGTTGGCCTCTCATGGAACTGGCCAAAGGTCTGGGGAGCAGAGGAATCAGAAGCAGAAAAGCCAGGTAGACAATTGATCATCCATCGCACCTGCATCAAACAGCTAAGGGAGTAAGAGAAAGTGCGCTGAGTCTACGATCCCATAGACAGCCCCGCAGTCCATGAGCGAGGAACAGATATGCTGAGATTTCATTAAGAGGGCCTTGAAAAATCAACTTGCAAGGATTAGATGCTTGTTATTTCCAAGTGGTTTTTGAATTTTCGGGGTTTTTTTTTTTAACGAAATAAATAATTCTATAGATTCTTTTCCCCAATCAGTTGCCTGTCTTTGAAATTAACCATTTCCCTGGCTTTCTCCCTGATTGGGACCGCGCCCCTCCTCAGTCTTTCTGAAGTGCTATTGTGTTGGATGTTATTCGCTTAGCCACACATAATGTAACTTTGAAATGCGATGGAAAAAAAAATGAGCATTTCCAGTGAACTGAAAAGAATGCATCTGATTTTAAAATGTGTACTTAAAAAAGGTGCACCCAAATTGATTGTACCAACTACAGGGCTCATTCTGCCAAGCCAAATCTGAAATGCATTTTTTGCAAAAGGACAGCTTTATTATGATTTTTTAGAGGAAAGAAATATGTAGATCCAGGCACAGAGGGAAAAAAAAGCATCTTGAGGATTTAATACAGCTTGGATTAATCAAAGCGTCTGCTTTTAAGCTGTGTGCCCCCACAGAGGAGTGAATTAATGAGCAATTTATGCAATGAATATATTTTTTTCTTTCATTATCTAGGTATTTCAGAGGAATGTGCTTCTTCCGACTTCAATTCTCCAGATATTTCTCTGAAACGTTAGCTTCATTTTGCATGTATAATTACAGCCTCAAGTCGTTTGGAGAGCAAGTCTCAAGGTAGTCGAAAACTTCTCACCCCCCACCCTCATGCAAATCAAGTCGGTTGCTCACCATTCAACCTCAAATCTCCCCTGAAACCTTTTGAATGAATAATCCATTTTGGAATTATCCTTAAGCCAGCGTTTCCAAGGCTGGTTTGGAGGATGGGGTGCTTTAGTAAGAATACAGATGCCGGAACCCCATTCCTGGAAGCTCAAAACCAGCAAGTCTGGGACAGGGCTTGGCACCCTGTGTTGTTCAAGTTTATGTAGCAGAATGGCCAGGTTTACACTCCCCGCTCTCCACCCGCCAAGGAGAAGAAAATGCTAAATTAGGCCCGTTAACTTAGCTGCTGCCTCACAGGGGGTAATTTGTAGACCCAAGGCTGAACCTGAAGGCTGGAGCTAAGAGTGAACAAGAAGATGGGTTTTCCTCTCTGGTAACACAAGTTCAGTTGCAATTTAGATCCCCAAGAAATGTACCTGGGGTCTTTGGAAATGACCTGAATTTGCAATCTGTGTTACTCCACCAGCCCCTAGAAATGCTGGGAGGTCACCAGGGTACAGTTCTTCTATCCCATAATTGTCCTGGCTTCCAGGAAATGGGAAGGGGGCTGGGAGGGGGCGGGCCTATAGCCTTATCTTCCCCTGCAGCCTCATCAAAATGGACGGGAAACAATAGGTGAACCCGCCAAGTAGGCTGGAGGTATTGAAATCTCTGGGCATGGATGGTGGTTCGGTTGGTGGAATGTCCCTTTCTCTCGGAAGACAATCGAGTGGCCTTACCTGAGAGCAAGGAACATGGCGGCAGGGCTCGGAAGAGGAACCCAGACGTCACCTCCGAGGCCATGGCCCCGGCTGCCTCCTGCCGGTCCTCCTCGGGCGATCTCCCCGACCAAGCGCTTTTCAGATTCTGAAAGGAGGGGGTTTCAACCTGATCCTAAAGTGCCTGGACAGTGGAAGGAATTGATCCCCCACAGGCCCTTCTCCCCTCCGACCGCAGCCCTTCCTGGTCTGCTGAGTTCAGGAGGCACCAGTGTCGACCCCCAGGTGAACTTCTTTCCATTTGCTCCACTTAGGATTAAAGGGAGTGGGGCTGGGGCTGGGGATGGGCCAGGCTGGGGTGAATTTCCATGGCTGGCCCTCTACTCTCCCCCACTGGGGAACTTTCTGGGACCAGAAACTTCAAGTGCAGAGAAGCACAAGTGGCCGCTCCTTCCAGTCACCGCCCTCCTTGCCACATTTCCATTAGCACCAAAATCACAACATCCAGAGCCTGGATGGCTTCGCGGCTTGGATAATTATTTTCTCATTAGTTCCATTCACATTCACCTGCGATCTTCATTAGACACTGATGTATATATAAAACGGTCATCTTTGGGTATACGCAGCCAACTGGGCCCACTGCGTCACTGGCGCCTGCCCCCAGCCCTTCACTCCACACCCACTCCCTCCAGTGTGGGCAGTGGGCAAGGGTTCCAGGCTCCCACGCATGTGCAGGAGGAAGCGTCCTGGGGGGCTGGGGCAGATGGCCTCACACTGTTCCTAGGCTTCTGCCTCTGCTGCCTGGACGCCCACCATTAGCAGGGCAGTGTGAAGGCTTGACAATCGCCCCTTCTTGTGCCTGGGACCATGCGTGGTTGGATCACGAGGGACCCTGCAGGACAGCTGGAGTACCTTAGAGTCTGCAGGCTTCCTGTCTTCCCAGAATCACCTAGAATATGTTCTGTCTCTGGGGCTGACAGCCCAGGAAGTTGACATTCCAAGCCCCCAAATGGCCAGTTGTATCCACTCGTCCCACAGCGCTTCTTGAAGGGCCACTCTGGGGGCAGTCGCTGTGTTAGCTGTCAGACTTCAGCAGGGCATCAAGGAGAGCCCCATCCTCGCAGAATGGAATACGGAAGAACACACGCACAATCGCCAGTATGTGGCTGTCTTTGACCTGCAAGAGCAGCGATTTCATTTAGTTAGACTTAATCCACTGCAGGCAAACAAAGAGATGATAAGCAAAGGCCAGGAATGTGTTATAGAACTAAGTGCTGCAGTGGAAGGAGAGCAGGGCCAGGGGCTTCTGCGCAGAGAAGGGGGAGAGGGCAGGAGTGTGCGGTGGATCCCAACCACCTGCAGGAACAGGTGCTGGCCCAGCTGAGGAGGCAAAACCACGACACCAGAAGACGAGCAGATTGCCTTTTCCAGAATACCTCCCTGGGAGTCTCCGTCTGCACCCAGGAGAGCTTGGAGAAGTCCCCTGAGGGAGCCCAGCCCCTCCCTGGATGGATGCTTTTGTTTGCTTTGTAGTGGCTGGTGCAGGCTTGGGCCAGAACTGAGTCGCTGGACAACAGAGGCAGGGCTCTATCTCCATGAGCCTCCTCTCCAGCTTCCTCCCACCACACTACCCTCTCCTCTGATGAGACATAAAATGACCCCCAGTTTGGACATGCCCAGGCCCCTCTCCAATGTGGCCGTGCATTCTGAACAAGCCGTCATGGGCAGTGTCTTCTGGAATCAGCTGTGGACAGCCCTCGCCCCTCCTCAGGCACCCTGGGGCTGGTTCTGGCCCCTCTAGAGTCCCTCATGCCTCTCGGGGTGGCAACCTGCCTCTGGAGTCAGACCTGGGGTTGAGTCCCCATCTGCAAGGTCCCATGTCTGTGTAGCTGTGGGTGGGTCGCCCAAGCTCTCAGAGCCTCTCTCTGCCCACCTGTGAAGGGGGATCATGCCAGCACTTTCCTTGTATGATCCAATGAGATGAGGTGTGCACAGTCAGCATTCAAACCACGTCAAATAGTTTGGGTTCTTTTTTGTCTTCCGTAGGGTAGCTGCAGGTGGTTCCCTGAAGCAAAGTCCACTCATGTCTGTTCTACCTCTAGCAGTCTCCAGCACTATTTTCAGGATTGTCTTAAACCCTCAAAAAGATGGCCCACTCCTGACCTTCCAGAAACATTTCTACAGACCAGCCAGAAACTCAGGTTCCCCAGGAGCTTGCCTTTCCCCAGCTCCAGGTTCACAGCCTCCATGAAAGTAGAAAGACTAACAAGCTTTCTAGAAGAGGAAAATTAACAAATGAGATGTCTTTCAAAGAGTGCATGCAAGGAGGGCCATGCTGTAGCCAGCTCCAAATAAATAGGCACTTTGGGTATTTCCAAGGCAAATGGGAGAGCCGGGGGCTTGTGAGATGCTGCTTCTCCGTGACAGTGACTCTGCAAATATCACCCTCAGCCCGCACGGCTGGAATTCTCTTTGCCCCAATTAGGAGAAGCCATTATGTCCCGCTCCACTGGAACCCCTCCTGTGTTTTTCTGCAATGTAATTTGGAGATCACTTGCATTTAAGTATCCCATAAACAACATCACCATCTCATCTATTAACCAGTTCTCAGACCACAGCTCTTCAGAGGGAGAGCTTTCTCCCCTAACCCATCCCTGGCACTGTTCGCAATGTCTCTGAGAAAGGGCTGCAGGCAAGTGTCGATCCAGCCAAACCCAGGACTCATTAGGGCCTCTCTTACCAGTGTAGGATTTGCAGCACTTAAGCCATAATAGACATCAGAGAATGGACAAAAAGTGGAATGGAAAATACGCTCTCAAATGCAGTAGAAAGTGAAGGTCATCATTGCTATTCAGAGATGGACAGACCAAGTAAAAAGCACCCTGTTCTTTGAGGAGACCGTCTCCCCACTCCACAGCTGATGACTGGACACCTGGATCTGCTGCTCTGCAGAGAAATTGAAAGCTCACAGCAAATGCTTAGTTTTTTTCTCTTCTGTTCATCATACTGATTCAGGGAATCCAAAAGGCCTGGTCACTGAAAGTCAAGTAGATTTTCTGGGGAGACGGGGTGGTGTGTGCAGAGCCATGGACCCCAAATTTCAGCGAGCAGGGACTCAGCTCTCTGAATTTTTGCATCTGCAGGCCTAGTGCTATGATTTTCTTAGTATTGTTTTGCTCTTTCATTATTTACATGCGTGATTTGACAAGGAAATTTTACTCTCCCATAGTGAATGGAAAAATCTCTATCACTTGCCACAAATAGGAAATATCCATCATAATGGGTGCAGACACATTAGCATAATAATTGTCCATGTATCAACCAAAACCATCTCTACTTTGCTTTGGGAAATGAAGGTTAAAGGGACAAGAGCTTTGGAATAAGTTTTGGCCCACGACTGGAGGACGCGGATGGCCGTGTTGTTATTTGTGGGGGTTTTTTGTGTTTTTCTGTTTGTTTTTGAGACAGAGACTCGCTCTGTCACCCAGGCTGGAGTGCAGCGCGTGATCTCAGCTCACTGCAACCTCCACCTCCTGGGTTCAAGCAATTCTCCTGCCTCAGCCTCCCGAGTAGCTGGGATTACAGATGCACATCACCACGCCTGGCTGATTTTTGCATTTTTAGTAGAGACGGGGTTTCAACATGTTAGCCAGTCTGGTCTCAAACTCCTGACCTCGTGATCCGCCCACCTCGGCCTCCCAAAGTGCTGGGATTACAGACGTGGGCCACCAGGCCCGGCCCCATGTTGTTATTTGGAAGACACCAAAGCGTCACAAAATACTAGAAAAGCAGGGGAGCCTTAGAAAACGACCTCTGCATGGAGAATGCTGAGGTCCAGAGCACAGGCCGGGCTTCCCTAAGGCAACGCGCTCAGGTTTGTTTCGTAGGAATTCATTTTCCCTCCCCTATGATGTTTTTTTTTTTGTATATAACAAATTATCACAGTATGTTTCTGGTTTTGTTTTTGTTTTTAAGAAAGTTCAATCTTATACATTGATTTCTGAGCACTTATTTCTGGTTCAAAAAGCAAAACCTACAAAAGTGTGGGGCGGGAGGCATCTTTGTCTTTGTAGCCTCTCTCTTGCCACCCACTCCTCCTGGGAACCAGCTAGCCTGGGGATGCACAGGGTATACACATGCCAGTGCACACATGTATTTTTTTCCCCTTTTTAAAATAAACACAGATGGTAGCATACGATATTGTTCTGCACCTTGCTTCACCAGTGCAATGACGCGTCTCCGATCACTATACAATGAGCCTCCTGCTTCTTTTTTTTAGTGCTACGTGGTAATTCCATCACAAGGGAGAAATGGGGTTTATTTAACCAATCCTGTGATGGTACCTGCGTTGTTTCTAGTCTGTTGCTATTACCAACGGCTCCACAATGAATAAACCAGTATATTCATCCTTTGGGCCTGCGTGAGGACAGCAGCAGGATAAATTCCTAGCCGTGTCATTAGCATGCGTCTTAGAATGTCATTTAGCATGTGTTTATAATGTTCCCATCCCCGTGGGATGAAGGTTCTGTAGCAAGGAAGTCAAGATCAGGGGACATGGGCTCAAAAGAGTTGCTTTTTATTTTCTCCATGTCAAGAAAATGTCTCTCCCAGCCTCAGTCTTTAGAAAAAAGGATAATTCAGTTGGGGCTGCACACCCCTGACTGGGTTCTCTATGAATTATGGATTTTTTAAAAGACAGGAAGCGAGGTGAGATATTGCATTCCCCAAACTGGTTTTATCTTGCTCAATTTGAAGTTCGTCTTCTCATTCTGATGTCAGGCACTGGTGTGCAGGGTGGCCGCAGAAGCCTCTCTGTGGGCCTTCTCACAATTAGTCCTTGGCTTTATGCGATCCCAGGAAGCGAGGGATTTGTTTTTTCAGCGTTCGTGGGCTCATTTCTGTGGTTCCTGTCACCCTGGCTGCTGGAACACAGCCTACCTGTCATGTCATTATTTGTAGGAAAACTGGAGCCCCGGTCCCACACCTCACACGGCCTAGTGAGGCTTGTCTGGGGGACTTGGGGGTGTCCAGACCACTAGGGGTCCTGTCTGGGCAGTAGGCTGTCTTGGAGGGGGTAGACACAAATGGAAAATTTTTGAAGATGGAAAACATGAGCAGTGACTCAGAAATGCAGCAAACCAGTATCCTGACTCAGGAGCCTGCGTTATCACTACAAAGTCCACTCGTCAGAACACCCAGCAGGCTGGAGCCAAGGGGTCTGCACCCGTGTGACTTTGTCACTCCCACACTAGCACGTGCCCTTGTCTGTAGACACGTTCAGTTGTTTGGATTTGGTGGCGGAGGTGCTCTGATCCCTCTACAATGAGCCTTCTGCTTCTTTTTTAGCACTACACGGTAATTCCATTGCAAGGCAGGTATCGCATCTCACAGGTAGAGGCCAGGGTTGCTGTTACACATCCTACAATGTCCAGTCCACGGCCCTCACAATACAGAATGATCCCACCCCAAATGACAGTTACACCCTGGCTGGAAAAACCAGACAAAATCAAAATCACCCCGGGACTAAATGCTATCTTTGCAAGGTGGGAGTGCCCATTCCACACACCCTCAGGACAGGAGGTTCGCCGGGCCTATCCGTGCTCCTCCTTCTCAGGCCAGGTACCTGGCAAATAGGGGGCCCTCACCGAGGCCGGGTCTCCTAAGTCACTATGCTGCAAAAACCCACACAGCATCTCGGAGGGGAAATATGTGAGGGAAGTAATATCTCAGGATTCTCAACGATTTTTCTCCTCTGAGCTCAGAGAGCTTTTCCAGGACAATGTTACTTTATATTCCCATAATATAATGCAAGAAGGATTGCTCTTCTCACTTCCAGATAGACATATTTCCCGGAGAGCTGCTCCTGACAGCTAGTTAGTGAGGGGGCTGGATCAGAATCGATAAGTCCTGAAGCCCTTTTTTATTTTTACAAAATGAAAACAGCTTTTTTTTCCTGATTATAAAAATGATACATGGACATTGTTTCTTAAAAAATTCAAACAGTACAGAAAAACATAGAAAAATAAAAAATCACCCAAATCCTTTCACCAAGAGATAAACAAATGTAGACATTTGGGTACATGTCTTTCTAGCTCTTTCTCTGCGTGCAGGCATACACATATTTTACCAACACCGTTTTACCTACATCAGGGTTCCAGGACCACTATTGACATTTGTCGCTGGATTGTTCTCTGCGGTGGGGGCCTTCTTGTGCGTTGTAGGATGTTAGCTGCACCCCAGCCTCTACCCAGTAGACGCTACCCACCCCAGTCATGACAACTAAAAATGTCTCCAGACATTGCCAAATGCTCCCCTGGGGGGCAAAATTGCCCCAGTTGAGAACCACTGAGATAAATGGAATCATGTACCTACTGTTCGGTATGAACCCGATGTCTGGAGGAAGAAAAGAGTAAGGCTTTGTCTTAGGACTTTTGTGTCCTTTGGTTTTTTGGCAGCAGAGTCCAGGGTCAAGGTCCACTCTGATATTTACAAGGGAAGAACTTTACGTAAATGACCGCCCTGAGCCTCAGTTTCCACATCTGCAAACAGGGACAGTGACGGGACAATGCCTGTGCCACAGGTCGTTGAACCGCGTCCCAGAAACGATGTGTGGGAGGGGATTCCTGTGGGGCCCATCGAAACCCTGCCTGGTGGGTCCCACTGTGCGCCTGGCTTCCTGTTCCTGTGGTGGGGACTGGGCAGGGGAGGGCACCCCAGGCTGAGCGATTCTGGGCACCATGGCTGAGCAGCAGTGGTGGGGCTGACGAAGGCAAAAGTCGTGACGTTCTGTTTGTGGGCTTTGTTTTTTAATTCAATTCTTTTGGAAAACAGATAAGCACGAGTCTGCTTCAATCTAGTATGCTAGGTTTTTGGGGTGTTTTTTCATGTAAACTTTAGTTTCTTTTGAGCTTCAGATATTAAGAAAAAAAAAGACAAATGTACAAGATCAGTGGGAGGCTTAAGCAAATTGGTTTATTCCACTGGGTGGGGAGTCGGGGTTGATGAGTCACAATCCTGGTTTTGTCGGATTTTTACAAAGTAGCCTGTGGTTTCAAAACCGGTGAAAAGAAAGAAGACGGCAGCCTCTCTTGCTGTTGTCCCCTCTCCCAAACCCTGCCTCCATTTCTATGACATGCCCTACCTCACAGCCTGAGGTGGTTGAGTCAGGCCCCCAGGCCCACTGTGGGCCAGGTCCTCATGTGGAAGGGACATCTGCGGAATGATGATGGTGCCTGTTCCCTCCTTAAGGACGACATCAGACCCTCCTCGTGTTTTCCTCTTTTTTCCAACAAAGGAGCACAGTTCTGGGATGCGAGCTGGCCCCACCCATGCTCCGTGCTTACCCCTCTCCCTCGGGCACCTGGTGTCCCCAGGTCCTCTCCCCAGGGCCTTTGCACATGCTGTTCCCCACTGGTGCATGCTGCCTGCCCCTCGGCCTTGCGGCCACAGCAGGCGCCACTTCCTCTGGGAAGACCCAGCTCTTCCCACACACTTTGCAGTGTGCCGGCTTCAGAGATGACCTGATCAACCTGTCTCCTCCCAAGCCTGAGAGCACCCCGGGGTTGGAACCTGACTCATTTTGCCCAGGACTGTATGGACTCTGGGGATAGGCCATGATATTTGAAGGAAAGAGGTAGGGAAGAAAGGAGATCCTTCCATCTTTAAAAGTGTGAATTTTTTTTGTTGTTTTTTTGCCTTCCACATCGCAATCTTCCATATTCAGGTGGTTCAGGAAAACAGGAGCTCTCACTGCCTACTCCTCTCTTCCTCTTCTGGGGGCCAAGGTGAGCCACTCCCATTAGTGGATTCGGGAGATGCATCCATTAGGCCACCTGCCCATGGCCCGGGTGGCCGCCTCTGCCGCCAGCCGGTGCGTGGGAGAAGCGATGACCCAGCACTTCCCCAGCATGAGTGACCAAATAGCCGCTCTAGCCTTTCCCAAGAAGCCATCCTCTGTCCATAATGGAGAAATTATGTGAGGCGTAATTTATAGTAAAAATCAAATGAACATTAATTCTGGTGAGTCATCCATGCAGAAAGGGCATCGGCTATGGATGTGGGCTGCCGCCGAGTACAGCTGAATGTTTAATCAAACTGAGCCAAGACTGCGCCACAGGTTGTGGTTCCTGAAGTTTGGAGGTGCTGGGGTTTGAGCCCTCCCCATGGCCGCAGGATACACCTACGCCACCTCAGAGGGGTCCTGAGCTAGGAGGGGACTTGGCGAATAGTCCATCCACCTCCTTTATTTTACAAATGGGCACTGGAAGACCAGTGGGGAGACACCAAACTCATCAGCAAGCCTCTGCCCCCCAGCCTCCCCATCCCTGTCCACATGGCGGCCCAGCCCACATCCTCCACCACTCTCCCTGCTCCTCACAGCTGCGGGCAGCCACCTTCCAGGCTGCTTAGACCCTGTTCCTCTTCTGTCTGCCCTCGGTCACCTCCTCCCTGGTTCAGGTACTGTGACATTGTCCCAGGAAGACTCCAATAGTACCAACTTTCCATGTCTCTTGACTTCCACTCTGGCCTCCAATGGCATTCTAGAAGGAACTTTACAAAATGCAAAATGGGGTGTGTCACTGTCTATGTGAAACAATGGCTCGCACCCCCGGGGAAAATCCAGGCTGGAGGGCGAGAGGAGGTCAAGGTCTTCCCAAGCGGTCGTCATCCTCACGTGGGCACCTTTCCCTTTTGCTTGGCTGTCTGGCCACGTCCTCCAGGAAGCCCTCCCTGTACCTTCCTGCTAAGCTCCTGCTATTCACTTGGCCAGGGTCTGTCTCAGGCATGGGCTTTAAGCTCCATGAGGACAGGCTCATGTCCATCTTGCCCTCCTCCAGGCCCAGATAAGGGTCTGGCATGCAGTAGGTGTGCATTTGTCTTGTGGACTGTCTGCTTGGAGGCATGGATGATGATGGCTTGCCACAGGGAGCTGGTGATGGTGCTAGGGACCCCTCTTTTCTTCCTCTTCCCCTGGCCTTTCTAGGACTGTCCAGAAGGAAGCTGTTCCTTCAGAAAGCTGAGGAGGGGGCACCCTCATTCCCACCCTCATCCCTGCCTTTCACTTGACATTGCAGCAAGGCCAGGTGTGTCCTTCCACCCGGCCTGGACTGCAGGCCAGTCCTCCCAATTTGGTGTGAAACAGCAGGCCACAGATGGCTGCATTCAAAGGCAAGTGCAAATGCCTGGTGCACGAGCACATTTTCTTTTTGAGAGGGTGGCATCAGCCCAGATTCACCTCTAATTACAAGACCGTCTTGCCTTTTGAGAAAGTGAAGAATTTCAGGGGAGTGTGGGAAGATGTTTGTGGGCAGGCAGGACTCCCCGGCTCTCCTTCTGCCAGGAGTGCGCTCTGGGTTTCTTAGACTTGTGGAAACCACTGCCAACAGCCAGGAAGGCGGGACCGACAGAGCCTCAGGCCCCAGGACATCTCTGCTAGGCGGCCCCAGCTGGCCAGCGAGTCTCTTGACCATGGCCTTCGTTTTGGAGGCAGCTTGGGTCTTCCCTAGCAGCGTGTCCCACACTGTAAACAGGAGCATGCAGCAGCTTCCAGGGCACCCCACAATGCCCTGCCTGCACCCCCACTCAAACCCAGCACCCACCCCCTCCATCTCACCCACTGCACATCTGTGGCTCCAGCCAAAGCCCCAGGTGCCTCCTGGACACTGACCCTTCCTTCACTGCCTGCGCTGCCCACCCACCTTCCCCACCTTCCTCATGTCGCCCCCCCGTAATCCTCTCTCACCTGAGCTGCCACAGCTGCCGGGAAAAGGAGCTTCTGCTCACCCATTACGGGCGTGGTCATGTCACTCCCACATGCGCGCGCGCACACACACACACACACACACACACTGCACAAGTTCAGATGCTACAAGTGTACACACATACTGTTATGTGCACTCACACACACAAATACATGTGCACACAAATGCTGCACACGTGTGCACACACTCCACATGCAGCTATGTTCCCCCATACCCCTTCATCCCAGAATGTCCCCACCATGTAGGTGGAGGGGCATTATCTCTGTGTCCCTCCCATGGCCCACAGGGGACTCACCTTCTCTGACCTTGCCTGCTGCTCTCCTCTTCCCCTGGCTCACATGTGGGAGATCAGAGCATCAGGTGTGAGGGTGTTGGGGGCAGGCTGCAATTTCACAGCCCTGTTTTTTTCTGTAGCACCAATCTCTCCCAGAAGGCGTGATGCCTCCGTTTCTCTGTTTAGAGTCTGCCTGCACCACTCCTAGCTCATGAGTGCTGGGTCACAACTGTTTATATCTCACACACACACACACACACTTTAAATAAACTTTTTATTTTAAACTTTTAGATTTACAGAAAAGTTGAAAAGCTAGTGCCGAGCTTCTGTGTCTCCAACACCCAGGTTCTACCACTTATACTGCCATGTGATTTGTCACCACGAATGAACAGTATTGCCTGAAGCCCGCGCAGTGTGCAGACATCACTGGCTTCTCCCTAATGCCCTCTCTGTGCTCCAGGACTCCATCCAGAAGCCTACGTGACATTTCATCATCACATCTCCTGAGGCTCCTCCAGGCTTGGCTGAGTCTCTCAGCTTTTCCTTGATTTTGATAACCTTGACCATTTTGAGGAGTGCCAGTCAGGTATTTTGTAGATTGTCCCACAATTCGGGTGATCTGATGTTTGGTTCATGGTTACATTGGGATGATGCAGTTGGGGAAGGAAGACCATGTGGTATCCAGGGTATGTATTAGGCACAGGAGGATCCCTGATGACACGGGCCTCCAGCTGGCTAAGACACAGCTGCCCAGGTTTCTCCTCAGTGAAGACCGTTTCCCACCTTCAATGTGTACTCTTTGGAAGCAAGTCACTAAGCACTGTGCATACTTCAGGGGTGGGGAGCTACGTTCTATCTCCTTGAGGGGAAGTATCTACCGGAATTATTTGGAATTATTCTGTGCAAGAGATTTGTCTCTTCCATCTACTTATTGAATGATTTATATCAGTCTGGACCTGTGGATATTCTATGCATTGGGTCACAGTCCAGTTCTGCTTTGCTAGTCCCATGTCCCAGCTGTGACCCTTGGGAGCTCCTTCTGTCAGCTCCTGTGTCCCTGAAACCTGCCGCCATTGCTGGGGTACTTCCTTCCTGACACCACATGATGCTCCAGGCTCACCTCGCAGTCTTTGCTCCAACCAAAGAATAAGTCTTTTTTTTTTTTTTGAAACAGGGTCTCTGTCACCCAGGCTGGAGTGCAGTGGTGCAATCCCAGCTCACTGCAACCTCCACTTCCTGGGTTCAAGCAATTCTTGTGCCTCAGCCTCCCGAGTAGCTGGGACTACAGGCATGCACCACCACGGCCAGCTAACTTTTGTATTTTTAGTAGAGATGGGGGTTTCACCATGTTGGCCAGGCTGGTCTTGAACTCCTGGCTTCAAGTGATCTGCCCATCTCAGCTTCCCAAAGTGCTAGGATTACAGGCACGAGCCACCATGCTCAGCCAGAATAAGCGATTTTCACCAAAAGCCTGGTTCCTTTTATGGGAGAATGGCGCCACCAACTAAGGCCTGGGTGGCCTCACTGCTTCAAGGTCCTCTGGGAGCCCCTGGAAAGAACCAGGCAATAAAAGGGCATATACTAACCCTCTCTGCACACCTATGGAGACAAGTCTTTCTCTATCCACCAGACTCTGTATTAAGCGACACATCACACATCACCAGGACTCCCGGGAAGTCACAGATTTTCTCTATGTCAACGATCCTGGGCCAGCAGTTTAGCTCACGTTTACAGAGAGCAACCAGCCAGGTGGCAAATGCATCTATCTTTTTTTGGCGTTGGTGGTGGTGGCTCCTAGCATCTAGCTCGGGGAGCTGCTGAACACTCTATAATCCCCAGGACGGCCCCCACCAGGGATGGAAGCAGCCCTGAAGGTCAGCAGTGCTAGGGTGAAGGCCTGGGGTGCACAGATGCCGCAGGAGGGAAGCCTGGGAGAGCCGCTGCTGCTCCCCTGCCCCGCTTCATTTCCCAGCATGCCGCTTTTCCACACACGACACAGCCCACCCACTTCCTGTTGGTGGTCTGTCTCTCCCCTCCAGAAGCAAGCTCCATGCAGAAAGGGCTCTTCCCTCTTCTGTGACTGCCGTGTTCCACCCACATGGCTGGGCCCTCGGGAGGGCTCGGTGTCTAATGATCCCATGGGGAAAGGGGAGCTGGAATGGGGCAGAAGCCACCAGAAGGAAGGTCAGCCTTGGAAAGGAATCACAGTGGGTTTTCCCGAGACAGAGGGGCGAGTGGCAGGTGGGGTGACAGAAGGGAGGCCAACCCTGCAGCAGGGCTGGGGGCAGTGAGGGCTGCAGGGCCTGGGGGCAGGGCTCCCATGAACTGTGCTACGGCACAGCCCAGGCATGGGGACACCCAAAAGAGAGGGCTGGGGTGCCAGCCTTAGCGGGAACAAGCAGGGAGCCCCCCACACCCCCACCTCAAGCTATGTCTCAAGGCCTGAGCCCCTGGGGCGTGCGCTTGCGTGTGAGTGAAGGCCTCTCTGCTCTCTTCCTGGCCTTCCCCAGCGCCCCTGGCCTCTTGCCCCATTCACACAAGGCCTTTTCCGCCTGGTACCTCAGCTGTGGGGCCTGGCTGGTGTAACTCATGGGGCCCCAGTGGGGGGCAGAGGGGCCACTGGTTTCCTGGCCTGCTGTCTCCACCAGGGTCTGGATCCAGGCACTTCTGCTGACAGCGCCCAGCGCGGGGCCACCATGTGCCCAGCGGCCTCCTGCAGAGAGGCCCCTGGGGAAGCTCCCCACTGGCCCCCTTTCCCCTGCCTAAGGGGAGGCCACAGCCACGGGAAGGGCTCAAGAATGGACTTCAGGGGTCCCTGAGACCCCAGAACTTTCAACTCTGAGTGACGTTCTTGCACTGGGAAGGGCCACTGTTCCTGCAGGTCCGGACTCTATTTTGGAGACTCCGCCAGCTCTAGCAGGAGGGAGGCTCACCCTTGCTTCTGCCCTCAGGACAGATGTGGGGACACTTTGCACCCCAAGTCCTCCTAGCCATGCCCGGCACCTCCCACCAAGTCTTGTCCACACAGGGAGCGTCAGGCCACCCTGCCTGTCACACCCCAGTTGCCTTCCTGTCTTTTCATCTTTTTGCTCTGTCCATCCACTCATCCATTGGTCCGTCCAGCAATAACCTGAGACCTGCTCCGTCCTAAGTGTATGAGAGAGTTCTGCCCTTTGGGGTTTAGTCTGGTGGGGGAGACAGGTGTTAAGACAGTGAGCCCGCAACTCCCCGCTGCGCTAATGCCATGAAGGCAGGGCCAGCCGCAGCAAGAGGAATCACAGTGGGGGCAACTGGTTCCACGCAGGAGTTGAGGGTGCCATGTTTCCAGCATGACCCCCAAGCAGCCACCATGAGTCAGAAGCAACCCAAGACCGTCAGACACTGCGCACTTGCTTCGAGGACTCTAGCAAGCAGAGCTGGGCTCTATGAAGAGTAAATACAAGAGCAAACATCCACCACTCTTTCTACACAAGTTTATTAGGCACCTGCTGGGTATCACGTGTGGAGACAAGCTGGACAACGTAACAATCCGCAAGGCAGCTACGGCCTTGCCCTGGAGCTCCCAGTCTAGCAGGGGTGGAAAACAGGTAAGCCCCCCAGCGGAAGCCCCAGACCTGGCATGCTGTGAGGTCGGGGAAGGAGCGGGGGCTTTCCCGAGGAGGCGTCAGTGAGGGTGGAGAGAGCCTCCGGAAGGGGAGCGGGCACCGGCGAGGATGGCACCGCATCCTGCAGGTGCTCGTGGCTGAGGGTGGGAGGTAGGTAAAACTCCCGGCAGTGGGGACCCACGGGAGACTGTGGCAGAGGCGCGGCACGGCGAGTTCACCATTCCCCAGTGCCCGGCCGCCCCAGGGGACTCAGCAGCTGACATGACAGGGGCCCCTCTTGTATCGACTGTCCTGTCTCCACTCCTGGCACACAGCTGCGGGTGCAGCGCTCTTCAGAGCCCTTCAGGAGAGCCTCCACCCAACCCTCTGAATTAGGCACAACAGGATTGAGGGGGGGCCCTCTGGAAGGGTCCTTTCTCCTCACCTCCCACATGAGGCTGGGCCTGATTTCACAATTTCACTCAGGATCTTCCCTCCTCAATCCTCCCAGCCCTGTCCCATCTCAGTGGCCTGTGGTGGACCCCAGATCCACAGACACAGGCCCTCTCCGCACAAGGGCTCACGTGGTCCCCAGCCAAGGCCCCTACAGCACTTTCTACGGAGCCCTCTTCCCAAACATGCACATCCAGCTTGCCTCTCAGCCACCCCGCCTCCATCTCAGCTCCAAGGAGGCCTTGGCAGCAGGCTCGGGGCGCCATGGAACGGTTCACTGCGTCTCTGCCCTGGCCTCACGTGCTGCCGGCTGGCCTTGCCATTCATCTTCTGAAGGCTATTCTCTGATGGCTCTGCTGGCCACCTTGATCTGAGTGGCAGGTCTGTGCTAACAGTGTTTTGTGTGGGGCCCTGGGAGAAGAGTCCATGAACCACTGCCTAACTCAAGTGCTGCCACGGTGAAGCACCCCTGCCTAGTTCTGAACAGACGCAGCACATCAAAGGGGAGCCGGCAGCTCACTCCTGAGCAAAGCAGCAGGCTAGTTCCTCACAGTCAAGGAAAACCACTGGGAGAACCTCCCTGCTTCTGCTGAAGACCTGAGCTGCTTCTCCCGGGTCCCCCAGTGCTGACAGGCCTCTAGCATCAGGTCCATGTGGCTGATTCTGGAGATCTTTAGGAGGATGGGACTGGCTGTTGAGAACTGTCAGTATGAGTCTGTCTGGCTACTCTGCCTGGGAACATTCACTGAGACATAAAGAAGATATTAAATAGCTGGAAAATTAGGAACCCAGCTAGGGCTGGAGGGGAGGTCTTAGAGGATCATTCTGTAAGTGCTGCCGGGGAAGGAACAACGGTGAGGGCTCAGGCTGGCTCTCTCTAGGGTCCTCCACAGGAGGAAGAAGACCACAAATCTAACCAGCCTAGCAGCCCCAGATACACAGAGCACATGTGGACAAAGCTGTGGCTGCCTGCATTCCATGGGATCATCTTGTATGCAGCAGTAAGAAGGGTCTGTTCTATGACTGCTCTGCTGCCTTTTTTTTTTTTTTAACAGCAGCTGGTTTGGAGTCTCCCACGTATTGCCTGAGGTGGTTTGGTGGTAACCAGCTAACAAAAATCCTTTCATTTTAGGTGCCTGTGGGTGGTGTGGTCGCCACCAAGAATGAGTCAAGCCATTTCTAAAGAATCCACAGTAGGCTCTGTCTGACAGGGTGCATCTGGGAGGGCCTGCCGGGCCTTTATTCAACACTAGATACGCCCCATCTCCAATTCTAATGGACATGTGCAGAAAATGTGATACAGAAACCTGCAGAGCAGCCAGTTCCCAGCGGACGTCAGAGATCAGCTCTTACCTCAAGGATCTTGCTCACCAAACTCTCTTTGCTTATCAAACCTTTCTTTCAGAGGGCAAAGGTTAACTCCCATCTAGAAGAGGTTGAAGTACTATGGTTTTCAAACCAGGAACGTGGCACTAATGAGGCGGAGCTCTGGAGAGGCACAGCTGCAGAAGGTTCCAGGGACCCTTGGAAGCAGACAGGGACCCTTGGGAGCAGACAGGTTTGGAATAAAAACAAAGAGAAAAACAGGGCAAAGGATTAACAACAGAAATGAAACCAGGCGCACACACACTCACCTGCGGCATGATCGCCTGCGGTCACACTCCAACTTGATATCTTGCTTCCAACGGCCAGAACGGCCATCAGTGGAACTTACTTTCACGGGCAATCTTTAGGCTGTTGTTTATTGTTGATTTAAGAGAGAAGCAGTTATGGTTTTGAAAACATGGCCCTTTTTCTGATGGGGGGAGAGCAGGTTTCAATGAAATGGGTGTGGAGTCCCAATCTCCAAGGCCTTTGTGTCTGATCTGAGAGAAGCCATCTGCCAGAGTCAAATTCTTCAGGGCCCTCAAGAACAGAGGGCAAGAAGCCAGGCTTAGATAAGCCTTTTCTGAAGCCCTCTGGCTGGCCAGAGAAAGGAGGCAGGGCTATGGTGCTCCACTGATCCTGTAGGGCCGGGGCAAGGAATGGGAACCCAAGCAGAAACCAGGCAACCAACCAGGATTGTTTCCATCATGAAACAATAGAGCAGGCAAACCCATCTACCTCTGGTCCCAACCTTTGTCACGGACAAAAAACCCAGACCCACACAGGTGACCACGACCTCAGTGTGAGGTAGAACAGCTGGGACCCGGACTCAGGTCCAACAGGTGCCCAGGGCAAAGGGGTCCTCGCACCCCGCCCCAGGTGACCCTCCCAGAAAAGGGGTGCTGAATGCTCATCCGTACTGCCTCTGCGGCCGTGCCATCTAGTGGGGAGGGGCTTGGGCACTCTGTGCCCCACCAGAGCCCCCAGGTTCTCAATCTCCAGAGTTCAGACGCCCGCTCCAGTGGGGGCACCAGGAATGGCAAAGAGATGCCTTCACGGTGTTGATGGTGTGCGCCAGCCACCCATGCACATGACCTGGTGTTTCTGTCGTGGAACTGGAGATGCGGCCTTAGGTGCTGACCGCTGAGCCACACAGGTGGGGCTCACTTTCTCACCTATCAAGAAATATACATGGGAAACCCACAGAGCCCTGCCTCCTGGCCCAGCTGCCAAGACGAGGCTGAGCCGAGCCTCTAGAAGCACCAGGTAGACGAAGGGAGGGAGGCACCACAGTAACCGGAGCCATACCTGGCACCTGGACACCTACCCGAGGGAGCTCTCCAAGGGTGCCCCACCTAAGGCCTAAGGAACCAGCTCTGACTATAGGCTGAGTCCCAAAGGGCCAAGGAAGATTCCAGAAGCACTAGTGAACCTTCTCTACACTGCCAAGCCAGAGGCCTCAGAGAAAGGCAGCCTCTCCCAGATGGACCCTGTATTAGTCCGTTTTCACACTGCTGATAAAAACAAACCTGAGACTGGGCAATTTACAAAAGAAAGAGGTTTAATTGGACTTACAGTTCCATGTGACTGGGGAAGCCCCACAATCATGGCAGAAGGCAAGGAGGAGCAAGTCACATCTTACATGGATGGCAGCAGGCAAAGAGAGAGAGCGCTTGCGCAGGCAAACTCCCGTTTTTTAAAACCATCAGATCTCATGAGACTCGCTATCATGAGAACAGCACAGGAAAGACCCACCCCCATACTTCAATCACCTCCCACCCAGTTCCTCCCATGACACGTGGGAATTGTGAGAGTTACAATTCAAGATGAGATCTGGGTGGGGACACAGAGCCAAACCATATCAGATCCCCTTCAGTGAAAAGACCCCAGCTACCCAATGTGGGGCAGCTCAGCTCCTGCTCTCCCCGCTCTCTTCTTGCCACAAGAATCCCATCTCCTAGTCAGGGAGACCTTCAAGCCAGCAGGGCCCTGCTCAGAAGCCTCAGGGCTTCCCGCTGCACTTGCAATCAGACCCCAGTGCCATGGCCGTGGGCTGCCCTTATGGTGCTGCCTCCTCAGCTACCCCAGCTCCTTCCCTGGCCCCTGCTCACTTCCTGCAGCCAGACTGGTTTCCTGCTTCCCTACAGCTCATGGCCAGCTCTTTCCCACCTCAGGGCCCTTCCACTGGCTGTCCCCTCTGTCCAGTGTGCTCTTTCCCCAGCTCCTGTGACTTGGCAGGCTCCTGACTCACCAGAGCCATCACCTCGGACTCCTCCATCAGCTCCATCATTTTCCAGGCAGCATTTGAAAGGCGACCTCTGGAGCCTGACCAGCCACTGGAGTTCAAATCCGGACTCCACGATTTTCCTGCTGTGTGGCCTTGGGCAAGCTATCTGACCTGTGCGTACCTCAGTTTTCCCATATGTTTGCTATGAAGAGTAAATTAATGCATTTCTCTAATGCCTAGAACATGGTAGGCACCATAAATCAGTAAGAGGAAGGGCTTCTCTGTGCCAAGAAGCCTGAGTGTGGGGCAGGCTGTGCAAGTATGGCTAACCCTAGCGTCCCTTGGAAGCCTACAGGAGGAGACTCACACTTCTTCAGAAGATGAGGGGATCTTCTGAGCCTTCATGTACATGGCTCTGAAGGAGTTAAGGCCTAGCTGTGGTCACAACTACCATGGATTCTTCTCTGAGGCCTGGATGAGCAAGAGAGAACTCTGACCCACTAAGGAAAAGGAGGGAATTCTGAATACGAATACGGATTAACTCAGGGGCCGCCTGAGGCCCACAACAGCCCCAACAGAAACTCCCCTCCTCCCTCACCTCCTCTCCTCTTGAAATCCTTGTGCTGAAAAGCAAGGCCCAGGTTTCATAGCAGCCTGGGCCTCCTCTGGCTTTCCTAAGTCATCCCTATCCCGACGAGAATGAGGGAGGCCGAGGGATGCACAGACGTTAAGTGGCTATGGTAACTGCCCTAGCCATTTTGTGTTTCTGCTCAGCTTACTAAGGGGCCCACCAGGAGGAAGGCAGGCAGCCATGATGGCTCCCCAGACCCGGCCATTCAATGCTCATCCATCAGCCCAGGTCTTCCAGACCAATGTCACAGCAAAGGCAAGGAGGCCCCGGCCAGAACTCAGTTGCTGGGTCCCTGCCCAATTCTGATGATGACCCTTGTTTCTTATAAGATAATAATAGCTCCACTTTACTGCAGGGAGAACAAGTGCAAATGCCTAAGGAGGCCAGGCCCCACTCAGAGATGAGTGACAGGCACAAGTGGTGGCAGGCACAGGGGTGTGTGTGCTGCTGGCCGAAAGGGGGCGGCCGCACCCCAGCTACGGTTGTCTATGGACAGGAAGAGGCAGGCCCCAGAAAACTAGAGGCTCCACTAGACCAGGAGAAGTCAAATGGCCAAAGGCTTCTGTAAAATCTGCGGACACCTAAACGTTGGCGGTCATCATCATTCATCCTTAAAAGAACTCCTGTGTGGTCGAAACATACCATGTATCTGGGTGAGAGCAGGCCTGGAGAGCAGCTTCCGGCTCCATCCCACAATGGAGGCTGGTCACCCATTAATTTGTACTATTAATAAAGGTGGCGAACATTTAGGGACACTTTTCTGAGTGTCAGGTGCTGCTTGTTCTTACTTAATTCTCTCCTGGCCCCTTCCCTGAAGTCAGGAAACTGCCTTGGCAGATAAATAAGTCGCCCCAAGGCCCCGGAGTGGAAAGCAGGGTGCTGAGGTTAGCGCTCACATCTCTCTGATGCCACAACAGGGCCCTGAACCACCAGCTCTGCTCCCTACGTGTTCCCGACCTAGGGCTGGGCTCTGACCTGGCTCCTCTGGCCCTGTCCTTGGTGCTTTCACACAGTTCTGTCCGCCCCTGGCCCCAGCACCTGCGCTCTTGCCTGCCCGCCACCCCTGGCGCCTACTGTTTCCTCATATGATCCTCCCTGCTCCCTCTTCACGGGCACTTCCCAGGCTGGCTTCTTCCCAAGCCTTAATCCCACTCAGCTCTCCTGGCCATATCTAGCCACGGCAATGCAGTGGCCTCCAAATCCCCCTGCCCCTCCATCCTGCTGCCAACTGAGCTTCCATTTGGCCTGTGACATTTAAAAATATCTGTCCAGCCTTGGCGTATAGAACCTAATATCCCCAGCTGTTTAAATACCACTGCCTCATTCGGCCCCCATGCCTGTGCGTCCAATAAAAGCAGAAACTGACCCTGAACACGGGGCCACTGGAACCCTCTATTCCAATCATGCCATTCTTAATTTGGCTCCTTTGTCAAATGGGTCATCAGTGCGAGCCAGTTCCTGCCCCTACAAGGAGAAGGCTGGCAGGGGCTTGGGGGGCTTTGGAGAGGCAGGTCAAGGTGTGGCCATCTGTATGCCTGTGACGGGCGCACGTGCCTGGAGCATGCGGTGATGTCCGCCACAGCTGTCCTCCATCCCCCCCGTCTCCCGACCCCAGTGGGCCCCATGGCCTTGCTATTAATACAGTGCAAAGAGGCCCAGCAGCTGGCCGGGGCCAGGTCTTTCCACATGGATGGTGACAACTGCCATCACCCTGGATGTGGGCTCTGCACGTTCCCAATGTGCCTTCTGTCAGAAGGGGCAGAGCTGCAGTCCGCTGGGGTACTGTCTGCTGAAAATGTCCACTCTGACTTGGCAATGGGGGAAATCACCAATGATCAACTTGGGAGTCGTGAAAGGGGGCTCAAAAGATGAGTGGTCGCTTTAGAGCACTCCTAGTGCTCACAGGAACAAGGGTCTGCTCCCCTAACCGCGCCATCAGCCTGCATTTGCATGGAGGCCCCAGGCCACAGGCTTCTTCTCTCATCATCGATACATAGGTCCAGCACAATGCCCAGCACAAACATGCAGCCAAGTACACACCTATGCAGCGAGGAAATCCCCCACAGGGAGATACAGAGAAAGGCTTCATTTTCCTGACACGCTCTCTTTGGGGAGGAAGAGGTCGGCTTCAACATATCCTAAAAGAACCCATGAAGAACGAACTGTTAGGTGGATCAGAGCCACAAATCCAGAAGAGAAGAACCCAGTCTACTGTCCAAAACTGCCAGGGGTGAAACACTATGATTTCTGGGATTTGCTGTGAAGGGCTCCAGAAGAAAAGGTGTGGTGACAGAGGAAACCAGAGCAGCAGAAGCTGACGGGCAGCGCAGCTGCGCTGGCCTCCTCTCTGCCTTGGTGTGCTTGAAAATTTCCATAACAACAAGTTTAAAAATACACATGTGAAAAATTGTTCAACAAATATTTACTGAGGGCCTAATATGTGCTAAGAACTCTTCTGAGGGTTCTTAATTTGTATAGAAAGAAGAAAGGTGAGCAAAGTCCCACCATGCTGGTCAGCAGCAGCTCAGCCTCAAAACAACCTCCTTTTGCCATAGCACAGCAGGCCCACCCCCAAATGCCCTGGGTTGGTTTCAGCTGTCCCATGCCACTGACCCATGGAGGCAGTCCGAATACGTACTTTTAAAATTTAGTATTTAAAAATACTATCATTCAACCCCTGTGACCCTATGCAGCCCAACCCGAGAAAGAACACAGCCAAGAACTTCATCTAGCAGAATGTCCTTCTCCCACTCCTTGTGGTCTCCCCTGCCAGAAGAAACCAAA
Organism: Homo sapiens; assembly: GCF_000001405.40. Classification (NCBI taxonomy): domain Eukaryota; kingdom Metazoa; phylum Chordata; class Mammalia; order Primates; family Hominidae; genus Homo; species Homo sapiens. Next base: position 58,824,720 of record NC_000020.11, read on the forward strand.
TGCAGAAGCTGAGTTTATCATATGCTCGCTGTAAACATTTTATCATGCATGCATTACTTGGTTTTGCCTGCTTTTGAACTTGATGAAGAGAGCATTGTACTTTCTGGCATCCTATCAAGAACTGAGAGCACTATGGGAGAACAGACCCAGCTCCCCTCACCCAATCCCCAGAAAAGCTGGGAGTGAGAACAGAGGTGAGTGGATGGGTTCTGTGAGAGGCCTTCTGGCTGGAACACTGCTTCAGAGCATGCCAGCAGGAAGTGAGAAGTGCCCGGGCTCATCTCGCTGGGGCTTGGGACACAGCTCTACCGACTGTCTCTTGGCTGCGTCCGCAAACATAAACACGTGAAGTGGGAGCAAATGTCATGGTAAAGGCAGATCAAGACAACTCCATCTGTTGACTTATTATTAGACAACAAATGTCATGGGAAGAAAATGTGCCCCAAGTAATTTAGCCCCGTTGAAACTCAACAGGCTTCCGCTGGTTGGAATGAGAACTCTTCCTACCTCTCCTTAGCTAAGAGGCACCTGACCAGACACTGGGAGCAAAACCTCATTTATCCCCTTTGGTGGGAAATCTTTGTGTCCTAGAAGACCATCTCTCACCATCTCTCCTAGAGTCCAGATGAGCATTTCTCAGGTCAATGAAGAGACTGGGTGGATGGGGACAGGATCAAGGAGGTGCTCAGGGCTGCACCTGGAGGGACATCAGCCACGCTGCCATTTCCAGAGCATGCACTTGTCTTCATGAGTATTTTTAAAATACTTAACCAGACGCCAGGGATACTGGTAATCTTTCAATAGCAGTTGTATAATTTTCCTTTAAAAACCAATGTATTTACATAAAAAAACAGCTGACTTAGAGAGAAGTGTGAAGTGCAGTTCAGTATTGGAATATGGCAAAAACCGTGAAGGTGGTGCGAAAATAATTGAAGTCAGCAAAAATGACCTCGATATTCCTAAAGGGGTGGAATTTTTGTTCTAATTTCTAAGGTACTTTTGCGCTTAGATGGTTTTAACTGTAGTCTCTGCCAACAAAGGCCACTCATAACCCCCAGTCTGAACGGACCCTACCCTGTTCAAGGCCCAGAGCTGTGGGGCATCCTAGCCCTGCTAGGAGAGGCTGCAATGCTCCCGGCATGGACGAGAGGGGAGCATGGAAGCCCAGAGTCCCTGCCACTGCTGCTGCTGCACAAAGCCACGACAACTGGTGGCCACAGGCCTTGTGTCTCTCAATCAGCAGCCCCAAGAAAGGTCTCTGAGAGTGCGCCATTCTCTTTCTCCTGAGCTTGCTCTTTTGCTTACCTTTAGACGATGACTTCAGCGAGAAAGACAGATGAGCAAATGTCACTTTCATGCAGATAGTTCACCCAACTGCATAAGTGCTCTCAATGGGAGAACTTTCAGCACACTGAAGTCTATTTAAAAATAGTGGGAGAAGGGAAGTTACTTCTCTTTTAAAAGTGCTAATAATAATAACATTAATACGAATTATTTGTAGAGTTATGTGACTGAACATATACATTTTTTTGCAATGTTGTCATACTACTATTAACAACACTGCTGCTGTCATGACGGGAGGGCTGGGGGCCCAAACAGCCTGCTCTGCTGCCCCTGTCATCCCAGCATCCCCCTGGTTAGCACTGCCTTTCATGCATAAAAATGTCCCAGGTGGATGACAAATGTTATGGTAACCCTAGTTATACACCATGACTAACTCATCTATGCCTACGACGAGTGGGCAGGGGGAGGGTTTGGGGCCAAAGGGGAACAGGGACCTGAATTTCAAAGGCTGGAGAGCATTCTTTAAATTGTGGCCATTCCCGGCTTAAACTGTTTAGATCCTGGATTAGCAGAGGGGACCTGGGTTTAAAATGATCAGATGGTGAGGGAGAGATACATGATTTATAATCGGGGAGAGATGCATGGTTTATAATTGGGGCACTATTAAGAGTTCTCCAATGGCAGTTTGAACTATGTTACTTCTTTCTTTTCTTCCTTTTTTTTTCTTTTTTTAGACAGAGTCTCACTCTGCCACCCAGGCTGGAGTGTAGTGGCATGATCCTGGCTCCTGGATTCAAGCAATTCGCCTGCCTCAGCCTCCCGAGTAGCTGGGACTACAGGCGCGCGCCACCATGCCTGGCTTTTTTTTTTTTTTTTTTTTTGTATTTTTAGTAGAGATGGTGTTTCATCATGTTGCCAGGCTGGTCTTGAACTCCTGACCTCAAGTGATCTGCCTGCCTCGGCCTCCCAAAGTGCTGGGATTACAGGTGTGAGGCACCGCACCTGGCTGAACTATGTTATTTCTAAAACAGCTCAGTCACCTTCATGAAGGACTAAAAGAAACTGGACACAGAACCTGGGATACACTTGGCCTCTCTTTTCTAACATCTTTTAGTTAGGTTTTCCCTAGCCCTCTCCTTGTGGCAAATTTCTGAGATATATTTCACTGAAGTTCAACTTTTCTTGACAGGCTAGAGAAAATATTGATGAAGCCAAGGTCATGGGCCTCAGAAACCCAGCCCCACAAGCAGAGCAGGAAAACAGCTCCATGCCCTCTCTCCTGACTCATAGAGGGCCTGGGGATGCCACAGGTCTTACTGTCTCCTCTACCAGAAAGAAGAGGGTCGTGCTAGCAGGGGATGGGAGACAAATACTCAGGCCCTGCTGGTGGGGACACACTGGTTGCCTCGTAGAGAAGTGCAGTGTAGCCAAGGCTCTGTGTTGGCCTATGAGCAGCAGCTCCACTGCTTGATATCATCTCCAGAGAAACACTTGTGACATTTACATGGAGGTGTGTACTACGACATGGTCAGCAGTGCAGTTTCTAACAGGGACAAAGTGGCAAGAGCTGAATGCACGTCGACAGGGATGTGACTGCTGACTGTCTTTATTCAGCCCAGACGATGAGGTGATGGTGAAATAGAACAAGGCAAATCCTACAGGAATCAGCAGGAAAGGGTCTCCAAGATATGTAGATAGATGAAAAGGCTGCAATGTGAAGCCCAATGAAACACATGAAACTATGTTTGTGTTTTTCAAGATGACATCCTCTATGGAAACCCATTATTTGTGAAGTTGGTAACCTCTGGGGGATTTGAGAGGTGATGTATGAAAACTGTGGCTGGTGCAGGGTCATCAAAGCAGACATTAGCCTTAGCTTTATCGAATATTTTAAAGCTATTAGATAATACATGTAATTCATATAATTGCATGCGCAGTTACACATTATAGTTAAGAAGTCATGGCTGGGAGAAGCTGCTGATATGTTATCAGTCACAGTGTAGACATCTTGAAAAAGGATCTCGAGAAAAATGAACTTCCCTTTCTTGTACCTTAATGCTCCTATTTTAGGGGCCAATTTTAAGTAATAACTGGTGCTTTTGGAACAACCAAGAGAAAAAGAGAGTGCCACCAAGTCCTACTGGCTTTAGCCTTGGCCAAACCCTTCCCGGCTGCCATGTGGACTTTGCCAGGCTGATTACTAAAGACATGGTATAGTCTATTTCTACCTTCCAAACCACTTCTAGCCAGCTCTTGCTTTGCTCTTTCTTTAATAAGGAGCTGGAGGAATGTCAGTTCTAAAGTGATCAAGAAAAGAATGTGAAGCTGTGAACTGTCCATTTGGTTGCTGACAAAAAATAGATCTGATATCAAGGGGGCTGACATCTGAGCCCTTGGCTCATGTTCCACCTTCACGGGAAGATTCTCTGCTTGGTGTAGTAAACAATTGAGGGATAGAACTAGGACTAGAAAAATTCAGTCTAAGAGTGGCTTTACCACTAACCAGCTGGTCCCACCTCTCTAAGCCTCAGTTTCCTTACTTGTAAAATAAAAGGGCTGAGACTCGATCTCTCCAGTGCCATCCAGCTCCAGGATGACTCCTGTTGATAATGACTTTGGTTGGAAACTCAATTTGGAGTGTTCCTCTCTTGTCTCCCACTTAGCACTAGACTTTTTCTGCTTCTATGACAGCCTTTCCACTGTGCCCGAGACCTAGAACATCTTTCTACCTGTCTGATACCTTGTCTTGATACCTTGTCACGTGCAGCCTAAAGGCACCTTGTTCTCAACAGACCAAAGGCAGAACTCTTAGCCCCACCACCCCACTCAACATGGCAGAGCTCCTGGCCCCACCGCCCCACTCAACATGGCAGAGCTCCTGGCCCCACCGCCCCACTCAACATGGCAGAGCTCCTGGCCCCACCGCCCCACTCAACATGGCAGAGCTCCTGGCCCCACCGCCCCACTCAACATGGCAGAGCTCCTGGCCCCACTGCCCCACTCAACATGGCAGAGCTCCTGGCCCCACCGCCCCACTCAACATGGCAGAGCTCTTGGCCCCACCACCCCACTCAACATGGCAGAACTCATGGCCTCCTGCTACCTCACACCTGGGCCTCTTTCCCTGCTTCTCTACCTCAGTGAAAAGTACTAGCTTCCATCTAGTTCTACCTGGGTGTCATCCTGACACAGCCAATTCCCCACATCCATGTTATCACCAAGCCTTGTAAGACACTCTCCTAAATAACTCTAAAAGCCACTCTCACTATCCTCAGCTTTATGTATTTCTAAAACCAACCACCTCCCTAGACCCAGCTACTATCAACTCTAGCTTCCTCTCAAATTCCATCCCCGTACTCTGTGGCCAGAGAGGTCTTTAAAATAGACAACTTGATTTTGGTCCCTCATGGCCATCAGGACAAAGGCTTCCCATGGTTTATGGCTGTTCAAGACAACAGAAAGACTGCAGTTTAACCTGTTGGGCCCAGAGATCCCTGCCCAGCCCTCCAGATTCATCTCTGTTCTCCAGCTCTGCTGACCTGTGAGTTTCCCTAACAGGCTTAGCTTCTTTCCGCCAGAGAGCTGGCAAATACACTATTCCTCGCTTGGAACTGCACCACCCTCTGGCTACTCCTCAACTTGGAACTGCACCAACCCCCTGCTGCCACATGCTCACCCTTCAGTTCTCAGCTCAAGTGTGCACGTATCACTTTTTCAGTAAAGTATTCCCTGCCTTGCCCAAATATAGGGTGGCTTCTTCTGCTGTATACTCAGGGGGAAAAAAACAAAAGAACATCTTTCTTTTCCAGTGCCCTTAGCTTAGGTTATAAGGAGACCTTCCTTAGCGCGATGACTCATTATTTCCAGATCCCCCTCACTGCATGCATTCACCATTGTATTCCCAGTGCCTCGCAGAGTACAGGACCTAGAATGGGCATCCAGTGCAGTTGTGCAGACCAAACTCTACAGCTTCTAAGGCTTTCCATTAAGAATCCACTAAAAGAGAACTGGAAAGTGAAATTAAAAAGAAAAATCCAACTCGACTGCCAACTCCAACTTTATTTTAGGCTCTTTCTGCATGGCTGGGCTCCTCAAACTCCTGCCCCCTCACTCTCTCACCTCTTGGCCATTACCACCACCATACCACCACCACCACCACTGCTATACCACTATCATAACCACCACCACCACATCACCATCATCACCACCACCACCACACCACCATCACCACAATCACCACCACCACCATCAACGCCACACCATCACCACCACCGCCACACCACCATCACCACCACCATCACCACCACCACCACACCATCATCATCACCACCACCATCACCACCACACCACCATCACCACCACCACAACACCATCACCACAATCACCACCACCATCACTGCCACACCACCATCACCACCACCGCCACACCACCATCATTACCACCACCACCATCACCACCACCACACCACCATCATCACCATCACCACCATCACCACCACACCACCATCATCACCACCACACCACCATCATACCATCAGCACCACCATCACCACCACCATCACCACCACCACACCACCACCACCACAATCACCACCACCACCATCACCACCACACCACCATCACCACCACCGCCACACCACCACACCACCATCACCACCACCACCATCACCATCACCACTACCATCACAACCACCACTACCATCACCACCAATGCTACACCACCATCATAACCAGCACCATCACCGCCACCAGGCATAGTCACTGGTCAGCTAGCAAGCAGAAGGAGGCAAGATTTATATCCAGGCCTGTGTGATCCCAAATCTGGCTTCTGGTTTCTCACCTCCAAACTTTCTGTTGAGCCCTCTCATAAGATACCATCTATTTTCCCTTTGAAGCCCACCTAAATACTGTCAGAGAAAAGACATTAGAGAAAAATCCCTTTAAAAACAGATATAAAACGAGGGTGCCCCCATTTCACCCTTCTCTCTCCTACACACTTTCAGAGGACAACGCAAGGCATAGACAAAGGATGAAGTCAGAGAAAGCCAAAATAAGTAACAAAAACATCAATCTAACTGGCACTACTAACTAGAAGAACCCAAAAGAATAAACTAAAAATGATTTTAAAATATAAAAAGAAGTCCAGATTTACCAAATATCACAACTGTAAAACCCAAAGGACATCGAATTGGAGGTTCCTAGATTTTGAGATTTTAGACCAAAATCTACGAACAGTGGCATAAGCCACTGTGCCCGGCCAGACCACGCTAATATTTCAAAAGAAATGTGTGGCACTCACATCGGGTTGCCAGCTGTTTTGCTTTTTTTTAAAAAAATCTGCTAGATAAAGTCACTGAAAACTAAATAAAAGCAAAATTTAAAAAACAACATCAGCGGGCGCAGTGGCTCATGCCTGTAATCCCAGAACTTTGGGAGGCCGAGGCGGGCAGATCACGAGATCAGGAGATGGAGACCATCCTGGCTAACATGGTGAAACCTCGTCTCTACTAAAAATACAAAAACAAAATTAGCCGGGAGAATGGCATGAACCGGGGAGGTGGAGCTTGCAGTGAGCCGAGATTGAGCCACTGCATTCCAGTCTGGGCGATAGAGCGAGACTCTGTCTCAAAAACAAAAAAAAACAAAAACAAAAAAAGATCTAAAATCTTTTGGGGAGGGTAGAATTCAAGCAGTTTTATTCATTCATTCATTCATTCATTTATTATAAGGATTTCTGATTTATTTATTTTCAAAGACTCTAAAATCTTAAAGCAAAACAAAACCCCTAATTATCATCTACAATCCTTCTAGAAAGAAATGATATCAAAATTCTAAAAGGCAGGAAGCTTATATAGCCTCAAAATCAAGAATCAAAATCAAAAGTCCCTCCCCTGAATAAATTTGGCTTGATGAAAGCCCCACTACAACATCTTTCGTTTTCTCATTTCACTGTGGACTGGCATTTGGGAACCGCTGACTTAGTTCAACTCTTTCCCTGATGAGGTAGTCTCTTCTACCAAATCCTCCAGAAACCTTCTCTGAGTGTTTGCCTGAGTAGGCTGCTGGTTGCCTCAAAAACCAACCAATTCTGAAAGTGGCAGAAGATGAGAAAAACGTACAAAAATCAATACCATTTCTATAAATACATAATAAGAGGCCTGAAAATATAATTAAAAAAAGAGTGCCCACTCACAATGCAACAAAAGCATCTAATACTTGGGAAATATATGATATATATTCACATATCAAACTCACATAGGATATATTAAAATTACATGAAGAAAACACAAATCCTTAATGAGAGAAATAGTGACCTGAACAGATTGAGAGGCCATACTTCTGGCTTAAGACTAAATGCAGAAAAGATGATAATATTTCCCAACTTAATTTATAAATTGAACGCCATTCCAGTCAAAATATCACCAAGGTCATTTATAAAACTTGATAAAAATGGTTCTTAAATTCATATAGAAAAATAAATGGACAAAACATCAGAGAATGCTGAGATACTGTGCAGTGAGAAGGCATTTGCCCCAGCAGATCTTAAACTACAGTCTAAAATCATCATTATTAAGGCTGTAGGGCAGTCACGCTAAGATACTGGGAAAATGTCGCAATTTCACTAACTGAGCAGGAATGAAACCACTAGCAATTAAAACTACAGAACCCACAGAAGGCCACAACACTCCGAGGACAGAGAGATGTCTTGCAAAACTCTCTTATCTCAGTTGTGGACAGGAAGCTTTTGTTTTTGTTTTTCTAACTAACTGAGCAAGGTCAAAAATTTACGAAGTGACAAGATGAAGATTTCCTGACAGCATAAAACAAGCCTCTCCTTAAGTATTTTCCAAGGTTCATCTCAATCCCCACACAGCACCTCATTCCTAGAATGCTTATGGTCAAAAATCACACTTTGGAAGTTAATTAAATTCCCGTTGTCCTCTAATTGTGAGTGTGAGTGTGTGACACAGGCTGGCGGCTACAACTCCTGTCCCAGAGGCTCTTTTGCCAGGGACCCTGCACCATCTCCACCAGGTGCCCAGGCACTCAGGAGGCACTGCTGGACTTCTTGCTGGGCCATTGGCTCCCTAAATACACAGATTATTGCTTAAAGGCGAGGATCTCCTCCACTTAAGTCAAATCTCACATGCCTCAATGCCTTTTCTTTTTATATGTGGCTCCTCACATGCCTGAAACCAAATCTGCCATTTGGAAAACCGGAAAGTCTTCTCTTGCTCCTCTTCCCTCCCTCCTCAGTGAAGAGCAGGGAGAGAAGTGACGGCTGCTTCCTGAGGGAACTTCTAGACCAGTAAAGGGAAGGACTCCCAATTTATGATGACTTTTAGCCGAAACAATGGATGGGGAAGCGGGGGTCCAGAAGTAATCACCAGCCTCCAGTGCATTCTCATTTCTGACGTTGAGAGGCCCTTCTTTCATTCTCCTGGCTCCATGATATTTTATCATGCACAATGTATGTCACTCATGGGCCCTATTAGGAATCCTATCATCCTAGCAGTGGAGGTGACCTTGTAGACCAACCCATCCAACACCTCAGGGTTCTCATACACAAGGAAAGAAGAAGTGGAAAGAAAACCCTGATGTGGAAACCAAGTATCCACCACAAGGAAGCCAAGGATGCACCCGGCTAGGGCACTGATCTGATTATCAACTCGTCCAGATCAACCCCACACACACCTGACTGAGACCTAAGGGGTCCACACATCCTAACACCAGCACGAGGCAGGACCTCATCTTCACTGGACTGTCTTTTAGAAAAATGAAGCCAAGCGAAAATAACAAACAAATACCTTAGAATTCTCTTTAACGCAAAGCAATGCTACAGTGAATGACGCCGATTTCTCCCCAGTTATCAGGATGGACTGATTACAGTGCCCAGATTCATTTGCCTGAAGATAATTGCCTCAATTATCCACTTCACTTTGCACATATAGAAATAGTCCCAATCTACTGGAGCCTCAGTGACTAGACATGTAAAATTGGTCTAATCATATTTTGAAGAGCTCGAGCTGCAAGGATTTCTATGAGCGTGTGCCTAAACCGTGACAACACTAAGGGTTTCTCCCCTCCGGGCTCGAGGCGCGCTCGCTCTCTCCCTCCCAGAAGTCTGATGGGGTGAGTCAGATCCTCAGCAGATAAGATGAAAACAACTTTGAGGCTCTCTGTCAGGGCTAGGGGCTAGAGGAAAGATAGGATGTCCAGGACAGCTGGACAAAAGACAAAGCTATGAGCCGAGAGCTTTCCTGACGGTTGAGTGGTCCTTTGCAATCAGCAGTGTTTTCACCCACAGCTCACTGGCTGGCATGGCTGCTGGTGGGCAGGGCAGAGGTGGACATCTGGGGCCAGAACCCCGTAGACTGGGGGTGTCCTGGGACAATGATGTCTCAACTGGCTGCAGGAAAGAACCAGACAAGCTCAGTGTAGGTCCGGCTGGGCAGACAGCCGGAACTCAAGATGAAGCAAGGCAGGGTGTCAGAGTCCAGGGTCTGAACCGGAGAATACAGAATGCCAAGCTCCAGGGCCACGGGAGAGAAATGAGACACCACGTCCAAGAGGGCCTGTACCCCTCTTGGGTACTGATGCTTTGCCTGAGCAAGGGGGCTTCTAGATGCTTCCCGTTGGATCCAGAGTCTAGAAATTGCTCCTCCTGTGGCAGAGGGAGAGAGAGGGAGATAGGCACTTATCAGTAGGAGAAGCTCAACAGAGCACGAAGTGAAGAGAAAGTAAGGGAGCTCCTGGGAAGACAGCTCCGAGCAATCTCTACGCACAGAACGAAGGCTCCTTTCTGATCCTACGCCCTTTAAAAACGAATGGCACAAATACAGTATTGTAATCCCAAAAATGGCCTGGACAGAAACCAGCCATGTCAAAAAGGTGATTATTTCCCTCTATTGTTTGCTTTTAGCTCTAGATGGCATTCCCCCAAATCTCAAAATCAGGAGCTCGAGGTTTTCACCATTTCTACTGGTGAGAGCCAATTGATATCAGCGCAGTCTGAATAGCAGCAAAATAGCACCCTAGAGAGCTGAGCCAAATGCTTCTGCATTGTACCTGGTCCTCTCTGGGGAACAGGCGGGAGGGGCCAATACCAAATTCTCGGTGGGGTTGAGCCTTACTGGCTGATTGCCACAGTGAGGGGTAGCGAGTGCTGCAAACTCCCTGAATTCATTTCTGTCCAAAGGAAAGTTGGAAAAGCTCTTCATCTCCAAAAATAGTCCTTTCCAATGATTATCCAAAAAATATCTTCAAGAGTGATTATACCCGCTCACCAGGCAGGGCAGAACCAATCCATTATCTTGAGTTTCATCTTAGAAAATGCATTGAGGTCTGTGGGACCTCTGACAATAGCCTGCAAGCCTTCTGAGAACCCATGATTCATCTGTCTCCCCCAGGGCCACTGGCACATGGCTTTGCACACGGTAGACACATGGTTAGAAACAAGTGGATTGAAAGCAATTCTCATGGGCTTTTAAAAATCAAAAGAAAATCTCAGAGTCAGACTAGGTAAAGACTCATCTCTTTCTGAAAATCACAAGATGAACTGTACCTCTGATTCTAACCAGTTACTCAACTTCCCTCCCTGTCTATCTGGGCTGGAATGTATTACTCTACACCTGTCAGCAATCTGGTTTTAATATTTGGGGGCACTTCACATCAATGTGTGTGATGTTGGATGGCAGGAATTGCTCATCCTCAATTACTTCGATCTCCCCACAGTGCCCGGAATAGTGTCTTGATCATAGAAGTGGCTCAATTTATGATTGCTAAATAGCCAATTTCATTTGTAATTTCCGAGACAGCTCCAGGAGAGGAGGCAAAGAGAACCAATGTAATTAACAGATGGACTTGACTCATTTCTTTGCTTCAACAAGTGATGAGTTGTGGAGCAAAGAGCCTCCACGCCCTGCCTTGGTGAGGAAAGCTCCACAGGCCGCTGGGTCCATTGCACACATCTGTTTGCCCTGTCTTAAAACTGCCACCCCAACACTCCTTCCTGTCACTGAGCCACTTGCACTTTCAATGCTTCCAAAATAGTAAAAAGTGGGGGCGGGGGGGAGGATCGTGTCCATCAGTAGAGCCCCCAAACCCTTCTCCCACAGCCTACAGAGGCCTTCAATGGAATCAGAGGCTAACCTGATAAGACTGCGGTGGGCACCGAGTTCCAACCCCACTTGCTCACGCACACCACGAAAAACATCTCCAGTGTGTGGTTACCTGTCCTTTGACTTCACATTGCTTCTGACAAAGCGCCAACTTTCTGACAGCCCACTCCATGTCAGATTCTTCTTTGGGTTGCGCTGAAGGCTTTCTGCTACAACTACCACCGATAGGTTCTAATTTTGCCCTCTAGAGCCATATATAATAAATCTTAAGGCCTCTTCCACATGAAAATCCTTTAAGGAGCTAGAGACAATATTCTTCACAATTTATCCGAATCAGAAGCTTACTGTATGATACTGTAGTGAGCTGGGAACTGCGCTTTCCTGTCCAACTGGTTTAGGAGCCTCCCTCCAGCAGAGACCCGCAAGTGATATATGCCCATACTTTATTTACCAGCAGACAGAGAGAGCCCCTTGTTCCTCAGCCCGGTAACAACAGAGGTGGTTCATCACCCACTTGCTCCTTTTTGAAATTCACTCTGCAGCGAGCACTTTTTAAAGTCACGCACGTAATGCATTTTAAAGAGCATCTGCTGTACGGCTCCATTTGCTCGACCTCGGCACTAAGTGTGAGATGGAATGGCATCTCAGTGCAGTCCCCCACTCCTTCCTCCCAGAGCCTGTGGTGAATGTACACTGAGATGTATTTATAACTACACAGGACTGGGGCTCAAAAATGCAGTCTTTTGTTAAATGTGTGTTTGCTGATTAAAATGCATCTTGCAAAGAAAGCGCATTGCTAATGCAGAATCTAGTCCAAATATATGTATTATGTAATGCACATTTTTTAATAATGCAGGCAATCTCGGTGTATCTATATTAGTGAATCAGCTCTGGGCTGCCATCTCCTTTATAGGCATAAAAGCACTCCATCTGAAGAATGAAGTACTTTCTTATGTACACTAAAGAATCATAATCTACCTCGTTGCTGACAGCTGACATTAGTTTCCATTCAAAGGGCATTTACTAGCACCCATATATTCCTGATTTTTCCCCCAACGTGCCCTGAAATCAGCTTGAATAATATATTTCTGTTCCATATGCTGTCGATGGAGCTGTGCTAATTAGAAGAAATAAAGTGGGTGGGTCAGTGTAGGCAGACTCTCTGGAAACGTGCCCCATTAGTTGGGACTCAGAAGCGGAGATGAGGATTTGAAATATACAGCTCTAAATGCCCCTGCCCAGTGTCCCATGATAATATCCACACAGTGACTACAGCCACGCAGGCACCTGTGATAATAAAACCCTTGCTGTTCCACAGGAAAAGTGGTAGAGCAGGGCACAACTGGAACATAGACATTTGTCCTTTTGTGGGGTTTGACAAGTCAATCCTACTTTATCAGACTAACCTCCCAGGTTCAAGCAATTCTTGTGGCTCAGCCACCCGAGTAGCTGGAACTACAAGCGTGCGTCAACACGCCTGGCTAATTTTTGTATTTTTAGTAGAGACAGGATTTCACCATGTTGGTCAGGCTGGTCTTGAACTCCTGGCCTCAAGTGACCCACCCGCCTCGGCCTCCCAAAGTGCTGGGATCATAGGTGAGAGCCACCATGCCCAGCCCAATCACTATTTTAATGCTACAAACTAACACAGAGTGCAAGATACAAGCTAGACACAGCCAAGATGCAGAAAGGAAAACCTCAACACATCCAAAGCAGTTGCTGGTCTCTCACTGGGGTATGAACTCTGCACTTAGTGGTTTTAATACGGGTGTGGTGTTGAAGGTGTGAGGTTAAGTTCCATCATGGTGAGAATGGCTGTGGGTACCTGACTGACTCTTCAGACACCAGGCAGAAGTACCAGTACCAGGAGGGCCTGGTGGGCCACCCAGTGGTAGAGCCTCTTTTTTTAAGATTCCCCATACTGACTCAAGAAGGAGAAAAGGACCACAACCCATGACATGTGTCCTAAGTGAAACAACCTTCTTGATACTCCCAGGGATTTTAGGATGATGGCTTTGCTCTGAGTTGTTTCGCCTTTGGACTTGTCACTATGGCCAAAAAGGCACCCCATAATCATCATGGAGGGCCAGACTGAAGACACGCACACCTCAAAAGCAGCAGCCAGGTTAGCTCCCACTGTAGGGATCTCCTCCTGTAGGCCATCATTTGATTTTCTAGGGCCAAGAAAGAGCGGCACTATTTACTCCAAATCTTCAGCCTTGCAGAGTACAACAACACGATCTAGTGGTGTCTGACCGCCCCCTAGCCCTGATCCAATCATTTTCTCATGTGGAATTCAAGCTAGATTAAACAATGTTGGTGGGTACAGAGGGATTCTGACTGATTCAATCTCCTGATTCACAGCAAATTAATCCAAAATATCCTTTCCTTAATACAATACTTTTGTTGTTGTTGTTCACTACTCTACCTTCAGCACCTAAAACACAGCTTGGCACATGCAAGGCACCCAATGAGTATTGCTGAGTTACCTTTGTTAAAAACCTATCTAGGAGCCGGGCGCGGTGGCTCACGCCTGTAATCCCAGCACTTTGGGAGGCCGAGGCGGGCGGATCACTTGAGGTCAGGAGTTTGAAACCAGCCTGGCCAATATGGCGAAACCCCTCTCTACTAAAACTACAAAAATTAGCCGAGCGTAGTGGTGCACGCCTGTAATCCCAGCTACTCAGGAGGCTTAGGTAGGAGAATCTCTTGAAGCCAGGAGGCAGAGGTTGCAGTGACCCAAGATCACATCAGTGCACTCCAGCTTGGGTGACAGAGCAAGATTCTGTCTCAAAAAAAAAAAAAAAAAAAAAAAAACCTACCTAGGAAATGGCTGTAAGGGGCCTCCAGTGAGGATTCCGTGTCACCCTGAACTGCCCCGCAGGAGAGAAGTGGTTGTGTGAACTGAGAGCGCAGGAAAGACTTCCCTTTACCCATGCTCTCAGCTCCAGTCCACTTCCAGCACCACCTTCTCAGCTCAATCGAGCTCAGGGCAGTCCTCAGATGGGCTTGCAGACTTGCAAACTACTACCTCAACCGTGGGGGCCCTTGTTGAAGAAGATGAGGTAATTAGCCAATTCAGACTGTTTGAGCACGTATTGTTTGGAAACTTTTCTAATTACAGTCACTATAACAGATCTGCTAAAGGTAGTTTCATGATTAATGGCTGCCCGAAGTTACCATCCTCAAACTATTAAGCCATTGGAAAATGCTAGAGGCTTAATACTCGTGTATAGACAGACCCTCATTCCCCTGAATATTTGCTATTTGGGGTTCTGGGTTTTTAGCTGCTCCCAGGCTGTGTTTATTTCCCCAATAACTGGGGAAACTGGGGAGGGGCACGACCCCACGGGAGCCTGCGCCCACCTGCCCAAGTACTGGACCTGGGGCTAGCTTGCCGCTTGCTCCTTGCCACCCGCCAGGCCCCCCGCCCATCGCTTCGCCCAAATCCTTTCAAACAAGGTTCCCTCCTGCCACCTGCCGGCCCACTAGGGTCTGCGCCACAGGCTCGGCGCCACCACGCAGCTCGCGGGGAGGTGGCCCCCACCTCCTTACTGCACATGCCCGGCAGAAGTCCGGGCGCGCAACTTCGCAGAACCTCACTGCCCGTCCCTCCTCGCCTCAGTCTCCTCTGTCCTCTCCCAGGCAAGAGGACCGGCGGAGGCACCTCTCTCGAGTCTTAGGCTGCGGAATCTAAGACTCAGCGAGAGGAGCCCGGGAGGAGACAGAACTTTCCCCTTTTTTCCCATCCCTTCTTCTTGCTCAGAGAGGCAAGCAAGGCGCGGAGCTTTAGAAAGTTCTTAAGTGGTCAGGAAGGTAGGTGCTTCCCTTTTTCTCCTCACAAGGAGGTGAGGCTGGGACCTCCGGGCCAGCTTCTCACCTCATAGGGTGTACCTTTCCCGGCTCCAGCAGCCAATGTGCTTCGGAGCCACTCTCTGCAGAGCCAGAGGGCAGGCCGGCTTCTCGGTGTGTGCCTAAGAGGATGGATCGGAGGTCCCGGGCTCAGCAGTGGCGCCGAGCTCGCCATAATTACAACGACCTGTGCCCGCCCATAGGCCGCCGGGCAGCCACCGCGCTCCTCTGGCTCTCCTGCTCCATCGCGCTCCTCCGCGCCCTTGCCACCTCCAACGCCCGTGCCCAGCAGCGCGCGGCTGCCCAACAGCGCCGGAGCTTCCTTAACGCCCACCACCGCTCCGGCGCCCAGGTATTCCCTGAGTCCCCCGAATCGGAATCTGACCACGAGCACGAGGAGGCAGACCTTGAGCTGTCCCTCCCCGAGTGCCTAGAGTACGAGGAAGAGTTCGACTACGAGACCGAGAGCGAGACCGAGTCCGAAATCGAGTCCGAGACCGACTTCGAGACCGAGCCTGAGACCGCCCCCACCACTGAGCCCGAGACCGAGCCTGAAGACGATCGCGGCCCGGTGGTGCCCAAGCACTCCACCTTCGGCCAGTCCCTCACCCAGCGTCTGCACGCTCTCAAGTTGCGAAGCCCCGACGCCTCCCCAAGTCGCGCGCCGCCCAGCACTCAGGAGCCCCAGAGCCCCAGGGAAGGGGAGGAGCTCAAGCCCGAGGACAAAGATCCAAGGGACCCCGAAGAGTCGAAGGAGCCCAAGGAGGAGAAGCAGCGGCGTCGCTGCAAGCCAAAGAAGCCCACCCGCCGTGACGCGTCCCCGGAGTCCCCTTCCAAAAAGGGACCCATCCCCATCCGGCGTCACTAATGGAGGACGCCGTCCAGATTCTCCTTGTTTTCATGGATTCAGGTTAGTTGCCCACCGCTAAACTGGGGAGCCTGAGGGCGGTGTGGGAGCAGCGCAGGTGGAAAGGAGGTGAGAAGGAAAGGCAGGTCAGGGGCGAGTGGGAAGAGAGGAGGCTCAGCTGGTCAGCCTGGGATCGGGGGTCAGGGTGAGGCGGCGAGGGCTCCCCCAAACTTCCCAGGATGCCAGGGGCGCCCTGGTGGCCAAAGGCTTGTTGGACGGCGGGGCGCACGCCGTGCGTCCCGCTGGAGACAACCTGAGGTCTCCGAGCTGGTGCCCCGGCTACGCGACTGAATCCCGAACGCACCCCAGATTTGGAGCTGCACACCCAAACGGCATTGGTAAGTCACTTGTTTTGCGCGCTTTTCTTCCTCCTAGAAAGACTAGTCTCAAATAAGTTGGCCTTCTCAGGTGTCCAAAATGTGGTTCGGAGGTGCGCGCGCCAACTTTCACGATGTGAGAGCAGCCGCGCTGTAGAGACACCGTTGAAATGTGCGGAAAGTAATCTGAATGGGAATGGGCGAGAACTCTAGAGACTGACCACCCGGGAGGGAAGTCACGCGCGCGCGGCGCCTAAGCAGCTCAGAGCCGGAGCCCAGGTCCCAGAGCTGACAATTAAGCCGCGGGACCTCCGCGCCAGTGCCTCCAGCTGCCGTGCGCCAGCCTTGGCCGCCACAGCCCGCCTCCCGTCGCTCGCGGGACAGAGACCGCCTCAAAGAGCGTGCGCACCTGCCCGCGCGCGCCGGAGCTGACCTCTCCCGGCGGCGGGCGGTTAGGGGAAAGTACCTGGGGGAAAGGTAGAGGAGGTAAGGGGACCCTTGGGGATGCCCCTACGGGCTACCAGGGTTGAACGCACAGGCATGGTCACGTCGGGGTATTGCCAAGCTTTTGGCGCAGCTGGTCGGGTGGCCAGGCTGCATGCGGCTTAGCAGGAGACGTCCTGGGCTGTTTGCGCAGGACCTCTGGAGGCCCTCGAGATCGTCGCAAGTGGAAAGGTAAAGCGGAACAAGGGACAGGCTGGAGACGGGGGTCGCGTCTAACATCAGGATAACTTACAATTCGTTTCCAAAGAGCGCGGTACGCGCAGAGCTGGGGAAAGGTGTTGGATCCGGCGCCAGTCCTTGGACGATCAGTCGTCGAAAAGGAGGCAGGGGCCGGCGGCTCCGGCAGCCTTGGGGAGGGGAGGCGAGGCGGCGTGCTCCGGCCATTTTCAGCACGGGTAGAGTTAAGTTTAATCTGTAACCTGGAGGGGAATCTGCTCTGATGACCCAGCACAAAAACGGCAGCAATCTGGTAACGCACCTTCGGAAGGGAAGGCGTGCTCTCCTCGCCAGTCCTGGGGGGAAAGACTGATAAGTGAAATGTCTTTAAAAAATCTCATCCGACTTGGAAATTGATTTTTTTTTTCCTGGTGTGCGTGTCTCATTTTGCGCCGGCTTAATTATACGGATGACAACGATTTGGAGGAATAGTAAAGCGTTTTGAGGGCTTGAGATGAATGACGGTCAGGTTCTTAACTCCTAAGAAAAGGATGATGATAGAAGGAAAATACCTTAAATGGTCTTCCTTCCAGGACCTATTCCGTAGGAAAGGCGTCGCGGCGCCCAAGACTTAGTTCTGCCGGGCTGCAGCGCAGACTGTGGTTGGATGCTTTTGTGGTCTTCCCTAGTAAATACGGAGAAACTAGTTTATTTGCAAGTGGTTTTCTGCGACAGCAATGTTAGTCTCAGAAGTTTGGAGGCTGCGGAAGGGCTAGGCGTGCCCCGCTTTTGGCTTGCCCCTAAGTCGAAATTCCTGCTTAATGTAAACAATGATGGTGTGTTGGCTTTCTGTGACATTAAGTGTTCAGTTTTTCCTCTGGTAATGTCTCAGCCTGAGTTCACCAAGCAAAATGTCTCTAGGGACAAGCAAGAAAAACTAGGGATTGTGTTGAATTTCTTTGGTGTGCCTTTCAAGTGTGGGAGCTATCTTCAGACTGGGTATTCCGGGAGACCCGTTTTCCCACAGAGAATTATTCATTAGAGAAATGAGCATGTTGCCTTGTTGCAGGATGAATAAACAAGTTTTTTAAAAGCCCTCCGTGTCGAGCCCACACCTCACACCCATCTTGCTGTTTTTTAAACAGAAGCCCAACATAGGGATGTTTCCTGAACTGTAAGCAATGTACCATGTTCACATGTAGCGAGGAGGGGCAATCTAGGAACACACACTGTCTTTCAGACAGTCTTCCACAAACTGCCTCGCCATCTGCATTACAGCCCAATTGTAAAAACCTGTTACCTACCGGCACACACTCTCCCCCGCTCAATTCCCCTCCCCCGCTCAATTCTCCTCCCCCGCTCAATTCCCCTCCCCCAGCTTCCCTCTTTACACCCTGATTCAAGGGTGGAAAAGCCAGTGCAGACCATATGAAGCAACTGAGAGCTATACCAACCCCCGAGGAAAGCACCTATGGCCCTCCCTGAGAAGACAGGATTTTGCTATATAGACTTCGCAAACCTTCTCTCTGCCTGAGAGACTGGTACTCAGCTCCTTCCTTTTCCAGAGCCATTTTTAGCAACTTCCCCAAGCATTCCCAACTCACTAGTCTCCCAGCTGGCCCTTTGCCCCACCCTGCTCAACTGGGGTTAGCATCTGAATAGGCCCACTTGCCCCTTTTACATAGGTGAGGTCTGCGGGGTGAGGATAGGCTCCCAAGAAAAAGCAGATCTTATGGTGAACCACATAGGTGAATTACCAGCCACTTTTAATATTTCAAATGGAGGGTGAGGGAGGAGGAGGAGCAGGAGAATAAAGCTAGCTAAACATGATGATATGCCCCCAATATTGAAGTTGTTTCCTTTAGTACATTAATCATTTGCTTAATGGAAATTTGCTTTTGTGGGGGAGGGGAGGGCGACCCAAAGGTGCTCTTGTAACTGAACTTATCTGAGCTGGGAATTTATGTTGCAATGTTCCAATATTGTGTGGGGTCAACCTGATGTAGGTTTAAAGTTTTGCAAACAAAACTCTTTTATGTTCATCAGAATTCAAGAATTAGAAATGTTACAGTTTGGGATTGTTTTGAGATGTTTCTTTAATGCACTGCAAGCCTTTCTCACCCTGGAGTTGCTTACAGCCTTTAACTCTTCAGCCTTCATTTTCTGCAGCTGTGTGGAAGGTTAAGGAGGAAGAAAGCTGAAACTTCAGTGTTGGTAAGAATGAGGTTTTTTGGTTTTTTAATAATCTACATGGATTTACCTCAATTATCAGTTATTATTATACTGCTCTTCAAGAAGAGGGAAGCTTTTGAGAGGAAACTGAGCAGAAACCATGGTGTGAGTAAAGCATGTCTCCTAACTGCTTACCTGGAAGGTGACCTATCACAAAAACCAAATCACTAAAATAAAATTAAGCTTCCAGGCCAGTGATGTCATGTGCTGGCTCAACTGCTGCTCTTCTCTAAAAAATCACCCAGCAGAGGGATGAGATGCTCAAATGACATCTTTAATCCCCATGTTCAAGAATGAGAGATGGAATTTCTTGTTCTGTTGTGGGGTTTTGACACTAATGACTCTATTTCCTATAACTTGATGTCCCAAACTGGAGCAGTGGGATCTAAGACGAAAGGCCCAGGGCTAGCAGCCCAGGTTGCTTCTAGCCATGGTCAAGTGGCCTTAGGTCAGACCCAACACCCCTCTGCCTCAGTTTCTTCTAAAATGAGATCGCTGAATGAGATGATCCTATTTATCCCTTTCAGCTCCAAATGTCTAGATTGATTAGCTTAAGAAGCCTGGGGTTGTCCAATTTGACTCTACACTAGTGATTTAACCCTAATGGAACTCCCAAAAAACATCGAAAGTTGCTCAAATAAAAAGCACCAGCTAGGTATCGCGCCATTGCACTCCAGCCCGGCCTACAGTGTGAGACTCCATCTCAAAAAAAAAACAAAACAAAACAACAACAACAACAAAAAACCCCGAAAAACAAAAAAAGCACCAGCTAGGAAGAAATCTGTTTTGTGTTGGCTTCATGTAAATTTTGTCAAATCTGCTTTACAGTTGGTTGCAAAATGGTCTCAAAAGGCAGTTTAGAGAATGCAGAATTCCACTGTGTCCTTTCCCTAAACTGGAAACACTTAGCCATCCTGAGAGTCGTATTTAGTGTGTGTTTTACGTGTGTGTGTGTGTTCCCCACCTTCTGTCCCTGACCTTGGTGTCTAAGAACAAGCTTTTCAGAGCAGGAGCAGGCAGCAAGGTTGCAAGTACTGACCTAGTACTGCAGCTTGGAGAGGCTAACCACTGTGGGGGACGGCAGACTGATGGGAACATTGGTTGAGTGACCACAAGTGCTGTTGAAAGTTTTTTGGTAACAGTTTTAAGTGTTTTGGTTAAGCTAGACCTGAAAAAAATGGTATAGAAGCTACAGCTATTTGAGATAAACCAGTTTTCTCAACCTTTGTTTTTTTCATGATCACTCCCCTCTTCGCTTCTTCAGACATATGCTTCTTACTTGCCCCTCCCCATGACATTTTAATACCATGGACATACAGCTAGACCCCACTGTCTGTTTATGCACTGCAGGACCTTGTCACAGCTAAGACTTGTTTGCGCACCGCATCCCCCAAAACCAGTTTTGCCTCCATCATACATGCATGGGATAAACAAAGCAAGCATTTCAAAAACAAAAAAATCTGGTTCTGTCAAATTAAGTGATGTAGCACCCATTTTTGTTTTATAATTTCTTTCTTACATATCAAAAGGCCATATGTGGGGGGTGGGGGGCATAAATTTTTTACTGGTATTTGTTTTCTTTCCCTTGTTTAAAAATCTCATGAGTTTTTTCAAACGCCTCCAATAGCTATGCTGGTCCAAGCACTAGTGGCCATTAATTCACAGGGCAGAGAAGCCAGAATAAACAGCCTAGTGACTTAGTTCTCCCAAGGCCAAGAGCCTGCAATGCGGGGCCACCATTACCTGTTGACAGTGCTCAGCCAGCAGAGGCAGGACTCTGCCTGCAACTATTCCCGGGTAGAAATGGGGAGGCTGCCTTCCCAGCTCCCACTGGGCATAGCCTGTGTGTTTATTTTTTGTGTTTATTTTAGGGTAAGTATGTTACAAATTAGCAGGGCACATGGCTATGAGAAAGGCCAACATAAACCCAGGCAGCAGGGACAGAGGGTAAGTGGTGACAGTAAAGTGGGGAGAGATTTAAGGAAGACAAAAGGAAAAGAAGAATTTGAGGGATCACAGAAAAAAAGGAAGATGTGGGTAGATAAGAGAACCCCTGGGAAGGAGCAGAAAAGAAGATTTAGAAATGGGGAAGGGGGTCACAAAGCCAGGAAATTTGGCGGTTATAAAGAAAGTCGTTTGAAGGAATAAAGAGAGTCTTGAAGAGAGAAAGGTTGAGGGCAGCTTCAAGTATCTGGTGGCTAAGGGGGTTAGAACCAGGTGCATCAAGGGACAGACTTCAGCTCAACATTAGGAAGGGCATTTTTAAAAGCCAAATATGGCATTGGAGGGCTACCAATGAGGCTCACAGATTCGACACCATTAACATCACTGTCCCCCTGAGAGTTTCGTACAGACCTGGTCCAAAAATTCCAATTTCATAGGTGTGGAGTTTTCATACAAGTACTTCAATTGCTACACTCAAAGAGAAAGATTTAACACCTAGAAATCTAGCTGTCTAGCTCCAAGGCTAAAGCTTTGGGTTTTGGTTCACAGCAAGGTTGGTCTTCAAGGTCCCCACTCTCAAACTTGAGGGGTCCAAGGGGCACAGGCCAAAGACCGGCAGCCAGCAGAAGACCACGTTTCTTCTCCCCTCAACCCCATGTGAGAGCTGGTTTCTGAGTGTCCTGGCTTATGTCGCTGTCTTAATTAGATTTCATTAGGAAAATTTGCCCTGGGTAATTGAGGTTGTTCTAGAAGGTGAAATATACCATTCCCCTTAAACAATGATGCCCAGAAGCCCCCAGGGTGGCTGGAATTCCCACTATGAATTGCAGAAATTTTAAGCAGAGCTTCCACTAAAGCCAAATTTACCTTCCGAGATTCCCTCTTTCCCCTCCAACCCCCACTTTTGCCTCTCTCTTAGTTGCTTTCCCATGGTGCTGTTCATCTTTTCTGGAATGGCCTCTCCTCCCCTGAAATTCTTTGCTGCATCATCAGCTAGTCTGGAGAAGGAATCCACAAATGTCTGGACCCACTGTTCAAGCACAGGTGGTCAGAGGACAGTGGCATGCCTTGGCTGAAACAGAATTTGGGGCACCTTTTGAGAAGGTTGCTGAGCTACAGCTAATTAGCTGAGTGAAGGGGTCTGAACTCACGATGGGGGCTTTTTAATCTGAGCATATCAAGTATTTTCATAAAGACTTTTTCCACTACCTCTAATATCAGCCTTGCATCTGCCTCTAACCTGGTATCTTGCCTCATCCATTTGAGGCTTTTTTCCTTTAGCTGGCATTTGCTTCAAACAGCCTGGCCACGCAGACCCCTCTGCAGATAGCAGTATGCTGCTGCCTCCACCGGCCAAGGCGGGCAGAGGAGAGTCTGAAGGGAAAAGGATGGCAGCAGCAAGTCTTGATTGAAAAGTAATTAATTGTACAGCTTCAAAGTCTATTACTACTCACTCAGCACTCAGAAAACATTTGTCACTGGGAGGCTGAGAAGCTTCATAGTTGCCTAAATTCTTTTCTACCTTCTCTTTCTGCTTTTACTTTTTCCTCAATTGAAAGAAACCCACTGACAACCAATGACATGAATGGGCTGCAGAGAAGGCACTTCTGCAAACTTCACCACCCACCTCCTCCCTGCAAAGCCGCAGACCAAAAGGAAAATGACTACCAAAAAAATACTGTTTTTCGTGGTTTCTGTTCCCTTCCCTTTCACCCACCTCCCTTCCCTCTCTCTACTTTGCCTTCTCTTTGTTGGCTACAGGGATAAACCCAGAAAGCTGACAGGTAGCTACCTAAACTTGAGATATGCCTTATGCTTTTGGTAATGAGTAAGAATCCCAGAATGTAAGTAGAAACACAATTACTCGTTGAATACATATGCCATGAAAGCATCAATAGAGAGGTGAGACTGTTTGGGAGGCCCAGGGCATCACGTGCGGCTTCCAAGGAACGGGGCTGTAATGGTGCTGTTCAGAGAGTCAATGGTAAAGAAATACACACATTCTTTCTATTGGGGGTTCCATATTTTCAAAACGCCACTGTTTGCCACCTGTGGCACCTGGGCCATTTGGCTTTCCTCAGACATGCAGAGTTTAATGGAAGCATGAGAAATTCTTCCCATGCCTTTCTTAGTACATCAAGTGCAGACGCTATTATTTTTAAGTAGCCAAGTATACACAATTTTCAAGTAAACCATCCCTGGGTTTCGACAGCCAATCCTGTCCTCCCCTACTTGACACATCATCTCACTGCAGCCCTACACTCCAGCACACAGCCCCTCATGACAGGGGTCAAGACCCTGGCACACAGCGTCTATCCATCCCAACTCGGCCTTTTTTTTCAGGCACCAGCCTCTCCTGACTTCCTCTTCCTTAGCTGCATAAACACATTAATAGACTTTCCTTCCTCAGTCCTATCACATATTTATCTTTTCCCATGATGGCAATCCATCCAGCACTGGAAAGCTATGTTTAAGGTACTTTGCTATTATACAATTATAATGGCAGATCCTAAAAAAGCCCCGGCAAGGTTAGGCCCCAGACGATGCTGCCCACTAACATCCAGCACTGGCCATCTCCCTCCAGATCAAGGCCATGTTTCTGTCTTGAGCTAGCAAAATTATCAGCCTTCAGGAGGATCACCAGACAAGCCAACCAATCAGGCCAATCAAGGTGGACCCCAGTAAACCCACTAGCCGATCACCCCCAGCTCTTACTATACCGGATTCCTCAGGTCCCTGTGGCCTTGCAGGTGCCACAGGTGGGTCAACTCCTCGAACATTTGGCCACACTTCTGGGGTCCCTGACCCCATTACTGATGTTTCAGCTCTTAGCTCCACTCACCTAAAGGACTTAGGTTTTTCAGAGTCTGGTAGCCAGTCACTACAGAGAAATAACAGGAGTGGAAAAAAGGGGGAATATCAGGGTTAAATACTGGGATTTATTCTTCCTAGTCTTAATTTATCTTTAAATTAAGGCAATTCCTATTTAAATCTAAGGGTCCTTTCTCAGCTTATAGTGGTGATTTTCAACTGGGGGAGATTTTGCCCCCCAGAGGACATTTAGCAAAGTCTGGAGACATTTTTGGTTGTTAAAACTAAGGGGATGCTACTGGCATCTAGTGGGTAGAGGCTAGGGATGCTGCTCAACATCCTACAATGCACAGGGCAGTCACCACAACAAAGAATTGCCTGGCCCCAAATACCACCAGTGCAGAGGCTAAAACACCAAGTCTAGATGAGATGTGCTGAGTGGTTCTGAAACCCCTTCCTCTGGTGTGCTCCCATCTCTCCCTTCTGAGTCCTCCCTACTCACTCCTGGACTGTCTCCCTTTTTCCTGTCCAGTGCGCCAATTGTTCAAGATTCTATTACCAAATGTATTTCTCCCCTAAAGAGTTTTCTCTGACTCCATAAATTCATCTTTGTAAGTACGATTGCCAATTTGAATGTGTGATCTTTATCTTTTTCTGAACTTCAGACCTTTCCTCCCAGAAAATGGGCTGCAAAAATCTCCATCCCAACTGCCCAAAGTTCCTTAATCTGCCATGTCTAAAACCAAATCAGCACTGCCACCTTGCCAGCCCCTCCCACTGACTTCCCTGTCCCACTCCCAGTGTTCCATCCATCTGGGTGCCACACTTTGGCTCCTCCATCTTTTGTGTCTTTCTAGCATAAGAGCTGCTCCAGGAGGATCCTTTGGGACCCCTCTTGAGTGCCGTCCTTCAGCCTTCCTGCTTCCTTCACCGTGCTAGGTCTCTCCTTTAAACATCTCCTTTGTGCATAACCCCTTTCCTTTGTTCTCGATCAGGATCATCCTCCATGCTGCTTCTGCTTTTCCTAAAAGTAGGCTCAAATCCTCACTTGCAGAACAAAAAACTTTCAACATCCTTTCCGTTTCCTGCCAAAATAGCCTCAAAAGTGCTTGCCCTCATACTCCATGGCATCCTCAGAGAGATTCTATCTAATTTCTCCTAACTTTTCTCCCCCTGCTCCCCAAGAGCCAGCCAAGGTGGCCAGTTGTGTTTACCCAGCCACGCCCCATGTTTCCTACCATTAAATCCTTTGTTCGTGGTGGGCAAACCGTCTCCCATCCCCCACTACCACCTTCTATTCATAGCCAAGGCGTCTATCCTTCCTTGGAGGCCCATATAAAAAGTCATTTTCTCCAGCAAGACTTTCAAGGTCCCCCCAGGTGGAGTTCTTTTCTTCCATTTGTATGCTGCTCTACTCTCCAGGATGAGGAACTGGTATTTGTCTAACTTGTTAAATTTGTTTTAGTCACCTCCATGCATGTGCTCCCCTGGCAAAGCTCATGATATCAGAAAGAATGAACAAAGGGGTCCCACAGACCCATGAGGGTGTCGAACAGAGACCCTGAACCCGTTCCTCGACAAATGGTACTTTGGGGGTGAGCGCGAGGCCTGACGAAAGCAAACAACCCCTTTGGAGCACCCATGGCAGCCTCCCTGGGGCTCCAACCCCAATGTCTACTGACCTTCCACTTGTGCAGGCTCAGCATCCCTGGGGCCTCAACTCCTTATCCATCCTGGGCTGCTCCTCGCAGTAAGCCCTCTCCTTGGGGTCCTGGCCCTCTACCTCCCAGCCCTGGAAATCTTCTTGCTCCTCACCTTGCCCGGCAGTGGCACCCCGTTGGCTGGGTTAGCCTGCCGCCATCAACACACCCAAGGGTTGGCCCCTGGGACCCCACCTCTCCCCCGAGGCTCGGCAACCTGTGGCATGAGGAAGAGTGACCCCACGGCGCTAGCGGTCCTCGTGGTCTTCCAGGCCTAGCCGCCATACACCCGCCCCCCACCGGCTTCCAACCACCCCAGCAGCACCTCTTCGGGCGTTCCAACGCGGCGCCCCCTATTGGACCTCCCACCCATATCCGGTTTCCGGTCTGACGCCCCCTGCTCATTCGCCAGGCAGCCTTGATTGGCATGACCCCTGCCCAATGGCTGACCCGGCGCTGGGGTCGGAGGGGAGTGAGTTGGTGTTGGGACCCAGTTGGGCCATTCAGTGGATGCTCAAGTGGTTAAGCCGTCTTGCGTGGGTGTAGTTGGCCAAAGTTTGAATCAAAGTTCAGTGTTGACATCTGGAAGTGTGTAGACCCATAGAGCTAAAGCGATATATCTTTGGGGGATCCCAAACGTTTCCCAGGGTCCAACTGTGTTCGCCTCCTTCCGTGCTGCGTGGCCACATGGATGGTGGATGCAGGGGTGCAAGGATGCACGGTGCCTGTGGTACCCTGGCTCTAAGAGGGATGCATTAGACTAAACGGGATCGCAACTTGCGGTGGTTCGCCCGCCTGCAGCTCTTATACAGCAGCCCGTGCCGTGCGCCCTGCTTGCTGCAGCCCGCCCTGTGTAACTCATCCAGCCTCCCCTCCCCCAGGGTTCTGCAGGTCAGATGACCCCCTGCCTCCTGCCCAGTTGCTCTGTGCCTAGACGTGGCTCGCCAATCTGTCTCACTGGTGAGACCGACCTGATGCGCACCTGCCGAGTTTTATGTGACCCCCTTACAGCAGCTTTTCTCCCGGGTTCCAATCCCTCTGCAGACCCCAGACCAGAGCATAGCATGTGCACACATCAAGGCCACCAGGTGGTGTGGGCATTTACCTTTGGCTAGCTCTGAGCTCACCGCAGCATGGTAGCGGGAGCGCAGCTGCGCGGGCAACCGCCGGGTTTGTGGCCGGTTGGCGGGCTCAGTGCCGCCTCAGTGGGCTCTAGCAGTAGAAAAGTAAAGCGACTACCCTAAGATACCCAGAGCGAGAGGAGAGGGGCTAGAAGGGTGCTGGAGGCAGGCTGTAGTGGGGCTAAAGGAGCTGACTGACCAGCGCTGCGGCCGGTGCCCGAAGCAGCGAGCAGCGCACCTCAGCTCCGGTTGCCGCGCGGCATGGTATTTATCTGTGGGTTCAGTGCGCACAGCGTTGTCCAGTCTCGAAACCACCCTAAACCGGCATTAAACCCCAACCAAAATCCCCTTTAACCCTTCCCTAGAACAGCAGGACCTGCGAAACTCTGAGGCCGCTTTGTGAGGTCCTCCTCTGCGCAGCACGCCCCCCACCCCTCTCTTGGTGCCGCCGCAGCTACTCCCTAGGGGGCTTTGCTCTTGGTGGTACGCACCCGAGACCTTCTTATTCCCCTGCGTCACCATCCACATAAACAAGAGAGCACCCTGCTTGCGCCGCTGTGGGCCACTGCGGAGACCCCTAGAGTGTGATGGGGGTGGGGGCTGTTAAAGTGCTTTACCGGAGCCAACCTCAGCAAGTGACAAACAAAAGCAGCAAAAAGTACACCCAAGGCATTTAAAAAACAAATTGCGTGCTTGCATACTCGGCATCCCCTCTCCCTCGCCTCTCTCTGCTTCTTTGGTGGGCTCACGACCACCTGTCGCATCCCTACGCGTGCCTGCGCCCCTTCCCAGGCACCAAAAGCCTTGCGCTCCGGACTAGGGGCTTGAGATCCGGGGCTGCCTGGAGGCTGGGGGCTATGACTCAGAGTTTCAGGGGTATCCTGGGGTGATGAAATCCTTCTTCAGTCCCCCCTCCCCCGAGGAGTCGGTTGGGTTGGGGAGGGAGGGTTTCAGCTCCTGTACTCCAGCGTTCCGAGGCCCACGTCTTGCGTCACGTGTCCCGCAACGCAGGAGCGCTTTCTCTGGCCAGCGGAGAAGCGAGGAGAAAGACTCCAAATCAGTCAGGGAGAGGAGTGGAAGGAGCCAAAACGTCCCTGCGAGGCCTGCGCTCACCAGCCCCCTTACCCAAAGTCCCGGGCCCCTGGCGCCAGGAGCAGGCTCCTGGAGCCGGAGCCAGCTCGGCACTGGAACCGGCGTCCTCTGGTGGCAGAGAGAGAGCGCTACTGGCGATTTTCGGACCGAATCGGCACGCTCGTCAGATCCAAGCAGGCGGGACTGGCCTGGAGCAAAAAGAAAGAGAGAGGAGGGCGTAAGGATAGACCAAGGAAGAGGGGCTGGGGGGCAGCCTGGGGGCATGAAAAGTGGCCAGGAAGGAGCCAAGACTCCACCAGCAACAATTGAGTTGCTTCAGCCTCAGTCTAGGGTTCCTTCCAGGCCTTGAACCCCCCAACCTCACAAGGGTTGGAAAGTGAGGCCGGTGAACTTTCCAGCTGGTACTTTGATTTTAAAATAATAATAATAATTTTTTCACCCTAGTTCGGTTGGGTGCTCCATCTTACGGAGCCCCAAACTTATTTTGAGAGGCCGCCACCGTGTTATGGGCGTGCGCAACTGCCTCTACGGCAATAATATGTCAGGACAACGCGATATCCCCCCTGAAATCGGGGAACAGCCCGAGCAACCACCTTTGGAGGCCCCAGGGGCAGCTGCCCCCGGTGCTGGGCCTAGCCCAGCCGAAGAGATGGAGACCGAACCGCCTCACAACGAGCCCATCCCCGTCGAGAATGATGGCGAGGCCTGTGGACCCCCAGAGGTCTCCAGACCCAACTTTCAGGTCCTCAACCCGGCATTCAGGGAAGCTGGAGCCCATGGAAGCTACAGCCCACCTCCTGAGGAAGCAATGCCCTTCGAGGCTGAACAGCCCAGCTTGGGAGGCTTCTGGCCTACACTGGAGCAGCCTGGATTCCCCAGTGGGGTCCATGCAGGCCTTGAGGCCTTCGGCCCAGCACTCATGGAGCCCGGAGCCTTCAGTGGTGCCAGACCAGGCCTGGGAGGATACAGCCCTCCACCAGAAGAAGCTATGCCCTTTGAGTTTGACCAGCCTGCCCAGAGAGGCTGCAGTCAACTTCTCTTACAGGTCCCAGACCTTGCTCCAGGAGGCCCAGGTGCTGCAGGGGTCCCCGGAGCTCCTCCCGAGGAGCCCCAAGCCCTCAGGCCTGCAAAGGCTGGCTCCAGAGGAGGCTACAGCCCTCCCCCTGAGGAGACTATGCCATTTGAGCTTGATGGAGAAGGATTTGGGGACGACAGCCCACCCCCGGGGCTTTCCCGAGTTATCGCACAAGTCGACGGCAGCAGCCAGTTCGCGGCAGTCGCGGCCTCGAGTGCGGTCCGCCTCACTCCCGCCGCGAACGCGCCTCCCCTCTGGGTCCCAGGCGCCATCGGCAGCCCATCCCAAGAGGCTGTCAGACCTCCTTCTAACTTCACGGGCAGCAGCCCCTGGATGGAGATCTCCGGACCCCCGTTCGAGATTGGCAGCGCCCCCGCTGGGGTCGACGACACTCCCGTCAACATGGACAGCCCCCCAATCGCGCTTGACGGCCCGCCCATCAAGGTCTCCGGAGCCCCAGATAAGAGAGAGCGAGCAGAGAGACCCCCAGTTGAGGAGGAAGCAGCAGAGATGGAAGGAGCCGCTGATGCCGCGGAGGGAGGAAAAGTACCCTCTCCGGGGTACGGATCCCCTGCCGCCGGGGCAGCCTCAGCGGATACCGCTGCCAGGGCAGCCCCTGCAGCCCCAGCCGATCCTGACTCCGGGGCAACCCCAGAAGATCCCGACTCCGGGACAGCACCAGCCGATCCTGACTCCGGGGCATTCGCAGCCGATCCCGACTCCGGGGCAGCCCCTGCCGCCCCAGCCGATCCCGACTCCGGGGCGGCCCCTGACGCCCCAGCCGATCCCGACTCCGGGGCGGCCCCTGACGCCCCAGCCGATCCAGATGCCGGGGCGGCCCCTGAGGCTCCCGCCGCCCCTGCGGCTGCTGAGACCCGGGCAGCCCATGTCGCCCCAGCTGCGCCAGACGCAGGGGCTCCCACTGCCCCAGCCGCTTCTGCCACCCGGGCAGCCCAAGTCCGCCGGGCGGCCTCTGCAGCCCCTGCCTCCGGGGCCAGACGCAAGATCCATCTCAGACCCCCCAGCCCCGAGATCCAGGCTGCCGATCCGCCTACTCCGCGGCCTACTCGCGCGTCTGCCTGGCGGGGCAAGTCCGAGAGCAGCCGCGGCCGCCGCGTGTACTACGATGAAGGGGTGGCCAGCAGCGACGATGACTCCAGCGGAGACGAGTCCGACGATGGGACCTCCGGATGCCTCCGCTGGTTTCAGCATCGGCGAAATCGCCGCCGCCGAAAGCCCCAGCGCAACTTACTCCGCAACTTTCTCGTGCAAGCCTTCGGGGGCTGCTTCGGTCGATCTGAGAGTCCCCAGCCCAAAGCCTCGCGCTCTCTCAAGGTCAAGAAGGTACCCCTGGCGGAGAAGCGCAGACAGATGCGCAAAGAAGCCCTGGAGAAGCGGGCCCAGAAGCGCGCAGAGAAGAAACGCAGTAAGCTCATCGACAAACAACTCCAGGACGAAAAGATGGGCTACATGTGTACGCACCGCCTGCTGCTTCTAGGTAATGCGGCGGACTCTGCCTGCGGGCAGCAGGGCCGCCGGGGAACCGGGGAGGGGGTGGCAGGGCTGCCTGGTGGGGCTAGGGGCTCCGCAGTGGGAGGAGGGGGTCCAGCCAAAGGCGGGAAGAACTTGCTAGAAAGTTCCAGGGAGGGACCCTAACTGCCCTGGGAGCGGGAGGGGATCTTTGGTGGATTCGGGTGGCCGAAGTATATGCCCTCCAGGGAGAAAAGTGGTGCCGAGCGACACTGAGGGTCGTTTCCGGCTGGACAGGCCAGCGCCAGCAACCGTAAGCTGGACAGGCAGGGGCTTCAGGTGAGCCAGGAACTGCCGGGGAGGGGCCCCGGGGCCCCGGGACTCCCCTGGCTAGGCTGGTGGGGTCCACGGTGGGCTGGGGTCATTGGGGAAGGCGCGCCCCGCCTCGCCTGGCACGGCTGCTTGGACTCAGACAGCTTGTCGTTGGTGTGTGTTGGTGTCCATATTCTGTGTTCGCCTGTGCATGATACGCTGAAGTGTCCCCTGTTCCTATCCCGGCACCCCCAAATTACCCGCCGACTGTGTACTTGTACTTGGGAACGGGCTGTGTTGTGGTTTGCGCCATGGCCCGGGCAAAAAACTTTCGCTGTTCGCACACTCTGGTGGTACCTGCGCCCGGGCGCTCTGCGGCAAGCGGTGCGGAGGACACGCGGGGAAGGTGGCGGGGCCTCCCGGGAAATAAGCGGGGCCCTTGGCCTGGGGGAGCGGGGAATCGCTTTTCGCCGGCCTCCGCGTAACCTTGTTTCTGTATGTCTTTCTCTCTTTTTCCTTTTGCGCTAAGCGTTTCCTCACTTCTCATTCGTTCGCCAAACCCTCCCGCCTTTACAGTTGAAAAACCAGACACACAGGTATCTGGGGCGCCCGGGGCTGCACACCTCAGTTCGGTATTCTGCACACACACAGCTCGCCTGGTCGGGGGATGGGGGAAAGGGGAAACACAACCTGCTGTAGGCAAGTCCGGATCCCAAACCACTTGGGGGCTGGTTCCAAGGGGGTGGGCGTGGCTGTGTTTAAAAAATATGAAATAATTTTTCTTCCTAGCGAAGAGCCCGAGGTAAGCCAATCATTTTTACAAAGAGTACAGTAGGAGGGGCTTGGTTTAAAAAGATGGGGGTTATGTGTTGTGAGTGGAATGTCACCTTTGTGTTTGAAATGCAACTAAAATAAAAGTTTTCAAAAAATGCTCTGAGTGTATTTGAAGTGTGTGGACAAAGTATGGCAAAACCGTGAATATGACTTGTGAAAACAAGTAAATGTTTGCATGTGAATTTTTTCAGGCAGCTTTAGCTGGGGGCAAAGAGGCTTGTCAAAGGTAAGGTCTTCTGCAAATTGGCTCTGGATACAAAAAATATATAAAGGTATTTTGATTACAGAAGTTAAAAATCATGATATTCTTGTCAGGAGGGTATTTTGGTGGCCTTCTACCTTCCCCCTCCTCCTCTGCTCACATTTCCCCACCTCTCGGTGCCCTCCCCTCTCCAGGATCCCCCTCCTCACCCCACAGCAAGACCCTCTCCTGTATCTCCCAGTCTTTCCCTGGCCATTCCCAGTTCCCCACCCTCCCCCCAGCCCCCCAAGACTTCTTAACTTCAAATCTGGGGCATTAAATATTTTTGCCACATTTAAACAAAGCATCAATTAGCAATGGTCTGAATATGTGGTTTAAATGAAAACTTCCAAACAAACTTCACAAGCTTAATTTTTACATTTTATTCTCTAAGACTTTCTCTAAGACCTTCCAAGGGATTTCAAGATCACAGTTTTTAAGGCTGCGCTACATTTGTTAAATATGTTAGAATGTGTGATGGTTTTTTATTAATGGCATTATTGGCATATAACTGTGCTATTGTGATGTGGCTCTCACAAATCACAATTTTAAATGTGAGGATCATTTTGTGTATGCCCATCCAGGTAGATCATGACATTGTCATTTACCTAAAGACATATAATATGGTCGTTGTTTTAAATTTCAAATGTCTCAACTACACTAAAGCTACCAAACATTAAATGACAATGCACTGGTTTCCCTGCAGACAACTGATTTTGCCATAACAGACCCATTTCAATATTCCAAGCACAGCTCTGGGAAGCAAACCTGTAGATTGGGGGTGGGAGGACATAAATGCATACAGACAGGAGACCCAAGTGACAGTGTGCACCTGACCCCTAATTGTCAAATTGGTGATGTGCCTTACATGCGGGGCCTCAGTTGCCTCCTTTGTGAAATGAAGCTTTCCTAGCAGATCTCCACTAAGGAATGCTTTTGCACCATGATTTGAGTCTTCTATTCTTCCTGGAGGTGGGGGGTGGAGGAGACACAGTCTACTTACATCAGGACTGGAGACTTATACCATAGATTGTGCAGCCATCAATCCTGCAGCAAACTGTCCATGTTTGGGACCAGTCTTAAGAATATTAGAAGTTTCCTTTGTCTCCCCTTATTTTGTCACCAGGAGTAAAAATTAACTTTAAGAAAAGGAAATTTGCTGGGGTCACCTTGTACCTTGTCCTGGCTTTGTTCTCGGGTGCTGGTAGCCAAACACCTTTGGATGCAGCATAGTCCAGAAGGTGGGCTGGCAAACCATGGGCCATGTCTAACATAAGCCTGAAATATGATAGCCAGTGTTAGCTGCTAGCTGAAACTGTACCACTGCAGTTTGTCAAAGCAGGCTACAGTTTTTGACCAGGCTTCCTTTTGCAGAGGTGACGTACCTCTTCTGGACCTGAATTATTGATGGGGGACAGGGAGAGGAGGAAGGATGAGGACTTACTCACATGTAGGACAAGACTTTTTACTAACTTTTTAGTCCCAACATATAAAACAAGACATCCATACATCCCTACCACTGAAAATGCAGATCAAATGGCTGTCCTTTGATATGGTTGCTAATTTGTGACATGCAGATTCATCTGTTGCTTGAAAAAATGTATGTTCATGTGCTTATCCTTTCTGTTTTTATTGCCGGGACAATTTAATCTCATTACAGGGAATCCTAAGAAATCAAAGAGAGAGAGAGAGAGAGAAAGATAGATAGAAATCAGTAATATGATTAAAATTCTAAAATATCTAAAGAGTTCTTTTTAAAGAAGCCTTTTTCTTACTCAACACTATCCACCAATAGACTGTTTCCATGTTTCTGTTACGTTTTTAAATAATTTTGGTGGCTTAAACATTTTTTAAAACTTCATTTAGGTGTGATTTCCTCCTTAAGAACTGAATGGGGCTAATAGATCAGAGTTTCTTAGTATCTGCCACATTTATTAAAATTGTGTAGGCAAATGCTATATATAATAATGGCTATTCTGCTATGATGCTTTATTTATACAGTGAATCACAATTAATTGTATGATTATTTATGCCACCAAGTGCAACAGTATGCATTGTATTCCATCTTGCAGAAGCACCTTTTTATTTTTCTTTTCTCTCTCTCTCTCTCTCTTTTTTAACATACAGCCATTTTTTTATATTCTAAATGCCTCCACTGAGCTTTTGGTGTGGTAGGAAGGACATGGCTTATCAGGCCACAAAATTTTGGAGTCCAGATAGATTTATTATTTTCTCTTTTCAGTCTCCTAGTAAGATTCATGCTTCTCAAAGTCTGAAATTCTACCTTGGTTTTAATTCTTACAGATTTCTCTCAAAAAAAATTTTCCCATATAGGTAGATTAATGTTTAAAATTTACCCCCATTATTTACAATGGAAAACTGGTTTTAAGCAAAAAGAATTGGGGGTCATCCCCTTACTGTATGTATCCTCCTAACTTGAAAAGGAAAATCTCACTGCTCTCAGTATGATTAGTAACCAGTAATAATAATAACACATTCTGATTACATTTTTTGTTTGTTTGATTTGAAACAAAGTCTCCCTCTGTCACCCAGGCTGGAGTGCAATGGCAGGATTTCTGCTCACTGCAACCTCTGCCTCCCAGATTCAAGCAATTCACCTGCCTCAGTCTCCAGAGTAGCTGGGATTACAAGCGTGTGCCACCATGCCTGGCTAATTGTTTGTATTTTTAGTAGAGATGGGGTTTCACCATGTTGTTCAAGCTGGTCTCGAACTCCTGACCTCAAGTGATCTACCCAGCCTCCCAAAGTACTGGGATTACAGGCATGAGCCACTGTGCCTGGCCACATTTTACATTTTTTAAAGCCTTTCATCTAGTCATATTTGTCTCTTGAAACAGTCCTGGGCAATAAAAACGTGATAGGGCCCCATTTCATAGGCAAATAAACCAAAAGCTCAGAGATTAAATATCAGACACTTTTTTTTTTTTTTTTGAGAAGGAGTCTCGCTCTATCGCCCAGGCTGGAGTGCGATGGTGTGATTTTGGCTCACTACAACCTCTGCCTCCTGGGTTCAAGCGATTCTCCTGCCTCAGCCTCCTGAGTAGCTAGGATTACAGGTGCATGCACCATGCCCGGCTAATTTTTGTATTGTTAGTAGAGATGGGGTTTCACCATGTTGGTCAGGCTGGTCTCAAACTCCTGACCTCGTGATCCGCCCGCCTCAGCCTCCCAAAGTTCTGGGATTACAGGCATGAGCCATCGCGCCCGGCCATAAGGCACTTTTACTCAAAGACTGCAAGGTAGGTAAAGGATCACAAATTTCAAATTCAGATAATGCTTACCAGAAATGTGATGATAAGCTATAAAGCATTATTTAAATGTAAAGCATGATTATTCTAAGTATACTATGTGCTCTTAAAATCCCTTGCCAAATGACACGTGTCGAGTAGTCTGCTACTTTCTGAATTATAGCAAAACGCACAGATCCCTGGTTATAAATGTCCATTGAGTATACATGAAACATGAGCTCCCCCATTTCTGAGATGGCTGTCATTGCTTTGGTAATATTTCATTTACACATTTGCTTTAACTCATCTGCCAGCACTGCAACGTTGCAGTCTTAGTTTGTTGGGCTACTGTTTTCCTTTTTTTTTTTTTAAATGCAGGTTTTTTTAAAAGTTTTTTGGTTTTTTTGTTTTGTTTTGTTTTGTTTTTTTGCAGGGTCTAAAGCTTTTCTTCTTGTTTAGGTTTCCACTAAATAATAATTAATCATTATAATAATAAAATGCAGTTACTTTTCTGCATAGCTCTATTATAAGTATAGCGTTAGAATGTTTAGAATCCTGGTCTGGATCTCATGATCTTATCAAAATAACTCTGCTCCATAGTCTTTGTAGTGATTTTTTTTTAAAAGTATGCCTTACTTCTAGTCCAGGCTAATTTCCATTTAGCAAGAGTCAGTGCG
The DNA here is from genome assembly GCF_000001405.40 of Homo sapiens. Classification (NCBI taxonomy): domain Eukaryota; kingdom Metazoa; phylum Chordata; class Mammalia; order Primates; family Hominidae; genus Homo; species Homo sapiens. Next base: position 58,860,618 of record NC_000020.11, read on the forward strand.
TGGTCTTAGAAATCACCTTTGACTTTTATGCAGGAAGGTTAGTTGTTGTTGTTGTTGTTTTTAAGATGGAGTCTCGCTCTGTCACCTAGGCTGGAGTGCAGTGGTACTATCTCGGCTCACTGCAACTTCTGCCTCCCAGTTCAAGGGATTCTCCTGCCTCAGCCTCTCGAATAGCTGGGATTACAGACATGCACCACCACACCTGGATAATTTTTTGTATTTTTAGTAGAGATGGGGTTTCACCATGTTGGCCAGGATGGTCTGGAAATCCTGACCTCAGGTGATCTGCCCACCTTGGCCTCCCAAAGTGCTGGGATTACAGGCATGAGCCACCGTGCCCAGCCAGGAAGGTTAGTATTAAGCAAAACATAAATTTATTTTTAGAGAAGGTAACCTAGATTTGAAATTCCCAAAGGCAGCCATGCTCCTTCTTCTTTTTAGAGTTAGTTTTTCCTCCAAATAAAACTTACCCCCAACCCCAGCAAAATTGTGGCTCTTCAAATGCCTCTAAATAACTCTCAGGAGACACATCAGTAGTGAACAACAATTCGTTTCTACACTTCTTGGTTTCTTTTAGCTGTAGTAGCAAATGTGAGGTTCCTCTCAAACCCACTCACGCCATTTGCCCATTTAAAAATCAAATTTCTCAGGAGGAGTAGCAATTTTCAAGAGAGAAGGGACAGGGCCAATTGATGTCACAAGGTCCTCACCATCAATTAAGACAAGTCAACGGAGGGAACTAAAAGCACTGGGCAGCCTAATTGACCATCTCTGACCCCTTGGAATAGGGACTAGGAGACTCTGGCCCTAACACGCACCTTCACAGATTTCATTAAATTAGACTGAATGGAGCTTTTGTTCCCATCAGATTCCTGTTCTGGCCTGTGGTCACCCTAAGCATAAGATCATGTTCTCTTTAGGAAGGAAGAGGAGAATGGACCTGAGCCTCTCTTTGGGAGTTCTGCTGAAAAGTCTGCAAGTCCTAAGTGGCCTTTATGCAATTTAGAGACTGGAAGGAAGGCACGAATATAAATTGGGGGAAAGAAGCCCCTGAACAAAGGAGAGGAGAGGTATTTCAAAAAGAGGATATATTCTTTTTTTTATTGAGACGGAGTTTTGCTCTTGTTGCGCAGGCTGGAGTGCAGTGGTGCAATCTTGTCTCACTGCAACCTCCGCCTCCCGGGTTCAAGCGATTCTCCTGCCTCAGCCTCCCGAGTAGCTGGGATTACAGGCATGCACTACCACGCCCCACTAATTTTGTATTTTTTGTAGAGACGGGGTTTCACCATGTTGGTCAGGCGGGTCTCGAACTCCTGACCTCAGATGATCTGCCCGCCTCAGCCACCCAAAGTGCTGGGATTACAGGTGTGAGCCATGGCACCTGGCCTTTTTTTCTTAATTCCCCCAAAAAGAGGGCCAGCTACTAGAAGCAGTTACAATTTGAGAAATCTGGAGTCTTTTTTAAAGGGTAACATGTTCAACCCAGTGCTTGGCACATATAAGTACCCCAAAACATGTTTTGGGTTTTTTGGGTTCTTTTTGTTGTTTTTTGTTTTTTGAGACAGGGTCTCACTCTGTCGCCCAAGCTGGAGTACAGTGGCATGATCTCGGCTCACTGCAACCTCTGCCTCCCGGGTTCAAGTGATTCTCCTGTCTCAGCCTCCCCAGTAGCTGGGATTACAGGTGCCTGCCAGCATGCCCAGCTAACTTTTATATTTTTTAGTAGAGATGGGATTTCACCATGTTGGCCAGGCTGGTCTTGAACTCCTGACCTCAGGTGATCTGCCCACCTTGGCCTCCCAAAGTGCTGAGATTACAGGTGTGAGCCACCATACCAAGCCTCGACTTTTAATTTTAGAAATTTATTTTCCTCCTAGATTTTTTTTTTTCTCCCTGCTCCAAGTGAGGTTTTGGGTTTGGTTAGTTTTCTGTTGTTGCTGGGTTTTTTTTTTGTTTGTGTCTTTGTTTTTCTGTTTTTTGCATTTCTCATTAGACTATTAACATGTAAGTTCTAAAAGTGCCAGCCATCTCATTCTGTCTTTCTGTCTCCACCTTTCAGAGTACATTCTTTGTTTACATTTTGTAAATAAAGGTCAACTCAAGCAGTAGACGAATGCCACCTTGCCACATTTATAATTGTGTGAAGTCACTCTCAGGTGAATGATGTGCCAGAGAGAGATGAGGAGATAACTTACTTTTTGACTTGTCCTGTAAAAGTGTCACCTGTCACCCCTGCCTATCCAGCTCCCCCTTCTGTTTTGATTAGCTCCTAACTATAAATCAACTCAATACCGAGGCTGAGCTCAAGGACCTGAGCTTGGATTGTTCTATGGTTATTACACATGAAAAAAAAAAAAAAAAGAAAGAAAGAAAATGTGTTTAGTTTCCTTTCCAACAGCCAGATGGTGAACCAGGCCAGCTCATGGGAATTGAAGATGAAGAGACCTCCAAGAAAGAGGTAGGGAACAACACAACAAAACAATGTTTGACTTTTCATTATGTTGATCGTCACATGCTCTTTGAGCACACACGAGTCACACACCTTTCAAGTTAGAATCAGTGGAGCGCTTTTCTACATGCAACAACTGGGAGCTATGCTATGGGAAGAATGTTAGGCAACTGATCTGTGACAGGGCAATGGAAATTAAGGGAGTGTGCCTCTGTTGTACTTCCTTAGAGTAAAATCCCAAATTGCATTGCAGAGTAATTTGTTAAACCTCAGGAGTATTTAAATTCAGGAGTATTTTGACTTGTGGAGTTCTGCCCACAGAACTGCACATTGGATCTTACTAAATGTTTTTTAATGATTCAATTTGGGGCGAGGAGAGAGGTATAAAGGTAGTATAAATTGTTATCCAATCTCAAATTTATTATGAGTCAGTCAATGTTTCCGACATTGTCACACACACACTGTGTGTGGGACAGAGTAAGTACTTTTAACTTCCTTTAATGAGTTGATAATGGGAAGGAAAAAAATCTCTGTACTACTTTCTAAAGAGTGTCACAGTTGAGCTTTCACAAGCTCAGTGTCACCACTGAGTGAGCATCGATTCTTACAAGGAAATTAAGACTTGGGCTGCAAGAGCCTCGCCTCTCTCTTCTGATTTATCTGGCTCTTGCCTCTCCCCCTCCATCAAAAGACCACACTATCTCTCTCCTCTTTTCCATTTGAACGATTTTGCCATTCATCAAACTGATTGCTAATGTGCAAATTACATGATGGTATTTTTACAGGGAACCTGCATTCAGGTAAGTTTGAAGCTGTGGGATATTTGAGGGGGAAAAAATGAATAATGCTTATCATGATCCACAGAAACTAAAGTCAGGCATTGTAGGACAGTCCAGAACCCAAGAAGGGCCATGGACAGGACCCTTCCAAAGGAAAGAGAATCTCGTGTCCCGTGTGTTAGCGAGTATCCATTCCAGCTCCCCCAGGGCTCTGGGACCCACATATCTGTGCCTCCATTTTTCTAGGGTTGTAGTAGCTGGTGGTCCAGTTGAAAAAAATGAAAACAGGAAACCTGTCAAGAATAGATAGTGTTATTTAGGAAGTATATAGGTACTTACATTACTGAGACCACTTGAACACATCCTTTTAAATAGATACCTTTTTTAAAATCTATGGTTATGTAACATCTGTGTCCGAGGGATTTAAGCAGAAAGCCCTGTGGGTTTCTCTTTTCAAAAGACAGACCTTATTTATAATCAGCCCCTCGATTTTTTTGGGGGGGCCTTCATGGGCTTTTGAAATCTTAGGAAGTGTCCATCCTAATTCCTTATAGCTGCTCTTTCTGTGGCTCTACTAGGGCCTTCAAGATGCTGAATTCACTTATTAATTAAATCATTGACGTCATTCAGGGGGTTCCTTTTGCCCACTGCCCCCCAACATGGGAATTTTTAAATGACTGGCTCTAGAAGGGCCCAAAGATGGTGAAGGTGAATTGATATTTCAGGTGACCACTAGATGGTGAGACAGTATAAGGCAGAAAACAGGTGGCACGTGTCTGTGAAAATGAGAGGGATGGCCAGGGCTGGCAAAGGCAAAGAAGGGTCCCCCTTGACTTTTAATGCCAGCCCCCACCCCAGGACAGACCTTGGATTCAAATAGGCCCCAAAGCTTTAGCCAGACCAGCTTTTTACTTTTACGCTGTGACTTCTCCTAGTTAGCTATATGCCAGGATTTTAGAAGCATTTTGGGGGGCTCAGTCTAACAGAGGGGTCCTCCAAGTGGCTTTATTGACATTTTTTCATGGGGTGGTTGTCCTATGCACTGTGGGATGTGTAGCAGCATCTCTGACCCCTACCTACCAGACACACACACACACACACACACACACACAAACACACACGCACGCACACTCTCTCTCTCTCTCTCTGACAACCAAAACTGTTTCTAGTCATTGCCAAATGTCACCCCTCATTGATAACTACTGCCCTAACATCATCAGTATCAAATTCTGGGGACAGTTCAAGATCATACATACTGTAACTTGCGTATCTTAAAAATATATATATTGGGGCTGGGCGCGGTGGCTCACGCCTGTAATCCTAGCACTTTGGGAGGCCAAGGTGGGCAGATCACCTGAGGTCAAGAGTTCCAGACCAGCCTGGCCACGTGGTGAAACCCCATCTTTACTGAGAATACAAAAAATTAGCCGGGCGTGGTGGCGGGCACCTATAATCCCAGCTACTCAGGAGGCTGAGGCAGGAGAATCGCTTGAACCCGGGAGGCAGAGGTTGCAGTGAGCCAAGATGGCACCATTGCACTCCAGCCTGGGCAACAAGAGCAAAACTCCATCTCAAAAAATATATATATACACATATATTTTATATTATATATATATCATATATAATACAAAATATATATAATATGATATATCATATAATATATACATATATAATATATATCATCTATAATATAAAATACTTTTTTTTTTCCAGAGAAAAGTTTGTCCACTGCAGTTACTTTTTTTTTTGAGATGGAGTTTCACTCTTGTCGCCCAGGCTGGAGTGCAATGGCATGATCTCAGATGACTGCAACCTCTGCCTCCTGAGTTCAAGTGACTCTCCTGTCTCAGCCTCCTAGTAGCTGGGATTACAGGCATGAGCCACCGTGTCCAACCCTGCAGAAGTAATTTCTAGAAATCTCAGAGAAGAAAGTGACCCAGATGACCCTAACTAGAATAGAAAAGGAAATTATTTCAGGGAAGTAAATAGTGAGCTGACTTTGATTAACCAAGTCAGTCCCATAGCTAGGCTAAATCAATGCTTAAATAGCCTTTACCCTTAAATGATCACATCTTCCACTTAGGGTTTCTTAAGGATGCCTTTTCCTGTAGCAGGCTAGGAATTCTCTCTCTGACTGGTGCACACTCAATTAATTCACTCTGCATTGTAGAGAAGGATGCCAAGACACGAAGGACCCATCTGTCAGATGGCTGCTGACAACGTATCAGCTCTAGGGTGGCAGGAGCCCCACTTTATATGTGTTCCCCAAAACAACAGCAGAGCCTTTAACTGATAATGTGTACACACCAGCAAGCAGTGTGTGGGCCCCAGTTGCTGGGTCTCCCTAGTCTCAGGCCCATAGAGAACCAGCCTACTGCATGGAGGTGACCTATAAACTTTCAGCAACTGATCTTTCAAGACAGACAGTTAGATTGCAGGAGAGAGGGGCAGTGGAAGGAACGGCTCTGAATGACTGGACTGAGAAAGAGCATAAGATCTCTCAGGAATAATACATAGCTAAGCCAATAGAAGTAACAATCCAAGGACATTTCCTGGTCAAGAGTCTTGCGCTTGGTCTCTGATAAAGTGGACACCCCCTTCTCCATCCTAGGGCAGACTCTGTAACCATTATTTCTTGGAATAATCATAATAGGACTAAATTGTGATCTTAATTTTAAACAGTGGTCTAAGCCCCTAATTTGCATCTGACCAGCCTCTCTCAAGTAACCATTATGGAAGGGGACTTTATAACTTCTTTGTTATATTTTGACATAACACATTTACATTTTTGCCCCCATTTGGTCTTTCTATAGAGTTTTCAGATTGTAACATCTGAATTCATCTCATCAAGTTTTCAAATTGAAACATCTGATTGTAACAACTGAAACAGATTCATTAGGGATCTAATTTTTTCAAACAAAGGAGATTTTTTTCTTTTTTTTTTTTCCCTAGGGAGTTTCAAATTTATGACCTCTGACTTCATTGCAAAGGCCAGAAAAATAAATAAATAGATAGACAATGACCACTCTCCACTCCAGACATGCAGGTGTATTTCAACACTTTAGCTTTTACTATCAGGATTTCTTTAGGGGAAGGTGTAGAAATATATTGGTAGTTTGATAAATTATATATCAGACATGTAAAATTTAAAGTATCATTTGAAATCAAAACTTGTCTGAAGACTAGCTTTTTATGTCACAAGTTCAGCTAAGCAAAGTGTCCCCTAACTATAAAACCTCCTTACTGCAGAATCCTAGAAATTACCAAAGGCAAGCTTCTTGAATGTTGATTTTGAAATTTTGCCTGCGAAAGTGCAACATCTTTCCAAGCAAATGCTTAGAAGACTCAGGGCAGAACCCAAAAACAAATGCCAGACGTTAGGGGAAAATTTTTAAAAGTTGGATTGCCAGAAAACTTCTAGCTATTTATAATTAAGCATTTTTAGCTGCTAAAAGGAAGCACATTAGATCATTTTGTTTTGCAAAACAAATGGCCAGTGTGGGTTTTAGGATGGACACTCCCAGGAGGGCTCCCCTTTCTGAGTGGGAGTCTTTGGAAATGTTCCTGATGGGATCCAGTCATTCTGGAGCGCTCTTACGAAATCGTTCATCCTAGGGCAGTTTGGTGTTTGTGAGCTTACAGCGTTTACTCCTTGCTGTCTTCTACCATAGGTCTGATCTGATGGGGGAGGCAGTGGGCAGAGGAGCTCCAGCTCTTTGGGAGGGTCCTAGAATAGTACAAACAGCACTGGGTTAGAAGTTGGGGGTTCTCATTCCTGGGACCTTGGTTGATTATAGAACTTTATTCTAGGATTCCATGAATTTGCCAAGCTGACATCGGGAAAAGGCTAAAGTTTGATTCTTGAAAGTATTGACAAGGCCCCATTTAGGAATGATTCTGCCAAGTATTCCTGGGGTCCTGCCATGGTCAGGAGAGCACCTTAAATTTGATGAGTTGTCAGGGAAGAAGCAGAGGGTATCTCTGTGTTCAGCTTTATGTATGAGAAAGTCAAGACACAAGATGGGGGCAGGACAGGGACAGCTTGAGAAAGGAGGCTTGAGATTGAGACTTGGAACTCAGGTGCCAGGGATGAATCCAAAAGGCTTGCAGGCATCTCAGCCTCAGACTTAAGCTAACATATAGCAGATAGTGGACACCTCTCCTGTTTCTTTCTTTCTTTTTTTTTTTTTTTTGAGATGGAGTCTTGCTCTGTCACCCAGGCTGGAGTGAAGTGGCATGATCTTGGCTCACTGCAACCTCCACCTCCCAGGTTCAAGCAATTCTCCTGCCTCAGCTTCCTGAGTAGCTGGTACTACAGGCGCACGCCACCACACATAGCTAATTATGTATTTTTAGTAGTGATGGGGTTCTCCATGTTGGTCAGGCTGGTCTCAAACTCCCGATCTCAGGTGATCCCCCTGCCTCAGCCTCCCAAAGTGCTGGGATTACAGGCGTGAGCCACCGTGCCCTGCCAATATTTGTCTTTTTAGTAGAGATGGGGTTTCACCATGTTAGCCAGGCTGGTCTCCAACTCCTGACTTCAGATGATCCGCCCACCTTGGCCTCCCAAAGTGCTGGGATTACAGGCGTGAACCACCGCAGCCAGCTTTTTTTTTTTTTCTGGCCCTGCAATCTTGATTCCCCAGAGTTAGGGTCTGATTTCAGATGTTAAGGCAGGCTCAAAGTGGGGCATCTGCTCGCCACAAGAAGGTGAGAGGTCAGAAAGAAGAAGCAAGACCATTAGGGCTGCCTTAGTTGAAGAAAGGGGGCTCATCTCTCATTTTCTCAGAAGTTTCACAATCCAGAAAGGGGAGAACGGAAAGCAGCCTCCTAAGGAGTTCTCGAATTTCTTTCTCACTTTTCCTTTGTTTTCTCGCTCTCTCACTCTCTTCTAAGATTTATTTTTAAATGGGGTTCTTATTTTGGGGGGACTTTCTGAGCAGGAACTACCTTTTTTTTGGAGGGAAATAAATGAGAACACAAATTATTCAGGGCTGGGAAGTGGAAACAATGAAAGAAAGCAAGGCTACTCAGAACCGGCTGGCAGATGGCGCTCGGCTTTTACGATTGACAGCCTGGCTTTCAAAAATTCACCCTTGCGCCGGCGCCTAAGGCAGAACCCGCATCCCCCTCCCTAAATCCTCCTTCCCAAGGACACGGCCCCTGCCCCTAAGGCTGAGGAATGTTTTTAAAAGGTTTCAGTTGAGCAATTGACATCTAAGGACAAATCCCGGCAACTTTTAACGAGTGGATCTGAAGATCTTAGCCAAGGCAGGAAAGCACACGATCAGGTAACCTCCAGATTCACCGCCCTGGTGCCCCGGTTCTCCTGGGAACTGGTCCTGAGATCTTGGACAAATCCCTGGTTCTAGTTTTTCTCAATTGAAAAAACAGGAGGGATGTCTTTCTCACTTTAAAACTTATTTAATTATCTTATAAAGTTTCAATAGATGAGGTATGCCAACCCCCTATCCAACACAAATTTTTTTAAATGTCTGTTCCAAAATGGCAGATTGTATAGGAAATCAAATGGTAGGGCCCTCTGTTGTCCTTTGGTAAATAATTAATAGTTTCTGGGTCCCAATCACCGGGAGAATCTTTGTGGGAGCAGAGTTTGGTGGTAAACTCTTTCACACCTCAATCAAGGGCTAGAAAAGAGGTTCATAGGTGAGCAGAGCTCCAGTTTCCACCAGGGAAATCTAAGGGGCCTACCTGGAGAAGTTAGCATTTAAGACAATATGGAGAGATGAAGTAGAATTTGAGGTGCATGGTCAATGATTGTTTACAGAGAAGGGACTTGCTAGGGATACATCATTGCTTTTCCATTCATGCAAGTATCATTGTGTTTTTCAGGATCTCTGAGACCTCAGGGCTAGTTTTAAGTTCTTCCCCTCCTCAACCCCTCTCCACTTCTCAGTGCTTCACGGCACACTGGGGCATTCTCACTAGCGAAGGTGTCCTCTCTAAGGATGGGACCCCTACTGTCCATCTCAGGCTCAGCACTGCCTTGGGGCAGGCCACTTCTGGCTTCTTTAGGCCTCGTTTCCACGGGAGGGGAAGCTGGGTCCGATGGTGTCTGGGTCAAATTCCTTGGTTCCAAGAACAGGTACCGTTGCCATTCCCTTCCATTTCTGCCCCCTGCACCACCCCACCCAGCAGCTGGAAAATGATGAGGTCATCTATTTGAGAAGGGCCACACAGGCCTCCCACACAAGGACCTACAAAGTCCTCCAATGGGAATTTATTTCTTTCTGATCAAATTTACCCTCCATACCCCATTCATATACACATTCTTTCTCCCCTCTCTCTTAAGATTGTAAAGTTAAAGAAACTGAATACACAGGGTTGATTTAAGGTAAACGTCCCTCCCACCCATCTATTTAAAAAATTTTCTTTTACTTGATAACTTTCCTACAACATGATTCTCTTATGCCCATATTCCTCTGAGGATTCTTTAAAGCTTTTCTTGCACTTTCTCCTCCTCACAGTCCCTGACTTCTAGCCCTGAGTGGTGGCTGAGGGCAGGTGACCCTGTAGACCGTGGGGAACAGAGGAGGCCAGGGCAGGTGGCTGCCTCTTTCCAACCTTTCCTGGGCCATGGGAGCTCCTCCCCACCAGAGGTCAGCAGAGAGCTCAGAATGGCTGGGTCTGCTCTCAGAAATTGGGATCTTGGAATTCTCTAGATGAAATGTAGGATGCCCAAATGGAAAAAAAGCCCCATGTTTCCAGGGTGTTTTGGTTGGGGCTCTCATCCTGTCTTGGGTCCCGGGGACCTTACTTTTAACACCAATACAGCCATTCTGTGCTTTTCTCAGGGGAGGGGTGGTTGGGGGTTTGGTCTGTTTATTTGGTGGCTTTCTTGGTCAGTCTTCTCCCTGCGCCAGACGCACAAATCCCTCCCTTAGAGGGAACCACACCCTCTTAGAACTCTCCCTTCTGGGGCCCAACTGCCCACTTTCGCTTCCCACATGACATGGAACCCACATCCCACACTTGGCCGGGCGCCTTTTCTTCTAGTTGTATTTATTGTTAAAATGACATCATAATATTACAGGAAATCCCCCCAGCCTACCCTCACCCTGCTGTGATTTTACTGATCATTATCTCCCCCTGTTCTTTACTCAGGTGTATGCATAGTTTTGAGAGGGCATGAATCATGGTGTGCAGTTTCATATTAATCCCCCTGCTCCACAAACACACACTACAGGACAGTTTCCTTAGAGCTCTTCCATGTTCGCCATCGTCCTTCCACAGTTCTTTCACTTGTTCAGTCCTTTCGCTAGCGGGGAAGAGCAGGGAAAGAATTGAGGTTCCCTCCCTTTGTTTTTCCTTCTCTGATCTTTTGAAATCCCGGGGTCCTTGTGAACGACTCAGAAATTAAAACCAATTCCCTTTGGCCAGTTGTTTATTGTTGAAAGAGAGAGACAAAGAGAAATTAAGGTGCAAACGGAAGGAAAGAAGTAAATAGAGATTAAATTTAAAAATTTGAAAGGGAGCAGTGGTTCACGCCTGTAATCCCAGCACTTTGGGAGGCCGAGGTGGGCAGATCACCTGAGGTCAGGAGTTCAAGACCAGCCTGACTAACATGGAGAAACATCATCTCTACTAAAAATACAAAATTAGCTGGGCATGGTGGCGCATGCCTGTAATTCTAGCTACTCGGGAGGCTGAGACAGGAGAATCGCTTGAACCCGGGAGGCAGGGTTTGCAGTGAGCCGAGATTGTGCCATTGCACTCCATCCTGGGCAACAAGAATGATACTCCGTCGAAAAAAAAAAAAAAAACAAACAACAAAAAAAAAACCAAAAAAATTAAAAGGGAGAGAGAGGAGGAAAAAAGAGGGAAAGGAAAGAGAGAAGGAAGGAAGAAGGAAGGGAGGGAGGAGGGAGGGGGAGAAAAGAAAAGAAAGGAAAAGAAAAAAGAGAAGAAAAGAAAAAAGAAAAGAGTGCCTTTGCCAAGTTTAGCTCTAAGCACCAAATGGGGTCCTTGCCCTCTAGGAACTTCTAGTCCAGAACAGAGGAGAGGATCAGGTTGCAAGTGATTATCCTTCTACCAGGCAGGGGGTGGAGCGCTGCCAAGGAGGGTGTGGCTGGCACAGCTGAGGGGCCAGGCTGGCTAGACCGGACAGGAGTACGGGGAGGAGAGGCAGGTTCACAATCCAGGCTGGGGCATCCTCTCCTCCCCATCTCACTGCCCCATGAGGTCCCTTGTTCGTTCAAGTGCCAACCAGAAGAGCTGGGACAGAGGCCTCTCTTGTGTGCCAAGACGGGGGCCACCACCACCCTCTGAGCTCTGACCACTGCCCTCTCACCTCTTATTGCTTTCCCAAGTGTTTACCTCCTGATTCTAAAACGATGGTCCAATTTTTGTTTTATTTTAAAGTTAGGAACACACTGCATGTAGCACACTTCATGGAGCACAAGTGTTTTCACATGCCTTATCCCACTAAGTGGTTTTGTTTTGTTTTAGAAAGTCTGGCACACAGAGAACCTTCTAGTTCTTTAAAAAAAAAAATCATAAATTTTTAAATTTGATAATTATCCAGAACAAAACAAAGCAAACCCTAAGGTTAAAAGTGAGCATCCTATAAGTTAAGTATAGATCTTTGATGTTGGGGAAACCTTTGAATTTTACAAATCGATGTCCTTGAGAATTGGGTTCCAGCCAGACCCACTGTAGGCATTGTTTTCTTTTTTTCTTTTTCCTTCCTTCCTCCCTTCCTTCCTTTCTTCCTCCCATTCCCCCTCCCCACTTTGAAAAACAAGTTTTATTCTCTTGGGTTATGTTCATTAGAGAGGGAAGACAATTCTGTTCAGCAAGGAAAGGTGAGGGGAAGAGAAAAGGGGGGAATTCAGCCAGAGGAGAACAGGGACAAGGTTGATTGCTCTGTGCTGGGGTGAGGGTGGGGGGCAGAGAGAGAACATCACAGCCAGATGCAAATCACAAGAGCAGACCTTCAGCTTCCTGGCATTGGTGGGGAAAATATTCCGTCAGCTGCCTTTCTATGTCCTGGGCTTCATTCATCAGCTCAAGAGAAAAAAAATAAAATCAAAATTTCATCCTAATTTGTTGTGGTTGGACCCCATTCTCCCACATTTTGGCCTTCTTGTAAAGCACAACCACAAAGGCAGAAGTGGCTTCCTGGGCTGACCTGCCTCTCAGTTCATTCTCAAGGCGTTAGCCTCATCCCATCAGGAGGAGTTCAGACTCTCCCCAAGCACCAAGAGTTAGAAATGTGTTGCTAATTGATTTGAGCTAAATTTGTGTTGCTTTGAGACTTAGCAAAATGGCTGATTAGGGGCCAGTGTTGGGGAAAATAATTGCTGATCTAATAGCTATGAAAAGGAACTCATTCACAAATATGTTTATAAAATGGGCCTTCTGTGACATTTTGGAATTGTCAGGGAGTTAGGGGTCACGGTGGTTCTTCAGGAAGAAAGAAATGTTGTTGGGAAATGTTTAGTGGAAATTTAGCATAAAATGACATGCCTAATTTAAGAAAACAGTTAAATCCATCATGGTTCCAAGTGAAAACAGTTGTCACAAATTAATTTTTCAAATGTTTGACTATTGGCAGGTCTGAGGTTTACTCATCTGTAGGTTATGTCCAACTTGGCAAAAGCATGGAATCCTGCCCAGTCCTTGGTACACAGGGACTAGCACATGTACCCATTTTTTCTCACTGATAAGTTATTTCCTAATTTTTTGGTTAACTTGAAGGTCGAAATAGCCTTACTCCTTTTTGTCTGTCTAGTAGCATCTCTAAGCTTGCAGTAGCTGCTCACGTGTCTGCCACGCCCCTTAGAAGGACGAATCCTTGCCTGGTCGGTGAGTTTGCCTCAATTCGGGCATTTTCATTTGTTCATTCATTCGATATACATGTATTGAGTGCCAAATATGTGCCCTTCCCCGTGGGGAAGACAAAAGTATGAGACACTGCTACTCCCTTGATGGAATCAAAACAAACCCAGGAAGTTAACAAGAGTGGGCAGTCTCTGCTAAGCGATTACACAGGGAATAAATAAGGAAAGATGGAAAGATTGTCAACCAAAAGACTTCAACAACCTGCTAAGAGTCTTCCAGCCCAGTTGAGCACACCAAATCAGAGGTTACCTAAAAGTGTCATGAGTGCTGATAATTAAACTGCAGAAAACCTAGAAGGATCTGCTGGGGTCAAAACAAGCAACATTTGACAGGCACAGCCATTCAGATTTTCATGCCACTCTGAGGCTGAAAATTTCTGCACAAACAGCAGTGACTGAACCTTTGCTAGTCACAGGATAGACCTCCCTGTTGATAGGGTAGACCTCCCTGTTGATAACTTGTCAGTCATGGGACTGAATGAGGCCTTTCTCCAGGAGGCACAGCCCAGAGGGTTACTGGCCATGCTGAGGAGGCAGTCTTGCTTCCAGGAGGGGCTGCAGAGGCCTGGCCCAAGAGTGGTGCTGAGAACTGCCTTTTGCCAACTTCTTTCTTTCATTGTGCACTCTCTGGAGCCAAACTATGCCTTCCAGGATCTTTCAAGACTAAAATTCTCTTAGGAAGATGGGCCCAATATTTCCCACCTAACCTTAGAAATCTTCTATGTCTAGGATTAGTGTTTTGAGAGTTAGATGGGAAAGTGTAGTTTGCAGCCAGATCCTTATGTACTACAGAGTGCTTTCACCTTAGTGCTTTCATCCTCCATCTTAGCTCCAACCCTCCATCTTAGCTCTTGGGCTGGCCCCCGTCTTAGCTCTAGCCTTACATCTTAGCTCCTGGCCTGCCCTCCATCTTAGCTTCTGGCCTGCCTTCTATCTTAGCTCCTGGCCTGCCCTCCATCTTAGCTCCTGGCCTGCCTTCTATCTTTGCTCCTGGCCTGCCCTCTATCTTTGCTGCTGGCCTGCCTTCCATCTTAGTTCCTGGCCTGCCCTCTATCTTAGTTCCAGTCCTCCATCTTAGATCCTGAGCTTTGGGTCTCTTTTGTTTTGTTCCCTAATGCAGATAGAGATAGTCTATATTCAAATACTATAATTAATTTCCAGCCATTGTGGAATGAAAAACACATTTTAATTTCCAGAATTTAATTTCCAACTTTCCTTTCACAAATACTTTTAAATTATCTATTTATTACCCTTGAAATAATATGTCTTATGGATAGGTCTCTGTAACTATCACAGCATATGATAGTGACCTTTATGTTTTTTTGAAAATATCTGTGTAATACAGATTGCTAGCTATTTTTTATGTTAAAAATAAGACAAGGGAAGGTTGTCTGGATGACTGAACTGAAAGAACTCTCAGGTGAACTTTGCTCCATAGTGAATATGATTGAGATTTATAGAATTATTAAGTTGTGGCTTCTTAAAAATTGCCACCGAAACAAGAATGCCTGAATTTTGTGTTCTGGGTGATCGTGGATGAGCACATGGCACATCTGAAAAGTGATTTGGCCCCAGGCCTCCTTACCTCCCTGCAGGTGGCTGTGTTCTCTTCAGTTAATCCCATTAGCTGGCAAAGGCTGATGAGGCTACTCGTAAGGGACATGTGCATTTTCATAAAGAGCTTTAGAGGCCCAAAAGCCCAGAGAGTCACATTTTTAATAGTGGGGTTCCTAAGAGTAGCATTCTAACAAGAGGCATTGGGGGGAACAGGGGAGAGCATTTGGGCAGTCACCCCCTCCCCACTTCTAGTTCCAGCCCCATACCCTGTTTTCCCAACCCAAGTCTATGGCTGCCTAGCAGCCCTCTAAGCAATGAGTTGACTTTCTTCCACTGTGACCCCAGGACACGTGGACCCCTCACACCAGATCTCCAAGTAGCAGCATAGTGCTTAGTGTTATTCTGCCTGGCAGCGGGGTGCCCCCCCCACCCCATTCAGTGGCAGTCAGGTTCAGATCGTAGCCTTCAGGGTGCCTGACTCATTCCGGCTCCGGTCGATAATGACAAGCCCCATGTTTTTCTCCAGCGTCCACGGCTATGACACATACAACAGTCAGGAAATAAAAGAGGCTTGAGTACTATACGGTTGCTTTACTTTCTTTAAAAAAGAAATATAATGTGAAGGGCATGGGGGAAGGAGCAAGGAGGCAGGAGTCCAGGCCAGCAAATAAGCCAGCAGCAAAACAACCTTGTTGTTTGTATGTTACATAAACAGCCCCCCCAACTGTCCTGCGGTTATATCCTTAGGAAAAACTGGGGCTTAGTGGCGCTTGGGTTGATTTCACACCTTAGCTTAGAGTTACTCAGAGGTGTATTAACAGCTAATGATTCCATTGAGGGCGGCCCAGATTGCCATCTTGACTTGCCAGATATTAGCAATACTCTTATAGAAACCCAAAAGCCTGCCAATTAAGTTCCCCAGTGTAAGTTAAAAGGGGCCTTTCTGAGATGCGTGATCTTTAGGAAAAGGAAATTAAACTAATTTTGAAAGCTCCTAACACTCGAGTTTCCTTATAATGTAAGTAGGTGACAGCTGGGATGAATATTATGAGTCCCTCCCATAATGTGTATTTGAATAGATGTCATGGATTCTAATGGCAGAGTTCAAAGTCACTCAGAGGGGCGGGTTTTTATTTTTTTAATGTCACCCACCTGAAATTATTTTCAGAAAGTTCTGTAATGGCTAACAGGATTAGAATGACATTGTCACAAAATGATATGAGGTGTTAAAAAGACCCCTACATGATGCGGTGTCCACAACGCACAAGAAGTACCCCCCCACCCAAGCATGACTCAGTAACACTCAGTGAGGAGGAGAGCATCGAATTATATAAGTTACAGTTTTATTTCAGACACACAAGCACGTAGGCCAGCAGTGATAGTAAACATGCAGGCATGCTTTCCCTCTGAGCATGAGAGGCGTTTGGATTTTACCCTCCCAGATGCAGAACCTCTGTACTTCTAAACAGCTTCCTCCTGACCCTTAGCTAAGTCAACGGGGAAAATCAGCCTCCAAGTTTTGCTAAATTGTGTACCATGACAGTGACTTGTATTTAGGAGACCTTGCGTGGATCTAAAGCCCAGAAGTAGCCACCACCACCGTTCCTCCTGATGAAAATGGCCTCACCAGCACCTCGCTGCAAACAGACACCAGCTCAAAACATTGATTTTCTCCCCACCCTCGCAGGGTTAGGATTCTGCTTAGAACTCTGCTTTAAGCTAAAATTTCCATCACCAAAGGGCCTGATTTCAGGCAGAGAAAGGACCACTTTAGCAAATGAGAGAAGCGAAGAGGAGTGGAGGAGGAGGGTCATTTCAACAGCAGCAAAACTCAGCCATGCCATTTTCCCTGACAGCACTTTAATTATGATGAAAGAACAAGATTTTTTTTTTCCGGTTTTTACAGAGGAGGCTCGTGGTGGGGGGAAAGGAGGGGGCTCTGAAAGAGATGTGAGCTGCCAAGGTACAGAGTGCAAAGCGGCTGTCACTGCCAAATGACAGATGCAGTTGGAGAGGGGGAGAGAAGCCCTTCCCTGAGCCTGTGCACCAGTGGCCTATTCTGTGGGGGCCCAGGACTAGTCAGCCAGGGGCAAATGGTGAATAGGATGGCCCAAAGGAGCCACCTGCTACATGCTAGCTTCCCCCTTTCCTTCCGTGAGATTTTAACCCCAGGGCTGGTTCTCCTAGTTGTGCTCTGCTCCACCAGCTTTGAAAGCCTTGGAGGGGTTTCAAGTGGTCACATACCTTATTGTTGAAAAGGATGTTTTTCTTTAAAGTCAGGTGCTAAGTCAGGTGTGAGGTTGAAATGGACACTTAAGGGCTTCAGAGCAGGATAAAGGGACAGAGCCCAGGAAGCCCAGGACTGATGCTCTGATGGGCAGAAGCCAGCCGTGTTTTAGGAATGGGGAAAGAGTTGGAGCACCAGATGTTAAGAGGCTACAGTCAGCTCAAGCAAGAACGAGAGAACGGCGCTGTCACTGACTTCCCACCTCCCGGCCTTGCCGGTAATCCCTGCTCTGATTGGAGGCATGGGGTCCACAGGAGGCACCTATTGTGTTGCCACAATGCCCAAAAGTGGCCTGAGAATTCTGGGCTGCTAGTGTTTAGAAAGAGATATAAGTGAACCCTAGACTCTCACAGCTGGAAAAAGCCTTTCTTCCTGGGAATGGGAAGTAACAAAATGAGTCCAGGTTAGCTGTGGAGTCCTTAGAGATGAAGGGAGCAGAGAGGGCGGAAAAAAAACAAAAACAAAGAAGGTGCATTATTTTGTGTTTCCTTTCACCTCCCTCCTTGGTTTTAGGGCCCTTTCCTGGCATGCAACAGGAAGTGCAGGCTGTGTTGAGAGCCTCTGGTGCAGACTTACGCAGAGCACAAGAGATGATGTGAGCCTGCTTGTCTGGGCTGCTTTTGTGTAACTGAATTACACAGTATCTATGTTAGAAGTGATGTCACCCAAGAGAGCCCCATGGCCTTGAACTAAACACCAAGGGGCATCGGGCCCCGGCCCCAGGAGGCCTGCTATGCAGCAACTTTTCTGAACAATTTGTGATTTTCTGTTCTTATTCCCCTCACTAAATTGTCATGCTGCTAGAGACACTTCTAATTTGATGGTTATTAATGGGCAGCTGGTAATGAAACAGCAAGGACTTAGGGCTTTGCAGTAGGTGAATTACGGACATTTACAAGTAAAACAACTTTACTTCTTACATTTAGCAAGAGGTTTAACAAGCAAAGTGCAACATCTGCAGAATCTTATGGGAGGAGGCAGTGGTCTTGAAATTGTGAGGCAGTACTGCAGGGATAGAGATCGCCTTTCCCTAGAACAACTGCAATCTCCCCATCAGAGCCAACTGGAAATACAAATTTGCTCCTATCTCCATGCGTGGTGATTCTGCCTGCTACAGAGATGGAGGAACAGTGATCTGGCTGATTTTAATGGGCCCATTTAGGGAAAAACACTTAAAAAATATGTGAAAATGCATTTTCCCCCTATTCCTTCTGGAAAGCAACATTAGGGTCCGGCAGTTCTGTCTGGAAGGAGGGAGATGCAGGAGCAGCATCCTGGCTTATGACCGCGTGGCTGCTTAGTGGTTTTATTTTAGAAAGAGTTTTAATGCAGAGGCAGCGGTGGTGGTGGGGGTGCGGGTGGGGGGGGGAGGGAGACAAATCAGATGTAGAGGTTTGCAGAGCCTGGAGGCCAAAGGAAGCCCACTTCAGGAGACCACATTTTCAGCATCAGAATAAGTAAAGTATTTGAGGATTTTTGTCTCCTCTTAAAAATAGGCACTTTGGAAAAGGAAAATATGCAGGCTTTTGAGAAACACAGTGAGGTGATCAGTTAATGTGAGGTGGTGGTGATTGTAACGTCGGAAGAATTGGTCTCATTTTTCATGTCACAATTAATATTGTTTGAGATTAGATAGCTTCTTAATTTAGACCATTTACATTTTACAGAGCACTAAAAAGCAAGCCTCCAAGCCACTTTCTGGCAGCACAAAGCCAAATAAATGGGAACAATATAACCTTAAAAAGATCCATTCTTTCACTTGTAGCTTTGCTCTGGTCAATATCGAGTCATTTAGCACAATCTAAAAAACTCACATTTTTCACTGCTAGAAATATGTAATTCTTCCTACTATTCATTGCCTGCAGATGTCCTGTTCTGGGGACCTTTTTGACTTGGGTTTTTGTCTTCTTGACACCAAAGCATACAATCAATTTGGTCAAAAGTTCAATCGTGAAAAAGCATCTGGATGTTTTGTCTATAAACAACCAGTTTGCCTGAATATTTGAGAGGATCAGCTCAGCCAACCACCTGTCCTGATGTTACCCCAACACAGCCCAAATGCACTCAGAGGGGTGCGGAAGGAAGGGTACACACAAACAAGGTGTGGGGGTCTCGCTTTCTCTGCTGCAGCCATCTGAAATCGGCTGCAGAGGAGGGGGGAAATGAAGCAGCAGGCTAGTCCTTCTAGGCAGACGTGGAGAGAGAACCGTGTGGAAAGATATCTTTATGGCTAGACTCTCAGCAACATCACTGTCAGAATCTGGTGCCTGCAGCCATCTTAGAATTTAGAGGAAGCTGAAGGCACCTGCCCACATTTTGTCTTAGGTTACAACCAGCTCAATCCAGCCAGCAAAAAATAAGGTTGAGAAGCATTTCGCTTTTACAGAAAAAGAAAAAATTTCCATGATTCTGTTCCTTGAAAAAAAAGCTGACCCTCCCCAACCCAAACCTTTTATTTCAAAGTCACCAAAACTGAGACTAGATAATCTCTCTCTCTCTCTTTTTCCTCGTGTGCATAGCCAGTTTAGACTCTCTTGGCTGGAATTTTTCCTGATCTCTCAGTGCAGTAAAAAGCCAGGCAGATGGGGGAAGAAGGGAACATGGAGAGGCAGAAGAAGGGGCAATGGCTCCTTGGCACATCTCCCTTTGTAGTTCAGTCTTACACAGTCCATTTTTATTTGCAAATAGCTCAGCCCAAAAGAGGGTATTGATATGACCCCCAGATGCTGTTCCGAATCCATCTTACTTATTTTCCCTCGGGGGTGCAGGCAGGGCAGAGCCCAGATATGATCAGACCTTCAAAGCGCAGCCTTGATCCTTTATTTTTCATGTTACAGTCACAGACCTTGAAAATGTGTTTTCAGCAGTTTACCACATACCGAGAATTTCAGGAAACAAAAGGTCAAGAATTGATGACTTAGATTTATTAGTGGCCCCATTAAGCAGACCTCAGAATTCTAATGATGGGTCTTTGCTAGACAAATCAATGTCATGTTTCTAAAAGGACAAGCGTGACAGCTGGGTGATTTCACAGAATTATCAGGTATTGGGAGGAAGGTTAAGCAGGGGTTCAATTACTATCAATTACAATGATGTTCTTGTTTGTTTCCCTGGGGTTTTCATGCTGCTAGTTGTGTATTTTTTCCCTTGCATTTGCATATTTGCTGTTTTGCTTTACATGTTTTAGAAATTATCCATCTATTTTTTTTTTTCCTCTCAAAATCTCTTCTACCTTTGGCATCAATTGTAGAAACTAAATGTCTGCTGTAGAGTTCTATCCTTTAGTCATAGTTTTTTGTTCTGTTTTGTTTTGTTTTTAAACAAAGTTCTCTTCTCTGCCTCCCCACCCAATAAACTGAGTGGATGTATAGTTATGCCAAGTTGTGGAAAACACATTTAACACATTTAAGAACGTGCCAGGTATGAAATATAAAGTATGTTATACCTAAGATTAAAATATTAATTCGATTTGGGGATTATGCCAGTCAACATTTTGGTTTTACATGCATTCATTCAACTAACTTATGGTATCTTGTTGAAATGATGCATTTAAAATAATTACTGATTTAATTAAAAGAAAACTAAGGAACTTTTCAGGCTGAGAATGACATTAAATTATCCTGTTCTTGAGCGCCTCCCAGAGGCGTGGGTTAAATAACACCAGAATATGAATTGAGGGTCATTTCGGCTTTTCTAGACTTTGGGATGCCTCCAATGGTTATGAGTAAAAGGAGTGGTGCTTTAACTTAGAGATTAGATGTCTCTGGGTCCCAATTAAGTTTTATATCCATTTCCTTTGTATGGTTGAGCTATTTGGCACCATCTTGGCAGAAGACAGGGATCCAGGGCCTTTGCTACCAGTGGAAGGGATTGAGGAAAGCTTCCTCTGTGATAAGTCTTGGCTTGGCAAAACATAGCCTAGCCTTCTTCCTTCCCTCTCCAGACCAGGGCACCACGTGGAGATAGCGCCGTTTGCTTGGGCTGGCCTTGGACATTTCAGAGTTCCCCTCTTACTACATGCTGACATCATCCCGCAACTCCCCATGTGCCTTCCCTCACTGTTGCCAAGTGCTCTTGAAAGTCAACCACCTTCCTGGGTGACTGCTGCTTTCTCACCTCAGGTTAAACCCATGGACCCAGTGAAAGTTCTCCCAGGGGCTCCCATACCCGGGGGTAATCATACCTTCCATATGTGAAGGGCTAGTTTTCCAGAGTTTTTATTTCTTGGTGTTAGGTCACTGCAACCCTGGGATAAAAATAGATGTAATTAGCATGTTGCAGATCAGACTCTGCACTTGTAGCTTTGTGCCACTTTCTCTAATAATACCAATTTTGGTGACACATTTCCTAGAATCCTGGACTTGCTTCAATCCCTAAAATCCTCCAAGAGCTGAATTGTAGGACAAACCTGTTTGCTTTAGAACCTAGAAGGGCTTTGTCCCAGTTAGATTGTCTCTTTTCCCTACCTTTCTAGACATTGCAGGTCCATCTCCATTTTCTTTTTTGTTTGTTTGTGTTTGTTTTGTTTTGTTTTGAGACGGAGTCTGGGTTTGTCGCCCAGGCTGGAGTGCAGTGGCGCGATCTCGGCTCACTGCAAGCTCCGCCTCCCGGGTTCACGCCATTCTCCCGCCTCAGCCTCCCGAGTAGCTGGGACTACAGGCGCCCGCCACTGCGCCCGGCTAATTTTTTTGTATTTTTAGTAGAGACGGGGTTTCACCATGGTCTCGATCTCCTGACCTCGTGATCCGCCTGCCTCGGCCTCCCAAAGTGCTGGCGTGAGCCACCGCGCCCGGCCTCATTTTTTTGTTTTTATTATCAGGGAGCAACGGCTCCATTCTCCCCTAAGGCTGACATTTTTGTTGAAGGCTGAGCACGCATGTCTTCCGTGCTTGTGGCAAAAGGCCCTTTCCTGGCTGGCTCCAGAATCCTCACCAGTTAATTGGGAAAAAATTTGAGTTAGGCATCACAATTTCAGCCGAGCTGGGCAAACAACGAGTACACCTGTCACTCGAGCCAGTGTCCAAAACTCAGCCCCATGGATCACAGCTGTAGCGTTATTTCAGCATGAGCAATTCAGTATTTAATGTTCCTTAGAAAAAAAGTAAATCATTCCAAGCTGCTACTGTTCACCTATTAACTCTTTCAGGATTTCATGGTGGTGGGGTGGAGGTGGGGAGTAATCTATAATTTGCTTGGCTAGCAGAGATAATACCCCCTTCCCAAGTCTGTCTTTCTTACATAATGGCCATTTCTTACATAATGGAGAAGAGGGGCTGCAAAACAATATCCTCTTGATCTGTGGCAGCCACTGCCTTCCAGAATGAGAAGTTAGATTTTCTTCTTTCGTTTCATTTATATTTTTACCTGCGCAGTACAGGTACTGCTTCCTACGATCAGCAGCTTCCATTTCTTCCCTCTTTCCACGGTAGCTTAAATTAGCCCATCATCATCAGCAAATCTTAATTTACAATTAAGTGCTGGGAAAAAAAAAAGTTCGTCATTAATCAGACCTTCTCATTTTATGTAAATGGCCCCCAAAAGCAACACACATTTTTAATCTGTCCTGCCGATAGCTGAGCCCTTCTGTCATTTGGGTCCTAATAAATGAATTGGCCATCTGCAATTAATCTGCATAGTACAAATCATTGGAAGGCCGAGTCTGTCTGCCTTCTGAAAGAAACTGGCTATATTTAGTTTTTTAAGCAAGTCTGCTTTGTGTTCTTTGTAAAGTCAGCGACATTCTTTCAATTTTTTCGGTGTAATTAGCACAAAAGGAGCCGTAATCTGAGAAGGTAGTAGAGACTAAGGCAACCGAAAAACAGGAATGTTCAAGAAAGCAGGCAGAGGCAGCCTTCCCAGTATTGGGCGGCGTGACAGAGACCCTGGGACGTGGCTGTGGGTAGAGCTGAGGTCTGTAGCTCATAAAAAATCTCCTTTTCATCTGATCCCCAGACTGGTTGCAAACGCTTGCCGCTTGGGCTGAATAATTTTCCCCTTCTCATAACTTCCAGTGGTCAGCAAGGACCTTAGAAAGACACAGTGCCATCTGGGCTCTGCTGTTGAGTGGGCTCCTGACAGGCCAGTGAGAGTTCTGTGCACACTGCCAAGCCCTCAATAAACTGCTGAGTGGGAGAGCAGAGGGCATAGCCCTGAGCTCCCCAGCAAATGCTGAATTTCAACCAACTGGAGGCTACATGGAAATCAAGCAGAGGAAGGCTGCAGTGGCCTTGGGAAGGAGAGTTAGAGCCTGTACGAAAAGAGGGGGCAGCCCTCCTCATTGGGAGCTGTGCAGACTGTGCCCCGATGGTTAGTTCCCCCCTCAAAATAAAAGCCAGGGAAATAGGTGGAGCTAAGCGGTAATTACACATTTTTCAATTTCAACTAAAACGTGTGGGCAAACACAAAACGATGAAAAGGTATCTACATTTCTAGATGAATTAAATGTGTGACTAATTATGTCACGTTAATTGCTTAATTCCTGGTTTACCAACAGCAGATGGAAGTGGGACTGGAGAGGGGGTTTTAGCTCTGAAGGCGAATGACACCTGAGGCCCAGTCTAAATCTCAGTTTTCCCAAACTGAGGCTAGACCATAACGGCAGGGCTGTTTGAAAATGATCACCTACATTTGGTTGGCAGGTAGATAAAATCTGAAGATGTAAAACTTCTATTTAGCAGTCGTTTCATTTGTATATGTCCACAAAGCAGCATTTAACTAAACAAAATGAATTGCCTGATTAATCCAGTGTTTTTAACTGTCTAAACTCCAATTCTATGGAGCTAAATTTGAAGAAGTGAATACCATGAAAAAAACCCTAAAATCTTTAAAATAAGAACAATTATAAAGGGCTTCTTTTATCTAAGGAAATTTTATTAGAACCTCAGGCCTCCTGACTGGGCTCAATATCACATCTCCAGGTGCACCAACTGCCTCTTATTTTTTCCTGTTGTCACTTGTTTAGTAAGATGTTGGATCAAAGTGTCATTTAAATAAGGCATCTTGTAAATAAGCAGGAAAGTAAACTGGTCCATGTCTATTTTTAACTAGTCTCCCTACATTATTCTCCATCCTGGATGAGTTTCCATCTTCAAGGCCAAGTTAAAAGTTCTAAGCAACAGGTTTTCCCATTACCTTAGTCCTCATGAAAATTTTTCCCCAAGGGAAGTGAAGGATATTTCAGTTTAGGAAAATTAGCTTTCCTGCCGTAGAGCGGCAAAACTCTTAAATATTTTTTTCTACTCAATTAAGAGCTCCATTAAGTGGGTCCATTGATCTGTTATTGATGTTGATGTACCTCAAAGAAAATGGAGCTTCCTCAGTCTTCTCCTGGATTTGACTTTCAGTTTTGGAGTTACTTGTGGAAGCTGCCGCCTGTGTTCTGCTGATGGGTCTGCCTTTTGGTCCTGCTAGTGGGTTTGTTTTCTGCTCCCTGTTGATATCCAAGTTGTGTGTCCACCTAGAATCTTCAATGAAGGGTAACATGTGCATCATATCATTTAGGCTTCTAAAAGGAACAAAGTAATACATGTCATCTCTTTTTGTTAGCTTCCCCCTTCTTGAGGTAGATGGTGGTTTTGTTAAAAGTCCATTCCTGCCCACGCTGGGGCTCATGGGGATGTGGTGAGAAAGGCACTGATGGCCTGGGGAATTGGGCGTCTGTCCACAGAGACCAGGAAGCCTCTCTCACAGATGGTGCCTCCCCATCAGAGAGTCAGGAAAGATCAAGAAGGGCTGCAAAACGTCCTCTTTGCCCTCATATTATGTGCCATGCTTTTAAGTAGATGTTTGAACAGCATCTCAAAGCCACTGGCTCAAGAAATTGGGTCCAAATACACTGGCCAATGTACGTCCACATTCTGTTTGAATTAGAGTATGTTCTGAATTAAAAACAGATCATTTTAAAATGAGTTGATGGATAATAAATAGGAAAATGTCATATGGCCATGTAGTTAATTCTTCAGTAATTGACTTCAAGTCTTCTGAAATGAAGTTTTATATCATGTTTAGTTTTGAATACAAGTTTAGGGTTACTTTATGGTTGGAGTTACTAACTAGTGAATATGACAAGAAAAAAAAATGTCCTAGATAATCACTACATTCGATTTCTAAGAACTTTTATGGTCTAAAGTAATAGAGCCTTCTTACAAGGATTAACTGAGACTAGGAAATGCTTTTTACAATTCCTGCTTTCATCATCTGCATGACATAGGCTTTGATATTCATTTGCAATAGCAGTTTCAGTCATTCTAGCTAATTAAAGTGCAGAACGTGCTTTGAAGACAGGAAACACTGTGGAAGTGCTAAATACTATTATTAAAACCTTACAGCTAAAGTTTCTGTTTCAGTGGAAACCTATTTATTGTTTCCTAGGCTATTAAAATAATATTATAATTACATTTGCTCTGGGCTCTTGGAAGACAACTTAAAATGACCCCAACTAATGAAAGGCCAAGGATAACATTCTTGTCCAAAAACTGAGTGACAGCATTAAGCAGAACAGTATTTTCAAGATTCTAAGCTGTAGCAAGTCCACTGCTTCAAAAGGTAGACAAGGCATTCTTACTCAGAAAGGAGGATACCCAGGGGCCAAGGAACACAAACTGCCTTTATCACCACGAAGCTGACAAGACCACAGAATTCAAACCCTGATGTGGGACGTTGTTCATTGTTGTCAAATATGGAATGTTGGAAAGAAATGTTTCGAGGCCATATCTCCATGTAGTGTGTGACACCATCTGTTTAAACAAGTTTTTTCGTTAGGTGACCTAGTGTTTTAGGTTAGGGATGTGTTATGATCTCAACTGGCTGGCTTGGGCATGAAGCAAGTCTCCTGAGCCAGAGATCTGTGCTTTCCTTGGGCATTTTATACCCAAGATATTCTGCCCTTTGTCCCTCCCTGAAATCTCCATAACTCCCTTCTCTTCCTGAGCCAGACGAGGGGCCCCTTCCATTGGAAAGCTCTCTCATCTGGACTGTTCCAAGAGTTATGCCAATAGATTGCCCCACTTTCAAAGCATAAACTAGGTACTTAAAACAGTAATGATCAATTAAATTACTAACTCATATGAAAAGGTCACACATGGTAGCCTCCAAAACTAAAAGACTTGAAAAAAAAAAATCACAACTTTTAGGGCCTCAAGAGGTCAAATTTGAGGCCAAAAGCTCAGTAAAATCTCTTCTTTCACTTTGTGTGGAGTGAAAACAGACAGCCTAGCTGACCACAAACCAGCTTGTGTTTCAGCACTCTGGGTGTCATTTGCTTACCTGTAAACCCATGATTCCACCTGCTGTCATTTATTTACAAAGTGAATGCTTTATTTATCCATCAGTAGTTAGTCATAATAAAATATAGGTGAAACCTACACTTAAAAAATTTTTGTTTTGAAGAGTGGCCTCATAGATTGAGAGCTGAAAGGAGTAAAGCCTGATCTTGCGTTACCCATTTCTAGGACAATAGTCCCAATTGTGCCTTGCCTAGGACGCATGTTAGTATATGACATGGGGCAGTTTCACTCCTTTTAAAGTTCAGGTGTGATGTTTATCTAAAAGGGGAAGGTGGTAATGGAGCTCAGAGATTTCCAAATAAGGAGGCTCTTCATTATATTCATTGTATAACTTTGTAGCTCCTGGCATAAGTATCTAGGTTGTATTTGTTACTATTTACCTTGTACCTCTTAAAGACAATGTATCTGTGCTTTGCCACAGTAGAAGCAGGAAGGAAGATGCTTTTGAACAAATGGAGCATAACAAAAATGTCTGGCCTATTCTTCCCTCTTACAAGTCTTTAACAATTTTTAAAAATGACAATCAATCAAATTCAGCCAGGAATTTTTAATTTACCATCTAAAGATATAGAACCTGTGCTGTGTCATCAAGCGGTTCTAATTTAGGTGGTGGATGGTAGTGAGCCTCACTATCACTAGTACAGGCAGCCTAGGAATCATCGATTCTGAGGCCTTACTGCTGAGTTCTCCTATGAGCACATTCAGGTGTATCTGCACAATATTTTTATGCATCTTTGGTTAGGTGAAAAGCATCAACCTAGGATAGTTCCTTTGAGCATTTTCAAAATAAGGTGTATTTTTGTGTGGAAGAGAGGCCATCCATGATCAGGAGTGTGACAAAAACCTGGCCCCAACTTTTCAGCCAAGTTCAAGAAAGTCAGGGGTCTGCAGCAGCCCAGGGCAGGACGGTGTCTAGGCTGCGCTTCCTGTTCTTAATTCCAAGTGTTGTTTGGTGACTTTGAATCGCCCTCTGTTGTCTTTTCAGATTCATAAAAAAGAGGCCTTGTACAATGGGGGCAGCAGTGTACCTGAAGGGGCCAAGAAAAATAATATGTGGCATCTTCATCTGTCACACCTTTTCTTACTCGAAGTGGAGCAAACTGGGGAAAAGGGGGGAATTTCAGTCATCCGGTTGAATGGCTAACAGTGTCTTTTTATTTTCAAAGCTAACTTAAAATGATACAAGTTTGCTCAAGGCCTCTGGTGGTATCAGCCGCCCCATACCCCTGGGGACTGTTAAATGTGTTTCCATTTATAGGTAGACTTTTCTTTTTTCTCCTTCTCCATCAAACATCTTAAGTTTCATGGGCTCTGTTAAGAAGTCAAAGAAAAAGTTGGAAGACAGTTTGTGGACTTTGCATATCTGGGCTTTCCGGGACGTAGGCCTGTGTCCCATCCAAGACACTGCTCACGTCTTAGCCTGATTACCTGGCCGCCTCGGCTCACCTGGGCACATGGTGAGCCGCGGAACTGGCAGGCACCAAACATTTATTGAATGAATAAACCGTATCCCAGCAGACACCATGGTGGCAGCAGATGACCTAACCAAGGTCCCAGGAAAGGCGGGCTGGGGTCAACTGCTTGAAAATTTAGTAACCCTGCTCCTAATCCCGTGCACTGCTATATCCTAGTGTGCGGCGGGACACTTGAGAGTTTTGAAAGAACCCTCAAACAAGTTCACGTTCCGTAAACTACTTTTCCCTCTGTTCCAGAGCCCCCAGGGCGCCCAGGCAAGGCCGCCACCTCTCCCACCTGGGAGGACGCCTCGAGCACCGACTCCACAGCCACGGCCACCGCTCCTCGGCTCCCGTGACACCGGCGCGCCTGCTGCTTCGAGCAGGGGAGGCTTTGCACTCCCATCGCACTTTTCTCGTCCGAAGATACGAAACTCCGTCCGGGCGTCGCAAATAATTCGAATTCGGCTCTCTGACACCTACCTCGGCGGGCGCGCGCCGCTGGGAGGGCGGGGTGGGTGGCTGGAGGTAAGGAGGCGCACAGCAGGGGTAAGCGCCGCCGTCGCACACTTTGCACGCCGCCCAGGGCTACACCACTCACCGAAAATTGGGAGGCAGGTCTGGGAGGCGGGGTTGAGCGCCCACCGCCTTGGGCGCGCCCGCGCCCCCCGCCATCGCGGCCCCCGCGCCCCCGGCCCACGCCCGCGCGGTCCCGGCACCGGCCTGCACCCCCAGGGTGCGCGGCGGCCCATTTGGGTGCGTCCCCGGTGGGCCGATTTTTCGCGCTTCCCCTTCGGTTTATAGGGGCCGCTGCTATGGGTCGGTCCTCTGAAGAGGCTGGGGCGTCATCGGGGCCGGTTAGAAGCTCTGCTCCCCGGCGGGGACACTCAGTCGCGTCGGCACCGCGGAGCGGGCTGCGTCAGGTGGCTGGCCGGCGCGGCGCTCCCCTGCTCTCTGGCTCCGGGCTGCGGCGCGGCGGCTGGAGCGAGCCCCTGTCCCGGCGCGGGGCGGCGGCGGGCGGCCGGCAGGCGCTGCCTTGCGTGTGAGTGCACCTCACTCACATGTAAGTCGGGGAGCGCCGGGGCCTCCCGCGGAAGTGCGAGTCGCCCGGCGCAGGCAAGAGCCGCCGGGTCCGGGACAAGGCAGGGGCGCCCGGGCGCCGCTGCCTTGCCCCGGGGCGCCTCCGGGCACCCCCCAATTCTCTCTCTTTTCTCTTCTCCATTGGCGTGCCCAAGAGCCAAACCAAGGAGCGCCTGAGGGTAAACAGACTCCTGCCATCCGCGCCTTTGCACTTTTCTTTTTGAGTTGACATTTCTTGGTGCTTTTTGGTTTCTCGCTGTTGTTGGGTGCTTTTTGGTTTGTTCTTGTCCCTTTTTCGTTTGCTCATCCTTTTTGGCGCTAACTCTTAGGCAGCCAGCCCAGCAGCCCGAAGCCCGGGCAGCCGCGCTCCGCGGCCCCGGGGCAGCGCGGCGGGAACCGCAGCCAAGCCCCCCGACACGGGGCGCACGGGGGCCGGGCAGCCCGAGGCCGGGGGCAAGCAGGGAGCCCGGGCCAGGCGCGAGCCGAGCTCCCCGAGGTGGCCGGGCCACCATGCTGAAGATGGCCATGAAGCTCAAAGCCCGGGCGGCGGAGAGCGAGAAGAAGACGGCCGCGGCGGCTGCCGAGGTGGCTGCCGAAGCTGCGGCGGCGGCTGCGGCGTTGGCCGAGCCGAGAGAGCCGCTCGCGCCGCGGAAGAGCGGGGACCCCGAGAAGCTCGCGAAGAACCCCAAGAACCCGGCGCGGGAGGCGCTCCCCGAAAAGTTCCTAACAGACAAGGAGCGCAAGAAGCTCGAGAAGAAGCTGCTGGAGCAGAGGCGAAAGGAGGAGAAGAAGAAGGAGAAGGAGAGGAAGAAGATGGAGAAGATGCTGAAGAAGAAGAAGAAGAAGGTGCCAGAAGCCCAGGAGGAGGCCCGATGCCCCGAGGCCGCCGCCGCCGCGGCCGCCGCCGACGACGACGAGGGCGCCGAGGAGGGCGCCGTCGGGGGCGCCGAGGAGGGCGCCGCCGCCGGGGGCACGAGTAGGGCCTGGGCTGACTGGGACACGGACTCGAGCGACGAGGACGACGCCTACTACGCGGCGCCGCGCGTTGGGGGCATCGTGTGGCGGCCCGGGCCGCTCAAGGCTGGCGCGCTGAGCGCCCACCTGCCCCTCGTGGTGTTCCTGGTCTTCTCGGTGCGCAGCCCCTCGTGGGTGCTCAACTTCCTGCTGCAGAAGCGCACGGAGCAGGGCCGCGGCTGCGGCTTCGTGTTCGGGGCGACCTGCTGCTTCCGAGTGTTCCTGGGCTGCGCCTTCTTCTCCTACTTGGGCGGCCGCGCCAAGCGCAGAGGCCGCGGGCGCTCCGGGGCCAGAGGCGCCTTCGGCTCGGGCCATGGCGCCCGGCGCCGGGGGCGCGAGGAGCGGCTCATCTAGTCAGACCCCCCACCCCGCCACCGCCACCAGACACCACCATCGCTGTGTAGTGTGGGTTTTTATTCGTGTTCGTGTGTGTGTGTGGACACATTTTCCTTTTCGGTTGCTCTGTCCTTTGGTTCGTGCTCGCCTCGCTTTTTCCACACTCCTGCTCTCTGGCTCTCTGTGTCTCTCGCTCTTTCGAAAATTTTCCTAAGTCCGGGCGCGCGCTCCCTCCCCTTCCGCCCACCCCAGCCCCTCGGCGGCGCCCGCGGGAGGGGGAGGAGGCCTCGGGGGCGCCGGGCGACGCGGTCCGGGGGGTGGAGCGTTGGCGTCGTGCGAGGGGTCGTCACTGGCGCGGAGACGCCCCCTCTCCCCCCTCGGCTCAGCCGGGCTGCTGCCCGAGCCCGGGGGGTGGGGGGCGTCTCCCCGGCCCGTCCCGTCCCCGGCCGGGCGCGGGCGGAGGGACCCCCTCCCCGGGCTCCCGGGGGGCCGCCTCCCTCCGCCGGCTCCCGCCCTCCCAGCCGCCGCCGCCGCCGCGGCCGCTCCTCGGCCCTCCTCCTCCTCCTCCTCCTTCCACCCCCCTCGCCGCCGCCGCCTCCTCCTCCCCCCGCCTCCCCCCGCCCGCCGCGGCGCTTTTGGCTCGGGGCGGCGGCGGGGGCCCGGCCGAGGCAATAAGAGCGGCGGCGGCGGCAGCGGCGGCAGCAGCTCCCGCAGCTCCTGCTCTGGTCCGCCTCGGCCCGGCGGCGGCCATCAGCCCCCTCGGCCTCGGCTCGAGGGGCGGGGAGCTGCGCGCGCCCCTCGGTCCGACCGACACCCTCCCCTTCCCGCCCGTCCGCGCGCCCCGCGGCCCGCGGCCCGCAGTCCGCCCCGCGCGCTCCTTGCCGAGGAGCCGAGCCCGCGCCCGGCCCGCCCGCCCGGCGCTGCCCCGGCCCTCCCGGCCCGCGTGAGGCCGCCCGCGCCCGCCGCCGCCGCAGCCCGGCCGCGCCCCGCCGCCGCCGCCGCCGCCATGGGCTGCCTCGGGAACAGTAAGACCGAGGACCAGCGCAACGAGGAGAAGGCGCAGCGTGAGGCCAACAAAAAGATCGAGAAGCAGCTGCAGAAGGACAAGCAGGTCTACCGGGCCACGCACCGCCTGCTGCTGCTGGGTAAGGGCGGGCGGGGGGCGCCGGCCCCGGCCCGGGGGCCCTCGAAGGGCGCCCCGCAGGCCGCGCGCGCCGAGCCCGCCCCCCGCCCCGGGCGCGCGCTCCCGAGCCCCCCGCCCGTTCGCGGGCTCTGTCTGTGGGGGGCGAGGCCGGAAGGGGGACCCAGGGGCGCGGATTCGGCCGGGCGGGGGCTCAAAAACGGGGCGGGGGGCCGTGGCGACGCGGGCGCGGGTCCCCCTCCCCCGGCCTGCCCGCTCAGTGTCTCTCTCTTGCTCTCGCTCTCGCTCTCCC
The DNA here is from genome assembly GCF_000001405.40 of Homo sapiens. Taxonomy (NCBI): domain Eukaryota; kingdom Metazoa; phylum Chordata; class Mammalia; order Primates; family Hominidae; genus Homo; species Homo sapiens. The sequence goes on from NC_000020.11 coordinate 58,892,154, forward strand.
CCTCTTTCTCTCTTTCTCTCTTTTTCCGCGAGGCCTACACGACGCCAGGGGTTTGGGTGCGTGTTGGGGAGGGGGAGGGGGAGCCCATGGGGCTCCGGAGACTGCGACAAAAAGAGGGTTTCGGGGACAGGAAACCGGGTGGCGGGTAGAGGGAGGGGGACCCGCCTCCGTGGGGTGTGAGATTTGTTGGGAGAGGGAAAGAGGGGAAGAAAGGGGCGAGGAGAGGAGGGGGTGACGCTGGGGGGCGCCGTGGTGGCGGAGGGGGCCTCGCCAAAGGGAGGCTTTGGCGGGGAGAAGTGGCCGAGGAGAGTGGGGGGGCTGGTGACATCAGCCCCTCGGAAAGGATCGGAGCGGTAAAGGTGGTGCAGTGGGGGGGAGGGGGCGCAAGGGAGTCGTGGCGCCGGAGTCGGGAGGGGGGCGGCGAGGGGAGGAGGGAGGGCGGTTGCCGCTGGGCGCGACTTGGTGCGTTTCGGGCAGGACCGACTGACTGTGTGTGCGCGGAGCAGACGTGTCCCGGGCCAGGCCGGGCCGTGGAAGGAGGAGAAGGAGAGTCAAATAAAATAAGACCACCCCCCAACACCAAAAAATGGATAGAGTTAGTACGAGAAGTGCCCAGTGAAGCCAAATGACACGTCATTTTACAGTGTGACCTTTTTTTCCCCTTCCAGACTTGCAGGCTTTTTCAAAAGCAGAGCGGAGAATTAATTGTAGCAGCTGCCCCCCCCACCCACCACGAGCAGCGCCCCCCCAACACTATTTTAATAAACCATTAAAAAAAACACATTTTCCTGCTGGCTGGCCACATTGAGAGTGCTTTGTGAAAAGAAAAAACAAAGACATTCACAAATCAGATAAAACTGGAGAATGACATTTGTCTGTAAATGGCTTCTTGGTCTGGAAATGGCGTGGTTTCTTTTTTTTTTTTTTTTTTTTTTTGTCCTCCTCAAGGTGGGAGGGGGGATTGAGAGTGCTCTAAGGAGACTTTTCCTCCAGGTGGGAAGAGATAAAAAGACATTAATTAGTTGTTTATCAAGTGACATTTAGTTGTTTGGTTTTGGGTTTTCTTTTTTTGATTGCGATTTTTCCTCTGATTAAAAAAATAATAATAAAATAAAAAAAGGTTAACTATAAGGAGATGGCCTTTCCTCCTTTTTTTTCTTAAGGTGCTGTTTTGGGGGAAAAAAATGTAATGAAATGACCAAAAGAATTACACAGCATTAATTAAAAATGGAAGTTTTCCACTTCCTTGATAATTTGGCTATCTGAATAAATTTGTGAATTTGCTAGGTTAAGACCTAGTTCGTGGTCACATTTCAACAAAACAGCTTGAGTATAAAGAAAATAATAAAAGGCTGTTCTTATTTATTTTCCTTTGGTGGCTTTTGGTTTGCTCTTTTTGCATAGGTCATGACTTTGTTCTCCTGGGTCCAGATTTATAAAAGCAGAAAATTACTAATTAAGTCAAAATAAGTGTCTTTGGTGTTTATGCATTTGCAATTTCAGTAATTAAATGGTACATGTGTTGCTGTCTTGTCTAAAACTTTTAAAGGCAGAATTATGCTGTTGGGATATTAGTATGCGTATAACTTGATTTCAAAGTATAAATCTGGAAAAGTCTAGAATCTTTTCTGTGAATGCTATCTCAGTACTACTTTAAGTCAAGTGTGATGCTAATGATATCTTAAAATTTCCAACACCTTTTGTGCAGTGATCACAAAGTCTCCACTTAATTTGAGACTGTTACTCAGAACACGCCTTGCGTCACGGGGGCTAATCTAAGTGTCCTAGTCTATATGACTACATTACATCATGATGTATTGATTGCCTCTGGCCTAGGAATCTGCAGCTTAAGCCAGTGACACAATATTTTGCATTTTTAAATGGTGATTCTCACCAAATAATGCCTCCCCACAAAAGAGGAAACCTAATAATGCCCCAAATCCTCTTTTTACTCCATCTTAATGACATAAAAATTAAGTGAATTAGAGAACTACAATGATCTTAAAATAATTTTTCAGCCACATTTCATAAATGTGGAAACTGAGGCACGGATCTGTTTTTGCCTATGAAAGATAGGTCCTGTAACTGTTACACAGTTTAACACTTCTGAAATTAGAATATTAGAGATCCTGCTAAATATTACGTATTGTTTCCTTGGCCTCTCTTAATAGTGCCATTTATATTTTTAATTTACCAGAGTTAGGCTCATTAAGATAGTGTTTGCTTTGAAATCAATGTTTCTGTGGAAACTAATTTTAACTTTTACAGATATTGATTACGGGCTTGTGAAAAGGCAAGTAAAGGAGGAATGCTGTGCTATCTGGGCATTAAAACAAAACAATACAATTAAAAGTTAAAAAGAAAGAAAAAGGTAATAACAGATTTGTGTGGAAGGAGGGCAAAAAAACTTCACACGTGGATTATCTGTTGGAGAATGTGCATTGCAAAAAAGATGCAAAATAGCAATCCTCCCTCTAGCTTGATGGAAATGTGTTTTTTCCATGAAACATATATGTATTTTTACAAATGAAAGATGATTTAAAATGGAGGCATGTGTTTCTACTCTTTGAGTTGGGAAGGGCTTGGAATCTTTCAAATTCAGTACTTCCCAGGGATAGTTTTCCTTTTGATTAAAGTTTTGTTCTTATGTTACTTTTTACTGTTGTTTTTGCAGTTTACCTAATGCTAATAGGGTCTCAGGAACTGTATTTGATGTTAAAGTGTGGTTTTTCCAGAAGATGACAGATAATTGATGGTCTCCCCTTTTCCTCAGCAACATAGTTGTACCCAGAGGGAATTTATCTTTAGAAAGATATAGTTTGTGAGGAAAGAGGAGGATGGATAAGTGGATAAAATGTAATGCAGTTTTAGGGGTGGATTTTTAAGTAGCCCAAGGGGTAGGAAACCTGCACAGAAAGAAGCTGCGTTGTGAAAATGTTGAGGAGGAAAGTGCTGCATCGCTACGTGATGTGGAAGAGACTGCAGTGTCTGGGCATTGTTGGGAATCCCGGGTATTTTAACCATGAAACATCTGACAACAAATTATGTGTCTAGATATGTTTATGTGTGAATGTTCATGTATCAGGGATTCAGTTTCACAGTTTTAACTTCAATTTTCTTGTTTACCCCACAAATGACAAAATTGCGTCATTCCTTCTCTTTGCCCCTTTCCAACACCACCCCACAATTTTTTAAACAATCAAAAGAAAAATTAAAACCAGCAAACCTTAAATTCTTGTTTGTTATTTGGATGGTGAAATACTGCAGGTAGACACTGAATTGGACATTGATTTCCTTTTCTCTGCGTCGAAATGTCAAGGAAAGTTGCAAGTCTGTGATTTTGTGTTTGGTTTTTTGCATGTTGCTTCTATGGAAAAACAAAACAACAACAGCAGACCTCCCTGCCCAAAGTGTTAAAATGCCTCCTTCATAACCTGAGACTTACTTTCATTTTCTAGGTGCTGGAGAATCTGGTAAAAGCACCATTGTGAAGCAGATGAGGATCCTGCATGTTAATGGGTTTAATGGAGAGTAAGTGTCAAATCTGTGCAGGGGGGCACCAAGTAAGAGGAACAGACTTTATACTAACCTTTAGGAAGTATAGGTGGGCTTTGGGGGCTGGGCAGCCAGTTTTCACTTAATTTTTCCTGATTTACATATTAGAAAATCCTGGGAAGGGCTCTTTAGGGTCCCTCACCCCCCACCCCCTTGGATCTTTGGTGCAACAAATACTACTGATGAAAGCACCAGTGTTTGTGACAAACATCTCCCTATCCCAAGAAAATCGTGCCTGGTTGCAGGGGACGCTTGACAGCACTTGGCCCCGTGACAGCCCCTCTCCGGGCCAGGTCCCTGCCACAGTCTTCGGACATCACTGCAGTGTCTTCAACGTGGCTTTGGCCGCCCCCTCGTCCGGCCCACGCTGATCACTGCAAATTCACCCCACCCCACCTCACGCAGATTTCAATGTAATGAACCAACACAGGATGTTTTAAACTATTAGGGAAACATTGTTTCCATAATATTCTCACCAGAAACAGATGTGGAAGTGGCAGCCCGTGTTTACAGTTTCTCATTTTTTTTGTCCCCCTTTAAATTACCATTATGGGTAAATCATTGTTTCCCTTTAAAACAAAAAACAAATCAGTACCCCTGCCTACAGAAAAGAAGAGGGAACATTTATTTAAAGGATGGAAAGACTGGGAGTTAGGCACTCCCAGCCTCACTGAGGGGCATTTTTGCCTTTGAGAAGTCCTCCCAGGTATCCTGGTATAGCACAATGTGGCAATCCGTAGTGGGAATGAAGATTAAACAGGAGAGACTTTGTATTAGACCTGTGAGACGAGTTAGGAAGCCCTGCCTGGCATGGGGAATGCAAACAGGGAACATTCAATAAATCGGGGAACTTGCTTTTCTCCCCAAGACCCCAGATGGGGCCTACCCATCGTTCTCGTGTAACAAAACGTGTAAAAAAAAAAAAAGAAAAAGAAAAAACAAAACAAAAAAACTAAGTTGACCAGTCTGTTTTCACTGGTATGAGAGCATTAACCGCACTAGATTTCAAGCACCTGAAGGCACTAGTTTGTAATTACTAGCTGGTTGGCACAGTCCTGTTCCCTTTCTTAAACTTGGATTCGATTGAAAATTTAACCTTGAGTTGCTTCAGCTTCCATTTCAAAAGGGGAGTTGGAGTCAAGGTGGTAGCGTTTAATTATACCAACCACCCCCCAAAAAAACAAACAAAACAAACAAAAAAACCTTTACTAGTCACTAAGCATCCAGGAAACAAAGGTGAACTTTTTCACCTTTCAGAGCAAGGCAGGCAGCTCCTTATAGAGAATTCTAGAATTTGTTAGATCAAATAATTGTTTAGAGAAGGATGACATCACCCATACGAATAGTCCTGTTAGTTGAGGATGCTTTTTCTACTTTAACCCTGAATTCAGAAGGATTGGTTGGGATGCACAGGGGGCTTCTTCACTCATCTGATTATGACTCTCAATGGGTTATCAACATGCACATACGTGCTATTGAGTAAGTCAGCATCACTTGTCACCAACCAATTCCGAAATTAATTCTTGACACACCCCTCGATAAAGCCCTGCCAGCGGAGACTGCCATCCTGACAATAAATAAATAACCCTGAGACAGACTTCCAACCATGAATCTGTCATTTGAAGAAAAATCTTGCATAAATTTTCCCCCTGCAACTTGCAGGAGTACTTACTTATTCATGAGAGTAGTTAAGCAAAAATAATTTGACCATGTATCCTCTAGATAAATATTTTGATGAAAACTGGACATGGCTAGCATTTTTCAAAGATGCAGCAGCCACTGTTTACCTTAGCTTGAGTCGGATGGAAGCTAAGTCACCTTTGAAATAAATTACTGACAGCTTCATTACAGATTGCCCTAAAATTTAAAAATTTTTATAGAAAGGATTCTCCTCCCTAAGCGAGCCAGCCTGTAACACCAGGCAAGGGTTTTAAACCAGAACTTCTCTTTTCTGTTTTCTTTTTGGAAAGAGGAAGCAACATTCCCAGTTTGCCTTCTTTGCAGACAAGGGCACAGATACGTTAAATTTAGCCTGTGAGAGGGTTTACAGGGGTATTCCTCATGGGAGCCTAGATACCTTATTTTTATCTCATCCAACTGCCTCCTTTTTTCTTTTTCCTCACTGCGGTATTGCAACAAAAGCTATTTCCTTCTTAACTAGGAATTCCCTATGAGACAGTGACATCTGTCCCTAAAGGGTGGTCTGGGTGGTACAGGGTTCTTCCTCCCTGATCTTGCGTTTTGTTAGGGCTCGGCTGAGCTATTAAATTTGCCTTAACTCTCTGCGGGCTGCCATGCTGATTACATTTTTAAGAGTAAGATAATACTGATTTGACCTTCAGAAATACAGAGGTTGGATGCGGATTTTCTAACTCAAAACTAACTCTGTTTCTTACATTTAGTGCCAGGAACAAAACAAAAACAAAACATAAACACCATTAACATTGGTTGAACTAAGCTAATCAATTACCAAACTGTAGAATGCTGCCCTTCGGCCTTCAAGGAGGAATTCCTACTGTTTATGAAGATCGGGTTTGGGTTTTTGGTTTTTTTTTTCTTTTTCTTTTTTCCGTGGTGGTGGTGGGTGGGCTTTTGTTCTTTTTGTTTTTTCTGTGGTGGTGGTGGGTGGGCTTTTGTTCTTTGAAATTTTTTTTGCTACATCACAGTCCAGACATAGTTTAATGACAATTTATGGGGAACAATTATTTATAAATAAAACCATTTTATAGGTAGTTTCCTTCCACTGCAAGAAGTGAGGTCATTAGTTTTGCAGGAAATCCTGGGCAGAAATCTCCCCCGTTTATGCCTTTATGCCTTAAGTTACAACCTTGGGAAGATTCTGACCTGGGAGAATTAGGAGCCTTATGCGCTGCCATATTCTCCAAAGAATTGTGAGATAAATCACTGCTTTAGCTCCCTAATGCGTGTACGTTTAGTGAAAGCACAAGAAAACAATTATCCATCCCTCCTGTCTCCGACCAGAGTCTCCAGAGAGCTCTGTTAATACTGCAGCAAAGGTGTGGGATTCTTCCCCCATGGCCTGCAGTCTCAGTGGATGTTCCAATTTAGCCAGAAAGGCGACCTAAGAATTGCCGGGAGGATGGATGGCTGGCGCGCGAATTGTTGCTTTTGCTCTTGGCTGATGGTTGAGGAATGTAGAGAGACTGTGTGGGGTTTGTGTGACACTGCGGTGCCTTGCAGATTAGGTGAGCTTTCAATCTCTCTTTAAAAGGGGCGGCGAAGAGGACCCGCAGGCTGCAAGGAGCAACAGCGATGGGTAGGCACATTCAAAACCAGAAAAAATTGTTAACAAACCAAACAAACATGAAGATCATACTGGGAAACTGAGGCCAGAGACCCGGGAAGAAAATAAAAATCATTTAAAGGACCATCAGCCATATTGGCATACATTTGTGAATAACACACAATTTCCTGACATTTTGGAGCAAGTAAAGTGCGTAACATAAATTTTTTTGGCCATGCTTAAAGTAGAATGAGATCCAGCTGGGGGAAAGTTATAGATTTCAGCCTTGGATGATCAGTTTAGGATTTTGAGAATTGATGTTTTTCCATATGGTTTCTGTTTTCCCCCAGCTCTCCATTTGAACCAGCTGCTTGTTTTAAAACTATCTACTAAATTCCATCTACCCACTGGTTGGTCTGATTTTAAAATTTCAGACCTCTTTGAAACAAAATTTGTTTCCTTTATTAAAATATGCAATGCTGCACCGTCTTTAATTTTGAAAAACGCCTTGGTACCTTGCAGCAGGTCGTTAAGAATCATCTCGAAAAGCCTCTGGCCTTTTAAAAATGATCAAATTTATTTGAATCAAAGGCACTTTACGTTAGCTTGGTGGATAAGGAAATTCATGATGGCATCTTTTATTTTTCCATTCATTATCAAATTATTTTTTCTTTGCTTCCTGCATCCCCACACCCATCACACACACACACACGCACACACATGCACATGCATACACAGACACGCACACACATCACACGCACACACAGCCACACGCGCCGCGCACACACACACGCATGCCAGGTAACCACTCTAGCTCTGCTGTGTATTTAGCATGCAGTGGTGGAGTGGCTATTTCTCATGAGACCATCCAGAACCATTGACTTAGTTTAGGGCATCTCAAAGAAACAGCTTCTGTGGCCGGGGAGGGGAGGGGCAAAGATATTGGGGTCTGGGGACAAAGTAACTGACACATGTTTGTTCATCTGTTTCTTTTAGAATATAATATCCCTAGATGATGGCTACAGTTTCTCATCTTCCCGGCTATGTCCTATCACAATTTGCATGCTGGAATTGCTCGGTCTTAGGAACTTCTAATAAGAATACTATTCTGTTATCTGAGGGGGGAGGGGGGATGGGGCCCCTGCTACCTGACCTTAAACGATGATTGAAAAAACGAAAAATGAACTGAAATCCTTAATTGGCAGAAATGTAGTATGACAACTATCCAAAAAGGCATCTCTATAAGAAATGACTAATTGACAATCTGCTGTACCAAAAGTTGGCATTTGAGCAAGATATGACAAGTCCTTAGTGAGCAACCTACTGTGTACTAGATGTCCTGCTAAACCCTTGAACCCTACTAATACCTTGGCCTGCACGTCTCTCTCACTCTGTTCTGCAAGTCAATATAAGTATTAACATTCGTGATAAATAAAAATTCTCTGCATGTTTCAGCAATCCCTGTATCTCGCGTCTGTCTTCTGTCTTCCTTCCTTTGTCTGTCTTTTCCCACCAAAGCACAAGGATTAAGGTGGAGACCTGAATAGCTTCCCCCACCACTTAGTTAGCTGAAGCGGGGGGAGGGGAGGAGCTCTTAAAAACTGAACGCATCCCATCTGCTGTATACATAGAAGGGGGAGGAGGAGGAACCAAGACCCTAAAAGTACTTCCAGCCTTAGTCCCAATTTTGTAGCGAATCAGAATTCTAGCTAATGGCATATGTTTTGCCTTTGTTGAGTAGTTTAAAGACATCTAAGGAATTTTCTCTGAATTTCACAATCAACGTTAAATTCATTAAGCAATAGTAAAAGTGATGATAAACCCGCCAACCCCCAGTATAATATCTCCATCTACATAGTAATTGCTTCAATGGAAGAATTTTATGTTTTAGTATTACACACCCGAATTAGATTTTAGATTTCTATTTTAGCTGTTTTATACTTGATATACTCCCACACCTATTCACATACGTAGATGAATACTGAACACGTTCTCAAAATATCCGTATTTTAAGACGGGAAGTTTTCCAATTATCATACTACTGCTTAGACCAAAATATCAAACTGAATGAAAGAAACTTGTTTCTGGAAATACTTTCTCTTGCTGTATGCAGATTTGGATATTTAGTACCCGAATGTATTTAATTTTACTATTGTGGAACCTCAAAACCAAAGGTTAATAGCTTTCATTACCTGTGAAGTGGAGCCTGCTTTTAATGAATGGGAATAGATTTGCCCTAGGGGGTTTTGGGTAAATTCTGAATTCAAAAGTGAACATTGGGGACCATCAAACACATGTCCTTTTAATTTATAACATCTAAATAATCGATGTTAGACTGTAATACCAAGGCCGGGGATTCTTAATTTCAGAAATGAGCTTTGATTCTGCACATACAAAGCAGACAGTCGCACAGAGCGGTCAGGACTCACTCCCTTTCACTCTAAGGTGGTTGCTTTAAGAGTCTGGGGGCCAGAATCAGATTTCAGATTTGTACACAAGGCCTGAAGCTCGCTCACCTCCCTGTCATCTGTGTTTCTGAGATTCTCCGGACCTGCAGCACTTTTACTTAAATGGCCCTGAGGGGATTCCTGGCAACATCTGTCCCCCCTCCCCACCCCAGACACCCCCCACCACTAATGAGCGTGGCCCCTCTGAACTTCCCCAGCTCTTCACCCAATGTAGAAGAGCAGTGGTGCAGTGACCTGTGAAAGGGGCTTCACGTAGGAAGGGGGCGAGATGGGATCCTTCAGCAGGTGAAGGCCCAGAAGTACACAGACATTTATTCAGAAAGAATAAATTTGTAAGTATAATTCTTTGAGAAAGGAAAGACCAAATGATTTGTGGAAGGCCTGTCGACAGGCCCGCACTTGACCCCACCGTCCGTCCCCGCCCCCCACCCCTGCTGCTCCACTGACTGCCCTGCCCTGCTCGTCTGCTCGTCTGCTCTTGCTAATTAACCTCCCTTCGCCTTTCCTCTGCCTTAACTGTCGTGTTCTAGTCTGGAGAGATTATATGTTTTAATTTCTACTCCAGTCTATGAATTGGTGAATCAGCCAAGTGAATGCTTCAAAAACTGGGACTCTCAAAAGATTAAAAAATATATATATACAAACCGTGAAAAAGATAAACTCTGTCCCCTCCATCTCCCATTGGTTTCTGCCTCGGTGACTCCCCCCCTCTTGGCCTCAGTTTCCCTGTCAGAGAGGCAGGACCGTAGCACCTTTTTTCCGCATGACAACGCCCTCACCTCCCAGGGCCTAACAGGTACAGCAGGTGTGCTGTGTGTGCTGGTTCCATTTTTGGGCTATAGACCTGATGAGATACATACTCCACACAAGAGGCCTTTTCTTGCCCTCTAAAAACATAAACTCGAGAACCTTCCCTGGCTGTGCTTCTAATGAAGGCTAGTTTCTGAAAAACATACAGCATTTGGATCAGTGTAATGTGGTACAAAAATTAACATTCTGTTATGGTCCCCAGAAGCCAAAGGGTGTGTCCTTTACCTGTGGGACCAGTGACCCTGAATATAGATCATTCCATAAAGACCACGCAGGCCATCCCATGTGGCTGAGTTAAACTCAAGGAAAAGCTACAAAACCTTCAACCTCTACTTACCAGAGGGATCTGACCTCCCCTCCCCCTTAGATTATAAGGCCTTCTAGGGGGTGGAATCTTATTTGATTCCTATTGCACATGGACCAACATGCACTAACATCATGAACTAGAAGTTTCATTGCTGCTAGCTGCAGTGCCTGGAGCATCGCACATACGACTTTTTTTTTTTTTTTTTTTTTTTTTTTTGACAGAGTCTCACTCTCGCCCTGGCTGGAGTGCAGTGGTGCCATCTCAGCTTACTGCAACCTCCGCCTCCCGGGTTCAAGCAATTCTCCTGCCTCAGCCTCCCTAGTAGCTGGGATTACAGGTGCATGCCACCATGCCCAGCTAGTTTTTTTGTGTGTTTTTAGTAGAGACGGGGTTTCACCATGTTGGCCAGACTGGTCTCCAACTCCTGACCTCAGGCAGTCTGCCCGCCTCAGCCTCCCAAAGTGCTGGGATTACAGGTGTGAGCCACCGCACCCGGGCTCCTGTAATGAACTATTATAAACACCACCACCTGTGCTCACTGGTTCTCTCAGTATGCTAGCAACTGAGTTAATTCCAAGTCAAACCATGGGACTGTTTTGTTCCACCCCAACCTCATAGTGACCTATCACTCCAGCCTCACCCCTACCCAGATGTTGATAGGACCAGGAGAAGCCTTTAGGAAGTGTTAGTATGTAGTGTGGGGGCTTCAAACCCATGAAAGATTAAATGAGCTGCATGCAACTTCTGGTACAGTCATGATTGCTAAGGCAATTTGCTAATCTGCCCCGATTGGGCGTGTCCTCAGGGCACATTTGGGAGGTTATAATTTGCAACTATGTTTATTCAGCTACCTCCAATCTTTGCACAGATCCGAACCCACAACTCCCTGAAGAACAGAATACTATGCTTTTTAGTCGGGATGTCTTTATGAAAGCAGTACTCCTAACTGACATGGTGCAATATGATTTTCTTTTCTTTTCAATCCCACTGCAGTGAGAAGGCAACCAAAGTGCAGGACATCAAAAACAACCTGAAAGAGGCGATTGAAGTACGTGCTGGCTCCTTGTGCTGTCTGTCTTGTAGCGCCCTCCCAGCCAGTGCTGTTCCCTGACCGCTTTGCTAAATCATTTTCAGACCATTGTGGCCGCCATGAGCAACCTGGTGCCCCCCGTGGAGCTGGCCAACCCCGAGAACCAGTTCAGAGTGGACTACATCCTGAGTGTGATGAACGTGCCTGACTTTGACTTCCCTCCCGTAAGCTACACCCCGACTTGTGTGGCCTTAGCCCCGCCCACCTGAGCACAGTGTCCATATAGGAACATGAGTGACAGCCCTGCACATGGGCAGGAGCATCCAAACCACACTTCAGGCAAAACTACATTTCAGTGATGTCCATCCTTAGGAAAAAGTTAATTTCATGTGTAACCTTAATTTAATAATAATAATCATTAGGGCTTTGTTCAAGATGGATGAGCAAAATTCTGTCACCCCTTCTACATCTTAGCTCACCTGTCCTCACAAATAAACATCACTCTTGAATACTACAATCTCACTTTATTAGATTGTAAATTTTTATGAGGAAAAAGGTCCTGAGCTATGGCAGGCTTAATTATTCCCTCATTCACATCTTAGGACAAAACTGTATGTTAAATATGGCACACAAATACTAATTGTCCATTTACTCCACTGGAAGTGCCCTAAGGTACCTTGGGATGCCTCAGTGAAGTGCCAAATGGAAGACATTCTCATTTTAAACAGGTGACCTTTTTATTAAGAGTTTTCTAAAGTCCTTGGGGCAAATGAAATCTTTTCTCATTATTAAAAAAAATGAAATATATCTAAATCATAACTCAAAAATCATAAAATAGAACATATGGAAAAGACTTTCCTCTGGATGCACGACACTGTTGGCTCCCTAAAGAACTACTTTTAGGGAACAAAAAACTGTTCAAGCCCAAGCATATAAGTTTAGGCCCCTTCGTGGGGAGAATGGCTTATAAGCGGGGAACGGGAAACGAGATGGAAAGATGTATGCGTTTGTAAGACCCACAGGGAAGAGACTTGTCTACAGCTAAAACAATGAGTTATTGTTGCCTTTTGTCAGGCTTTCGTGGGAATTTGTGTTTGTATATTTTAGATGGACTTGGCTGCAAACTTAAATTGGAGAAATTTAGTGGTATATAGTTAGTATGGATAGCTAAACTTTTTAAATAGCATTATTTTGAAAAAAAAGCAATAAACACAATATGTATAATATAACCCACTGACTTTCTTGAAATATGATTCTATATTTAATAGGAAAAGGAAACAGCAGCCTATTAAAAATGTATCAGAACAATAACTTTTTATTAGTCCTACTAACATCTGAACTTTTATGTTCCTACCTACAAGTCCCCCATCATCATTTTTTTTGGTAAGATTCACATTTTCCCAGGAGGAAAATTTAGTCCCAGCACATCTTACAAATGAAGTTTCTTATTTTCACAACATTGAACCATTTATTGGCATATTCTAACACATTTAGTGTATATTCTTCCTAAACAATTCTGTGAAGAAACTAAATTACTCAGTAGCTTACCCCATTCCCCCTACACACGAGAAAAGAAACTACCCAAAACCAGTAATTCACAATAAGACCCAGCAGCTAATTGCGTGAACTTTTGAATATGTTTAACGTGTTGAATTAAAGTTCTTTGTGAGCATTAATTCATTAATTGGGCTCAAAATTCAAAATCACACCAAGTGTCGGTCACATAGGGAACTCTGGTCTCAGGGTTTGAATGACAGTGTTGTTGATTAGTTCAAGCTCTTGCCTTTCTCTAAACTTTCTTGTGTTCACTTTCAGGAATTCTATGAGCATGCCAAGGCTCTGTGGGAGGATGAAGGAGTGCGTGCCTGCTACGAACGCTCCAACGAGTACCAGCTGATTGACTGTGCCCAGTAGTAAGTAACCGCCACCCAACCCATCAGCACATAAAACAGACAAAAACAAGAAAACATGAAAACCTGTGATCCTGCTTTGAAAGTTACTTGTTGATGATTCCTTTCTTAGAAGCCAACCAGTTACCCCACTGGCAGAAAGTTCTAATCTGATTCAATTGTTTATTTATAAAGTCCTTAATTGCATTTTTTTTCTTTTAGTGCAGCGACATTATTTTACATAAACATTTAAAGCCTGTTAGAGCAAAATGATGATGAGTTTCATAGTATTCCTAATTAGTAGGAAGTAATTAATTGAATTGACCCTAAGCATTTAGGGAAATAGGGCTGTGCTCACATTTTGAATAATGTAAAAATACTATATTTTATTGCTGTAATTTTAAAACATAACAAAGAGGAATGGTGAAGACATAGCTACGCCTCCTCTCTCCTTGGTAGTTGTTGATTGATCTATTTCTGCTCTCAGGTAAGCGACTCTAGTAGCTGCCTAGTGTTACTAGATCCTAGTGACTCTAGGTAGAGTTTGTTTTTGTGTTGTCTTGACTTTTGAACTCTATTTCATATCCTTATTTATTCCTTCTCACCGGGTCTTGATTCAAGGATGGTAAGTGGTCAATGGATTTTAAATCCTAAACTGTACACCTAAGCAGTACAATACCGTGGTGGGGTTATTTTCAAATAAAACAAATTACTACCTGCGAGGAGGACAGGTTAAGGCCTGCAGTAGCAATGGGAAAAGCATCTTTCTCCAAAGTCACTCATAAAGGTGGGCTCACCTGGTTGGTGTGTTGGCAAATGAAGAAGGGGGAACTTAAAACACAGACTTTATTGCACAACTCTACCTGATGCCCAGGCTGCTTCCCTTGCTGCCTAACACCTGACTTACCATTGCCTCAGGGATCGCCCTCTGTCCCTGTCACCCACCATGGTCTCTCCCAGAGGACATCGTACCCGATAGCTAGAAAGTTGCCTTTGAAATAGTTTATGGCTTCCCTCATCTTGCACATGATATAGCAAGCATGTGGTGGTCAGGGTTATTTAAAAAATATGTAAACATTATTATTATTTTTTTGAAACGGAGTCTCACTCTGTCACCCAGGCTGGAGTGCAGTGGTGCGACCTTGGCTCACTGCAACCTCTGCCTCCTGGGTTCAAGTGATTCTCCTGCCTCAGCCTCCCGAGTAGCTGGGACTACAGGTGCCTGCCGCCACAACCAGCTAATTTTTGTATTTTTAGTAGAGATGGGGTTTCACCATATTGGCCAGGCTGGTCTCGAACTCCTGACCTTGTGATCCACCTGCCTCGGCCTCCCAAAGTGCTGGGATTACAGGCATGAGCCACCGTGCCCAGCCAAAAATGTAAAGATATCTTCTGTTTGTTGATGCTGCAGAAATGCACAAAGCAGTCTCAGTTAATGATATTCTGAAGTAGGAGTGTCCTGTGACTTGGGGCAGGGGAGTCTAGTAGAGGTTTGATGTTTTAGCCATCCTTATTACAAGTAGCTGAAACTCGGAACTGATTTTGCTATAGGAAGTATTAGCTAATCAGAACCAAGGTGCCAGGCTGACTCACCAAGGGCTAAGATTGCTTTACTTAGTAGCCTCAAGCCCAAGGAACTGATTGTGAAAACCACCTGAATAAACAGGAGGGAGGAAGAGGTAATACTGTTCATCTATAAATCATATAAGCCTCTGTTAGGGTCTGCGCAATCTATCAACCCCAGCCCTGCCTTCCCATAGGAAATTCCTTTATTTTCAATTGCCACATACATAGATATTCCACGGTTTAATATACAAGCAAATGTGTATATTTTTTCAAGGAACAGAAAAAAACAGTCCATCTTGGCTGGTCCCTATGGCCCCCAGCCCCCACTCCTTCTTCAACAAAGTCCCTGATTTTCTCAAAAGTTCGAACCAAAAGCTGGAAGCGCTAA
This sequence comes from Homo sapiens, assembly GCF_000001405.40. Taxonomy (NCBI): domain Eukaryota; kingdom Metazoa; phylum Chordata; class Mammalia; order Primates; family Hominidae; genus Homo; species Homo sapiens. The sequence continues at coordinate 58,907,411 of NC_000020.11, forward strand.
TTATAGTAACGCAAAACAAATGGAAATCCTGGAATTGTTTGCATTTTGTATTTTGGATCCAAGTCAGAAGTTAAGTACAGGTACAAGATTAAGAGAGTTTAACCACCCCAGTTTTGAATGCTGGGGGGGCAGGGAGACCCAGTTTCGTTAATTAACAGTAGCTTAGCCAGATTGTTGAATTTTGTCGGGTTTCGTTTTCTCTCTCAAATCATTTAGAAGTTTTTGGGGTTTTTTTAAGCAACACTTAATTACTCCTGAAACTTTGTCTGAAAACGCACCATTTGTATAGATCATGAAAAGTTTTAAGGAAACTCAGAGAAAAAGAGAACAACGCAGCTTAAAACTTTTAAAATGTCCTCCCTCACCCGTGGCTCAAACAGCCCTGCATCTGCCGTGGCCGGCACGTTTCTGGTTGAACTGCCTTTATGTTAAAGTTCAGATACTGGTAGTGTGCCCATTTCTTAAGCTGTCTATTTTTATTTGTTGAGCTGGGGTTTGGCTGGCTCCACTCCAGATGTCTCTCTCACAAGATTTGGTGCTGATGATCTATTTATAGAACTGTGGTTCTGTTGCCATGGTAACATGCTGGAGGCCAGGGCGGCTGGGGAGCTATTTCTGGACTGGTGCTGTAATGTAAGATTGATTGGGCAAGTTAGTATATCCTCTAAGCCAGACTAACTCTGAACTAGTAAAAAGGAAGAGGGGAACAGAAAACTTAGGCAGTTTCTTTAAATAAACTTTTCTCTCTTTATGATTTTCTTTTCTCGTTAGCCCGCTTTAAAACAATTCCAATCTCTACATGCCCCTCCCTCCAAAAAATAACTGGTTTTAACATTAATTTTCCATATTAATTACCCCAATCTTTCAAAAGTAAATTTTCCTGTGTGTCTAGTCAAGCAACACAAACAAGATGCTTTTTTTAATGAAAAGCGTAATATCTGGAGTGTTCTATTTCATGGACCAAACAGAACGGAAGAGAACTTTGTGTTTGTTTCCTGTTCAGGATGGCTAGGGCGAGAAGGGCCCCTTTGTGCCAACCTCTTTTGTTCTCTTTAATCAATGAGATTCTTAAAAAGTAAAAAGGAAGGGATACAGATTCTCAGTAACTAAAACAATCTCGTGTGCCCTTGAGGGGAAAGTCCTTGATGTTTTTAAGAATGTCACTTTATTGTTTTTTAACTGAATGATATAGAGGTATACAATTTTCAAACTGTTTGCCATTTTAATCAAGCAATTTGAAAATTAAAATGTTTTTGTCAGGCATTACCAAATGGCACAGAATGTGATAGGCCAGCCTGGTTTTGGGGTCCTTTCTCTACTGGTTGATATGCATAAAACCTTCTAAAAATCAAGAATATTGCCAGAGAGCAACAGGAATAAAGAAGCTAAGTAAAGAATAAAAAAGAAAAATAGAAAAAATAAAAATAAACACGAAGAACAAAGCCCCACCACCGTGCTGTGCTGTTTGTGTGGCCCCACTGCGTCGAGGCCACAGGCTAGCTGCTAGACGCATCTAGAGTTCCCTGATTCCTAAAATTATTTATCTTAAATCCTGTTTGCCCTAACCTTCTTAAGGCATCAGCTTTGAGTTACAAATGTAACCAACACACAAGCAAATGTGCCATTGACTTAGTGCTGCATAACTGTGGGACGGTCACTTCCGTTGAGCCTGACCTTGTAGAGAGACACAAATAGTTGGCAAATTGATGTGAGCGCTGTGAACACCCCACGTGTCTTTCTTTTTCTCCCAGCTTCCTGGACAAGATCGACGTGATCAAGCAGGCTGACTATGTGCCGAGCGATCAGGTGTGCAAAACCCCTCCCCACCAGAGGACTCTGAGCCCTCTTTCCAAACTACTCCAGACCTTTGCTTTAGATTGGCAATTATTACTGTTTCGGTTGGCTTTGGTGAGATCCATTGACCTCAATTTTGTTTCAGGACCTGCTTCGCTGCCGTGTCCTGACTTCTGGAATCTTTGAGACCAAGTTCCAGGTGGACAAAGTCAACTTCCAGTAAGCCAACTGTTACCTTTTTATATAACAGAGATCATGGTTTCTTGACATTCACCCCAGTCCCTCTGGAATAACCAGCTGTCCTCCTCCCCACCAGCATGTTTGACGTGGGTGGCCAGCGCGATGAACGCCGCAAGTGGATCCAGTGCTTCAACGGTAGGATGCTGTGGGCTTGGCTGTTCGTAAAGAACGCTTTGCTTCTGTGTTGTTAGGGATCAGGGTCGCTGCTCACGCTCTTGGCTTTGCTCTCTTTGGTTAAGATGTGACTGCCATCATCTTCGTGGTGGCCAGCAGCAGCTACAACATGGTCATCCGGGAGGACAACCAGACCAACCGCCTGCAGGAGGCTCTGAACCTCTTCAAGAGCATCTGGAACAACAGGTTTGTGGAGTGACCGCCCACCCCCTGCGCTTGCCCAGGAGGCCCTGGTCTGCACTGTTTATAGAGAAGAACCCCGTGCAAGCATTCCAGACCCCTGGCCGAAAGCGCGCTTCTCCCAAGCATTCACACGGCCTCCCTTCTTGTAGATGGCTGCGCACCATCTCTGTGATCCTGTTCCTCAACAAGCAAGATCTGCTCGCTGAGAAAGTCCTTGCTGGGAAATCGAAGATTGAGGACTACTTTCCAGAATTTGCTCGCTACACTACTCCTGAGGATGGTGTGTATGGCTTCCACTCTTGCTGGCTGTTCATTGCGGTGGTTCTTTTTCAAACGGTCAGGCTGAAAACCCCCATCCCCCTCCCACCACCAAACCATAAAGGATCTATAAGAGAAGCAAGAAAAACGCACTCCCACTAATTCTCATATGGAAAAATCAGGGTTTTGAAGACTTCAGGAGCTACAGAGATGCTAGCACCCCAGCTCTGCTTGAATTTTAAATTACATTAATATGTATTCCCTTTTTATATAGCTACTCCCGAGCCCGGAGAGGACCCACGCGTGACCCGGGCCAAGTACTTCATTCGAGATGAGTTTCTGGTGAGTCGAGCCTGTCTTTAGTTTCCTCTCTTGTTCCTCCTCTTTTTCTCATGGATGTAAATTTACTTAATTCCAAATTCAGGGGTTCAGCTACCCAGTTCCATGGTTTTAGTTCACGCACATCCAGTGTGGATTTGAGCTCTTTGCGCCCCTCTTTTTGCTTTTGTTTTCATATGACATCAGAGGCTGGCTGACAGCCGTCCCTGGTAGGTGTCCCCATCAGGGATAGGGTGGTTCCTGGCGAGGGTGTCACTGACAAGTCCCCTTGTTTGTGCCCGCAGAGGATCAGCACTGCCAGTGGAGATGGGCGTCACTACTGCTACCCTCATTTCACCTGCGCTGTGGACACTGAGAACATCCGCCGTGTGTTCAACGACTGCCGTGACATCATTCAGCGCATGCACCTTCGTCAGTACGAGCTGCTCTAAGAAGGGAACCCCCAAATTTAATTAAAGCCTTAAGCACAATTAATTAAAAGTGAAACGTAATTGTACAAGCAGTTAATCACCCACCATAGGGCATGATTAACAAAGCAACCTTTCCCTTCCCCCGAGTGATTTTGCGAAACCCCCTTTTCCCTTCAGCTTGCTTAGATGTTCCAAATTTAGAAAGCTTAAGGCGGCCTACAGAAAAAGGAAAAAAGGCCACAAAAGTTCCCTCTCACTTTCAGTAAAAATAAATAAAACAGCAGCAGCAAACAAATAAAATGAAATAAAAGAAACAAATGAAATAAATATTGTGTTGTGCAGCATTAAAAAAAATCAAAATAAAAATTAAATGTGAGCAAAGAATGATGGGACTCCCGTGAGTTATTTGTGGTTCTGAGCAAATTCCCGTCATTCATGGTTTTGACTTGGTCCTTAGGTCAAAAGTTGGGAGGCCCCAAGGTGAAGTGGGTATAAAATCTCACCACTGTATGTTTTCTGGTGACCCTAATCTGTAGGTGTCTTGAAACAATTTGCAGACAATAGGAAAAGTCCACTCCTGTTCCTCCTAAATTTCACCCCATAGTGAACCACTATGCCCCAGTCAGTCACCTCTGCATTTTGATCATTGCCATCCTATCCAAAGATTCTACCAACAACTCACACCGTTACGTCATCACACAGTTTGCCTGCTGACCCAGGCTTCCCAAGAAAAGTAGTGTATGTTTTGCTATAAGATAAGATAGGGACTAAATTATGTGGAGGAGAAATAGAGGAGCACAGTGTTTCCAATCAATGGGGTTATTCAAGAAATGGTGTAGCCATTTGGGGAAAATTGAGGCTGGATCCCTACCTCATTGCACACACCAAAATGAATTTGACATAAGTTGATCACATACATCTAAATAAAAGAGGTACTTTTTAAAGTGGCTATTTTATAATTAAAACCTTGGGTTTTTAAAGGGCCTCTCTGCAGCATAACCTAAGACCTAAAGGCCATAACGGGGTTGGGGATGACTATAAAAACGAAAATCACACGTAAAATTTGAATGGGGGAAGGGCCTGGGTCAGGTAGAAATTTAACAAAGGGTTTACTTCCCTAATAAGCAAAGAGTTCTTATGAATTAATAAGCAAAACCATCAGAAAAATGGGCACAGTATATAAGCATGCAACTTAAATACAAATAATAAGCCTCTGGGGATATGTGGGACATCACTCATAAATATTCACCATAATTGGGAGTGGGGATGGGGGTCCACACTCACGGGTTGAAGTGTGGCTTATTTCTGAGGTCCTGTGGGTTCCCTAGACTTTCACCCCTACGCTTATCCCCCAAGGTGTAGTCTCATATGTGGTCACTTCCTGGGTGGCTTCCAGGAAGGGTGGGAGGAAGTGATCAGCATCAACGATGGTGCCCTCTGAAGCTGGCCAAATGGGACTTCAAGTTCATTCTGTAATCCAGGTCCCAAATCCACTTCCTATTCTAGTTTCCAGATCAAATTACTCTCACCCAAATTAATCATATAGTGTAGCTCACCAGAGGTGAGCGATGAGCCCCACGGGGGTGCAGAAAAGTAGCAAATACCTGCATCTCCATCCAACTTTCACGTAACATTCAGTCCACATGTTCTTGCTATGCAATTTTTAGTACAAAGCCCTCAAAAGCCCCCCAAATATAAAATCCAAGTAAAAATCGGGGCTTGCTATGCAAATACAGCTGAAAGACTAGCCCACAAGTTCCCATAATCCTCCAAAGCACCCCAAATAAACACACATAAAACCTGGACAGTGGCTATCAAGTGCAACCACAAGACCAGCGTGCCACACAAACATTCATCCAGGTAAAGGCTGTGCTCAGTGAAAATCAAGGTTGAACTCCAGCCCCTAGCTCCTCTTCCAAGATGGCTCCCTGTATGTCCCTTTTACATAGAAATTCTGGAACCTTCTTAGCATAATCCACATGAGATTGTCACAGCTCTAGCCACATATCCATCAAAATTAGAAAACACAAAATTCCCAGGCCAGAGATGCCAAGGAAAATGATACCACAGAACCCCACCTTGTTGGTCATAACTGACAGAGACTTCATGGTATCTTCTAGAAGAAGGGTCACAAAAGTCACAGTTATCAGGTATCTACTAGTGCTAGCCATTACCCAATGGGATAGGTTCAGCTGCTATTTTGACAATGAGTAAAAGAGGCCCAGAGAGACCCCAAGAGACGTCTCCAGTGAGCAGGGAAGATGCGCTTCAAACTCAAGTAGCCAAAGGCCACTGCTTGGTCCCTACAAGATACTGTTGTCCTGGAAGATGCAGGAGAAAAGAGAAAAAGGTCTCCTGGTGTTCTTCCCATTATGTCAGTTATCAGGAGTCCATGACCTGTGACCCCCATCGAAAATCCTGCAGGTCACCATGGGATTCCACAGCCAGGTGGGTGAGTGGGGCCTCTTCCCACAGACCGTGGCACTGGCCATACTCCTGCCTCCCTACCAGGTCAGGGCTTTGTCCCCACCAGTCACCCCGTTGCGTTTGAGACTTGCTTCCCTATGTTAGGCTTCATTGCTGCTATTTAAAACATTTTTGTTTCCCTTTTCCCTCTGACCCTGGTGCCAAGCAAAACTTCTACAGAGCTATTTTCAAATCTAAATTTTAGGATATTCAAAAAACAAAAAATTATAAAGACTTTCATTTAAATCTTTGATTACAAGAAGCCATTTTAAAAAAAAAGATTTTTTTAATCTGAATGCCTGTAATCCCAGCACTTTGGGAGGCCGAGGTGGGCGGATCACGAGGTCAGGAGATGGAGACCATCCTGGCCAACAGGGTGAAACCCCCTCTCTACTAAAAATACAAAAAATTAGCCGGGTGTGGTGGCGGGCACCTGTAGTCCCAGCTACTCAGGAGGCTGAGGCAGGAGAATGGCGTGAACCCGGGAGGCAGAGTTTGCAGTGAGCTGAGATCGCGCCACTGCACTCCAGCCTGGGCAACAGAGCAAGAGTCCATCTCAAAAAAAAAAAAAAAAAATTTAATCTGACGTTTAAATCTCTATTAAAGTGCAAAGCAACCTATTTTTCTAAAGGTAGCGATTTGCACCACACTTTGTAGAGATGTGTAAACCAAATATTATAAATGACTATTCATTGACCTTTTGGATTGAACATGATAATAATAAACCATTAGGGCCCTTCACAGTATGAGAAGGGTCTAGAATTGGACAGAATTTTTATTTACCTCCACTTTTACTTAAATGTGCACAAAATTATGCCTCCCAAAATGGCCACATCTGCATAGCCCTTCTATGTAGACCATGGCATCCTCTTATTATAGTACTTTCTTGGATGGCTTTGGTCATCTTTTCACTCAATAAATACATAGAGACTATGGGATCCATGCCAGCCAGTGGGAATCCTGATCTCATGGGGTTCATGTTCTAGCGAGAGAGACACACACTTACTAAATAAATAATAAAAAGAATTACAGATGGTGACAAAATCTCTGAAGCAATAAGCAGGATGCAGGCAGTGGGGAATGGGAGATATTTGAGGAGGGATTTCACTTTAGATGGAACAGCTAGGGAGGGCCTCTCTGATGTAGTACATTTTCTTCTGAGAATGTGAAGGATGAGAAGCAGCCAGCCATCAAGTACTAATAGCTAACATCATTATTTAAAATTGTTATTAAAACATAATTAATGGCCAGGTGCGGTGGCTCACACCTGTAATCCCAGCACTTTGGGAGTCCGAGGCGGGCAGATCACCTGAGGTCAGGAGTTCGAGACCATCCTGGCCAACATGGTAAAACCCTGTCTTTACTAAAAATACAAAAAATTAGTCAGGCGTGGTGGCAGGTGCCTGTAGTCCCAGCTACTCAGGAGGCTGAGGCAAGGAGAATCGGGAGGCAAGGAGAATCTGCCTCTGGGAGGCAGAGGTTGCAGTGAGCTGAGATCGTGCCACTGCACTCCAGCCTGGTGACAGAGCGAGACTCTGTCTCAATAATAATAATAATAATAATAATAAACATTTTTGGAGGACTTTACTATGTGCCAGGTACTGTTCTACACTCTGTATATGGATGATCTCATTTAATCCTTTCAAAGCCCTATTAAAAACCATCCCATCATTTGTACAACAGGTCCTATCCCATTGTGCAGTAGTTAGCTCAAACATGAAAAAGGTAAATCATATCTAAAGCATTGTGAATAATTTAAGCAAATTATGCTTTTTAATAAAGGTTACACTAAAAAGGTCATTGCAATAAGCACTTAATTTAAGTAATTGTTACACAGGTTCCTATTTCAGAGCTGGAGGACTTTGCATCTCTAGGATAATTTTCCCACATTAAAAAATGCATGCATATGCTACGAACACCAAGTCTTCTCATTTTGCCTATTTTATTTACCGTATCAGTTAAGAATGCATTCAGCTGCAAGTAACAGAATCCTGACCCAGAGTGGCACGGACAAACAGAAGTTTATATCCACTTATCAAGAATTCTAGAGGTAGGTGGTTCCTGTTATTTCAGCAGCTCATCAATGGCAGGACTAATGTGTCCACAATTCTCTTGGCTTCTCTCTCATGGTTGCAAGACAGTATCACAGAACAGCTGAAGGCAGAAGAGGAAGGGAGAGACAACCCAAACTAATCTCTTTTGTCCTCTTTTTGTCAGTGTTTCATAGAGGCCTCTTCATTCATGCTTCACCATGTGAAATACACATAGATACCCAGCTATATATGCGTACTTCGAAAAGTAAAAGTAACAGATAGAAAAGTATCCCTCCCTCCTTCTCTCCTTCCTCCCCTCCCCTCCCTCCCTCCCTCCCTTCCTTTCCTTCCTTCCTTCTTCTGTCTTTTTAGACAGAGTCTCACTCTGTTGCCCAGGCTGAAGTGCAGTGGCGTGATCTTAGTATGCTGCAACCTCTACTTCCCAGGTTTAAGCAATTCTTCTGCCTCAGCCTCCAGAGTAGCTGGGACGACAGATGCCCACTGCCACGCGCAGCTAATTTTTTGTATTTTTAGTAGAGATGGGGTTTCACCACGTTGGCCAGGCTGGTCTCAAACTCCTGACCTCAAGTGATCCACCCACCTCAGCCTCCCAAAGGACTGCGATTACAGGCATGAGCCACTGAACCTGGCTGTATCTTTTCAATAACACTATTATGCATACACACATAGATAGGGATTTTATTTTTTATTTTTATTTTTATTTTTGAGATGGAGTTTCGCTCTTGTTGCCCAGGCTGGAGTGCAATGGCACAATCTTCAGTCACTGGAACCTCCGCCTCCTGGGTTCAAGCAATTCTTCTGCCTCAGCCTCCCAAGGAGCTGGAATTACAGGCATGCGCCACCACGCCCAGCTAATTTTGTATCTTTAGTAGAGTTGAGGTTTCACTATATTGGTCAGGCTGGTCTCAAACTCCTGACCCCAGGTGATCCACCCACCTCGGCCTCCCAAAGTGCTGGGATTCCAGGCGTGAGCCACTGCGCCCGGTTGAGAGGGATTTATAATTTCCTGTTGTATGCACCTTGACGGAACATCTGAAAAAAACATATCCAATGCCTGTAGTTTTAAGGCTTAGGGAAGATATTAGGGGGAATAAAACCCTTTCAAGTCATAAGAGAACAATTTGCATAATTCTACGTAAATAAGTTAGAAAGCCTAGATGAAATAGAAAATCATCCAAAAAAATACTTCTTACCAAAATTGACCCCAGCAGAGACATCATAAATCTAAGCTGACCAGTTACCATAGAAAAACACAAAGCACAGTGAGAGGCCTCCATGACAAAAAGGCTCCAGACTCTCGCTGGGATGGGAAGCTAATGACAAGAAGGAAACATGAGGGAAACTTCTGGGGTGCTAGCAAGTTTCTATTCTTGATCTAAATGCTGGTTAAACAAATATATCCCATTTGAGAAAATTCATTTGACTGTACACTTAGGATTTGGAACTTTTTAGTACATGTATTATATATATATATTTTTTTTTTTAATGAGGAAAAGGAAAAAGGCACCAGGCCCAGGTGGTTTCACAGGGGAATTATATTAAACCTTTAAAAGTCAAATAATCCCTGTGCTACTTATATTATTCCAGACCATAACATAATAAAAGGAAAACCTCAAAATTATTTTTATAAAGTATACCACTGATTCCAAAACATGCCAAAGATTGCACCCAAAAATAAAATTACAGATTAATTTCACTTATGAATATCAATATAAATATTTTAAAATATAAGCAAACATAATTCCATATTACATTAAAAATAATACATCATGCCTGGTAAGATTTATTCTAGGAATTCAAGGTTTGTTCAATATGAACAAATACAGTAATATATGCCAAAATTTAATACTGATTCATATTTTAGAAATCCAACAAAATAGTAATGAATGGATGCTTTTCTAATATAAAGACTCTCTCTATATATACCACATATCTATATATACTTAGTACAGTATATATCATGTATATAAATAAAATCTCCAAAAGTCAACATTTTAATTAATGAGGAGCTTCTAAAAGCTTTTCCACTAATGTCAGGAATAAGAAACAAGAAACACAAGGATGCCTCACATCATCACTCTCTTTATCATTGTATGAGATGAATAAGCCAATTCAATTAGGCAAAAGAAAGCAATGAGAGACCTAGAATTGGAAGGGGAGAAGCAAAACTATCTTTTTGACAGGTGCAGTGGCTCATACCTGTAATCCCAGCACTTTGGGAGGCCGAGGCGGGTGGATCACGAGGTCAGGAGATCAAGACCATCCTGGCTAACACAGTGAAACCCCGTCTCTACTAAAAACACAAAAAAATTAGCCGGGCGTGCTAGCGGGCGCCTGTAGTCCCGTGAACCCCGGAGGCGGAGCTTGCAGTGAGCTGAGATCGCGCCACTGCACTCCAGCCTAGGCGCCAAAGTGAGACTCCGTCCCAAAAAAAAAAAAAAAAAAAAAAATTAAAAAATTAGCCAGATGTGGTGGCACATGCCTGCAGTTCCAGCTACCTGGGAGGCTGAGGTGGCCAGACAACTTGAGCCCAGGAAGCCGAGGCTTCAGTGAGCCATGTTCATGCCACTGTACTCCAGCCTCAGTGACAGAGTGAGACCCTGTTGCAAAAAAAAATAAAAATAACAGGTGATTATTATTATAACTCTCCCCTCCAAAAATCCACGGAAAAATCATTACTAAAAAGTGAAAGGATTTAGTAAAGTACAAAGTACAGATTTATAAGATTAACATGTAAAAATCAATACCAGCCTAGGCACAGTGTGCATGCCTATAGTCCTAGCTACTTGGGAGGCTGAGGCAAGAGGATCATTTGAGCCTAGAAGTTCGAGGCTGCAGTGAGGTATGATTGTGCCACTGTACTCCAGCCTATGCAACAACAACGAGACCCCATCTCTAAAATAATAATAATATTTTAAAAAATCAATAGCAGGCTGGCCACAGGGGCTTATGACTGTAATCCCAGCACTTTGGGAGGCTAAGGTGGGAAGATTGCCTGAGCCAAGGAATTGGAGACCAGCCTGGGCAACATGGCAAGACCCCGTCTCTTAAAAAGAAAAAAATTTTTTTAATCAATAGCATGTGAAAGGTAAAACAAGAAAGCTTTAAGAAGAAAATACAGGCTGGGTGTGGTGGCTCACACCTGTAATCCCAGCACTTTGGGAGGCCGAGGCGGGCAGATCATGAGGTCAGGAATTCGAGACCAGCCTGACCACCATGGTAAAACCCTATCTCTACTAAAAATACAAAAATTAGCTGGATGTGGTGGCATGTGCCTGTAATCCCAGCTACTCAGGAGCCTGAGGTAGGAGAATCCCTTAAACCTGGGAGGCAGAGGTTGCAGTGAGCCAAGATAGTGCCACTGCACTCCATCCAGCCTGGGAGACAGAGCGAGACTCCATTTCAAAAAAAAAAAAAAAAGAAGAAGAAGAAGAAGAAAATACAAGAGACTACTGCTTGCGTACGGTCCCCATGTTACATTTGGCTGATTCATCTCCTAAATCCCGTGTCATCTGTGGGTTACCTCTTCTCTTTTTCTCGCCCCTTATACGATTCCAACTCAGAAACTGAGTTGTTTGTCCTCTAGAGTTTTCCATATTCCAGATTTTGCTGATTGCATCCCCATATTATAAACCTTCTGATTTGAACAAACCAACTATTTTTTAAAAAGTATGAAATCATCAGATAAATTTAAACAATGGCTGGATATTTGACAATACTAAGAAAACTAGTGTTAACGTTTTTGTGTGGATAGGAGCATCATGATTTTCATGAATTCTTATCTTTCAGATATACCTACTGAAACAAAATAATATGATGTTCCAAAATCATACAGTGGGGTGAAGGCAGGAGTTGGAGCCATGCTGGAAATTGTTTTGCTACAGGCTCTCCTGTGGTAAGTGGGTGACCGTGGGGAGCCTTGATGTTAGTGTTTGCCAATTCCCATGGTGTAAATCCCCCACTGTGATTGATTTCAAACTCCCAGCAGTATGCCATTGGATATGGAGTTGGGAAGAGATGGGCACAGTCAGCTCCAGCACACCACTGATAGGAGGGTGGAGGTGAAACAAGATTGGCCATGAGGTGATGCTTGTTAAAACAGGGTGATCAGTACATGGGGGTCCATTGCACTATTCTAATTTTCTATGTGTTGGCTATTTTAAGCAAAAGTTTACAAACAAGGGGCCAGGCGCAGTGGCTTATACCTGTAATCCCAGTAATTTAGAAGGCAAAGGTGGTAGGATCCCTTGAAGCCAGGAGTTTGAGGCTGCAGTGAGCTACTCCACTGTACTCCAGCCTGGGCAACAGAGCAAGACCCTGTCTCTAAAATAAAATAAAGTAAAACAAATTAAGAAAAAGAGAAAGAAAAATCTTACATTTCCAGATTAACGTTTTTAAAACTTCCAATGTTAATGATGACACTAGGACAGGCACAGTGGCTCATGCCTGTAATCCTAGCACTTTGGGAGACCAAGGCGGGTGGATCACTTGAGTCCAGAAGTTCGAGATCAGCCTGGATAACATGGCAAAACCCCGTCTTTCTACAAAAAAAAAAAAAAAAAAAAAAAATTAGCTGGGCGTGGTGGCATGCATCTGTAGTCCCAGCTACTTAGGAGGCTGAAGCAGGAGGATCGCCTGAATTCAGGAAGTGGAAGTTGCAGTGAGCCAAGATGGAGCCACTATACTCCAGCATGGGCAATGGAGTGAGACCCTGTCTAAAAAAAAAAAAAGGAATGATGATTAATAGTAAGAGCAACTATGTTGTTGAGAGCCTACTATCTACCTGTCCCTAATTTAAGCACTTTACAGGGAATAACTCAAGATGTTTTTATCCTTGCTTTACAGATGAGGAAACCAAGGAGTAGAAAGTTGAGCAACTGGCCAGGCGCAGTGGCTCACGCCTGTAATCCCAGCACTCTGGGAGGCTGAGGTGGGTGGATCACCTGAGGTCAGGAGTTCAAGACCAGCCTGGCCAATATGGTGAAACCCCATCTCTACTAAAAATACAAAAATTAGCCGGGCATGGTGGTGCACACCTGTAGTCCCAGCTATAGGGAGGCTGAGGCAGGAGAATTGCTCCAACCAGGAGGCAGAGGTTGCAGTGAGCCAAGATCATGCCACTGCACTCCAGGCTGGGCAACAGAGTGAGACTCTGTCTCAAAAAAAAAAAAAGAAAGAAAGAAAGAAAGAAAGAAAGTTGAACAACTTCCTTGGTTCAAGATCACATAGCTAATAAGTGGTAGAGTCCAGATTCAAACCCAGGTAGCCAGGCTCCTGCAACTTTAAATTCTAACCCAAGACACATTTTTTTTTTTGCTTTTAAGGAGAATAAGTTTAACAGGCAAGAAAGAAGGAACAAGAAAACAGCTCCCCCATACAGAGACAGAAGGAGGGGGGATTTGAACAGAGAGAAAACCCCCAACGCAAGGTGCTTGATTCAAGAAAACACCCAAGATTGTAAGATTGGAAAGAAATGCAGTGGTGTTGCTGAATGATGGATAATATGTTGTTTAGGAGATCTTTTTCCCAACCACAACTTTGTTGAGTGCCTCCTTAGGGCTAAGGCTGAACAAGATGATGGTGCCCAGGACAGGCTGGTTTTGTTCAAATGGGGCATTCCCTGTACTGTGAGGCAAATCACATTTCCAAAGTGGGGTTTCATCTATATGGGGCTTGGTGAGGTAGAGGAGAGGGGGATTATTGATATAAATTTCTGGGTTAGTCTTTCATCACCATGATGGTCTGGTAATTTCTTGGTATAAATCTACTAGGAGTAATTTTTTCATATTTTAAGAACAAATGTTTTCATCCTTTGTCATAGCACAGACTTTTATCCATTCAGCAAGTATTTATTAGACACTCAACAATCCGCCAAGCCCTGTGCTAGGTGGTCAGGTGACAGCAGCCAATGGGGTAGAAAACCATTCTCATGCTAGAGGGAGAACTGAGATGATACAATGGTAACCAAATAAATAATTAAGATAATTCAGACAGTCACAAAGTTTATCTACAGCAAGCTCATGTGGTGTGGTGGTTGTAGGGGTATCATTTTAGAAGGTGTTGCTAGGGAAGAACTCTCTGAGGGGGTAATCTTTGAACTGAGACTCAAAGGGTGGGAAGAGGGTGAAGGTTGGAGAAAGGAGCTTGAGGTGGCAGATGCCCCCACGAGGAAGGCCCTGGGGCACACCACAAATTTCCAGCATACATTTTGAGACAAAACTGTATTTTTGTAATTAATGACTTTCACATCTTGCTGCTTAGAGATCCTTGCATCTCTAAGGATCTTCCGTTTCCAAAATTGGTGACACACACTTTCCTGGGAGGAGGTGGGATTTGGGGTTGCATGCAGAGGAGAGTGAAGGAGGGTAGGGCTCAGGTGTCAGAGTCTGGGATAAAAGGCGCTGCTGTATCCGTGGAGCCCAAAGCAGTGCCTGGCACAAAGCCAACAGTCCTTGAAGAGATGTGAAATGAACCAACTGGGGAAATAGGGGGGCGTTTCCATCACTTTTCTCTGGAAATTGACGGCCTTGTCAAGGTGGCTTTTGCAATAATGGGAAGGCAAGTCTAGGAACCCCGTCTACCTGCAGTCCTCCTCACATACACACTTCACTGCTTCAGAGATGAAGTTCAAGTTTGAGAAAAATTGAGATCAGCCAATAGAAATAAGGATCCATGAACCAGAGATAAGAATTGGTTCTTCTCTTTTTCCAAAAGGAGAGAAATAAAGAAAAAATATTGTGACCCTGTTCCCCAAGGTCAGGTTGTCTCAAAGGAAACAGAGTGTCCCATCAAATGGAGTTTGAGGGAAGAAAGACATTGAGAAATGGAAAATTGAGTGCAGGGTTGGGATTACCAAACAGCTCCTGGAGCAAAGGTTAAGAATGCTTTTGTGTTTTCCCATCATTTATCCCCTGATTGGTACTTGCTTTAGTATTTTATAGCTCATTAGCAAACAGCATTCTTGGAAATTGTAGGAACTGGCCAGGGAGGGCATTCTGAACTGCGTTCTTTAGGTTTTTATGATTTGAAACTGAAGGATCACTAAAAATCACATTGCATTTGGTAAATCTGTAGTTATTCAATATTTCCCTCTCTCAGTTTCATCCTTCCGTCTGAATTATAGCCTTCAGTAGCAGTGTTCAGAATGACAAATTTTTTTCTGATGGCTCTTGAGATTGAAATGTCTTGGCCTCCTAAAGTATGGGGGAGCTCTTTAATCTAGTTTCATTCAGCTAATTGGGTACTAAAATGTTATCCTTAATTCCAAACCGAAAAACTTTTTGTACCAGATCATACTTAGATTGGCCTTAAAAAGCTATCAGTCAAAGAAACAGAGGCTCCTAATGAGAAATGGTAAAAGCTGAGGGAGAAACCAGACTGCTGATATGCAAAATTTTAAGGAAATATTAAAGTTTACTCATCTTCTCAAAGAAGAGAATTATCATCACTGGAATAGCTAGAATAATTCTTATTTGTTTCTAGGAACAAGAATTGAATGCAGAAATGGCTAAATTGCACAAAAGAGTAGAGGCCTTTTCTTAATTAGAAGTGGAAATGCAAAAATTGATTACCTGCAAGTACTGTTGCTGTGAATTAAACTTGCTTTACCTGGTTCAATTTACAGCAACAGTACATGACAACAAAGTGTTAAGCCTTTACCCATAAAATTATAGCTCATTGTACAACCGAGAAATTATCCCACATGGAATTATATAATTGCCTTCATCCACAACTATAAGCATTTCTGTTACCTTCCTATAGAAGTTAAAATATTCTCATAGCAGTTTCAGCAATAAATTGAAATTGTAATAGTAGTTTATCATTTGCCTTAAGGTTTTTACTTTTACTAAGAACTAATAGTAGTGGAGAAACCATTGAAATTCTTGGTGTGGGCCAAGAATTCTTTTGAGAGCCTGTGACAATATAAGTTCACTCAAGTCATGTTCAAGTCTCAGTGAAACTTGATTCCACAAAGGCAGTACGTAGGTTGAAAATAAATGCTGAGTCTTTTATTTCTTTATGTCTAAAAAAAGAAAGAAAAAAGCTTTTTCACTTGCTTACCTCAAATAAACATTTAAATTTTCATTCGGAAGCCGAGGTGGGCAGGTCACTTGAGGTCAGGAGTTTGACACCAGCCTGGCTAACATGGCGAAACCCCGCCTCTACTAAAAATACAAAAATTAGCCAGGCATGCTGGCACGTGCCTGTAGTTCCATAGTCCCAGCTACTCGGGAGGCTGAGGCAGGTGAATCACTTGAACGCAGGAGGCAGAGGTTGCAGTGAGCCAGGATTGCACCATTGCACTCCAGTCTGGGTGACAGAGTGAGACCCTCTCTCAAAAAAAAAAAAAAAAAAAAAAAAGTCACTTTTTTGCAATTATAAAAAGACATAGAATTAACTGATCTACACATCTGACCACAGTGAGGGCTTTGTCATGGATAATTCAGTGCATCTTCTGAAACCCAAATCTTCACTGTGAGAGTTTAAATTCATTGGAGTTTTGAGGATTAATTTCTGTCGCTGCTCTTGAAATAAACAATGCCAATGAATTTTCTTTTGCATGCATTTGTTAGCGCTAGTTCAACAATGGTAACATTTAGAAGAATGCTGCCATATTGGGCTTTGCTTCTTGCTCATTTGATTTTTCCTACAATGATACTGATGCTTTGGGTCTCCTTCTCCCATGCTTGACACACTTTTTACAAAGTAAGCTCTAAATCATAGCAAACAAAATGCAGACTATAGCGAAAGGGCTTACCATAGAATGCAAAGGATGAGTATCACGAAGTTTGCCTATATACCGTCCATGTTAATGGGTCAAAAGAGAAGACGCCTTTGGCAGCTTAATAGGGTTGAAAGGCATCTAAGAGCATTGAGTCCCTTTCTGTTTTGTTTTGTTTTGTTTTTTAAACAAAAGCCCTTGGCAAAATGATAATTAAAAAATGCTTGTTTGATGTCATTTCATGTGTGTGCCTGTGCATGTATGGATCCAACAGCCAGCAATATTCTTAATATTCTTGAAGTCAGGAACAACAAAACAGTACCTATTCTCACCACTATTAATTTTGGTCTGGAAGTGATGGTTCGCACAATTAGACCAAAAAAAATTGAAGTCGAAAATATGAGAAAGGAGAAGGTAATATTGTGATTACGTGTGGATGATATGATTGTACAGCTTAGAAAACCCCCACAGAAAATTCACCTGGTGTACGATAATAAAAGCTTAACACTCACTGAGTGCCCAGGCCCCATTCTAAGTCTCTTAATACTCGTATACTATCTAACTATAATAATAAAAGTTAGCATTGATGGAGTACTTACCATGCACACGTGTACTACTTAAGTGCTTGCTATTCTTACACCATACAACCACAACGGTAAGATTCTCATAGGCACTGAGTGTCTATTACGTGCCAGACCCTGTTGAAATACTTTAATGCTCATAACAATTAAGAGGCTTTAAATCCTATTTCTGTTACATAATATAAATTAACATATTACTACAAATGTATTTCTATAATATACTTTATAGTGTAATTATACTTATGTAATATGTTACATATTAAATTGCATATAATTTATATTACATTATATAGTTTATATGTTATAGGTTATTAATATTGTTATATTTTATATTACTACATATTTATATTTATATATTCATGTGTTACAATTATACATGTACAAAGTGATATGATATTGTATATTGTTATATATAATTTATATCATATTATATGACAATATATTATATTTTATTATATGGATTAAGGCTACATAACTTCAATTTAAATGTATAACTTTTATATCATTTTCTAATTATATATGCATAACTCGATATATTACATTAAATTATATAATTTATATTATACTGTGCTACATTATATTTTATTATATATTATAACACTGTACTTTTACATTACTACATATTTATATTTACACAGTATATTTCATATCATATAATTACACCTGTATAAGGTGAATTACATATTACATATTAAACCATATATAATTTATATTATATTAGACTACCTTACATTATATTTTAAAATCTCACTGTTTATAAAGGCAGAAACTGAGGCTCCGAGAGGTGTCCCTTGCCAGAAGTCAGGGAGCAGCTCACGGGCAGAGCTGGGGTTCCAGCCCCACTTTGGTTCCAGAAGCCCAGCTTTTAACCCTCAGGAACCGTCCAAGACCTTGCCTGGTGGAGGGGAGCTTCACCTGCCTGCTCACTCGCTACTTTGACAGGAAGTAGCAACAGCCCTGCCAAGGGCCACAGTTGTATGAATGTGTGTGAGTATGGGTGTGTATAACAGTGTGTGTGGGGTGTGTGCAAGAGTGTGTGTGTGCGTGTGCGTGTGTGTAAGGCAGTCATTTTTTAAATCCCAGATGAAGCATGGTGGCTCACGCCTGTAATCCCAGCACTTTTGGAGGCCAAGGCAGGAGGATCGCTTAAGGTCAGGAGTTCGAGACCAGCCTGGCCAACATGGTAAAACCCTGTCTCTACAAAAAATGCAAAAATTAGCCATGCACATGCAGCCCAGGACAGCTTTGAATGTGGCCCAACACAAATTCATAAACTGTCTTACAACATTAGGAGATTTTTCTTTTAACTCACCAGCTATTGCTAGTATATTTTATGTGCAGCCCAAGACAATTCTTCTTCCAGTGTGGTCCAGGGAAGGCAAGAGATCGGACAGCTCTGCTCTAAGTTAACTCTAAATTTAATGCAACCCCAGAGTAACCTGATCTTTTTAATGTGGCAAAATCATCTTATAGTTCATCTGGAAGAATAAATTATCTCAGAGAATAGCAAATAGAATTCCAACAGTGAAGGCTGTTGGCCATGGGGTTGCCCTACCAGATATCACACATATTATAACACGTTCTAGTGTGGTTCTAGTACAGGAACAGACAGAGCCTGGGAACAAAACAGAAGACCAGAAACAGGCCAAAGTTTATGGAAATTTAATATATGATCAAAGGGGCATTCAGATGTATTAGTCGGGATTTGTTATATGTAACAGAAATGCAATATAAAATACCTTAAACAAAAGGCAAAATTAGTTGAAAGGTTCCTAATACTCTGTAAAGAGCAAGGGTGTATATCTGCATTTGGCCTCATTCCCCTAGACCAAATCTCTTTTTCAGTCTGTGACAAAGCCTGTCCCAAGCTTCAGAGCTTCCAACCTCACCGTCACAGGCTGAGAAGCAGGCAACGGGCTGAGCAGTGTATTCACTGGCGTGCTTCTATTTCTATTAAAAGGCGGTTAGTGTGCATGTGGTGTTGAGGGGAGAATGTATCTTTGTGTGAATATGCTTAAAAGGCCTAACTGGTATTACTGGATGCCCCAGGGAGGAGATACACAGCAGTGATCTTTTCCCCCCTATTGGATCTCCGGAGGTGGGAATCGTTATCTTCCTCATTCTGTGGCCAGACTTTCACTGGTGTGTGCAAGGTGCTTGTTTTATTTATTTACTTATTCCCCTTAGCTGCACTTCTCTTTGCCTGTAGGCAGCAATTCCAGTATGTCTGATATGTTCCTTCTCTTTGTGTTATTGAAAAACATGTACATTGTTTGGGGCACATTGTTTTTATTATTTATGTATTTTATTTATTTTTGAGACGGGGTCTCACTCTGTCACCCAGGCTGGAGTGCATGACGCAATCTCAGCTCACTGCAGCCTTGACCTCCCAGGCTCAAGCGATCCTCCCCACTCAGCCTCGTGAGTAGCTGGGACTACAGACACACACCACCATGCTGAGCTAATTTTTGTATTTTTAGTAGAGGCGAGGTTTCACCGTGTCACCAAGACTGGTCTTGAACTCCTTGGCTGAAGCAATCTGCCTGCCCTGGCCTCCCAAAGTGCTGCGATTATAGGCATGAGCCACCATCCCCAGCCAAAGGGCCCATTATTTTTAATTGGCACAAATGATATGCTTACAGATCTCATTCTGTGTCTTCCTCACCCGGCTCTGTTTCTCAGATCTATGCACATTGCTGTGTGTGTGCTGTCATTGCTTCCAGTGTCTACATGTTTCCCTGCGTCAGTCAGGATAGAGTAGGTTATGTTGCTGTAACATACACTCCTGAGACAGTAACAGTTTAGGCACAAATGCTCATTTCTCATTCAGACCGCATGACCACTGTAGACCAACAGGAGGGTTCTGCTCTTGTTATCACCCAGGGACCTAGGTGCCCTCTCTATTACTGTCGCTTGCTATGCCAGACAAAAAGGCACAGCAAAGCATTCCCTGACTCATTTGGTAGTGGTACACGTCACTTCTGCACACATTTCCATGCCCAGATAAGTCACCCGGCTCCACCTAACCCCATATGGCAGGGAAGTTCCATTCTAGCATGTGGCAGCAGGAGAGGAAAGCTGGCACTTCTAGAACAGTCCTGATGATCCTGATGATTACTATGGACCCCCCAGGCTGCCTTCCACTCCCTGCTACACCAAACAAGGCTGTGTGGACTCATGCCTGCACAAGGCGCCTACAGACCCAGAGGACACAGCTTTGGGACACATACCCAGCAGTGGGGTTTCTGGGTAGAAGAGCAGGCACTTAATTTCACTAAAGAGTGCTGGAGTGTTCTCCAGAGCATAAGACAGGTGACTAAGAACAACAGCAGCACCAAGAGGTGCAGTCTTCTAACACCTAGAGGTTCCGAGAGGACCATAACAGAAACCAGCCGAGAAAGAAAGTTCTGAGAAGGAAACGGCAATTAGGAGACGGCCAAGGGAAGCCAGTGTTTCAAGAGGAATGGAGTGGTCACCTCTGTCTAGTGCTTCTAGGGGCCAGAAAAGATGAAATCCCTGCAAACTTATCCAGTGGGAGTAGGGGGACAGATAAAACAAGATTTGCAAATATTGATAATTATTGAAGTTGGGAAACTGAGGGTCATTATATTAGTCTCTCTTCTTTTGAATACGTTTGAACACTTTTTTTTTTTTTTTTTTTTTTTGAGATGGAGTTTCGCTCTTATCGCCCAGGCTGAAGTGCGGTGGCACAATCTCGGCTCACTGCAACCTCCGCCTCCCAGGTTCAAGTGATTCTCCTGCCTCTGCCTCCTGAGTAGCTGGGATTACAGGCACATGCCACCATGCCCAGCTAACTTTTATATTTTTAGTAGAGACAGGGTTTCACCATGTTGGCCAGGCTGGTCTCCAACTCCTGATCTCAGGTGATCCGCCCCCACCTTGGCCTCCCAAATTGCTGGGATTACAGGCCTGAGCCACCGCACCTAGCCTGCATTATTTATGAATTTAGACAGGTAGGTAAAGGGCAAAAGCTAGACTGGGAAGAAATGAGATTTGTGGGAACTGAGGAAATGGAGATTAGGAAAGTCAAAATGGAAGGCTGTGTTTCTCATGAATGCCCCTAGCAACATGTTCAGTTCCACATGCGCTTCCAGAACCTTCCCTCTCCCCATCAAGAGGCGGAGTCTACCCCCATACCCTTTAATCTGGGCACACACACCTGTGGCTTCACTCTTCTCTCCAACAGAGAACAGTGATTTGCTGCTGTGACCCCTGAGGCTGGGTCATAAAAAGCATAAGCTTTCCTGATTCATATTCATTCTCATTCTCCCTCTCTCTCGCTCTCTGTTGCAATAAAATACACAGAATATAAAATTTGCCATCTTAGCCATTTTTTTTTTTTGAGACGGAGTTTCACTCTGTCGCCCAGGCTGGAGGGCAGTGGAGCGATCTCGGTTCACTGCAAGCTCCGCCTCCCGGGTTCACGCCATTCTCCTGCCTCAGCCTCCCGAGTAGCTAGGACTACAGGTGCCCGCCACCACTCCCGGCTTTTTGCATTTTTAGTAGAGACAGGGTTTCACCATGTTAGCCAGGATGGTCTTGATCTCCTGACCTCGTGATCGGCCCACCTCGGCCTCCCAAAGTGCTGAGACTACAGGCCTGAGCCACCGGGCCCGGCCCATCTTAGCCATTTCTAAGTGTGCAGTAGAGTTAAGCACATTCCCAGTGTTGTCCATCTGTCTTCAGAACCCTCTTCACCTTGCAAACCTGACTCTGTCCCTATTCAACAACTCCCCATTCCACCTCCAGCCAGCCCCTGGCGACCACCCTTCTATTTTCTGTCTCTATGAATTTGACCACCTCTGGTTCTCTTTTTTAGTATATTTGTGCTTGAAATGCAGGTGCCCTGCTGTGAAGAAGCCCAGAGTCATCCAGGACAACATGGAGGGGTGCAAGTGGGGAGGAACTGAGGCCCCAGCTGACAGTGACCTTCAGCCACCATACCTGTGGGCAAACACACCTTCTGGTGATCCCAGCCCAGCTTTTGAAGCAAATAGCTGAAGCTCAGACCTGGTGGAGCCGAAATGAGCTGTCCCTACTGAGCGCTGTCTGAATTATTGGCCCATGGAAACTATTACAATAATCAACGTCACTAAGTGCGGGGGTAATCCACACACTTTTTTGAAGCGTGTATTGAAGCCACAGGAACTGGAACAGGAGAGAACTCTCACATGGAGTTCGTCTGTGGAGAAGGAGAAACATGGAGTAGTGGCCAGAGGAAGTTAAGCCAAGAAAAGTTGTTTTTGTTTCATTTTGCTTTTTTTTTTTTTTTTGAGACAGAGTTTCACTCTTGTTGCCCAGGCTGGAGTGCAGTGGCGTGATTTCGGCTCACTGCAACCTCTGCCTCCTGGGTTCAAGCAATTCTCCTGTCTCAGACTTCCGAGTAGCTGGCATTACAGGCATGTGCCACCACACCTGGCTAATTTTTGTATTTTTAGTAGAGACGGAGTTTCATCATATTGGTCAGGCTGATTTCAAACTCCTGACTTCAGATGATCTGCCCACCTCAGCCTCCCAAAGTGCTGGGATTAGAGGCGTCAGCCACCATGCCTGGCCTTGCTTTTTAAGATTGAAGCAATCTGAGTGTTTCAATGTTGAGGATAAAGGAGGGAGAGATTGAATATGCAGATGAAAGGGGAATTATCCAAAGAAGACGACTCCAGAGAGGGCGGAGTGCAGAGGATCCTCAGCACAGGTGGGGCCCTGGGAGGGACAGCCCGATGCTGACAGGGTGAACCTTCAGTGCTAGGTGGGTGACAGGGTGCTTGCACGTGGACTGTTTTCTCTCCGCAATAGAAGGTGGGAAGGGTGAAGGTAGGAAATGGTGAAGTCAGAGGTTTGAGGAGAGAATAGAAAGTTTGACACATCTTTGTAGAGAAAGGGAGAATGTGTTGACTTGAGGAAAGAAGGATTTGAGAACAGATGGCTTAGTTGATGTTGGTGATCAGGAATTGCTGGGAAATCAGGTTATCCTGTTGTGGGCTTCTGTCCGCAGAACTTAGCTACTTAGGTATATGCATGATACATACTTGATTCATCCCAGACTGGGGTTCTGCCAACACATGTCATCAGAGGGTAAAGAGCAATGGGTTTAGGGTGTTAGCAAGAGGGTGGTTGACAGGATGGACCATGAAACTGAAGCTGGGGAAAGAGAACAATCAGTGTGTGTGTGTGTGTGTGTATGCATGTGCGTGTGCGTGTGTGTGTGTGTGTGTGTGTGTGTGATGGTGGGGGTTGGGGGGAACTAATGTATAAACTTTGATTCAGCATTTCTACTTCTAGGACTTTATCTGAAAAAGAGCATTGTGCCACTGGCCCTACTTGCAAGGACTTTCATCACAGAATCACATAAAATATTGAAAGATTTGAAACTAGGCAAATATTCATTAATTGAGTCTTGGTTAAATAAAACAGAACACTATCCAGCCACCTCAATGCCTTTTGGGACGCAGGCATGGGAAAAGGGAATTGTAGGGTCCTGGAAGCCATCCTCTTTGTCACAAGGAAAGCACACTGACAAAGGGACAGGAGGAGGTGGCACAGAGAGAGGAGGGAGGCAGGAGACCTAGTCTGATCCTGATAACTCGGATGTCTGGTTTCAGTGATGTGTAAAATGAGCTTCTGGATTCCCCAGTTACATGAGACAGGTAATCCTCTCTTTTGACCAATCTAGTTTGAATAAGGTTTCTGAGGTTTGCAATTCAAAGCACCCTGCTATGGTTTGAATGTGTTCTCCACAAATTCATAGGTACAAACCCTAACTCCCAAGGCAATGGTATTAGGAGGTGGGGACTTTGAGGGGTCATTAGATCATGAGAGCTTCCCCCATGAATGGGATTAGTGCCTTCATAAAACATGAGGCCCCAGGGAGCTGCCTTGCCCCTTCCACCATGTACAGATACAGTAAGAAGGTGCCATCTATAAGAAAGAAGCCCTCACCAGATGCTGCCTGTGTGCCTTAATCTTGGACTTCTCAACCTCCAGAACTGTGAGCAATAAATATCTGCCATTCACAAACCACCCTGTCTATAGTATATTGTTATAGCAGCCTGAACAGACTAAGAGACTAAGAAACCACCCCCCCACCCACCGGCCTCAACTAAAATGAAAGTTGCTAACAGAAGTAGAGGGTTAAAAGAAGCAGAATCTTAAAATGTTGAACTGGCTGAAGTGAGATGAGGCGGGTTGGAAATGTCATTATGTAGTAGATAAGCTGGTGTTAAACTCTGGCTGCTTGCTTGTGAGAATTAGATCATTTGACCACTGAAGTTGGACCTTCAGGTAAATTGGCAGAAAAATATCAGACTATTGGAGGGTTGACAGCTTCACAGGGCTTCCCACCTTTCATGTGAAGGATTTCTCCTTCTCTGTTTGTAGCAAAACTAATGGACCCATGAATCACAGCACCTCTGTACCACTAAGAGGTCGGCAAATCAGTCTCTGTCTCTGTTGGAAAATGCTATTTATCCTAGAAGATAAGTACTTTTAAAATATCACAATATCATTATCACACCTACAAGTATCAACAACATTCCCTTAATATCATCAAATAACCCCTCACTTGTCCATTTTCAATTTGAAATTGTCTCATGAATTATTTTAGCATTAAAAAGATAAGAATTCAAGAAACAAGATTCCTTGACATGACTTCCAGGTCTCTGAATTTATAAGTCCTCCTCTATCTCCCTGTTTTCTTCCTTAAAATGGTTTATTTCCCACAGTCTGGAATTCGTTTATTGAATTCCTGAATTCAATAACGAAGATTGGCCGCTGGGCCTAGAGGCTTCATCAGATTCAAATCTGATTTTGTTACAAGATGACTTTACAGGCGGTGCTGTGTACTTCCATTGGGAAAAACAGAACGTCTTGCTTTCTCTCCTTTTATTGTGAACAACCATTGATATTGAATATCTGCATTCACTAATTCTCCAGAGGCTGAAAAATCGTCAAAATCCAATTTTAGCATTCTCTTTCCATGTATTATGCTTCTTGAAAAAGAAACTTCCTCCCATCCATATTTGGTTACATGAATATACAGTCGTTATAGGAAAGGCAAGATAAGTGCTTGATCCCCTCTCTTTACTCATTTTCAAAACAATGTATAGATCCCCTGGCATCCTCCAACTGTGATCAATTATTACTGTCATTATTAATTATAATTTATTTAGTATCATACTGACATTTTCGATGTGATGTGCTTCAGTCTATTGCAGGTTTATTCTTATTAATATCTAAAGAGTTCAGCCTGCAGTGAGAACACATGGACACAGAGAGGGGAACGACACACCCTGGGGCCCGTCGGGGAGTAGGGAGGGAGAGCATTAGGGAAAACAGCTAATGCACGCTGGGCTTAATACCTAGGTGATAGGTTGATAGGTGCAGCAAACCACCATGGCACACGTTTACCTACGTAACAAGCTTGCACATCCCACACGTATGTCCCAGAACTTAAAATAAAAATAAAAAATAAAGAATGCAGAAGAAAAAAAAGGGTTTGGTTGGCTGGTAGCTCACCTCTGTAATTCCAACACTCTGGGAGGCCAAGGTGGGCAGATTACTTGAGCTCAGGAGATTAAGACCAGCCTGAGCAACATGGTGAAACACCATCTCTACTAAAAATACAAAAATTAGCCAGGTGTGGCGGTGCACGTCTGTAGTCCCAGCTACTTGTGG
Source organism: Homo sapiens (assembly GCF_000001405.40). NCBI lineage: Eukaryota > Metazoa > Chordata > Mammalia > Primates > Hominidae > Homo > Homo sapiens. Next base: position 58,933,326 of record NC_000020.11, read on the forward strand.
GACTGAGGCAGGAGGATCACTTGAACCGAAAAGGTCGAGGCTGCAGTGAGCTGAGATGGCACCACTGTACACTCCAGCCTGGGTGACAAAGTGAGACCCTGTCTCAAAAAAAAAGTTCCAAGCCTGGCGCGGTGGCTTATGCCTGTAATCCCAGCACTTTGGGAGGCTGAGGCGGGCGGATCACTTGAGGTCAGGAGTTCGAGACCAGCCTGCCCAACATGGTGAAACCCAGTCTCTACTAAAAATACAAAAATTAGCGGGGCATGTTGGTACATGCCTGTAATCCCACCTACTTGGGAGGATGAGGCAGGAGAATCGCTTGAACCCAGGAGGCGGAGGTTGCAGTAAGCCAAGACCGCGCCACTGCACTCCAGCCTGGGCAACACGAGCAAAACTTCATCTCAAAAACAAACCAACTAACAAACAAACAAAGTTCCACCTAACTGACATATACAGACCATTTCGTGCAACAGCAGCAGAAAACACGTTCTTCTCAAGCACACATAGAATGTTCTCTAGGATAGATCATAGATCATATGCTAGGCCAAAAACCAAATCTTAACATAATTAAGAAGAATTGAAATCGTATCAAGTATCTTATCTTTTCCACAATGGTATGAAACTAGAAATCACTAACAGAAAGAATTTCAGAAAATTCACAGTTATGTGGAAATTAAGCAACAGGCTCCTTAACAACAAATGAAGCTAAAAAGAAATTTAAAATTATCTTGAGGGCTGGGCACGGTGGCTCACACCTATGATCGTAGCGCTTTGGGAGGCCAAGGTGGGAGGATTGCCTGATCCCAGGCAACACGGTGAGATCCTGTCTCTATAAAACACAGAAAAATTAGCCAGGTGTGGTGGTGCATGCTGGTAGTCCCAGCTGCTTGGGAGGCTGAGATGGGAAGATCACTTGAGTCCAGGTGTGCAAGGTTATAGTGAGCTATGATCATGCCACTACACTCCAGCCTGGGCAACAGAGTGACACACTGTCTCTAAAAATAAATAAAATAAAATATTTTGAGACTAACAAGAATGGAAACATAACATACCAGAATTTATGGGATGCAGTTCTAAGAGGGAAGTTTATAGCCATAAATACCTATATCAAAAAAGAAGAAAGATCTCAAATAAACAATGTAACATCATACCTCAAGGTACTAGAAAAAGAAACACACACAAAGCCCAAAGTTAGTAGAAGGAAGAAAATAATAAAGATCAGAGCAGAAACAAATAAAATAGGGACTAGAAAAATAATAAAAAAGATCAGTGAAACTAAGAGTTGGGTTCTTGAAAAGACAAACATAATTGACAAACCTTTAGCTAGGCTAAGAAAAAAAGAGAGAAGATTAAAATAAGTAAAACCAGAAATGAAAGAGGAATAATTACAATCAATAGCACAGAAATACAAAGGATTATAAGATATTATAAATAATTACATGCCAGCAAAAGGGGGAACCTAGAAGAAATGGATAAATTCCTAGAAACATACAACTTACCAGGACTGAATCATGAAGAAATAGAAAATCTGAACAGACCAATAACAAATAAGAAGATTGAATCAGTAATCAAAAATCTCCCACCAAAGAAAAGCCCAGGACCTGATGGCTTCACAGGTGAATTCTACCAAACATTTGAGGAACTAATACCAATCCATCTCAAACTCTTCCAAAAAATTGAAGAGAGGGAATACTTCCAAACTCATTTTACAAAGCCAGTTTTACTGATACCAAAGCCAGACAAGAACACTGCAAAAAAAGAAAATTATGGACCAACATCCTTGATGAACACAGATGCAAAAATCTCAACAAAATATAAGCAAACTGAACTCAACAGCACATTAAAAAGATCCTTCACCATGATGAAATGAGATTTTCCCTTGGGATGCAAGGATGATTCCACATATGCAAATCAATAAATGTGATATAACACATTAACAGAATAAAAGATAAAAACCATATCATTATCTCAATAGGTACAGAAAAAGCATTAGACAAAATTAAACATTGCTTCAGGATAAAAATCTCAACAAACTAGGTACAGAAAGAATGTATCTGAACACAATCAAGGTCATATATCACAAGTCCACAGCGAGTGTTCTACTTAATGGTAAAAAGTTGAAAGTTTTTTCTCTAAGATCAGGAAAAACACAAGGATGCCTGCTCTTGCCACTTCTATTCAACACAATACTGAGTTCCAGCCAGAGCAAGTAGGCAAGGGAAAAAAAAAAAAAAAAGCCATCCAAATTGGAAAGGAAGAAGTTAAACTGTCTTTGTTAGCAGGTGACATGATCTTATATATGGAAGATCCTAAAGACTCCATTAAAAAAACTGTTAGAACACATTAATTTAGTAAAGTTGCAGGTTAGGCGCTTTGTAATACAGGCTGGGCGCAGTGGCTCACACCTGTAATCCCAGCACTTTGGGAGGTGGAGGTGGGTGGATCACCTGAGGTCAGGAGTTCGAGACCAAACTGGCCAACATGGTGAAACCCCGTCTCTACTAAAAATACAAAAAATTAGCTGGGCGTGGTGGCGCATGCCTATAATACCAGCTACTCAGGAGGCTGAGGCAGGAATTTCTTGAACCTGGGAGGTGGAGGTTGCAGTGAGCCGAAATTGTGCCACTGCACTCCAGCTTGGGCAATGAGAGTGAAACTCCGTCTCAAAAAAAAAAAAAAAAAAGAAAAGAAAGAAAGTCAACATACAAAAATTAGTAGTAGCATTTCTACATACTAACAATAAACTATCTCAAAAAGGAATCAAGAAAATAACTAATTTACAATAGCTACAAAATAAAAATACTTAGGAATAAATGTGATAAGGAAGTGAAAGATCTGTATATTGAAAACTATAAATTGCTGATGAAAGAAATTGAAGAATACACAAATAGATGGAAAAATATCTGGTGTTCATAGTTTAGAAGAGTTAATATTGTTTAAATATCCATACTACCCAAAGATTTCTACAGGTCCAATGCAATCACTATAAAAATCCCAATGAAATTTTCACAGAAACAGAAAAAACAATACTAAAATTTGTACGGAACCATAAAAGACCCCAAATAGCCAAAGCAATCTTGAGCCAAAAGAACAAAGCTGGAGGCATCATACTACCTGACTTCAAAATACACTACAAAACTATGGTAACCAAAACAGCATGGTACTGGGATAAAAACAGACACATAGGCCAATGGAGCAAAATAAAAAGCCCAGACATAAATCGATGCATTTACGGTCAATTGATTTCTGGCAAAGATGCCAAGAACATACAATGGGGAAAACAATCTCTTCAATAAATGGTGTTGGGGAAACTGGATAGCCATATGAAGAATAATGAAATTAGACCCTTACTTCACGTATAAAAAACAAACAAACAAAAAATGGATTAAAAATGTGAAACTGTGAAACTGGGCCAGGCGTGGTGGCTCATGCCTGTAATCCCAGCACTTTGGGAGGCCGAGTCAGGTGGATCACCTGAGGTCAGGAGTTCGAGACCAGCCTAGCCAACATAGTGAAACCCCATATCTACTAAAAATACAAAAAAATTAGCCAGGCATAGTGGCACACACCTGTAGTCCCAGCTACTTGGGAGGCTGAGGCAGGAGAATTGCTTGAACCCAGGAGGTGGAGGTTGCAGTGAGTAAAGATAGTGCCACTGCACTCCAGCCTGGGAGACAGAGTGAGACTCTGTCTAAAAAAAAAAAAGGATGTGAAACTGTAAAACTACTAGAAGAAAACATAGGGTAAAAGCTCCATGACATTGATCTGGACAATGATATTTTGGATATTACCTCAAAAGAGGATTCAACTTCCTTCTTTTAGGTATGGATATCCAGTCGTTCTACCACCATTTTGTTTTTAAAGGCTATTCTTTCCACCATTGAATTGTCTTAGCACTCTTGTCGAAAATCAATTGACTCTTATACTGAAGGAAAGCTTGGGGGTGGCGGGGGGGGACATCAATTCACCATGAATTCATGAGTTTACTTTTGAGCTCCCAATTCTATTACACATGATATGATGTATCCACATAGTCCTCATAAGTGTAGCTTTGTAGTAAGTTTTGAAATTAGAAAGTGAGTCCTCCGATTTTGTTGTTCTTTTTCAAGAATTGTTTTCATTATTTTGGGTTTTTTGCTATTCCTTATGAATTTTGGTATCAGCTTGTCAGTTTCCACAAAAATATTTGCTGGATATTGACAGAGACTGTGTTGATATTGACAGGGATTACATGGGCTTCCTCTGAAGTTTCTATTGATTGCTTTTTTTTTTTCTTGAGACAGAGCCTCACTCTGTCACACAGGCTAGAGTACAATGGTGCGACCTCGGCAGACTGCAACCTCTGCCTCCCAGGTTCAAGCGATTCTCCCATCTCAGCCTCCTGAGTAGCTGGGATTACAGGCACCCGCCATCATGCCCAGCTAATTTTTGTATTTTAGTAGAGATGACGTTTCACCATGTTGGCTAGGCTGGTCTTGAACTCCTGACCTCAGGTGATTCACTCACCTCTGCCTCCCAAAGCACTGGGATTATAGGTGTGAGCCACTGGACCCGGCTGATTGCTCCTTTTTTCTATGTATGGGCAATACTTCATTTCCTTGCATGTCTCATAATTTTTTGTTGAAAACCAGCCTCTTAAAATAACATATTATGTCAACTCTGAAAATCAAATTCTCTCCCTTCCCCAGGATTTGTTGATGTTGCTATTTATTGTTATTGCTACTTGTTGTCGTCGTTTCTTTGTGACTTTTCTGAATAAATTCCATAAAATCTGCATTTCTTATAATGTGTGGCCACTGAAGTCTCTGCTCTGTTAGCTTAGTGGTCAGCTAATTATTAGAAAGACATTTTCTTAAATTCTTGTTATCAGCAACTCTCCCAGTCTTTGCCAGGGAGCTTTGTGCGTATGTTGGAGCATGCCTTCAATACTGAACCAGGCAGCTGACAAATCTGCCTTCGTCTTTACTTCCTTCTTGCATAGAGCTTCAAGGTGACCCAGAGATGAAAGAACCTCACTGGTTCATCATAAGCCTGTGCATAGCTTTAGGTGAGTGCTTTCCAAAGATCCTATGGCTTTTCATGGCATTTCATTCCCCAACTTTTCCTTTTCAGCTTTTTGGTTAGCCTATTGCTTGTCCCAACTGTTACCTACTGCCTCAAGCAGGCATAAAATTAAGCAATTGCTCCTAATTGTTTTGACAAATGCCCCCAAGGAAAAGGCTTTTAACACTAAACAAACTTCCAGTCATGGCAAGCAAACCAGATGGGTAAAATAATGATAATTCCTGAGAAGGAGGCTTTGAAAGAGCTTCAACCTCATTTCATTCTCTCTGGTAACTACAAGCTCTGGTTTTCACTTTGATTGCCTGCTATTGGTTTTCAAGGCTGCCAGAAAACTGGAGAAAGGGAAATAGAAATAGGGGAAGTTAAGATACCACAAAGCTCACTATTCTTATCAAGATTCAGCCATTTTTCTTAAATACATGCTTTCCTAATGGCTGCAAACCTTTGGTTAATTTTCAGAGTTCTAAAATTGTTGATTTTGTTGCAGTGAGCTGAGATAGCACCACTGTACTCCAGCCTGGGCAAGAGCAAGACTTCGTTTCAAAAAAAAAAAAAAAAAAATTGTTGATTTTGACTATTTTGTCAGTTTTCTCATTGCTCTTCTGGAGAAGAGAATTTTTAGAGGTTCTTACTCAGAAATTGTCACTAACGTTACTCCAGTAAACTTTTAAAGTAAGTGCCTGGAAGTCAATATTTTAGGCTTTGTGGGCAAACTCAAGGATGTTAAACAGGCAATTATATAACAAGAGAGGGAAAAAAATTTTCACAAAATTTTAACTGATGAAATTCAAAATATGATAATAAGTACTTTTTTGTTTTATAGCTCTACTAATGAGAAGAATGAAGCTCTTTGGGGGGAGGTAACATTTTACTTAATTGGGGGTTATCATCATAACCAATTGCAAATTTTCATCTATCAGTGCTGACCTGTAAAGAGATTTTGCGTATTTCATCTTTGAAAATGTCTTTTCACAAAGATAGGTACTGCCAATTCTGATATCAGTCCACAAGCATGTGATTTTAATTGAATTTAATTGTGATTGAATTGAATTCAGTTGTGATTTAAATGTAATTTATATTCATCACATGTAAGGCATTTACAGAATTCTATTAGATTTTTTCCTTGATATTTGCCTTTTAGCATGTATTAATCACTCATTTCATTATGTATTAATCACTTCGAATTAAAGGTTATTTGGAAACTCTTCTATTGCACAGTTAAATAGACTTTGAAGCATGTAAGTTTCCTTTCAGCATACATCACATTCTAAGAAACACTGCTTACTCTGTAGCTTGAATTCCAAAAACAATTCCACAGGAAATTTGTATGGAAATGGAGATCTTCCTTTTTGTTTCAACTTTTGACAGCATGGGAAGTATTTAAAGTGACACAACATCAGCTGTGACCCAAACAATATTAGTAAAGGCAAAATGACTTTACCACAATATAAGTTTTGCATATAAGCACTGTTTTGCCTTTTAATATTAGCTTGAATTTATTAAGAAATACTTTCAAATTCACAGCAAATTCTAAGCATTATTATACTACGGTATAATAGTGGTTGACAGAGGCTATTCTTGTTCAGAAAAACTTAACTGTTGGTCCTGAGCTCAAAATATCTCAATAAAACTTCACTACCAATGAGCCTTCAAATTTCTGTGTGGTAGAACAAGTCAAGGTATTTATCATCTACTTCTGATAAAAATTCATGATGATTAAGTCCACAAGAGTTAAGTTCAGTGTTAACAGTACTCATTCAATAACACATAATTCAAATATTTTCCTCAAAATATCGATATATAATACAATGAATTTCATAGGCTTTAAACCTCTTACATTTCTGCACGCTTTATAGAGTTGTCCAGCTAAGCCTCTTGCTGCTCCACACATATTTTTACTATCATCAGTTGTAACACACCTTAATAGATTCCATTTCTGATTGTAATGAATTAATATTTTTTCAACTTCTTTAAAAATATTCTCCCCTGGCCGGGCGCGCTGGCTCACGCCTGTAATCCCAGCACTTTGGGAGGCCGAGGCAGGTGGATCATGAGGTCAGGAGATTGAGACCATCCTGGCTAACACGGTGAAACCCCATCTCTACTAAAAATACAAAAAAAAAAAAATTAGCTGGGCATGGTGGCGGGCACCTGTAGTCCCAGCTACTTGGGAGGCTGAGGCAGGAGAATGGCGTGAACCCGGGAGGCAGAGCTTGCAGTGAGCTGAGATAGCACCACTGCAGTCCAGCCTGGGCAAAAGAGCAAGACTCCATCTCAAAAAAAAAAAAAAAAAAAAAATTCTCCCCTATAGCTGTTACATGTATAAAAGCTACTCCTCCAGTCACTTAAAATTGGGCATTGACTTCTCAAGATTTTTAAAAACTGCCTGTTGGCCAGGCACGGTGGCTCACACCTGTAATCACAGCACTTTGGGAGGCTGAGGCAGGTGGATCACCTGAGGTCAGGAGTTTGAGACCAGCAGGACCAATATAGTGAAACCCCTTCTCTACTAAAAATACAAAAATTAGCTGGGTGTGGCGGTGCGTGCCTGTAGTCCCAGATACTCGGGAGGGTGAGGCAGAAGAATCGCTTGAACCCAGGAGGCAGAGGTTGCAGTGAGCCAAGATTGCGCCACTGCACTCCAGCCTGGGCAACAGAGAAAGATTCCATCTCAAAAAAAACCCCAAAACAAAACAAAACAAAACAAAACAAAAAAACAAAAAAAAACCTCGCAAAAATTAGCCAGGTGTGGTGGTGTGCACCTGTAGTCGCAGCTACTCAGGAGGCTAAGACAGGAGAATCGCTTGAACCCAGGAGGCAAAGATTGCAGTGAGCCAAGATCACGCTGCTGCACTCCAGCCTGGGTAACAGAGCGAGATTACATCTCAAAAAACAAAACAAAACAAACAAACAAAAAAACTCCCTGTTTTTTAGTGGACTATTGATGCTACTCCCAATGTCCCAAACTCTTCAACCAACTATCCTCAATGCAAGGCTAATATTCTTAAACAAGTTTGCTTTTTCTGGGTACATTTATTCAGCCATTGTAATCAAACATCATGTAATTAACTTACCATTTATAAACAGATTTCTTTCTTGGTTAACAAACGAACTACTTGATAATTTACTTTAGTTATGGATTCTTTGTCATTTTTAATTTCTGTGAAGAAATTCTGCCATGATCTCTGCAATGTTGATGCATTTCATCCTCTTCTAGAAGAGCTAGCACGTCATCGCACAAGATACAATGTTTTGTCATGTGATGTGACAGAAAATAATTCACACCCCATTATGCCTTAGAAACAGACATTCAAAGTCTACTTTTATCTTCTTTCTTTTTTTAACATGAAAGATATGTACTCATAATTTTTTTAAAGTTAGAGTGTGGCAATATATGTAGCACTCAAAATCCTGTTGTTTTTTAACTGTGTAACTGCAATTCTCATTGTGCCAAGTGGCAGTTTAAGGCAATGAGAATGCTACATCCAGCCCCTGGCACAATTCCTCACTTTCGCCAGTGCAGCACAAAAGCACCCATGGAAAAAAGTAAACAAATTAGCATGGCTGTGTCCCCATAAAAGCTTATTTATGGATATTACAACTTGAATTTCATATCACTTCATGTGCTACAAAATATTCTTTTTTTGATTGTTTAACTATTTAAAAATGTAAAAACTATTCTTAACTCACGGGCCATACAGAAACAGGTGGCAGGCCAGATTTGGTACACAGGCTATAGTTAGCCAATCCCTGCTATAATACATTTAACTTAATTTTTTGTTGTTGTTGTTGTGGAGACAGAGTCTCATTCTGTTGCCCAGGCTGGAGTGCAGTGGCATGATCTCCCCTCACTGCAACCTCCACCTCCTAGGTTCAAGCAATTCTCTTGCCTCAGCCTCCCAAGTAGCTGGGATTACAGGTGCATGCCACCATGCCCAGCTAATTTTTGTATTTTTAGTAGAGACAGGGTTTTGCCATGTTGGCCAGGCTGGTCTTGAACTCCTGACCCCAGGTGATCCACCCACCTTAGCCTCCCAAAATGCTGGGATTACAGGTGTGAGCTGCCGTGTCCGGCCAAATTTAAAGTTCATATTAATTTAATTATTTGTATAGGTAATACTTGCACATGCTCTAAACTTAATATCTTAGAGAAGGGTGGGTGGCATAAAATCTCCCCTCTACATCAGCCACCAGCTACCCAGTTCCTCTCCCTAGAGGCAACCAGTGTTGCCAGTTTCCCATGTAAGCTTCCAGAGCCACTCTGTGTATATCTAAGCAATTACACACAGATATATTTTTCTTTCTTGTGTTTACATAAAAGGCAACATACTCTACTTCATACTCACTCACATGGCTATAATCAAAGATAGCTACACTGGCAAGGAAATGGAGAAATTGAAACCTCCGTAGACTGCTGGAAGGAATGTAAAACAGTGCAGCCGCTTGCCGTATCAGCCAGCACTTCTCCCCCAGGTGTATACCCAGGAGAAAGGAAAACACAAATTCACACAAAAACTTGTACTCCAGCGTTTATGTTATTCATAATAGCCCAAAGTGGAAACAATCCAAATGTCTATCCACTGGTTAACAAACTGTGTTAAAAATGTATACAATAGAATACTACTCAGCCAAAAAGATGAAATACTGATACATGCCACAACACACTAAGCCTTGAAAGCACCATGCTAAGCGAAAGAAGCTGGACCCAAAAGTCAATGCATTGTATGATTTCATCTATGTGAAATGCCTAGAAGAGGCAAATTCATAGAGACAGAAAACAGATTGCTGGAGGAAGAAAAAATGGGAAGTGACAGCTAATGAGAACAGGATTTTTTTTTTTTTTGGAGTGATAAGAATGTTCTGGAACTGGATAATGGTGATGGTTGTACAACCTTGTGCATATACTACAAGCACTGAATTGTGTACTTAAAAAATGTATTCTATAATATGTGAATTACTTCTCAATAAAATTAGTAGCATATTATACATATGCCTTGCCTTTTTCCCTTATCATCATCTAGAGGCCAATTAAAAGGGGACGAGACATGCAATATGAAATACAGTGGTGGCTTCTGTGAGCACTGGCCAAATTAAAAATGATAGTAACCCAAATCTAAAAATGCTTGCCTCAAAAAAGGGAATATTGGCTGGGCAAGGTGGCTCACGTCTATAATCCCAGCACTTTGGGAGGCCAATGTAGGTGGATCACTTGAGGTCAGGAGTTTGAGACCAGCCTGGCCAACATGGTGAAACCCCGTCTCTACTAAAAATACAAAATTTAGCCAGGTGTGGTGGCAGGTGCCTGTAATCCCAGCTACTCGGGAGGCTGAGGCTGGACAATCACTTGAACCTGGGAGGCAGAGGTTGCCTGAGATTGCGCCACTGCACTTTAGCCTGGGCAACAGAGTGAAACTGTGTATCCAAAAAAAAAAAAGGGAAAGAAAAAGAAAAAAAAAAGGGGATATTCAAGTCTTTCTACAACTAAGTTTTTAAAAACTCTGTAACTGGTTATAAGTAGGCTGAAAACTGAACCCATCCGAGACTGAACCTGCAGCTTGTATATTAACACAGTTGAATTCACAGTCTACAGTACTTTTTTCTTTTTTTTTTTTTTTTCTGAGACGGAGTCTCGCTCTGTCACCCAGGCTGGAGTGCAGTGGCGCAATCTCAGCTCACTGCAACCTCTGCTGCCTGGGTTCACGTGATTCTCCTGTCTCAGCCTCCCGAGTAGTTGGGATTACAGGTGCCCGCCACCAGGCCTGGCTAATTTTTGTATTTTTAGTAGAGACGGGGTTTCACCATCTTGGTCAGGCTGGTCTCGAACTCCTGGCCTCATGATCCAACCGCCTCGGCCTCCCAAAGTGCTGGGATTACAGGCATGGGCCACCATGCCTGGCCTACAGTACTTTTAACCAAAAGTGAGGGCAATGGTTGAGAAAGAAAGAAAGCCCGACAAGATGGAACTGGAATAAAAATATCCAGAAATATTCCGAGACTCCCCCGGTCCTACCACTCTACAACACTCCACTGTGCCTCTCCTCCCTTAGGAAGAGTCCTCGCCCTTTGAGGGAAAATAACCACGCTCTCATGCCCTGCTACTACACATTTTTACCTGGCTGGTAACCAGAATTGAAACTCAACCAGGCCTGGGAGTGAAATGCATTATTATGGAAGGAGAATGAAGAATTGCTTCTTGAAGGAAGAGCATGGCTGCACCAATATGTATAGTCATACTGTAAATAAAAACAAAAACAAAGCAAACAAAAGATATGTATAGTCATCATGAGAAGGGACTTAAGGTCCCCAGGCATAGAGGGTGGCGTTTATTTCTCACCTGGAATGAAGTTATTGATTTAGGTGCATTCTTTCAGGGGGTGTGGGCAGCTGCTTTAGCAGTTTGCTGCTTTGGCTAATGTTCTGAATGCTGCTCTGTGCAAAATGACATGGCAAAGCCAGAGACACTTTGGCATAAGACAGAGAAAGAATTCAAAGACTTCAGGAGACAGGAATGCCGCACTGGAACTGCAGTGGGTTTCCCCCTTACCAGCTCCTCCCGCCTCCATGTGGCTCCCGTGAGGGCTGGAAGGCTCTCCACTCACCTTGGCCTTGAGAAACGGATTGGTGAGGAATATGGCAGTCTTTCAAATGGGCTTTCACTGGCTGTTCTCCTGGCCTGGGGATATTGGTGGTACAGGCTGGAGTTGCCTTGCTGATCTCAATGGGAATGAGAGGAGCCGGCGTTGGCTTGGTCCACGTGGCCACAGTTACCTGCCAGAAGCCAAGGAGGCCGGGTAATCATAATAGGCAACAAGGCAGGTGTGCTTATTAGGTTCACAACATGGTTGGTGCAAGGCCCAGAGATCTTTAGTTGTGGTTAATTAGAGGGTTCCCAGGAATTATAGTGACAGGTGCTCCATCCTTTTGTATGCAACCATAAAATAAAAATAGAATAAAATAGACGGGGCTCGGTGGCTCACACCTGTAATCCCAGCACTTTGGGTGGCCGAGGCGGGCGGATCACCTGAGGTCAGGAGTTCGAGACCAGCCTGGCCAACATGGTAAAGCCCTGTCTCTACTAAAAATACAAAAAGTAGCCGGGCGTGGTGGCAGGAGCCTGTAGTCCCAGTTACTCAGGAGGCTGAGGCAGAAGAATCGCTTGAACTTGGGAGGCAGAGGTTGCAGTGAGCTGAGATCGTGCCACTGCACTCCAACCTGAGTGACAGAGTGAGACTCTGTCTCAAAAAAAAAAAAAAAAAAAAAAGAATAAAATAAGTCCAGGTCTAATGAAAATCAAGACATAAGGAAGTCAAGAACTGGTATCTAATTCTGTACGCTGGGTCACTTCATTGATCCAGAGTCTCTCGTCTAGAGACCGGAGACCATAAGTAACATGGTCTAGGTAGCCTTGAGACCCACATAATCACCAAGGCAACCTGGAAGGCTTCTTCCTCACATTTCCCCAAAGAGAAATGTGCCCTGGGAGAAAGAACATACCAAAACCTTTGGTCTACTGGATACTGGATCAAATCTAAGTAATGCGAATTATTGGGATCCTAGGAACCTCGACATCACCATGGTCTGCCCTTTGGAGTGAGGTCTATGTGGATCCAGAGATGGAGTGGGGATCGAGTCCACCAATAGCAAGCCCACCCCGAGGGTCTTTTCTGTCCAGATGTAGATAGATAGATGGATCTCCTCAGAATCAGGCATCATCACCTATTGGCTTGTTAAGGCCTGGAGTAAATGCCACCATGGTGGGCAGGGCCAAAAACGAGACACTGGAACTTCCTCTTTCCTCCAAAATAGCAACCAAAAGCATTGTTACCTCTAAAAAATGTTTTAAGTACACATTTCAGTGGTTGTAGTATATTGTAGATAGTCCCAAACATCAAACACTTGGAAAGGGTGTGCTTGGTGACCCCTGTGACATCCCCACTGAATCTGCAATTCAGCTGCTGCACAGGGTGCCAGTTGAATTAGCCTTAGCTTAATCAGGTGGTTTTCCAAGTGTCGATCCCAACCCAACTCCCATTTTCCTCTCACTAGGAAAAATCAATACAATGCCTGGAAACTGTTATGCACTTTTTTTTTTTTTGAGACGGAGTCTCTCTCTGTCACCCAGGCTGGAGTGCAGTTGAGTGACCCCAGCTCACTGCAACCTCCGCCTCCCAGGTTCAAGCGATTCTCCTGTCCCAGCCTCCCGAGTAGCTGGAATTACAGGCGTGCACCACCATGCCCGGCTAGTTTTTGTATTTTTAGTGAGACAGGGTTTCACCATGTTGGCCAGGCTGGTCTCGAACTCCTAACCTCCAGTGATCCGCCTGCCTTGGCCTCCCAAAGTGCTGGGATTACAAGCATGAACCACTGCACTTAGCCTGGTATGCACTTTTTTTTTTTTTTTGAGACAGAGTCTTTCCCTGTTGCCCAGACTGGAATGTAGTTGCGTGATCCTGGCTCACTGCAACCTCTGCCTCCTGGGTTCAAGCGATCCTCAGCCTCCTGAGTAGATGGGACTACAGGCATGTGCCACCACACCCAGCTAATTTTTGTATTTTTAGTAAAGATGGGGTTCTGCCATGTTGGCCAGGCTGGTCTTGAACTCCTGGCCTCAAGTGATCCTCCCACTTTGGCCTCCCAAAATGCTGGGATTACAGTCATGAGCCACCGTGCCTGGCCCTGGTATATACACTTTTGATTGTGCAAACGCATTTTTCTCCATCATGAAAGAGAAAATACCAGATGATGTTTCCTTTTACTCCTTTACAGTTCTTCTCAGATTCCTCTCTCCTTTTGGAACATACATTGTTCCCAGTGAAATGGAACATTGCACGTAACAGCTAATTGGTCTATTACATTAAAAGCAACACGTTGATAGACTAGGAAAAAAAGAGGAACAGTTATCTTGAAGATACATATATATTATATATCCATATAATATACGGTTGGTACAAAAGTAATTGCAGTTTTTGCATTGTTGAAATTTGCCGTTGGATATTGGAATACCTTCTTCTTTTAACAACATAATGGGTTTATATTTAATATAGTACTTATCAGGAGGGTGTTGCTAAGTTAATGTAAAGTTTTTTTCTTAACATTAAATCTCTTTTCCATGTCAACGTCTATAGTTTTTTTTAACATTAATTTTTTTCTGCATTTCAGTATTAGATACACTGAATACATTTTTCGAAATGTTTTTTCTCCAGAGAAAAAAGTTTCCCTTTTTGGCTGACTCTCTTATATCTAAATACAATATTAACTTGGGAGACAACAAAACAAAAATCTAATAAAAAGATGGAGAAAACTCCCCAACGATTCGGGAGGCAGTGATTATAACCGAACATTGGTGATTTCCTAAGATTCTGGGCAAGAACTTCCTTCTTCCTATTTCACATTCTTTGAGAATTCTAAAACTATGAAATATTACTTATGTAAATTTCAGCTATCTTACTTCTTTGACCTCCTTTCTAACTAGCAAATACAAATGATAGGCTGCATTTTTCTGTGCATTATTTGTTGTAAAGAAAACATATTTTTTTCAATTCATATATGTATGTCTGTTCCCATTTCATGGAAACAACGAAAAATGTAAAACTCCCTTATTTACTGATTCTTGGAAACTTTCAGACCCCAAAGCTCAGGTTTAGCCTCTATAGCACAAAGGTTTTCAGGGTGAGGTTTGACTCAGTAGGCCTTTCACACTCACATCTGTCCATTTCTTTTTCGTGCATATACTCCCGAGCAGCACAAATGCCTGTAATGCTGAGAACCACACCTAACAAGAGGGCGACTGCATCACCGGCTTCTACTGCTTCCACAACAGGCAGCACCAAAAGCAGTGACATGAGGACTAAGGACAACTGTGTTGAAACTGAGGTCATGATGTTGGAATCTTGAGGGCTGAAGGTTCCAAAGAAATGGTGTATATAGAATTCTATCTGACTTGAAATTTTCCCTTCCTGGAGCTCCGGATGCTGAGATTAAGAGGTTCCACGTGACACTACCTTCCAGGAAGCAGCCATTACAGGACTGCAATACATTCTTAAATGTGGTTATGTCATACATCATCTTAATGAGCATTTCTCTCTGTACTTATTTATTTTTGCTAATGACTTATTACTTGCTGTTTATTTTTTTCTTTATTTTAGACTATGGAAATGATGTTAGACAAAAAGCAAATTTGAGCAATATTCTTATTCGAGTTCAAAATGGATTGTAAAGCAGTGGAGACAACTCGCAACATCAATGGCCCAGGAACTGCTAATGAACATACCGTGCAGTGGGGGTTCAAGAAGTTTTGCAAAAGAGAGGAGAGCCTTGAAGATGAGGAGCGTAGCGGCCAGTCGTCGGAAGTTGACAACCACCAACTGAGAGCAATCACGGAAGCTGGTCCTCTTACAACTACACCAGAAGCTGCTGAAGAACTCAACGTCCACCTTTCTACGGTCATTCGGCATTTGACGCAAACTGGAAAGGTGAAAAAGCTCGATAAGTGGGTGCCTCATGAGCTGAGCGAAAATCAGAAACATTGTCGTTTTGAAATGTCGTCTTCTCTTATTCTACACAACAACAATGAACCATTTCTCCATCGGATTGTGATGTGCGACAAAAAGTGGATTTTATACGACAACCAGCGATGACCACCTCGGTGGGTGGACTGAGAAGCTCCAAAGCACTTCCCAAAGCCAAACTTGCACCAAAAAAAGGTCCTGGTCACTGTCTGGTGGCCTGCTGACGGTCTGACCACCACAGCTTTCTGAATCCCGGCAAAACCATTACATCTGAGAATTGTGCTCAGCAAATCGATGAGATGCACCAAAAACTGCAAAGCCTGCAGCCGGCACTGGTCAACAGAAAGGACCCAATTCTTCTCCAGGATAATGCTGACCGCAGGTCCTACAACCAATGCTTCAAAAGTTGATCAAATTGGGCTACAAAGTTTTGCCTCGTCTGCCATATTCACCTGACTTCTCACCAACAAACTACTGCTTCTTCAACCATCTTGACAACTTTTTCCAGAGAAAACGCTTCCACAACCAGCAGCATGCAGAAAATGCTTTCCAAGAGTTTGTCGAATCCCGACGCACAGATTTTTACATTACAGGAATAAACAAACTTATTTCTCTTTGGTAAAAATGTGTTGATTGTAATGGTTCCTATTTTGATTAATAAAGATGTGTTTGAGCCTAGTTATAATTTTAAAATCACAGTCCAAAACCGTAATTACTATTGCACCAACCAGAATATATAGAATATATAACATAATATATATTTGAAATATACTATATAAATATTATATATTATATATTTCATATATATTATATATTTCATATATAATATATATATTTAATATATAATATAATACATATTTTATATATATTATATATTATACTCTATATATAATATAGATCATATATATTCCACATATTATATATATTATACTCCATATATAATATATATATTTCATTCATCATATATATTTCATATATAGTATATTTAGGCAGGGTCTTGCTCTGTTGCCCAGGGTAGAATGCAGTGACACAATCACTGCAGCCTCAACCTCCCAGGCACAGGCGATCCTCTCACCTCAGCCTCCTGAGTAGCTGGGACTACAGGCACGTACCATCACACTTGGCTAATTTAAAATTTTTTGTACAGACAGGATCTCACTATGTTGCCCAGACCGGTCTCAAACTCCGGGACCCAAGCAATCCTCTTGTCCCAGCATCCCAAAGTGCTGAGATTATAGGCTTGAGCCATCACACCCAACAGAGGGTACTTTTTCTGGCTGTTCTGCACCACAGCCTCCTTGGATGGGTAGGAGTGTGTTCATTTATCATCTAGCACACAGGCTGCTGAAACAAGAGGAATAATGTTCAAACATGATCAAAAGGAGTATGCATCTCACACAGTGAAGCTGGGCTTGGAGCTATGTTTTAACTGAATGTGACTGAACATGGTCTTAATTTGTAAAAGAAGGGAGGTTTTGAGTTATTTAAAAGACGCATACGGGAAAAATTTTCAACTTCATACACGCTGGGATTATGAACATGTGTCTGTGCACAGGTGTAGGTGTGCATGAGCCTTTGAAAATCAAAGCATAGGCCAGGAACAGTGGCTCACACCTGCAATCCCAGCACTTTGGGAGGCCAAGGCTGGTGGATAGCTTCAGTCCAGGAGTTTGCTTAAGTCAGGGAGTTTGAGACCAGCCTGGGCAACATGGGGAAACTCCATCTCCATAAAATAAATAAATAATTTTTTAAAGTTAAAATTAAAAATCAAAAAAAAAAGAAAATCAAACGGTGGACTGCAGTGAACATTTTATTGTTTTTGTCTAGTCAGCAGCCCAGATGCCTTTGGAAAAAAGTTACCCTCAACTCTAGCCATGCAATACAGAAGAGGGCGCCAATCAGATCACCCTGGACTTGTGGCCACAGGATTGGGCAAACAATCCAGGCTGATAACAGTTTTTTGTTTGTTTGTTTGTTGTTATTGTTTGTTTTGTTTGTTTTTGAGACGCAGTCTCACTCTGTCACCCAGGCTGGAGTGCAATGGCGCAATCTCGGCTCACTGCACCCTCTGTCTCCTCTGCCTCCTGGGTTCAAGCTATTCTCCTGCCCCAGCCTCTCAAGTAGCTGGGGTTACAGGCATGTGCCACCATGCCCAGCTAATTGTTGTATTTTAAGTAGAGACTGGGTTTTACCATGTTGGCCTGGCTGGTCTCGAACTCCTGACCTCAGGTGATCCACCTGCCTTGGCCTCCCATAAGTACCGGGATTACAGGCGTGAACCACCGTGCCCAGCCTGATAATAGGTTCTTATTGGTAGAAACATTTTAAATGACAAGACATAGAATACCTAACAAAAATGTCTTATGAATGAAAGAAATATAAGTGGCATTTATAAAACACTCCTCACAACAAAAACAGAACACACTTTTTTTTTCAAATGCTTGTAGTACATATGCCAGAGTAGTTTACATTCTAGGAAATAAAGCAAACCTCAACAATTTTTAAAGAATTGCAATTAAATAGAGTATGTTATCTGAACACAAAGGAATTAAAAACTAAAAACCAATAACAAAAAGAAGTCTGGATTATCCTGAAATATTTGGAAATTAACACACTTCAAATAACCCATGAGTCAAAGTCAAAAGGGCAATTAAAGATATTTTGCATTGAATTAAAACGAACAAACAACTTATCAAAAGTATAGGATGCAATTAAAGCAGTGCTTAGAGGAAAACTAATAGCATATATATATATATGCTATCAAATCAATGACCTAAGCTACCACCTTAAGAAACTATAAAAAGAAGAGTAAACTAAACCCAAAGCAAGTAGAAATAAGCAAATAATAAAGAGAAAAGCAGAAACTCATGAAAGTGAAAACAAAAATAATAAAGAAAATCAAACATAAAACTGGTTCCTCAGAAACAGGAACAAAATTTATAAGCCTCTAGCCTGACCAAGAAAAAGAAGAAAACAGATCACTAATGTCAAGAATGAAAAATATTACACTGTAGATCTTAGACATTAAAAGGATAAAGGAATATTTAATACAATATTATGCCTATAAATTTGATAAATTAGATGAAATGGGCAAATTCCTTGGAAAATGCAAACTCCCTAAGCTTACTAAAGAGAAAATAAATAACTTACATATTCCCGTATATATCAAAGAAATTGAATTTGTCATTTAAAATATTTCACTAGCCTGGCCAACATGGTGAAACCCCACCTCTACTAAAAATACAAAAATTAGCTGGGCGTGATGGCAGGTGCCTGTAATCCCAACTACTCGGGATGCTGAGGCAGGAGAATCATTTGAACCTGAGAGGTGGACGTTGCAGTGAGCGGAGATCACACCACTGCACTCCAGCCTCGGGGACAGGGCAAGACTCCGTCTCAAAAAAAAAAAATTTTTTTTCAACAAAAACACTCCAGGCCTAGATGGCTTCAGTGGTGAATTCCACTAAACATTTAGGGAAGAAATAATACAATTTCCCACAGATTCTTCCAGATAATTGAAAAGAAGAAATGTTTGCCAACTAATTTTATGAGGCCATTACACCAATACCCAAACCAGAAATAAACACTGCAAGAAAAAAAATCCTTTAGACCATTATCCCTCATAAACATAGGTAACAAAAATCCTCAACAAAATACTGGCAAACTGTGTTCAGCAACATATAAAAAGAATAATGCATCATGACAAAGTGGGGGAGTTATCCCGGAAATGCAAAATTGGTTCAACATTTAAGAATCAATGAATGTAATTCAATTGACCCAAGAAGAAAAACTATATAAACTTCTCAATAGAAGAAAAAAAAGATAATTGAACAAAATTCAGCATCAATTCATTATAAAAACTCTCCAAAACTAGGAACAGAAGGGAACTTTCACAATCAAACAAAGGGCAATTACACAAAACCTACAACTAATGTCATACTTCATGATTAAAGACTGAAAACTTTCTCCTAAAATCAAGAACAATGCAATGATGTTCACTCTCACCATTTATATTTAACATCATACTGAAGGCCCTAGCCAGTGGAATAAAGCAAGAACAAGAAAAAAAAAAAGCAATATAGATTAGTGATAAAGAAATAAAACTCTTGATTCAAAGGTGACATGATTGTATATGTAGAAAATACAAAAGATTCTATTTTAAAATCTCCCAGAACTAGTAAAGGCATTTGGCAAGGTCACAGTATGCAAGGTCAGTTCAATTAATTGAATGTCTATAGACTAGCCATAAATAATTACAAAAATGAAAAAATTTTAAGTACCATTTATAAGAACACTGAAAATAATGAAATATGTAGGCTAAAATCTGACAAAATATGTGCAAGATCAGCATACTGAGAAGTACCAAACACTGATGAAAGAAAGAAAATAGGATCTAAATAAATGGTGAGATGATCCATATTTTTGAATTGGCAGATTCAATATTATTAAGATATAAATTCCATCAAAATAACCTATAAGTTCAGTGCAATCCCAAACAAAATCCTAGAATTTTGTAGAAGTAAACAACCTGATTTTAAAATTTGTATGTAAAGGCAAGGGAACTAGAAGTGCCAAAATAACAGAACAAAGTTGAAAGACTCAAAATACCTGATGATTTCAAGAGTTACTTCAAAGTCACAATAATCAATACAGTTTGTTATTGCTGAAAGGATGGATACATAGATCAATGTATACATAGATTAATGGAATAGAATAGAATCCAAAGAAAGATCCACACCTATATGGCCAATTGATTTTTGACAAAGAGATGAAGGCAATTCAATGGAGAAATGATCGTCTTTTTGACAAATGATGCTGGAATAATTGGATATCCATATGAAAAAATAGGAAAGTTGACCCAGATGTTACACCATACTCAAAAATCAACTCAAAATGAATCATTGGTGTAAACATAAAAGCCAAAACTACAGAACTTCTAGGAGAAAATGTATGTCACTATGGGTTAGGCCAAGATTTCTAAGATAACATCAAAACACAATCCATAAAAGAAAAATATGAATAAATTGGACTTCATTAAAATTTTGAACCTCTGCTCTTTGAAAGTTACTGCTAAAGAAAATGAAAAAAGGAACCACAGACTTGGAGAAAATATTTGCAAAGTGTGTGTATGGTAAAAGACTTATATCCAGAATATATAAAGATCTCTCAAATTCAGTATCACAAATTGTCAGGCAAATGAAAATTAGAACCATGATGAGATACCACTTTACTCCTGCAAGAACAGCCATAATTTTTTAAAAAAATAGATGTGGTATGGTATGGATGTGGTGAAAAGGGAACACTTCTACACTGCTGGTGGGAATGCAAACTAGTACAACCACTATGGAAAACAGTATGGAGATTCCTTAAAGAACAAAAGGAGAACTACCATTTGACCCAGCAATCCCACTACTGGGTATCTACCCAGAGGAAAAGAAGTCATTGTATGAAAAAGACACGGCCGGGCGCAGTGACTCACGCCTGTAATCCCAGCACTTTGGGAGGTCAAGGCGGGTGGATCACTTGAGGTCAGGAGTTCAAGACCAGCCTGGCCAACATTGTGAAACCCAGTCTCTACTAAAAATACAAAAATTAGCCGGGCGTAGTGGCAGGTTTCTGTAATCCCCGCTACTCAGAAGGCTGAGGCAGGAGAATCTCTGGAACCCAGGAGGCGGAGGTTGCAGTGAGCCAAGATCACACCATTGCACTCCAGCCTAGTTGACAGAACAGGACTCTGTCTCAAAAAGAAAAAATAGAAAAAGACACTTGCACAGGCATGTTTCTAGCAGCACAATTCATAATTGCAAAAATATGGAACCAGCCTAAATGCCCATCAACCAACAAAGTGGATAAGGAAAATGTGATACACACACACACACACACACACACACACACACACACACGCATACCATGGAATACTACTCAGCCATAAAAAGGATTGAAATAATGGCATTCACAGCAACCTGGATGGAATTGGAGACCATTATTCTAAGTGAGGTAACTCAGGAATGGAAAATCAAATATCGTATGTTCTCACTTGTAAGTGGGAGCTAAGCTATGAGAACACAAAGGCATAAGAATGATACAATGGATGTCAGAGACTAGGGGCGGGTGAGGGATAAAAGACTATACATTGGGTACAGTGTATACTGCTCAGGTGATGGGTACACCAAATCTCAGAAGTCACCACTAAAGAACTTATCTATGTAACCAAAAACCACCCGTTCCCCAAAAACTATTGAAATAAAATTTAAAAAATGAGAACAAACAAGCAAAGACCTCAATACAAAAATGGGCAAAATGTTTGAACAAGGATTTGAATTTAAAAAAACAGCAAATATGCACATAAAATGATGCTCCATGGCTCAGTTTTGTTACTCTGTGCAAAAAAAAAAAAAAAAAAGAAAAAAGAAAAGAAAAGAAAAAAAGCTTCTCAATGGCATTAGTCATTAGGGAATTGCAAATTAAAGCCACAGTATGATACAGCTATTGCAAAGACAAAACTAAAAAGCAAAAAAAATCGAGAAAAAACCTGACAATATCAAAGATGACAAGGATGTAGGGCAGCTGGAACTTTCATTTGCTGCTGGCGGGGATGCACAATGATACATCCACTTGAAAAAACAATCTGGGGCCAGTGCAGTGGCTCACACCACTATAATCCTAGCATTTTGGGGCGTGGAGGCAGGAGGATCACTTGAGTCCAGGAGTTCAAGACCAGTCTGGACAACATAGTACAACCTAGTGTGACCCTATCTCTATTTTTAAAAAATTAAAAATAAACAAGCATTTTGGCGGTTCCTATAAAGTTAAACCTATATTTTCCATATGACTCAAAAAACCGAATTCTAGATATTCAAGAGGAATGAAATTCAATTCAAGAGGAATGAAAGCTTATGTTCACACATCAGTGTTTCTGTCTCAAAAAAAAAAAAAAAAAGATGTTACATAACTCCTACTGGAACCACACGACACTACACAGGAAATAGTTTAGCCTTAAAAAATTAAATCTATTAGCCAGGCGTGGTGGTATGTGCCTTTAGTTCCAGCTACTCATGGGAGTTTGAGGTGGGAAGATCACTTGAGCCCAGGAGATGGAGGTTACAGTGAGCTATGATAGTGCCACTGCACTCCAGCCTGGGCAACAGAATTAGATCCTATCTTAAAAGAAACAAAAATTCTGAATCTGACCGAGTTTCTAGATCAACATAGTGATTTCAAGGAAATACAAGGGACAAAAGAACATGTTAAAACACACCATGGGAGCTAATACAAACACGCATACGTATGCATGTTTGTACGCATGTACGTGTATACGTCTATACATTATTTTATAGACAGTCATGTGGTGCTTAACGATGGGGATGTATACTGAGAAACATGTCATTACGCAATTTCATCATTGTGCAAACATCCTAGAGTGTACTTATGCAACCATAGATGGTATAGCCTACTACATACCTAGGCTGCAAACCTGTAGGGCATGTTACTGTAATGAACACTGTGGGCACAATGGTAAGTATCTGTGTATTTAAACATAGAAAAGATACAGTAAAAATACAGTATAAATGATTATAAAAAATAGTACAGCTGTGTAGGGTACTTACCATGAAAGGAGTTTGCAGGACTGGAGGTTGCTCTGGCTGAGTCAGTGAGAGGGTGGTGAGTGAATGTGAAGGTCTAGGACGTCACTGTTCACTACTGTAGACTTTATCCACACTGTACACATAGGATACACTACCTTCATTTTATAACATTTTTTTCTTCAATAATAAATTAATCTTAGAATACTGTAACTTTTTTGCTTTATAAACTTTAAAATTTTTTAACTTTTTTTTTTTTTGAGACAGTCTTGCTTTGTCATCCAGGCTAAGGTGCAGTGGTGTGATCTCGGCTCACTGCAATCTCTGCCTCCCAGGTTCAAGCGATTCTCCTGCCTCAGCCTCCTGAGTAGCTGGGATTACAGGTGCCTGCCACCATGCCTGGGTAATGTTTTGTATTTTTAGTAGAGATGGGGCTTCACCATGTTGGCCAGGCTGGTCTTGAACTCCTGACTTCAGGTGGTTCACCCTCCTTGACGTCACAAAGTGTTGAGATTTTACAGGCGTGAGCCACCATGCCGGGACTTTTGTTTAGCTTTTTGACTCTTTTGTAATAACACTTAGCTTAAAACACAAACACATCGTACAGCCATACAAAATATTTTCCTTCTTTATATCTTTATTTGATAAGCATTCTTCTCTTTTAAATTTTTTTTAACTTCTTAAACTTTTTTGTTAAAAACTAAGACACACTTACAAATAAAGTAAAAACTAAGACTCAAACATACACATTAGTCTAGGCCTACGCAGGGTCAGAATCATGAAAGTCACTGTCTTCCACCTCCATGTCTTGTCTCACTGGAAGGTCTTTGGGGACAATAACAGGTATGGAGCTGGCATCTCCTATGATAACAATGCCTTCTTCTGGAATATCTTCAGAAGAACCTGCCTGGGGCTGTTTTGCAGTTAACTTTGCTTTTTTTCATCAGTAGAAGGAATACACTCTAAAACAATGATAAAAAAATATATAGTATAGGCCATCATGGTGGCTCATGCCAGTAATCCCAGCACTTTGGGAGGCTGAGGTGCATGGATTATCTGAGGTCAGGAGTTCAAGACCAGCCTGGCCAACACGGTGAAACTTCATCTTTACTAAAAATACACACACGCACAAAATTAGCTGAGCATGGTGGCGGGCACCTGTAATCCCAGCTACTTGGGAGGCTGAGGCAGGAGAATTGCTCGAACCCGGAAGGTGGAGGTTGCAGTGAGCTGAGATGGTACCACTGCACTCCAGCCTGAACAAGAGCGAAACTCCATCTCAAATAAATAAATAAATAAATAAATAAAACTTTTAAAAAGCATAGTATAGTAAATACATAAACCAGCAACATTGTTTTTTATTATGATTAAGTATTATATATTGTATATGCTATAGTTTGATATGGGTGGTAGTTCAGTAGGTTTGTTTATGCCAGCATCACTACAAATTCGTGGGGAATGCCTTGTGCTACAACTTTCTGACAGCCATGAGGTCACTAGGCAAGAGGAATTTTTCAGCTCCATTATAATCTTATGGACTGTCATCTATGCAGTCCACCCATGACCAAAATGTCATGTGGCACATGACTGTAGTGTGCATATATATTTATTTTCTAATTAAATGTGTGTGAGTTCAGATACTGAAAGAGCTCTGTATCAATGAGCAGGCCTAGTGGTCATATCTTAGTTCCTAAATGCTGTTCGCCCCCAAACAAATCAGGGCTCCTACAGCATATACAAGATTTGATAATGATAGTAAACAACAATGTTCCTGGTTTTATGATTATACCAGAGGGCTGGTTCGGGGAGCCTGGAGCACTTTCTTGTACCAGAAAGTAAGGAAGTTCTAAAGAAGATGGAGACATATTTAGATGACACAGAAACTGGCTTGAAAGTCTTCCCACTTGGGATAATTTCAATATAAAAAAATGGATAATTATAAAAATAATAATATGAGGCTGGGGATAGTGGCTCACGCTTGTAATCCCAGCACTTTAGGAGGCCAAGGCAGCTGGATCACCTGAGGTCAGGAGTTCAAGATCACCCTGGCAAACATGGTGAAACCCCATCTCTACTAAAAACACAAAAATTAGCCGGGTGTCGTGGTGTGCACCTGCAGTCCCAGCTACTCGGGAGGCTGAAGCAGGAGAATTGCTTGAACCTGGGAGGCCAAGGTTGCAGCGAGCTGAGATTACACTGCTATACTCCAGCCTGGGCAACAGAGTGAGACTCCGTTTCAAAAATAATAATAATAATAATAATAATAATAATAATAATAACTCCTCACTGGTATAAACAGACAAGGGAGAAGGGAGATCTTGACAATAGAAAGCCAGTGACAACATATAGAAGAGAAGATGATGAAATTAGAAAATTATCTTATGGCCCTCGTAATAATTAATTGAGGGAAGATGTATTGATGCATGCTAAAACCAGTGAATGAGGTCAGGACAGAGGGGCAAACCCTCCCGTACGTAACAAAAGTAAAAACTGGATAAAACAACAACAAAAAAACCCCACTATTTAAAGACACGGAAAATGTCCAAAACCAGGCAGAAACTGGAGGAAAGTTTAATATAAAACACAACTGGAAGTGGCAAAACCTGTACATTTGTAACTTTCTGACCTGAGCTTATTCCCCAATCCCCACAGCTACTAGCTGTGGAAATCTGCGGTGAAACCACAGCCTCAGTGTTTCAAGGAATTATCAATCAGAGTGCAAGCGGAGAAACGCAGCTGGGATTTTTTTTTTTAATTAATTAATTTTTTTTTTTTTTTGAGACCGAATCTTGCTGTCGCCCAGGCCAGAGTACAGTGGCATGATCTTGGCTTACTGCAACCTCTGTCTCCTGGCTTCAAGCAGTTCTCCTGTCTCAGCCTCGCAAGTAGCTGAGATTACAGGCACATGCCACCATGCCTGGCTAATTTTTGTATTTTTAGTGGAGACAAATTTTCACCATATTGGTCAGGCTGGTCTTGAACTCCTGACCTCAGGTGATCCACCCACCTTGGCTTCCCAAAGTGCTGGGATTACAGGTATGAGTTACTGTGCCCAGCCCGTGGCTGGGAATTTTAACAGGAAATACTGCCATTGAAAGACTCACTGAAGGAGCGAAACAAATTCTGAATGTAAACTTTGCCCGATTCCCTGGCTGGAAAACAAGCCACACAGGGGAAACTTCTCAGGGTCCTGGTGAAAAAGGAGGCAGAGACCAAGGAGAAATCTCTCGAACGATAAGCTATGTAGGAGGTGAGATCTGTGAGTCTGCTTTCTGTTTCTTGTTCCTTCTGAGTCCATTCCCCAACCATACACAGACTGAATGAACAAGCACGAAAGTCTTACAGGAACGCAATTATCTTAAGACAGACCCGAAAGCCCGCAGAGCAGCTGGAATTAGGCAGGAACCTGCACAAACAAGAAGCCACAGAGATGCTGAGTTCATCACCAAGTTAAGCAGGGACAAGGCTGATCACAAAGTTAAGCAGGGACAAGGGAGACCCCCATGGCCCAGGCTGAAAAAGCAGCAGTGAGAAACTTGCATAGGACAGAGGTCTCAGGTGCTGAACACTACAGGGGAAAAAAAACTTGGTAGTTTGGATCCAGGCAAGTTAATTGCCTATTAGAATGACAACAAGACAACGTCCCTCAGAAGAACACACCAAAATCCAGAGTCCACATTGTATTACTTACACTGTCCAATTTTCAACCCAAAATTATCAAACATGCCCCCCCAAGACCCCGAAAACAAAACAGAACAACAACAACCAAAAAATACCCAGAAAACAAGACAGTCAATAAAAACCGAATCTGACTGAACTCAGGTGTTGGATTTAGCAGACAAAGGCTTCCAAGAGGATAGAAAGATGTTCAAATAATTAAAGGAAAATATGGTATAAATGAATAAGCCGATATAAAATTACAATAGAAAAATGGAAGCTATTTGGGGGGACATTCTAGAGCTCTGAAGTATAATAAATGAAATTAAAATTTTACTAGATGGGCTCAAAACCATATTTGAGATGGCAGAGGAAAGATCAACGGAAATTACTGATCCAAAGGACATAAACATTGAAGAAAAATGTGGGAAATGTAGCACTGATTAGATATTTGATGATATTAAGAAATTATTCTTGGCCAGGCACAGTGACTCACACTTGTAATCTCCGTACTTTGGGAGGCTGAGGTGGGAGGATCACTTGAGGTCAGGAGTTCAAGACTAGCCTGGCCAACATGATGAAACCCCAACTCTACTAAAAATACAAAAATTAGCTGGGCATGGTGGTGGGCACTTGTAATCCCCGCTACTTGGGAGGCTGAGGCAGGAGAATTGCTTGAACCCAGGAGGTGGAGGTTGCAGCAAACTGAGATCATGCCACTGCACTTCAGCCTGGGTGACAGAGTGAGACTCCATCTCAGAAAACAAAAAGAAATTATTCTGTTAGGTATCATAATATCATAGTTGATATAATATGTATCATGGTTAATATATATTATGTGTAACGTCTCACGGTGTGTGTTTTAAATACTTATTTGACATATTAAGATGAAGATGTTTGATAGAAATTTGCTTCAAATAATTATGTAGGGAGGGTTAGTGAGTACTAAATCAAACGTAGATGGCATAGATTAGCTGAATTGATAATTATTGAAGATTTATTATTATTACTAATTTTCTATATGTTTGAAATTTCCTACAATAAAAAATTAAACAAAATTAGCTCAAAAGCAAAAATGTCCAGAAGTAGACTTCAGGCAAGTTTGATACAGCAACTTAATAACATCATCAAGAACCTGCCCACCTCACTTGCCTCCTCTCCTCTCCTGCTCTGCTCCTCCCCTCCCTGTCGCTCTCCCCTCTTTTTCTGCAGTATTGATATCACCTTCTGGCTCCGTGTAATGTGCCCCCAGCAGTTCTAAAATCCCCTTTCAGTTTGGCAAAAGGTACAGTTGACCAGGTGCAGTGGCTCACACCTGTAATCCCAGCACTCTGGGAGGCTGAGGCGGGTGAATTGCTTGAGCTCAGGAGTTCAAGAACAGCCTGAGCAACAAGGCAAGTCCCCATCTCTACAAAAAAAAAAAAATTAGCTGGGTGTGGTAGTGCACACTTGTGTTCCCAGCTACTGGGGAGGCTGAGGATGCAGTTAGCTGAGATTATGCCACTGTACTCCAGCCTGGGTGACAGAGCAAGACCTTGTCTGAAAAGAAAAAAAAAAACCATTCCAGTTTACCAAGGTAACAACCCTATGCCACTCTTCCCTGGGAAAGAGAGTGCCCTGTTGGCTCTCACAGAAGGAAAAGGAAACTTCCCTTTCTCAGGAGGCCCCAGTGTAATTCTCCTGTCAGGCCCCGATTGGGCTGCACATCCATCCTGAACCAGTCACTCCATTCCTGTTGATGGGATACATTGATGGGGGAGAGTGAGTTTCTAAAGGAAATGGGAGGCTATAGAAGGAGGGGAAATGGATGCTGGACAGCAATCCACAAGTAACCTTAAAAACTGCCGCCATGGCCAGATAGATTGGTCCAGAGAGGACATCTGACCTTTGCTGCCACAATCAAATTCCTTCCTTACCAAGGCAGTGGAGTTAGAGAATAATCAGCCTTACCTTTGTGTCATAGGCATGGGAGTATGTGGACTGCCTGAAGCCATCTTCCCTGGTGTGTAGACAAAGTCCGCCTGCCATTAGAGAAGAGGATGCCAACTAAGAGCAAGAAACTGAAGCAATACAGGACGAGGCAGGTTCCTAATTTCTTGTTTGAGTTTCTGGACCTATTCATGCATGAAGCTGGGTCAGCCCACAGACTTCCCAGATACATTAGCCAATATTTGGTTTTCTACTTTTTTTTTTTTCTTTTTGAGACGGAGTCTCACTCTGTCACCTGGGCTGGAGTGCAGTGGCACCATCTCGGCTCACTGCCACCTCTGCCCTCCCGGGTTCATGCGATTCTCCTGCCTCAGCCTTCCCAGTAGCTGGGATTACAGGTGCACACCACCGCACCCTGCTAATTTTTTGTATTTTTAGTAGAGACGGGGTTTCACTATGTTGGCCAGACTGGTCTCGAACTCTTGACCTCATGATTCAACCGCCTCGGCCTCCCAAAGTGCTGGGATTACAGGCGTGGGCCACAGCTCCCAGCCCGTTTTCTACTTCTTATAGCTCAAAGAGCCTGAATGAATACATATGCACTGTGCAGTGCAAGCATGACTGTCTTAGGTCAGGTTCTCTCTAAAGCAGACCCTGAGATGACAATTCACGTGCAAATAATTATTTACTCCCAGGAGAAGTTGATTAGTGAAGTGAGGTGTCATATCTTGCAAAATCTCACTTCATCATGATCCTCTAGGTATCTCTAGAGCATAAATTACACTTCAGAGTTGGTCCTACGTTGAGGTTGGTTTTCATACTCCTGCATGTGTCAGTCATTGGCTAAGAACTCTGCCCCAAGGACATATAAACTTTCCAGCATCTCTGCTCTTGGGGAGTTCTTGGGAGGTGGCATCAGTAACCCAAGATAGACTGAAGATAGTCGCAAGTGCAAGCCCTTAGAAACACAGACCTCAGAAGCTGGGAGATGCATGTGCCAAGCTGGTCAGGGGTTCTCAGAGAACCTGGCTGGAGCACCACAGTGTCCACTACAGAAAGAAAAGCAAGGAAAGAGGCCAAACGGAGAGTCAGGAATTGCTGGGGGCTCCATGCGAACAAGTCTAAGAGATAAAAATGCCAGGGGGACCCAGTCGTCAGGGTGCCCCCCCCCAACCCCCCGCCGCCACTTCTGTGTTTGACCTCCAGGAGCGCTACTGGGTCCTCACAGTGAATGTCAGAGAAAAATCCCCTCAGGCTCCTGGCAGAGGGACGGGAAAAGGAATCATTTTGAAATATACCAGGGCATTCTGTTCTTTTTTACAAGGTCTGTCAACAGGAGAAACTAACCAGAGCCTAACCAGCTGGGCTTTTATCAGAACCTAACTGACCCAGGCCAAAAACAAAACAACAAAACAAAACAAAGCAAAAAAACTCAAAACCTAGGTGGCCCCAGCCTTCCACACGGGAGAAGGGAAATCACCAACTCCAGCCCACTCTGGCTGTTCTATCCCCCTAAGACGAGAGGGGGACTGAGAAGCACTTGTGAAACTCACAGTCTGAGAACACAGGCTCATTGAGAGACTGAGACCTAGTCATAGGACTACAGAATGCTTCTCCTCTCCCTACACCTTACCAACACATTACTAAAGGCCTATTTACAACAGTTCCATTTATCTAGTACATCATGTCCAGCAATCAAGAAAAAATTACAAGATATACTAAAAGGCAAAAAAACAAACAAACAAACAAAAAAAACACATGGTTTGAAGACACAGAGCAAGCATCGAAACCAGACTCATATGTGGTAAGGATGTCGGATGATCAGAACAGAAATCTAAAAGAACCATGATTAGTGTGCTAAGGCACCAATGGACACAGTATACATCATGCAAGAACAGATGGGCAATGTAAGCAGAGAGTTAGAAATTCTATGAAAGAATCAAAAAGAAATGCTAGAGATCAAAAACACTGTAACAGAAAAAAGGAATCCCTTTGATGGTCTTATTAGTAGACTGGACACAACTGAGGAAAGAATCTTTGAGCCTGAGGATATCTCAGTAAAAGCCTCCAAAAATGAGGCCAGGCGCAGTGGCTCACGCCTGTAATCCCAGCATTTTAGGAGGCCGAGGTGGGTGGATCATTTGAGGTCAGGAGTTCAAGATCAGCCTGACCAACATGATGAAACCCTATCTCTACTAAAAATACAAAATCAGCTGGGTGTGGTGGCGGGCGTCTGTAATACCAGCCACTCAAGAGGCTGAGGCAGAAGAATCTCTTGAACCTGGGAAGTGGAGGTTGCAGTGAGCCGAGATTGTGCCACTGCACTCCAGTCTGGGCAACAAGAGCGAAACTCCATCTCAAAAACAAACAAACAAACAAACCTCCAAAAATGAAAAGCAAATAGGAAAAAAGACTTAAAAAAAATAGAGCAAAATATCCAAGAACAATGAGGCAACTACAAAGGGGTAACAGATGCATAGTGTAATACCAGAAGAAGAAGGAAAGAAAGGAACAGAAGAAATATTGGAATAATAATGACTGAGAGTTTCTACAAATTCATGATCCAAACCACAGAGCCAAGAAACTCAGAGAACACCAAACAGGATAAATGCAAAAACAACAAAAACAACAACAACAAAAACCCACACCTAGACATACCATTTTCAAACTACAGAAAATCAAAGATAAAGAAAAAATCAGAAAGAAGTCTAAGGAAAAAAAATCCTGCCTCATAATTCTTACAAAGAATTACGTCCAGCTTCTCAGAAACCATGCAAGCAAAAAGAGAGTGGAGTGAAATATGTAAAATGTTGAGAGAAAAAAACTCTCCAACCTAGAATTCTGTACCCTGTGAAATTGTCCTTCAAAAGTCAAGGAGAAATGAAGAGTTTCTCAGACAAACATAAATTGAGGAAATTTGTTGCCAGTAGATCTGTCATGCAGAAAATGTTAAAAGAAGTTCTTTAGAGAAAAAGAAATTGGTATAGGTCAGACTCTTGGATCTGCATAGGGAAAAGAAGAGCATCAGAGAAGAAATTAGTCAATGTAAAGTAACAATTTCTATTTTTCTTATTCTTAGTTGATTTAAAAGATAGCACTTTCTTCAAAATAATAATACCAACAACTTACTTGGTTATATGTATGCTTCTATATATGCTAATGTATATATGCTTATATATGTGTGTGTGTGTATGCACAGACAGTGTCCCGAGTCCCTGGGTGCAGTCCTTCCAGAGGCCACCGTGACTCTGTCTGTCCTGCTCAGGGGAACTGGTTCATTTCCTCCCACCTGCCCTTTTGTTCTTTTTCACTCCAGGTCATAAGGTCCTGACCATTACGGGGACCCTCCTTTGCTCCAATCAGGTGTGGCCTGGGAGCTGGGTCACAGAAAGCAAGGCAGCATCTCTGGACAGGTCTCTTCAAGATATTGTGACCTGAAGGGAGGTTTGGGCAAGGCGGCCCCTGGCAGTTTCTGCACCTGGGCGCTGAGCACAGGGGGCCCCTGGGGAGGGACCACCCAGCTCCTGCCTTCCCTGAGAACTGCCTGTTCCCCCAGTTGAAGGAATGGTGTCAGCGTTCCATGCCTCAGTCTCACCTGGCCATGGCAGATTGGACTGGGGTGGATACCTGCCCCAAGCCTGGGCAATTACGTTCTCTTTCGCAGGTATTGAAACTGGGACCAGAGACTGTAGTTCAGAGATGCTGGTGGCTGCAGCAGAGAGGTGGTGCAGGGATGCAGCTGGGGAGTCTGACACCGCTTAGCTGCAGGGCTGTGGCTACAATGTGCTTGCTGAGAGACACAATACACAGTACTCAAGCTCGTCAATCAGAGCGCTGTAACAATGGTGAGTTCCTGGTAGCCATTTCGTGTCTTTGGTAGCCCTCTCTTGCCCCAAGGCCACATTTTCTTGATCCAGGAATAGACCCATCATCTAGGTTAGGTTATCAGAGTCTCTAACGCATGATACTGGACTCGAGGCTAGAATATTGCATGGGTTTTTGTTCGTTTGTTTTTAGAGACAGGGTCTTGCTCCATCACCCAGGCTGGAGTGCAGTGGCCCAATCATAGCTCCCTGCAGCCTCCAGCTCCTGGGATCAAGCGATCCTCCCACCTCTGCCTCCGCCTCTCAAGTACCTAAGACGATAGGTGCGAGCCACTGTGCTACTGGCTTTCAGTCTTCACCTGAATAACTTATTAAATGGTGGGGCTTGGATATAGGCACTGTTGATACTTTCTGCTATGTAAACTGAAATGCATGGGACATTCTGTTGAGAGAGGGAGACGGCAGCAGATGCAGAATGAGGAGAGTCCTGACAGCATTCCACAGCCTGTGGCTGTTTTCCCTGCCCACCTGTCTTTGTTTCCACATAAAGGGAATTTATGATAAATCCTCTATTTTCTTTCTTTTTTTTTTTTGATGGAGTCTCACTCGCACCCTGGCTGGAGTGCAGTGGTGCAATCTCGGCTCACTGCAAGCTCCACCTCCCGGGTTCATGCCATTCTCCTGCCTCAGCCTCCCAAGTAGCTGGGACTACGGGCGCCCGCCACCATGCCTGGCTAATTTTTTTGTATTTTTTTAGTAGAGATGGGGTTTCACCATGTTAGCCAGGATGGTCTCAATCTCTTGACCTCGTGATTTGCCTGCCTTGGCCTCCCAAAGTGCTGGGATTACAGGCGTGAGCCAAAATTGTCTATTTACTTAGGTTACTATCTAGTTTGTTTTTTTTTTAAAAAAAACAGAATCTTGCTCTGTCACCCAAGCTGGAGTGCAATGGCGTGATCTCAGCTCACTGCATCCTCTACCTCCCAGGTTCAAACGATTTTCCTGCCTCAGCCTCCCAAGTAGCTGGGATTACATGCACATGACACGACACCCAGCTAATTTTTTGTACTTTTAGTAGAGACAGGGTTTCATCATGTTGGCCATGCTGGTTTTGAACTCCCAACCTCAAGTGATCTGCCCGCTTCATCCTCCCAAAGTGCTGGGATTACAGGTGTGAGCCACCGCACCCGGCTTTTTTTTTTTTTTTTTTTTTTTTTTTTTTGAGACAGAGTTTTGCTGTCGCCCAGGCTGGAGTGCAGTGGTGCGATCTCGGCTCACTGCAACCTCTACCTCCCAGGTTCAAGCAGTTCTCCTGCCTCAACCTCCCAAGTAGCTGGGATTACTGATGCATGCCACCATGTCTGGCTAGTTTTTGTATTTTTAGTAGAGACTGGGTTTCAGCATGTTGGCCAAGCTGGTCTTGAACTCCTGACCTTGGGTAATCCACCTGCCTCAGCCTCCCAAAATGCTGGGATTACAGATGTGAGCCACCACGCCCAGCCTAGTTCTTGAATCCAAATTTCCTTACCAACCCAGCAAGGAAGCGATAAATTGAAAATTTCATTTAAAGGAGTCCCCAAGCCACTCAGTAGTATTTATCAACAGGATTAGGTAAATGTAACATAGTATGGAATTATTAATAATTAATTTCCTCCAATAAAGCTGAATATAAAGGTAAGAGACATTGAAATTATATTACGAAGAGTGAAATAACTGAAAATGACACAAGTGAGATTGTTCTAAAAGTTTCTTAGAATCTTAGGACACATTTGCTCACTCATTCAAGCTAGGTCAAGCAAAAAAAGGAATTAATTGGAAGGACAAAGGAATGGGACCTCATGGCAACAATGGTCAAAAATGCAGTTACTCATGAAGAATCAGTACCTAGTAAGTCAGAAGAGTGTACTGTGGTGTCTCTCAGGAACCACATGACCCCTCGGCCCTGCAGCTCAGCGGTGTCTGACTCCCCAGCTCCAGCCCTGCACCACCTCTCTGCTGCAGCCACCAACGTCTCTGAACTGCAGTCTTTGGTCCCAGTTTCAATACCTAGGAAAGAGAACTTAATTGCCCAGCCTTGGGGCAAGGGTCCACCCCAGTCCAATCTGCCATGGCCAGGTGAGATCAGGGCATGGAACGCTGACACAGAAGCTGGCACTGTCCCTTTAGAAAGCGTTGGGGGACAGGCCGTTCTCAGGGAAGGCAGGAGCTGGGTAGTCCTCCCTGAAGTGCCTCTGTACTCCGCACCCAGGTGCAGAAACCGTAAGGGGCCGCCTTGCTCAAACCTCCCTTCAGGGCACCCGTCCAGAGACACTGCCTTACTTTCTGCCTTACTTTCTGCCAGGTGATCCTGACTCCCAGGCCACTCCTGACTGGAGCAAAGGAGGGTCCCTGTAATGGTCAGGACCTTTTTCAATGGTGAGTCTTGAAATTCAAATGACCTGAAGTGAAAGAGAAAAAAGGGCAAGTGGGAGGCAATGAACCAGCACACCTCAGCAGGAAGGACAGAGTCATGGTGGCTTCTGGAAGGACTGGACCCAGGACCCAGGGACTCAGGACACTGTCTGACCCTCTGTCTTCTCCGCTCGTTTTTGCTTCTCCCTATGGAATGCCCTCATCCTCTCCGCCTGGGACCTCATATGCATCATGCCAGGAAGCACGGCAGGAGGCCCTTCAGATTGATGTTTGACCATCCCTACAATGAAGGCAAAAGCAGCCTTTCTCCAATTTGAGCTTGAAAAATCCTCCATGAGGACTCGTTAGGAAAATATACATATATATATATACACATATGTGACAAAAAATTAAAACAAACAAAAGTGGAAAAATTGTACTTTTAAAAAATGTTATGTACTCATCACTGGATTTCAACAATTATCAACAAACGGGCAATCATGTTTCATCTGTACATCCACCCTCCACTGGATTATTTTAAAGCAAATCCCAAATATTCTGTCACTTCCTCTGAAATACTTCTGACGTATCGTAAGGAGTTTTAAAAACTTAATCATAATGCCAATATCATGCTAAAAAATTAGCAAAAATGCCTTAATACCATCAGCATAGTCAACCAGTGTTCACATTTCTCTAGCTGTCTTAAAAATTGAAAAACTGGACCAGAGCAATTGGGCAAGAGAAAGAAGTAAAGGGGATCCAAATTGGAAGGGAAGAAGTCAAGTTAGCCTTGTTCACAAACAACATGATCTTATACCTAAAATAACCCAAAGATTTCACCAAAAAACCATTAGAACTGATAAACAAATTTGGTAAATTTGCAGGATACAAAATCAACATCCAAAAGTCAGTAGCACTTATATATGTCAATAGCGAACAATCTGTTAAAAAAAATCAAGAAAGCAATCGCATTTATAATAGCTACAAAGAATATTAAATACCTAGGAATCAATCTAACCAAAGAAGTGAAAGGTCTATACAAGGAAAACTATAAAACTCCAATGAAAAAAATAGAAAAGGACATACAAAAAAGTGAAAAGATATTCCATCCTCATGGATTGAAAGAATTAATAGTATTGAAATGACAATACTATCCAAAGCAATTTACAGATTCAATGCAATCGCTATCAGAAATACCAATGACATTCACAGAAATAGAAAAAAAAATCCTAAAATTTATATAGAACCACAAAAGACTCTGTATTGCCAAAGCAATCCTAAGCAAAAAGAACAAAGTTGGAGGCATCACACTACAAACTTCAAAATATATTACAAAGCTATAGTAACCCAAACAGCATGGCACTGGCATAAAAACAGACAAATATACCAATAGAACAGAATAGAGGACCCAGATATAAATCCACACATTCATATCCAATTCATCTTTGACAAAGGTACAAAGAACGTACAATGGAAAAAGGATAGTCTTTTCAACAAATGCTGCTGGAAAAACTGGATAAACTATATGCAGAAGAATGAAACTAAACCCCTATCACTCAGCATACACAAAAATCAAATCAAAATGGATTAAGATTTGAATGTAACACCTGAAATTATGAAACTACTAAAAGAGAACATTTGGAAAATGCTCCAAGACATTGGTCTCGGGCAAGCAAAGATTTTTTTGTGTAAGACCTCACAAGTACAAACAACAAAAGCAAGTGAAAATAGACAGATGGGATTACATCAAGCTAAACAGCAAAGGAAACAATCAACAAAATGAAGAGACAACTCACAGAATGGCAGGAAATATTTGCAAACTACCCATTTGACAAGGGATTCATAATCAGAATATATAAGAAGCTCAAACAACAGCAAAAACAAAACAAAACAAAATACAATCTGATTTTTAAATGGGCAAAAGATTGGAATAGACATTTCTCAAAAGAAGCCATACAAATGGCTAACAGGTATATGAAAAAATGTTCAACATCACTAATCACCAGAGAAATGCAAATCAAAACCACAGTGCAGTATCATTTAACCCCAGTTAAAATGGCTGTGTCAAAAGAAACAAAGAGTAACAGATGCTGGTAAGGATGTGGAGAAAGGGGAACCCTCCGTCTTACACTGCTGATGGGAATGTCAACTGGTATAGCCCCTATGGGGGACAGTATAAAGCTTCCTCAAAAACCTAAAAATAAAACTACCAAGTGATCCAGCAATTCCACTACTGTGTATATATTCAAAGGAAAGAAAATCAATATACCAAAGCGACATCTATGCTCCCATGTTTATTGCAGCACTATTCACGATAGCCAAGACATGGAAGCAACTGAAGTGCTCATCAACAGATGAATAAAGAGAAAGTAGTACACACACACGATGGAATATTATTCAGCCATTAAAAAAAAAAGCCAGGAGCGATGGCTCACACTTGGGAGGCAGAGGCAGGATAATCTCTTGGCGCAAGAGTTCAAGACCAGCCTGGACAACATAGGGAGACCCCATCTCTACTATATTAAAAAAAAAAAAAAAAAGCCAGGCATGATGGTGTGTGCCTGTAGTACCAGCTACTCTGGAGGCTGAGGGGAGGATTGCTTAAACCTGGGAGTTCAAGGCTGCAATGAGCCGTGATTGCACCACTGCACTCCAGCCTAGGCAGCAGATCGAGAAAAAAAAAAGAAAGAAAGAAAGAAAGAAAGAAAAGATCCTGTCACTTGCAGCAACATGGATGGAACTGGAGGTTGTTCTGTAAAGTGAAATAAGCTAGGCACAGAAAGACACATATCACACATTCTCACTCATACATGGGAGCTAAAAACGCGGCTCTCATGGAGAGAGAGTAGAATGTTGGTTACCAGAGGCTGGAAGGGGAGCAGGGAGGGAGGAATAAAGGGGAAAAAAAGAATATAAATGTATTTATAACCACTGAACTGCATACTTAAATATGGTAAAGAGGTACTGACCATTTTTGATATGGGTTAATAAAAAGGAATAAGAGCAAAAAATTTAAAAAATGATAAAGAGAGCAAATTACATAGGTATATTTTACCTCAATAAAAAGAAAAAAGAAAAAAAACTTGAAAAATTGGCTTCAAATCAGGATCCAAACAAGCTTCACTCATTGCATTTGGTGGCTGTGTCTCTGCAGACTCCTTCAATCTACAAATTCCTCCTCTTTTTTCCTCCTTGTAGCTTTTTTTTTCCCCAAGAAACTGAGCCATGTGCCATCTAGAGTTCCCCGCATTCCAGGCCTTGTGTGGCATCTCTGCAGGGTCTTTCCACAGGATCCTCTGTCTGACCTCGTTGGCTGGTAGATCTAGAGGCCTCCTTTCCCACGCTGGGGTGTGCAGGTGAGCTACCTCACAGGTGGCAGGCGCTCCCTCAGCATCAAGATGGGAGACAGCGAGCCTGCTGGCTTCTCTTTTCCTGAGCCTGGAGAAAGGTTTCAGGTGTCTCACCTGGCCATCATTTTAGGGCTTCCCATCAGGTTTCTGCCTGAGGGCTTTCGCAGATATTGACCACCATTGCTGGGATCCATTTCTTCTTCAGTATCCATTATCTATCTATCATTCCTACTGAATTTATTAGCTAGAATTCTTTCTAAAGTGAGTTGACTCAGTTTTTCTGTAAAGGGCTAGATAGTAAATATTTTAGGCCTGATGAACCACATATAGTCTGTCGAATCTTTTTCTTTTTTTATTGCTCTTTAAAAATGTGAAAATCTTCCTAGACAGTAGGCATTACAAAGACAGGCTGCAAACCAGATTTGGTCCATGGGCCATAGTTTGCCAACTTCCATTCTAAAAAGAAGAGAACTTTTCCTCATCCACTATCTGGTTGCCTTAAAGTATTGTATAACTTGGACAAGAGAGGTGGGATTCTTTTCTTTTAGTTCTCAACTTCAGAACGATGGTTTGAGGCCGAGCTCATGCCTGTATTCCCAGCACGTTGGAAGGCTGAGGCAGGAAAATCACATGTGTCCAGGAGTTCGAGGCCAGCCCGGACAACATGGTGAAACCCTATCTCTACAAAAAAGTACAAAAATTAGCTAGGTGTGGTGGTATACATGCCTGTAGTTCCAGCTACTTGGAGGGGGCTGAGGTATGAGGATTGCTTGAGCCTGGGAGATCAAGGATGCTGTGAGCCATGATCACACCATTGCATTCACCCTGGGTGAAAGAGTGAGAATCTGTCTCAAAAATAAATAAATAGGCCAGGCACGGTGGCTCACGCCTGTAATCCCAGCACTTTGGGAGGCCGAGCGGGCGGATCACGAGGTCAGGAGATTGAGACCATCCTGGCTAACACAGTGAAACCCCGTCTCTACTAAAAATACAAAAAAAAAAATTAGCCAGGTGTGGTGGCGGGCACCTATAGTCCCAGCTACTCGGGAGGCTAAGGCAGGAGAGTTGCTTGAACCTGGGAGGCGGAGGTTGCAGTGAACCGAGATTGCGCCACTGTACTCCAGCCTGGGCGACAGAGCAAGACTCCATCTCAAAAAAATAAAAATAAAAAAAAAATAAAAAATAAAAATAAATAAATGAAAATAACAGTCTGGCGCCCTTATGTGCTCCAAAGGTGATTAATTGGACACCTCGTGTCACCAGCTCACCTGTTCTCGGCTCACCGTTCCCTCCAGGCGCTACTACAGCTGCCAACTTTGCTCAGGTGAGACTTGGCTGCTCCCGCATCCGCTGTACCTCTTACTTTTTCTTTCCTGTCCCAGGACTCCTAGGACACTGTGATATGTGACAATTGCAGAAATCTGAAAGACACTTGCAACTGGGCTGCCTGGAAGAGTGGGGAAGATAATGCCCCGTAGGGCAGTCCTTGACCAATAGAAAACAAAAGCCAGGGGGAGGTAAACGTGTTCCCCTTTGTCCTTAAGTGAGCAATTTTGAGGCATATTTTAGATG
The DNA here is from genome assembly GCF_000001405.40 of Homo sapiens. NCBI lineage: Eukaryota > Metazoa > Chordata > Mammalia > Primates > Hominidae > Homo > Homo sapiens. The sequence goes on from NC_000020.11 coordinate 58,973,204, forward strand.
GTTCCACCAAAGGTCCTGCAAGAATATGGCCCACAGTCATAACCACCTCAGCACAGCACCCTTGTACTGGCTTCCCTCCTTTCCTGTTCCTCCCTCCTGCCCCTGGGGTCACTTTGAAATTGAACTACCTAACGTTGTTCTGCCCGGCCACGGTGCTCCCAGCCACTGGTGAGGGATTTGCTCTGCTACCCACTCTGGTAGCAGCTTCACGGTTCAGGGACAGCTTCATTCAGATGTTCCCCAACTGATGCTACAAATTCATCTTCAAGTGGGCAAAGCTTCTCAGAAATGTAGTGATTTTTGCCAGGTGTGGTGACATGTACCTGTAGTCCCATCTACTCAGGAGACTGAGACAGGAGGATCATTTGAGTGCAGGAGTTCAACATTGCAGTGAGCTATGATAGTGCCACTGCAGTCTAGCCTGGGCAACAGAGCAAGACTCCAGCTCTAAATAATAATAATAATAATAATAATAATAATAATAATAATAATAAAGAAGAAGAAGAAAGGCCAAGTGCGGTGGCACATGCCTGTAATCCTAGCACTTTGGGAGGCCGAGAAGGATGGATTGCCTGAGCTCAGGAGTTCAAGCCTAGCCTGGGCAACACAGTGAAATCCCATCTCTACTAAAAACACAAAAAAATTAGCCAGGCATGGTGGCATGCATCTGTTGTCCTAGCTACTCAGGAGGCTGAGGCAGGAGAGTTGCTTGAACCTGGGAGGTGGACGTTGCAGTGAGCCGAGATTGTGCCACTACACTTCAGCCTGGGCAACAGAGCGAGATAAGAAGAGGAAGAAGAAGAAGAAGGAAGAAGAAGGAAGTAGAAGGAAGAAGAAGAAGAAGAAGAAGAGGAGGAGGAGGAGGAGGAAGAGGAAGAAGAGGAAGAGGAAGAAAAGAAAGAGGAAGACAAAGTCTTACATTCTATTTTGTCTGATATTAATACAGAAACTTCAACTGTCTTATGGTTACTGTTTGCATGGTATAATTTTTTCCATCCTTTTGCTTTCCACCTATTTATGTCTTTAAATCTATGATGTTTCTATTATAGACAGCATATGGGTGGGGTCTTGCTTTTTCATCCAGTATGACTGTCTCTGTCTTTTGAGGTATCTAGTCTATTCACATTTAATAAAATTCCAGATATGGTTGGATTTATGCTGCCACTTTGCTATTTGTTTTATATTTATCTCCTGTCTCTTCTGGTCTGCTTTACTGCCTTATTTTATGTTAAATGTGTTTTCATGAACTACATGGATTTATCTGTTGATTTTCTTTCTTACTATTTTTTTTGAGTTTTTTCATTAGTGATTGCTCTAGGGATTACAATGCACATCTTAATTCAGCACAGTCTGTCAAATTTGGTTTTTTGTTTTTTTTTTTTTTAGATGGAGTCTTGCTCTTTCGCCAGGCTGGAGTGCAGTGGCACAATCTTGGCTCACTGCAACCTCTGCCTCCTGGGTTCAAGTGATTCTCCTGCCTCAGCCTCCCAAGTAGCTGGGACTACAGGCACGTGCCACCACGCCCAGCTAATTTCGTATTTTTAGTAGAGGTGGGTTTTCACCATGTTGGCCAGGATGGTCTCGATCTCTTGACCTCGTGATCCAACCGCCTCGGCCTCCCAAAGTGCTGGGATTACAGGTGTGAGCCACCGCACCTGGCCCAAAGTTACTTAATTTCAGTAAAATATAGAAACCTCGGCCAGGTGCGGTGACTCAGGCCTGTAATCTCAGAACTTTGGGAGGCCGAGGTGGGCGGATCACCTGAGGTCAGGAGTTTGAGACTAGCCTGGCCAACATGGTGAAACACTATCTCTACTAAAAATACAAAAATTAGCCGGGCATGGTGGCGGGTGCCTATAATCCCAGCTACTGGGAAGGCTGAGGCAGGAGAATCACTTGAATGATGGTTCAAGCGAACGGCGGAGGTTGCAGTGAGCCAAGATCATGCCACTTCATTCCAGCTTGGGCAAAAGAGTAAAACTCTGTCTAAAAAAAAACCAAAAAAACAAAAAAACCCGCTCGCTCCAATTTGTATTTGTCTCACTCCAACTGTACAGTATTATGATGATGCTTTATTTAATATTACGTATTTTTTAAAAGGCAAGAGAAGAACTAGAGTCTCTTTAGTCTCTTTACAGACTTTAATATTTACCATTTCTGATATTCTTCATCTCTTGTGAATTGAAGTTACTATCTAGAGTAACTTTCAGCTTGAAGAATTTCCTTTAGTGTTTCTTGTAAGGCAGGTCATTAGCAACAAATGCTTTCAGTTTTTATCTGGGAATGTATTTATTTTACCTTTATTTTGATATTGCTGGATATAAAATTCTTGGTTGACAGTTTGCTTTATTCAAACATTTGGAATATGTCCTTCCACTACCTTTAGCTTCCATTTTTTTTCTGATGAGCAGTCAAGTCATTAATCACATTTCCCTTGTTGCTTTCAAGAATAAGAAAATACACAGGCCAAAATATCACAGATTTACACTGTTCTTACTTAAAGTTTAGTAATTTTAATTAATAAATGCTTCTCCGTTTGCTGTATGCCTTTGGTCTATTATTTCCAGAGGCCTGCAATGGTTATTTTTGACAGTTTTGTCCAGTATCATTGTGGCATTTAAGGGGCAAGATTTGTTGACCTCACTCCGTTGTCATGTCAGACATGAGAAAATGGTTTGTTGGGTTTTTTTTTTTTTTCAGATGAAATGAGAGGTCACTGAGATGTATTAAGCGGAGAAGGGAAATAATCTGTTTGTGTTTTAAAAGACTGCTTTAGACACTCATATTAGTTAATTATTGCTGCACAAAAAATTACCCCAAATTGATTTACTTACAACAACGCACATTTATTATGTCATAGTTTCTGTAGGAATTTTGCAAGCAGTTTAGCTGGATGGTTCTGACTCAGGGTCTCTCATGAAGTTGCAAGTGGTATGTCAGCTGGGACTTGACTGAAAGTGGAGAATCCACCTCCAAGCCCACTTACTTAGCTGCTGTAGGAGCCCTCAGTTCCTCACTATGGGTTTCTCCATGGGCCTGTTCACAGTGTGGCATCTGGCCTCCTCCAAAGTGAGTGATCTGAGAGAGTGTGGCCAAAATGGAAGTCCCAGTGTCTTCTTATGACCTAGTCCATGAAGTCCCCCACTGTCACTGCCTTATTCATTAGAAGTGAATCACTAAGTTCAGCTCACACACAAGAGGAAAGACATTAAGCTCCGCCTCTTGAAGAGAGGAGTATAAAAAAAGTTGTGGATACATTTTGTAAACCATCACACTGCTGTTTGGAGAATGGACTGTAATAGAGAACAGAAAGATGAGTCAGATCAGTCTGTGGCTACTGCAGCCACCCAGGTGAGAGCTGGTAAGAGCCTGAACTAAGACAGTGGCATAACGATGGAGACAAGTGAATAGATTTGAAGTAGATTTTGCACGTGGATCTGATGCAGAATTTGCCTTGGGTTGAATAGGAATCATGGGGGAACAGAAGTTACAAATGATTTCCAGGTGTCTGGTATTTGTAACTAAGGACGTGGTGGCCCCATGTCCTCTCTCTCTCCCTTACTCTCTCTCTCTCTGGCCTGCCCTTTCTTTCTCCCTTTCTCTCTCTCTCTCTGGTCTGGCCTCTCTCTCTCTCCCCTTACTGTCTCTCTCTCTCCTTTTGATGTCTGCACTCCAGCCATTTTCTTTACTGTCATTTCTTATTTTCTCCACTGTACCCTATTCTCTTTGTCCTCCAGATTGAAGTCACAAGTCTCAGCTTAAACATAATTTCCCTGGAAAGGACTTCTTGACCTCTTTCTGAGGTCGCTGCATTTTTTAAAAAAAATTGTTAGAGATAGCTTCTCTTTTCTCCTTTTTTGCCATTAGCACCAGATGAATTGTGTCTCTGATTCAGCTATATCCCAGCACCTGACACCTAGTAGGCACTCAGTAAGTATTTCCTCAATGGATTAAGTGAAACCAACTTCTAATTTTCATAAAAATTCTCCACCAGAATTCTTCTTTTTCTTCTTTTTTTTTGGTGGGGGTCAGGGGACAGAGTCTTGCTCTGTCACCCAGGCTGGAGTACAGTGGTGTGATCTCACTTCACTGCAACCTCTGCCTCCCAAGTTCAAGCGATTCTCCTGCCTCAGCCTCCCAAGTAGCTGGGACTACAGGCACCCGCCACCACACCTGGCTAATTTTTGTATTTTTAGAAGAGACGGGGTTTCACCATGTTGGCCAGGCTGGTCTCAAACTCCTGACCTCAAGTGATCTGCCTGTGTTGGCCTCCCAAAGTGCTGGGATTATAGGTATGAGCCACCGCACCCGGCCCAGAATTCTTCTTAAACAGGAAAATGACTTTAGAACTTAAATGACTTTAGGAGTATTTAAGCAATGCAAGCTAATCTGGACAATCTAGACAAGGCTTTGGAAAAAACAACAGATCCACAATATCTCAGGAGGCAAGACCTATAGACCCAACTACTTTTTTTTTTTTTTTTTTTTTTGAGACAGAGTTTCGCTCTGTCACCCAGGCTGGAGTGCAGTGGCATGATCTCGGCTCACTGCAAGCTCCACCTCCCAGGTTCACACTATTCTCCTGCCTCAGCCTCCTGAGTAGCTGGGACTACAGGCGCCTGCCACCATGCCCGGCTAATTTTTTTGTATTTTTAGTAGAGACGGGGTTTCACCGTGTTAGCCAGGATGGTCTCGATCTCCTGACCTCGTGATCCACCCGCCTCGGCCTCCCAAAGTGCTGGGATTACGGGCCTGAGCCACTGCGCCCGGCTGACCCAATTACTTTTAAATCATTGTGACTTATAGGCTGAATGTAATGGTTTCATTACGGGTTGTTAATCCATTTAACAATAAATGGATTAACCAACCTGTTGGTTGAAGGAGAAGTGAGCTGAATAATCCCCAATTCCGTAGGCACAATTAGTTATACATACATTAATTGGTCCGCTTTCAATTCTGGCACTATTTTTTAAAAAATCTAAGAGGAGAGGTAGGAGGAGTTTAACAGCCATCTATTCTTTCCAACATTTTGAGAAAGCAAGTGAAAATGAACCCTGAAACAAGCCAACAGCAGGGGCACTCATTAACTTAATACACTTTAATCTTGTGAATAGAAGCTGGAGCTGGATCCTTTGAATCGGAGCTGCAGACTTCCACCTCCAACCACCTGCAGGACATCTCCGCATGGGTGTTCTGTTGGCACCTCTAACTCAGCACAACCCAATGAACTCATTATCATCCCATGGAGAAACCTGCCCTCCTCCTGGGTTCCCTGTCTCAGCCATGGGCCATCCCCAGGCACACAAGCTGGGGGTCACAGCAGCATCTTCCCTGCCCCTGTTCCTGGCCCCCATCTCCCACCCCCAAGGCTGTTGTATCCTCTGGACTTGACCCCAACTTCACAGCAGTTAGCCACAGCTCCTTCTCAGCAACCCCCTCCATTAATGCTCACGGAAGCTTCTTAATTTACATTCTCACCTTCTCACTTCCTTCTGTAAGGCCCCCTCAGCTAGGAGAAATGCCTTTGAAAATTCAGATATGTCCTTTCACCCGCTCAGAGCAAGAAAAAAAAAATCCAAACGTTTCATCTTCCTCATAATGATGCATACTTGCTGAGCACCTACCATGTGCAAGCTCTCTGCTCAGTGCTTGGCATACCTCATTACATTCAATCCTTAGAGATGGCCCTCAGTTAATACAGACCTAACTCCCTCCCAAGATCTGGCCCTCCCTGCCTTGCCCACCTCATCTAGATTTCTCCTTGGCCTGCCAGGTGCCGCTCTCAGTGGCCTTTCTGTTCCAAGTACGCATGCCTGGCCTTTGCCCTGGCAGTTCTGCTCTCTGGAAATGCTCTTGCCTGGGTCTTAGCTAGCTTGCCCCTTTCATGACATGACTCAGTTCAAATGTAAGCTGCTCAGCAGCCATCTCTGATCTCCCCAAGAAGATTCTATTATCACAGAATACTAGCACTGATCACCTTCTGTCTTTATCTTATTTGTTCCCCCCACCCCCTCCCCCCATTCAGCTCCTTCAGTAGAATGTAGGCTCTACCCGGACAAGGATCAGGTCCAACTTGTTCACCGAGCTCCAGGGAGCAGCGCAGTGCTGGGCACTTAGGGAACACTCAATAAACATTTGTTGAATAAATGAAGACATATTCCCTGATAAGTTCTCCAAAAGTAGTCACTATTATCAATCTTCTGGAGCTCTTTTCTCTAATACTCTTTCCTTACTGACATGGGCATTACCTTTCTTTTTTTTCTTTATAGACAGGGTCTCACTTTGTCACACAGGCTGAAATGCAATGGCACGACCATAGCAAACTGTAACCTCAAACTCCTGGGCTGAAGCAATCCTCCTGCCTCAGCCTCCCGAGCAGCTAGGACTACAGGCGTGCATCACCATACCTGGCTGGGGGCGGGGGAAGGGGGGGGGCGGTGTCTCGCTATGTTGCCCAGGTTGGTCTCAAACTCTTGCCTCAAGCAATCCTCCCACCTTGGCCTCCCAAAGTGCTGGGATTACAGGTGTGAGCCGCGGCGCTCAGCCACGGGCGTTACCTTTCAAAGCATCCAGATTTTATGGCGTTAATCTCCCTGTTTAAAATTTTCTGTGATTTGGACACAAAGATGGGAACAACAGACATGGGGTATTCCAAAAGGCAGAAGGTGTGGAGGGGGGTAAAGGCTGAAAAAGTTGCCGAAAGGATTAGAAGCATCACGCAATATACCAATGTAACAAACCTGCACACGCACCGAATCTAAAATTAAAACAAAACAAAAACACAACAACCAAACAAAAACCTTTCCGTGATCATCAGGAGGCTGTCATATTCTCACCCCCTACTTCACGCTGGGAATCGAGCTGCGGGCTTTACAACAGCGTCAGCTGCTCCCTTTGGCAACGACCAGAGAGGTCCTTTCTCCAGAGATTTTTGTCAGCTCTGGGCACTTTTGCTTTGTGGGCCTATCTTCCACTTTATAAAAAATTAAAAATGCTACTTTCCACTGCATTCAGTACTTTTTCTTCTCTTTTCTTTTTTCTTTTCTTTTCTTTCTTTCTTCTTTCTTTCTTTTTCTTTTTCTTTTTTTTTTTTTTTTTGACACAGTTTCACTCTGTTGCCTAGGCTGGAGTGCGGTGGTGTGATCTTGGCTCACTGCAACCTCCACCTCCTGGGTTCAAGCGGTTCTCGTGACTCAGCCTCTTGAGTAGCTGAGACTACAGGCGCCCGCCACCATGCCCAGCTAATTTTTGTGTTATTAGTAGAGAAGGGGTTTTACCATGTTGACCAGGCTGGTCTCGAACTCCTGACCTCAGGTGATCCGCCCGCCTCGGCCTCCCAAAGTGTTGGGATTACAGGCGTGAGCCACCGTGCCCTGCCCTTTTTATGTATGTATTTATTTATTTGAGATAGGGTCTCGCTCTGTCGCTCAGGCTGGAGTGCAATGGTGCGATCTTGGCTCACTGCAACCTCCGCCTCCCGGGTTCAAGCGATTCTCCTGCCTCAGTCACCCGAGTACCTGGGATTACAGGCGCATGCCACCACGCCCGGCTAATTTTTGTATTTTGAGCAGAGACGGGGTTTCACCATGTTGGCCAGACTGGCCTCGAACTCCTGACCTCAAGTGATCCGTCAGCCTCGGTCTCCCAAAGTGCTGGGATTACAGGCGTGAGCCCCCACGCCCGGTCGCGTTTAGTACTTTTTACCAAAACTAAAAGAAATTAAAACACTTTCGTGGGTCCTGGACACTTCCGGAAGGATTTGTTTCCAGCTGCCAGATGAGGAAACTGGGGCTCGCAGAGCCGGCGCCGCAGGGGAGGGGCTGTGCACGAATCCAGTGGGAAACCTCTCTCCGGAGCTAAGCCCCTGGTCCACCCGGGCATCGCTCCGGGATCGACTGGGGGCGTTCCTTCCGCCGGTCCCCTTTGTTCCCAGTGCCGAGCCCGCGGCCCTGCCCTTCCTCCAGGCCCCGCCCCTTCTTCCAGGCCCCGCCTCCCGCCCGGGCCGAGGCGCGCGGCCGCGCGTGCGCCCGCCCGCCCGTCCCCGCCTCGCGCATGCGCCGCGCTCGCTCGCGGGAGGGCATGGCGGGGGCCGTGCCGGGCGCCATCATGGACGAGGACTACTACGGGAGCGCGGCCGAGTGGGGCGACGAGGCTGACGGCGGCCAGGTGAGGCGGGGCACTGGGCGCACCCTAGAGAGAATCGTTCGTCTCCGCCGCCGGCGGGCCGGCCCCACTCCCGGAGAGGCCGCGCGGCGCGAGGCTGCGGGCGTGCGGGGGGTGTGCGCGCGCACGGCCCGCGCGGTCACCGTGTGGTTCAAGCACAGCCCGCCCCGCCCCCGCCCGCCCGGGGTCCCGCGGCGCGGCCGCCGGGGTCCCCGCCTCCTCGCCTGCAGGACCTTGGGGTGGGGGTGAGGCGCCGGAGGCTCTGGCGCGGGGCGGCCCGAGGCCCCCAGTACCCCCTCGCTCCGGCCAGGCCCGGCGCCGGCCCTGCGACCCCCGCGGCGGGCGGGACACCAACGCTAAGGTGGAGGGTTGGGTCCGGAGCTCACAGACTTTTAAACAAAAATAAAGTGGAAAAACTTCACAGCAGCATCATGAGGAAAAAGTAGAACTTAGGGCATTCCTACATGTGCTTTACTGTTTTATAAACTGTACTCTTCAGCACCTTGGGCTGATTTCATCTGTTTTTGGGCAAACTGATGGAAAGGATTTTCGGGCCTTGACCTTCCAGGGTTTGGGGTGGAAGCCCAGGAGGGATCACTGTTCCACCCTGAGGACAGGGACTGCAGAGCCAGGGCAGGTAGCTCTAGTCTGGACAGTGTGTCCCCACCTTACTCTAAAGACCCAACTGAGGCGCATGATTGAAATGTAGCTTCTCACGTCCCTCCCCTGGAGACGGCCCAACAGTTGGTCTGGACGGGAGCCTGGGAACTTGCATTTTTTTTTTTTTTTTTTTTTTTTTTTTTTTTTGTGGTGGAGTTTCGCTCTTGTTGCCCAGGCTGGAGTGTAATGGCGCCATCGCGGCTCACTGCAACGTCTGCCTCTCGGATTCAAGCGATTCTCCTGCCTCAGCCTCCCGAATAGCTGGGATTACAGGCACCCACCACCATGCCCAGCTAATTTTTAAAATTTTGAGTAGAGAGGGGGTTTCACCTTGTTGGCCAGGCTGGTCTCAAACTCTTGACCTCAGGTGATCCACCCACCTCTGCCTCCCAAAGTACTGGGATTACAGGCGTGAGCCACTGCTCGTGGCCCAGGAACTTGCATTTTTAACAACAATCAAGATTGGGGATGTCTGGTGCATTTTGAAGTGGTATTATAAGGGAATAAAGGATGAAGTGGGGCTTACGTTGATAAACATGGGTGGTGGTGTGATGGCGGCTTCGGAGCCATGGTCTAAAATGCCAAGGCGGGCGATGTGTTTCTGGAACTGAAAGAAGCCCTGTGATGTTAGCTGCCTGGTGGAAGCAGTGGCAGGAGGTCAGTAGGGAGCAGGTTCTGAAGATCCTTGGAGAGCTGCTGAATGGTATGGCTTGTTCAGGAGTTTGGGGCAGGGAGTGACACGAGTAGATTTGCATGTTGGATCATTTCACAGTGTTGGAGGCTTAGGGTGGAGTGGATAGAGTCAGACTTAGCTAACTGAGAGCTTGGGCCATGTGTGTCATGCGTTATCCCCTTCCACACACAGGATTTTGAGTTGGGTGTTACCCTACTTATCTGGTAAGTGTAGAAAATGAGACGAAAAGACTTACTGACCTGCCCAAGGTCATGAAACTAATAAAGGAAGGAGAGGGGACCCAAACCCACATCCTTTGCCTCCGTTGCCACTTCGTCAAATTGCTGACTACCAAAGTGGTCCAGATGAGAAGGTGTGAATTAGCTTAGTGGTAGGTTGGTGTTTGGGGCATCTAGTATATCACCTTGAGCCTTTTTTTCTTTTTTTTTTTTTTTGAGACAGAGTCTCGCTTAGCTGCTCAGGCTGGAGTGCAGTGGCTTGATCTCAGCTCGCTGCAACTGCCATCTCCTGGGTTCAAGCAATTCTCCCGTCTCAGCCTCCTGAGTAGCTGGGATTACAGGCATCCGCCATCATGTCCGGCTAATTTTTGTATTTTAGTAGAGACAGTGTTTCACCACGTTGGCCAGGCTAGTCTTGAACTCCTGACCTCAGGTGATCCGCCTGCCCCGGCCTCCCAAAATGCTAGGATTACAGGCGTGAGCCACCGCACCCGGCCTTTTTTTTTTTTTTTTTTCTTTGAGACGGAGTCTCACTCTGTCACCCAGGCTGGAGTGCAGTGGTGCCATCTTGGCTCACTGCAACCTCCACCTCCTGGGTTCAAGTGATTCTCCAAGTAGCTGGAATTACAGGCCGGTGCCACCACACCCGGCTAATTTTTGTATTTTTAGTAGAGATGTGGTTTCACCATGTTGGCCAGGCTGGTCTCGAACTCCTGGCCTCAAGTAATCTGCCCGCCTCCGCCTCTCAAAGTGCTGAGATTACAGGTGTGAGCTACCGTGCCCGGCCTCACCTTGAGGCTTTGAGTCATAAAGTGTTAGAACTGGGGCATATAAGGGCCATCTAATCAGTACCTTCACTTTATAGACCAAGCACGTGAGTTATTTGCCCAAGTTTGTGCAGTCAGACCTAGACCCCACTGATGGGAGATTGGGGAGTCTCATGTTTGGGGAATTTTAATCATGATCCTAATTTGGCCCACTGACACCAGTGGGCTCTCATGGATGAGGGGGGTGGACCAGACGTTCATTTCATGTTTATTCTGTGACTCTGCTTGGAAGAGGTACAGAAAGTTAGGAAAGGTGTTAGGAGGGTGGCAAGAACTGGATTTTAAAAGATAGTTGGTGACCCAAATTCTGTTCGCCTGATGCCATGTTACATAGTGGGAGGTAGGAAGATGTGTAAGGAGGCCACCGTGATGTTCAGTCTGGATGGTGGAAACTAAGAGCTGCAGACATGCAAATAGATGAGTCCTGCTACAGATTGCAAATGGGGAGTGGTGAGAGGTCAGAACGGACAGGGGAAGTGGGAAGGGCACGCTCTTGCTAGAGCTGGGGCGTTTTTTCCTGAAGGAGATGGGAATCTTTAAGCAGGAGAGAGACGTCAGTTTTGTGGCTTACAAAGATCACTGTGGCCACGGTGTGAAAGATGATTGAAAGGAAGGAATAAGACTGAGACTTCAGGGGAATGTTGCTACTGCAAGCATACAAAAAATAAGGAAGAGCAGAGGCAAATGTGGAAAGAAGGACCACCTTGGATAGACAGATGGGAGATGGAACTGATGAGTCTTTGTGACAGGATGTGGGGGTGGGGTGAGGGAGAGAAGCTGAGGATGATTTTCAGGTTTGGGGGGTAACAAGTAGATATATGAAGGATACCTTTACGGAAATATGGGTTGTAGGAAGAAGATCTGTTTCTAGGGAAGAGATGTCAGTTTTGGACCTAAAGAGTTTGGATACTTGTGAGACATCTGACTGGAAATGAGAATGGAATGTTGGATACCTGAGTCTGGAGCTTAAGAGAGGAAAGACGGAGAGAGAGATCCAGGCTAATTCTAGATTGGTGAGCAGGTAGATAGCATGACCCAAGAGGTGGTGGAAGAGGCAGGTAGGTGAGTGCCCAGGGTGGAAGCCCAAGAGAACAGACAACGTGGGAATGAAGCTCGGGGTGAAGTCCGGCCTCTGTCATGCCCTTAGGGGCTCAGCGTTCCCCATGCAAATCTGGTCTGAGAGAAGACTCCACAGCTTTTACTGGGAAGTCATCGGGTTCTGTCTGCTCCCAAAGCACTGCTTTTAGGATCTTAGTCCAGATCAGGAGTGAGCAAACTTTTCTGAAAAAGGCTAGATAGCAAATATTTTAGGTTGTGCCTGTCTCTGTCTTAACTACTTACCTCTGCCCTTACAGGGGGAAAGCAATCATAGACAGTCCTTAAAAGAATGGGTGTGCTGTGTTCCGTAAAAGTTTATTTGCAAAAATAGGAGAGGGCTGGATTCGGCTCTGGGTCATAGTTTGCTGACCCCTGGCCCAGCTCTTGCCCCATTATGTTAGAGTAGGTTGCATGGAGGTCTGTCTCTCCTATTAGTTTGTGAACTTCTTTGATGGAAAAAGCCTTGTCTTGTCTTACATTTTCTTAGGTTCCTTGGTTGATGAGCATAGTGCAGACTGAATGTTCAAAAAGCATCTGCTTGTTAGTTAGGGTGGCAGTGTTAAAGTTGGACAGGGTTTGGGATCACAGTCCATCCTCACATGGTCATTAGCAGGTGAAGAAGCCTGCTTTGCCCTTAGATGGAGTGACAGGCCTGAAGTTGCTTCCACATAGAATTGGGACTGGAGTCCAGCCAGAAGTGTGGATGCAAGGCGAGTTAGTGGTCTTTACTTTCTAATGGTAAGTGATGGCTCACGCTTTCAAGAATCAGGTTGTTACTCTTCAGTGGCATGTATGAAATAAGAATAGTGAAAACAATAATAATAATAGTTTACTATTTATTGCACTGTTACGAAATGTCAGGGATTATGCTGGGTTCTTCCAAAAATTAGCTCATGGAATCCTCACAACAGCCAAATGGGAATAGGCGTTATTATTATCTTCACTTAACAGAGGAGGAAATGGACACTCAGAGAGGTTGGGTAACTTGTGTGAGCATGGAACGCGGTTTGCCAGGGAGGAGTTGTACACACCCACTCAGTGTGATCCTGGATCCCATTTTCCTAGCCACTCACTATCTGTCCAGCCCATTTCATGAAATTGTCATGAAAGTCAAATGAAATAATGTGTGTAGAATACTTTCAAAATGGGCAGCATTATACGATTTAAGGTGAGATTAGGGTATTTGTATTAATGAAAAAAATATCCTGGCTCTTCGCATTTACCAACAGCAGGAGGATGATTCTGGAGAAGGAGAGGATGATGCGGAGGTTCAGCAAGAATGCCTGCATAAATTTTCCACCCGGGATTATATCATGGAACCCTCCATCTTCAACACTCTGAAGAGGTATGTGAGAAAGGTGTCTGTATTGGGAGGAGGCTGGGGGTAATTTAGAGAAAGTTTTGTAATACACCCAGAAGGTGCTATGTAAAGCAAGAGTAACGCGAACTGAACTAAAGGCTTCAAGGGGGGGTCCCCTCTGCCACTTTTTTTTTTTTTTTAAATTTTTTTAAGACAGAGTCTTGCTCTGTTGCAGTGGCACAATCACCGCTCACTGCAGCTTCAGCCTCCTGGAATCAAGCAGTTCTCCCACCTCAGCCTTGCAAGGTGGCCACCACAGGCGTCTGCCATCATGCCTGGCTATTTTTGTTTTTGTTTTTTGGGAGAGACAGGGCTCCTTACGTTGCCCTGGCTGCTCTTGAACTCCTAGGCTCAAGTGATTCTCCCACCTCTGCCTCCCAAAGTGCTGGGATTACAGGTGTGCACCACTGCACCCAGCCCCCTCCGCTGCTTTAAAAATTTTGAAACCTGATTCTCTTCCTCCTTCCTTACCTTCCTGTTGTCCATCATTCCATTCATTCGGGTGTAATTGCTGTTGTTACTTTCCCTAGGTATTTTCAGGCAGGAGGGTCTCCAGAGAATGTTATCCAGCTCTTATCTGAAAACTACACCGCTGTGGCCCAGACTGTGAACCTGCTGGCCGAGTGGCTCATTCAGACAGGTGCTTTGTGGGTGTCCCCTGTCCTGGCTAGTTACCCCCACTTTTTTAAAAATAGACTTTTGGGTCCTTATAACACTGATACAATGCCTTCTTTGATTTCCTGGTTTCTGAGACTTGTGTAAGAAAGAGCTGAACTTCTTACTCATTTTTATCTTTATCTTACTCATTTGTATCTGCTTGCCTCTTATCTTTGATTCAGTAATTGAGGTTTACTGGTAGCCTGCAAACGTGATTCTCATTGAGCTGTTTTCCCTACCATGTTGTAGAATTATAGGATTATACAGTGTGTGTTCAGTGTGTCATTTTCAAGACGTCTATTACAGCAAGCAGTAAATGACGGATAATTTAGGACTGGCTGTGATTATGGCTTTTAGTTAATATGATCAAAGTAGAGTCTTACTGTAAATCCACGGAGCCGGGTGCAGATGACATCACTGAAGTGCGTGCTGTCCGGAAGCTTGTGGACACACTGCTGTCCCGGTGATTAGATACAAGTGTGTCTCTTTTGGCTGCCATCTGCTCCCTCCTCACTGGGCAGGGATGTTTTTCCATCCCCCTACCTGTTGCTGGGGCCATTTGTCTTTATCCTCAGTGAGGCTCTGCAGATGGTGCTGTCCTTTCCATGAAGTTAGGGGTGGACCAGACTTGTGTGTTCTGTTCTGTGCTGCTTTTTGGTCTTATCATTGATAACTACTTTGAAGAGTTCCAAAACCTTACATGTATAAGTGGTCAGAAGCAATTCTTTGGTATTTGATTCACATAGAGACTTTTGACCATTTGCTTTCTAAAGCCACACAGTGAATGGACAGCTTGCCATTGTCTAGTTGCTTTTATTCTCTTTCAGGTGTTGAGCCAGTGCAGGTTCAGGAAACTGTGGAAAATCACTTGAAGAGTTTGCTGATCAAACATTTTGACCCCCGCAAAGCAGATTCTATTTTTACTGAAGAAGGAGAGGTGAGAAATTATTTTTCTTTGCCTAGTACCAGGCCCTAGGGTCTTTTGCAAATTCCCTGTGTACAGTGGAGCGTGGCATATCATGTAAGTAATGGCAGAGTTGAGGACTAAAATCAGAGTGTGAGACAGAAGTTGCATCTAGTCAGAATTGCCCTTTAAACTCTGTACCCAGGGTCGTGACATGCTTGCACGCAAGAGGCACACAGGTGCTGAGATCAAGAGAATGAACAGCAAGTTCCCACCATTTCCCCTCTCAGGCTGACTCCAGGGCACAGCCCTTGGAGTGTTGTGGTGGATTCGTTTGGTTCCTCCAAGAAGCAGCTGCCAAGACAGGGCTAGGCCTGCAGGAGATGATGGGGAAGCGACTATGAGGGAAGATGGGGTAGGGCTGGAGGAGGCTGGGGTAGCTGTGATGCAGTCTGACCCTTGAGGGCAAGAGAAAAGGAATGAGGGTTAGTAGGAAGAATGTTAGGCTGCAGTGCAGTTTCCAGAACGTTCCAGCCATATCAGTGGGGAATCTTTAAGCCACAGGTGCCCATTCTGGGAGCCCACGTCTCCTGGACAGGCCTGCTTTTGAGGCCCTGCTGCATTCCATCTGTGGCTGGGAGCAGCCTCGGGGAGCTGGCCTTGGCACAAACAGGATGGCAGGTTCAGAGCACAGTCCTTGAGGACATCCGTCACATAGGAGAGCTGAGAGAAATGTTTTTCTGGCTACTCCATGTGGTGATGGGCCAGAACACCTGTGCCATTTAAATGGCCTCTTTCTCTTTTGCTAAGGGCATACAAGCTGGGGCAGCATGAGCTCCCTGTGTGTGCAAGGCAGCTCTATGCGGTTCTCGGTGTCTCCTAGGAAGCAACTTTCAGTACCCTCCTGTGTTGAGTCCGATTTTCTAAAAGCTGAGCGGGCATCTAGGGACCTTTCTGTCACTCAGCCGACTGTGTGGCTGTGGCCAGCTCTGGGTCTGCCTCCCCCAGAACTAGATGCCCATGGGGAGTCCATCAGCACCAATCTCCTGTGATCGTTTATACAACAGAATCTCCACTCAAGTAAAAGTGGGGCCTCCTCCTATCTTGCTGTTTGTGTGTGTGTTGGCAGACCCCAGCGTGGCTGGAACAGATGATTGCACATACCACGTGGCGGGACCTTTTTTATAAACTGGCTGAAGCCCATCCAGACTGTTTGATGCTGAACTTCACCGTTAAGGTAGGAAGAGTTCTAGAGTTAAGGAGAAAAGTGTTTATGAATGTTTATTTTTGGTTGTTGGTCTGTTTCCTTTGACAGTTCATATTTGCTTTTTTTCCATAAAGGTCTTTATTGTTTTATTTTCATAAGCCTTACACTGAGAAAGAAAAGTGTAAAATTTGTATCTGTTTTTGGGTCAGTGTTGACTGTGTTTTAGGATTTAGCAGGGATACAAGAATTCTCTTGTGGTTGGAGAGGAGCTTTAGGCGTGCCTGCTTGATCTTCCTCTTGCATATGAAGAAACGATGGAGAGGTGGTCAGCCCAGGGCACACACCTAGGTGATAGCAGGGTGAGGGCGGAGTGAAGGCCTGAGACCCACGACCAGCGCACACTTACTCCACCTCACCATGAACACTGACAAGCCAGCTTCCCGTGGAGGTGCGGTCACTGCATGCCTCCCCTCTGACTTCTTGTTTTGTGTCCTAGCTTATTTCTGACGCAGGGTACCAGGGGGAGATCACCAGTGTGTCCACAGCATGCCAGCAGCTAGAAGTGTTCTCGAGAGTGCTCCGGACCTCTCTAGCTACAATTTTAGATGGAGGAGAAGAAAACCTTGAAAAAAATCTCCCTGAGTTTGCCGTAAGTTCTTTCTTTATGAACCTCAGATTAGAAGGAGGCTGCTTTGGGTCTTGGTTTTCAAGCATGAGATGCTCCTTCCCTGGAGAGAATCTCCATTTCTGAGGGCACCTTCCAGGATGCTCACTCCCGGGCCCGAGCACGGTGGAGGCTTGGCTCTCGTCCGCCCGTCTGTGCTACAGTAGTAAACCCTGCCCCCTCTCTCCCTGCAATCTTGCAGAAGATGGTGTGCCACGGGGAGCACACGTACCTGTTTGCCCAGGCCATGATGTCCGTGCTGGCCCAGGAGGAGCAGGGGGGCTCCGCTGTGCGCAGGATCGCCCAGGAAGTGCAGCGCTTTGCCCAGGAGAAGTGAGAGGCCCTGTTTCTGCTCAGCCCTTCCTTCCTAGTGCTCCCCACAAAACCCTTCCCATGGCCCGTGTTCCACAGCCAAAGCTGCTAGCTCCTTCTGTTCAACGTAGAGGTAAACTTGCTTTTGGCTGGGCGTGGTGGCTCACGCCTGTAATCCCAGCACTTTGGGAGGCCGAGGCGGATGGATCACCTAAGGTCAGGAGTTTGAGACCAGCTTGACCAACATGGAGAAACCCCATCTCTGGTAAACAAAAATACAAAATTAGCCGGGTGTGGCGGCACATGCCTGTAATCCCAGCTACTTGGGAGGCTGAGGCAGGAGAATCGCTTGAACCTGGGAGGTGGAGGTTGTGGTCAGCCAAGATTGCACCATTGCACTCCAGCCTGGGCAACAAGAGCAAAACTCTGTCTCAAAAAAAAAAAAAAAAATTAAAAACTTCCTTTTATCCAGCAGAGCTGGAAAAGTTGGAGTTGTTTTTGGTATACTTGGAGAGCTGGCTTTCTAAAGTGCTGCTTTGAGGACTGTTGTGTAAAGCACTTGATTCGTCTTCCCTTTGCTGGAGTTATGGGCCTGGGCTTTTACACTGGGGTTCTGAAGTAACAAACAAAGTCAGTCCAGAAATAGTTGCTCAGCAATCTCATTGTTACAGTGTCGCAAAATGAGCTCATATTAGCTTTATTTTCTGCTACCAATAGAGTGTTCCTAAGTATTTAAAGTGTGTGACTCCTTTCTTATAGAGCCAGCAAGCTGTATTGGAATCACTTTTCCAGTGTTGTAAATGTTATTTTTGTGGGTCAGTCAGTATACTCGTGAATGACAGAAAAACAGATCCCAACAATGCAAAGTATTATATGTGTAAAAAAGAACAGAAAAAAGAAGCTGCCTTGTTAGTAACGGGGTCTATGGTTTTTCTCATCAAGAGGTCATGACGCCAGTCAGATCACACTAGCCTTGGGCACAGCTGCCTCCTACCCCAGGGCCTGCCAGGCTCTCGGGGCCATGCTGTCCAAAGGAGCCCTGAACCCTGCTGACATCACCGTCCTGTTCAAGATGTTCACAAGCATGGACCCTCCTCCGGTTGAACTTGTAAGTTGCTTCTCAAGAATCCCCAATGTCAGCTGGTAAGGTGACTTTGGAAAGTCTGTGCTTGTCTGATTGTCTGAAGGCTGTGAATGCAAATCCATCATTGTCCTGGTCCTTCCTCAGTCACACTCTCTGCCTGGAGCCTGTTGGGCCCCTGCTGTGTAGGGAACCCTGAGGGGAGGTGGGTGAGCAGTGCCCTCACGCCTGCCATCCCGAACTGGGCATATGCTTCTCCTCAGATCCGCGTTCCAGCCTTCCTGGACCTGTTCATGCAGTCACTCTTTAAACCAGGGGCTCGGATCAACCAGGACCACAAGCACAAATACATCCACATCTTGGCGTACGCAGCAAGCGTGGTTGAGACCTGGAAGAAGGTACCATCGGTTCTGGGAATTTGTGGATTTTTTAGGAGACAAATATCCTCCTCTGCTTTGATATTATTTTGGAATTTTGGCTGCAAGAAATCTTGACCCTCCCTAGTATCAGGCATGTGTTTTCTTGTGTTTCTGCGTAGAGAAAGCACTAAACGTCTCCAGAAAATGTGCGTAATGTCTCCAATGCTCTGCAAACCGTAAATTGAAATGTGACTAAAGAAATGAAACTGATTTCCGTAAGACATGGACAAACACTAGTCTCATTGCTTTTCAGTTTCTGTACACTGTGTGACTGTGAAGTTTGACAGCTGAATTGACTCCCAACTTAAGTAGAAATAGGGAAAGTGCTTTGCAAGAAGTGGCCGACACCAGAACACCCCGACAGCAGGGATATCTGCCCTGTCAGGCTCACCAGCTTGTGTGTGTGTTTTCAGAACAAGCGAGTGAGCATCAATAAAGATGAGCTGAAGTCAACGTCAAAAGCTGTCGAAACCGTTCACAATTTGTGTTGCAACGAGAACAAAGGGGCCTCTGAACTAGTGGCAGAATTGAGCACACTTTATCAGTGTATTAGGTAAGCAAAACGAAACTCAGTTCTTAAATCAGTCCTTTGGGGAGGAGGTCGTTTGAGTTTTCATATTGAAAGCTCAAATAACAAAAGCTTCAGCGATACTTGTTCATTTTATTTATTTTTTCATTTTTAAACAGTATGTAGGGAACTTTAAACAGCTTTAGCAGCATGAGTAATTTTCAGATGTTTATTTGCCAGAAGTCTGTTGAGTACAAATTAGGCTAAGTAAAAGATAGCCAGAGTTAACAAAAATTGATTTGAAGGGTCTATTTATAGGTAAAGTTATGCCCACAAAGTATTGCTTACATAGAAATGATTTGTGATTATGCCAATCATATAAATAGACGTGTCCTAGAAATAGTGTGTCCTCTTAGGCATGTCTTTCCCCTAATAATTTATACTAGGGATGAAGAAAGAGTTTGCTAAATAAAGGTAAACTTCAACCCAGTCCACCAAACTCACTGAGTATCACTCATTAATGATCTTTTCCTTTCGATAAGTGGTTTAAAGTGAGCAGAGAATTGAACTCTGCTTCTTGCACCGCATGTTGAGTGGCTGCTGATCCATTCACACTATTTACTAATAAGCAGAGCTTACGCCAGGCACAGTGGCTCTGGCCTGGAATCCCAGCAATCTGGGAGGCCAAGGCAAGAAAATAGTTTGAGCCCAGGAGTTTGAGACCAGTCTGAGCAACATGGTGGACCCTCTCTCTACAAAAAATTAGCTAGACATGGTGGCACTCACCTGTAGTCCCAGGTACTCGGGAGGCTGCAGTGAGCCATGATTGTGTCATTGTACTCCAGCCTGGAAGACAGAGTGAGACCCTGTCTCAAAAAAAAAAAAAAAAAAGGGTTGGGGGGCGTATTGAAGGGTGAATGATGGAGTCATTTGAGTTTGTTTTTAACTTTCCTTTAATGCTTTTCTAGCATATTTTGTGTTTTAAATTGTTTTTTAAAGGAAGCATTCTGCCTTAACTGTAGGTTTCCAGTGGTAGCAATGGGTGTGCTGAAGTGGGTGGATTGGACTGTATCAGAACCAAGGTACTTTCAGCTGCAGACTGACCATACCCCTGTCCACCTGGCGTTGCTGGATGAGGTAAGAGGGCGGAGAGCTGTTCACAGCCTACACAGTGTCTGTCTCATGCTGTTTACGTTGGCATTAACATTGCATCTATTCAGTGAGTTTAGAGGATACTCTTCTCAAAAATAGTTATTTCTGTCCTGAGGATTTTCCTCTTAAGGACCTAGCTTCATTGACTGCAGAAATTTCTTAACCTCAGTCAAGTGTTACTGGAAGCTGATGGCCCTGGCTTAGGTGTCAGGACCTTCTTCCACAGTGATAAGCTCTTTGGTGGCTGTGACAGTGCCCAGTTTCTCTGTGTGCTGAGCGTGACCACACTGCTCAGCGAAGCTCCCTCTGGCCTGTTTGTAGATCAGCACCTGCCACCAGCTCCTGCACCCCCAGGTCCTGCAGCTGCTTGTTAAGCTTTTTGAGACTGAGCACTCCCAGCTGGACGTGATGGAGCAGGTGAGCAGTGCCCGTGGGGCTTGCCAGAGGGCTGAGGAGGACCCTCTCTAACCAGCTCCCTGTCCCCCTTCTTCTGTAGCTTGAGTTGAAGAAGACACTGCTGGACAGGATGGTTCACCTGCTGAGTCGAGGTTATGTACTTCCTGTTGTCAGTTACATCCGAAAGTGTCTGGAGAAGCTGGACACTGACATTTCACTCATTCGCTATTTTGTCACTGAGGTCAGCAATGCACCGTTGGTTTCATGTTTCATACTGTTTACACTAGCACTGCCCTTTTTGGCTTAATTTAGTTCATTTTGTACCTAACTGAGAACTGTGCTTTCTGATGTAGTGATGACAATGACAGATACTCGTTTACCAAAAAGCACCTTCTGCCTGCAGCAGCTGTATGACACACTTTACCTCCATTACCACCCTGGGCATCTGAATGTTGGAGATGGGTGGTGTCACCGGCCGGTGGGGGTGGGGAGGGATTTTTTCCAAACTGATGGCCATTTCACCCGGATGTCGGTGGATGCCCCGCACTAGTGTGCGGAAGAAGTCACCCTGTGCTCCCCCACGCAGGTGCTGGACGTCATTGCTCCTCCTTATACCTCTGACTTCGTGCAACTTTTCCTCCCCATCCTGGAGAATGACAGCATCGCAGGTACCATCAAAACGGAAGGCGAGCATGACCCTGTGACGGAGTTTATAGGTGAGGCCGACTGCCTAGCCCTTTACTACAATAGAAAATGTCAGCTGGGCGCGGTGGCTCATGCCTGTAATCCCAGCACTTTGGGAGGCCAAGGTGGGTGGATCACCTGAGGTTGGGAGTTCAAGACCAGCCCGACCAACATGGAGAAACCCCATCTCTACTAAAAATACAGCATTAGCTGGGCATGGTGGCACGTGCCTGTAATCCTAGCTACTCGGGAGGCTGAGGCAGGAGAATCGCTTAACCTGGGAGGCAGAGGTTGCAGTGAGCCAAGATCGCGCCATTGCACTCTATCCTGGGCAACAAGAGCAAAACTGCATCTCAAAAAAAAAAAAAAAAAAGAAAGAAAATGTCATGTTCTACTTCCTGTTTCTAACACAGTCACTGTTTTCCTCGTTAAAGCTCACTGCAAATCTAACTTCATCATGGTGAACTAATTTAGAGCATCCTCCAGAGCTGAAGCAGAACATTCCAGAACCCGTTGTGGAAAAACCCTTTCAAGAAGCTGTTTTAAGAGGCTCGGGCAGCGTCTTGAAAATGGGCACCGCTGGGAGGAGGTGGATGACTTCTTTACAAAGGAAAATGGTAGCAGCTTCAGTGAGAAACTGCCCTTACAAACAGTCCCTTCTCTGCTGTCAATCCAATACTGCTCCCAAATCCTGTTTTCAGTGTTCATTTCCCTCAAGGCAGGCGCTGGGCTCCCACGACCCCTCAGGACAGATCTGGCCGTCAGCCGCGGGCCGCTGGGAACTCCACTCGGGGAACTCCTTTCCAAGCTGACCTCAGTTTTCTCACAAGAACCCAGTTAGCTGATGTTTTATTGTAATTGTCTTAATTTGCTAAGAACAAGTAATAAGTAAATTTTTAAAAAGCCTTTCTGCTGGGTTGGATTAAGTCCTGATGTGACATTGTTTTTGTGTGCGAATAAGGCACGGGCAGCCTCAGTCTCGTGCAGAGCCAGATACTTTATTCATCACTTGGGCGATTTGAAACTGCCAACTCCCTCCCTCCCTCCCCCACCCTTGATTCTAAAGTGACATAAGAATGGTGATAAGTCTGAACTCTTTCACCTCTTAAATGCCATATTATTGCCCACAGTTGCCAAATACAAAATATCAAGTCCTCTGCTGAAGAAGACTGAGGTCCCATCGTTTCCTGTGTCGCAGGTCACTTCTTCACCAGGTGGCTGACTGCATCATTGTGAGGCAGAGCCATGCTGTGCAAGTGTCATAAGTCATCCCACTTTCAACTCTCAGGAACACTCGCAGCCAGTGCCACGCTGTCCTCGCCATCCAATATTGATAGCCACCCCAGTTCCTGCCAGCCAGCCTGGCACACATAACCATAGGATCCCCTCTGGTCATGGGTCACCATGCCTTTTCTTAAACTGCGCTTCTAGTGACATGGCCTTAAACGATGGGGTCCCCAAATGTACAGTGCTCCTCGATGGCAAGGTTGTATCTGGCGCCCTTCCCATCCTTATAGGTGCTGGTCACGATCCTCAGCCAGCCTCTCTCGCCCTGTGAGAAGTGGGATCGCGCGTCAGCCCATCTGCAGCCGTCTCCCGCTCCCCTTGCTGCCGTCAGCCCCCTGCCCCCTGCTTTCTGCCTCCATCTCTCAGGCCAGCCTTGGGGGATCCAGACAGCCCACTCAGCTGCCCCTCAGCTTTCCCATGACCCCTGTTCTGAAATACCTTTTGTGAAACATTTCACTTGGTTAATGTTTAACATGAGGGCCCTCTATGCCAGAAGTGAATTCATCTCACAAAACATGTTGACTCTAGACTGGTGCCTCCTCCAGCTACTACTACCCCCATTAGTCACCTAGTAAAAAATGACGACATTTCATCACCTGCACATGAACCGCTTTCCCCCCATTTCTTAATCATGAATTTCTGTGTCTTAAATTATTAATGGCTAAGACTAGGTCTGGCAGTTAATTTCTCTCTCCTGGATTTTTGGCCCAACTCGAGTATTTTTGAAAAACCGACACAGTATTTTAGGGGAGCCCAAAAACCATGATGGGAAAAAGAATGAGCTGGTTGTAAAGGAAGAGGGTGGCAGAGCCCCTCTCCAGCAGTGCTCACAGGGACTTCCCCAGGGCACCAGGCACCATCTGGAGACGGTTTTGGTCACACTGGGATTGCGGGGAGTCACCTAGTGGGTGGAGGGGCCAGGGATGCTGCTGAACACCCAAAGTGCACAGGATGGCGGCAGCCGCGCATGTCAGAGAAGGGTCTGGCCCCAAAAGCCACTCGCGCGGTGGCTGAGACAGCTGGAGCAAGGAACCCTCTGTCAAGGCCCCAGTTTTTAGCTAAACGTAAACAGAACCATTCAAGCGAGAGGAGTACCAGGACGTTTTTTTCTAGGAATGACCTTAAGAAAATGAAAACATCTTACCCATGGTTCACCCCATGAATTCCGGACAATCCAGTACTCAGTCCCATCACTGATGCCCCACCCAGCCACAGAAACGACATGGTTTATATATGTGGTGTCCTGGTATTCGGCATAGATGCCTCCGGTGTAGTTAGCCAGTCTTTCTGTTGCCATTATTCCACAGCTGAGAGCAAGCAGTTAAAGAATTACCACTTTTAAATTGAGAGAATTTACCGTCATTAGAAATAATCTGATATGGCTGGGCGCCGTGGCTCACGCCTGTAATTCCAGCACTTTGGGAGGCCGAGGCAGGTGGATCGCTTGAGTCCAGGAATTCAAGACCAGCCTGGGCAAGATGGCGAAACCCCACCTCTACAGAAAATACAAAAATTAGCTGGGTGTGGTGGTGTGCGCCAGTAGTCCCAGCTACTCGGTGGAGGGGGCTGAGGCGGGAGGATAGCTTGAGCCCGGGCGGTCAAGGCTGCAGTGAGCGAAGATCATACCACTGCACTCCAGCCTGGGTGACAGAGTGAGACTGTGTTTCAAAAAAAAAAAAAAAAAAAAAAATCTGGTATGACAACAAAGTGTAAACCCGACTCAGGTAGTGTATATCTGACGGTTCTGGATAAACTTCTGTTGTTATTCACATAGTGTCTTCCCTGCTGAAACTGCCCCCTCGGTACAGCTTGGAGCGTCTCATCCGCATTCCGCACAACCATCCATAGGGGCAGACTTGCTATCAGCTGAGTGTTAACTCTGAGAAAACTGAAGTTCTTAGAGGGGAAATGATGTGGCTGTCTCGAGCCTACTGAGTACAACCGGCCAGAAGGAAAGTGGCGAAGGACGGAGATGCCTACATGAGCACCGACATGAGCCCACACTGGCGCTGTCACCGCGGATCTCTCCTCACCCGCGGGACCTTTCCTCACCCGCGGGACCTTTCCTCACCCGCAAACCTCTCTTTGCCCGCGGGACCTCTCCTCACCTGATGGGACCATTTGCATAGATTTCTGCCATCATCTTCTCCCTCCCAGAGAGGGAGCCGTAGTCTCCCACCCTCCAGAGGGTGTAGTTCCGGATGGCGTGGCACTCTTTGAATTCATTGCATGTCCCACATTGGTTAAACTTGTCACACTCTGGGGGAGAGCAAGAAAAGTCAGCATGAGGCCGTCTCCTCATCAACCCACTGACAAAGAAGCCCGCCAAGCCCACTCTCCACTCTCATCATGCAGCCTACCACTCAGCAGCTAAGAACGGAAATCATCTTGCTATTAGGTGCTGCTTAATGACGCTCTTCTTTCAGCTGCCAGGGAGTTATGAAAAGCCCTTCCCCAGGCCTTGGCAGAGAAGAAAAGAGACAGACATTAATTAGCACATAGTAGGCACCCAGGAGTTCGCCTTTTTCCTCTAATGGCTGGAGAAGGACCTTTCCACAATACTTTCTAGCTGAAAATGGAGCATAATCAAATGATTAGCACTTAATAAAATGTCTCTATTGCTGGCTGGTGAATAAATAGGCCAATACTTTGGGTAACAACAACCACAAAAAAGCATTTTCTTCTGTGCCCACGCTGAGGGGACCAAAAAAAAAAATTCTGGTTATTTCGACTTAAGAGGTTATCAAGAATTAGGCTTAAAAAATAAAATAAAGAGGGCCAGGCGCCTGTAATCCCAGCTCTTTGGGAGGCCGAGGTGGGTGGATCACCTGAGGTCAGGAGTTTGAGACCAGCCTGGCCAACATGGTGAAACCCCTGTCTCTACTAATAAAGTACAAAAATTAGCTGGGTGTGGTGGTGGATGCCTGTAATCCCAGCTACTCAGTGGAGGCTGAGGCAGGAGAATCGCTTGAACCCGGGAGGCAGAGGTTGCAGTGAGCCAGGATCGCGCCATTGCACTCCAGCCTGAGCGACAAGAGCGAGACTCCGTCTCAAAAAAAAAGAAAGAAAGAAAGAAAGAAAGGACAGGCGTGGTGGCTCACACCTGTAATCCCAGCACTTCGGGAGGCCGAGGCAGGAAGATGGCTTGATACCAGGAGTCTGAGACCAGCCTGGACAACAGAGCGAGACCTCATCTCTACAGAAAAAAAATTTTATAAATTAATTTAAAAAAAAGAAAAAGTACAGCTCTCGGTTTTGCAAGGCTCAGAGTCACTGTGTTCCCACTTTTCACTCCATCCACACGGCGGCCCTCGGCCTGCCATTCGCTGCTTTGGCGCGACCTGTCTGTCATAGTTACACATCTGTCGGGATTCCTCCCCCAGGAACATGAGCACCTTGAGGCTCAGACACTGGTTCAATTTGTTCCTTGCACACCAAGTGCCCAGTGCCCAGTACTACGGGAAAATGGTGGATGTGTGGCCACACTTTTGCTAACACTACAAAGATGACTATTTATCGCAATCAGGTTTTTTTATTCTTTTCTTTTCTTTTTTTTTTGGAGACAGAGTCTCACTCTGTCACCCAGGCTGGAGTTCAGTGGTATGATCCTGGCTCACTGCAACTTCTGCCTCCTGGGTTCAAGTGATTCTCCTGCCTTAGCCTCCTGAGTAGCTGGGATTACAGGCGCATGCCACCGCGCTCGGCTATTTTTTGTATTTTTAGTAGGGACAGGGTTTTACCATGTTGGCCAGTCTGGTCTCGAACTCCTGGTCTCAAGTGATCCGCCCGCCTCAGCCTCCCAAAGTGCTGGGATTACAGGTGTGAGCCACCGCGGTCACCAGTCACACAATCAGGTTTCTGATGAGCTCCATCTGCTCCTGTCAGGCTGGGTGGGTTGGAGGGGCCTGGCCTCAGCTGGGCGAGAGCACTTTGGCGTGGAGTGGGCGTGGCCCTGGAGACCACCTGATACCTGCTTCCTGCTTCCAGAGCCATCTGATAGCCCTTCCCTCTGCACCTTCCATCTGTCCCCCTTCTCGAAGGACTCACTCAGCCAGTCCAGGAGAATTTCTGGCTGAACAATAAGGCCTGAGAGGCAAGGCAAGGGAGCCCCGTTGGCAGAGGGTGGTGCCCAGAGGACCTTCTGCCACTTCAGAGTGCACAGGGCGCTGGGGCCAGCCTATATAGCCTGGGGCAGGGGTGGAGGCAGCAAAGCAAGCAGCTGCTGGGCTTTCCCAGCTCTCTGCTCTGGCTGTGAGGGAGATCTGAGTCAGGTGGCTTAAAACTACCAGTTATGGCCGGGCACGGTGGCTCACACCTGTAATCCCAGCACTTTGGGAGGCCGAGGCAGGCATATCACGAGGTCAGGAGATCAAGACCATCCTGGTTAACACAGTGAAATCCCGCCTCTACTAAAAATACAAAAAATTAGCCGGGCGCGGTGGCGGGCGCCTGTAGTCCCAGCTACTCCGGAGGCTGAGGCAGGAGAGTGGCGTGAACCCGGGAGGCGGAGCTTGCAGTGAGCCGAGATCGCGCCACTGCAGTCCTGCCTGGGCGAAAGAGCGAGACTCCGTCTCAAAAAAAAAAAACAAACTACCAGTTATGGCCGGGCGCAGCAGCTCATGCCTGTAATCCCACCATTTTGGGAGGCCAAGGCAGGTGGATCACTTGAGGTTGGGAGTTTAAGACCAGCCTGAACAACATGGAGAAACCCCGTCTCTACTAAAAAATACAAAAGTAGCTGGGCGTGGTGGCGCATGCCTGTAATCCCAGCTACTCAGGAGGCTGAGGCAGGAGAATCACTCAAACCCGGGAGGCGGAGGTTGCAGTGAGCAGAGATCGTGCCATTGCACTCCAGCCTGGGCAACAAGAGCAAAACTCCCTCTCAAAAACAAACAAACAAACAAACAAAACCTACCAATTATGGGATTAGGGTCTGGACTTTTCTTTCCTTCTGTTTCTAATGGGAGCAGCCTGAAAGGAATGTGCCAGCTCTAGGGATTCCAGGCTAGCTTGGGTCTGCTCATCCACACAGCACCCCCTTGGCCGTAGCCGCACCTGAATGTGGGGGACCTGGGCCCTGGGTCACCAGAACAGGAACCAAGCCAATGGCTCCTTCCAGTTTGGGGCAGCACCTCCCCACCTGCTCTCCACCAAAGCTCCTGGAAAATGAACTCTCCCTCCACAAGGCCCCCTACACCTCTCCCCTACAAAGGCCCAAAAAGCCACCAAAATGCCAGCATGTCAGAACTCAAACACCACATTCAGGCCCAGCCAAAGGGGCACAGGAGCAAGACACTCTTCCACGAGGCTGGAGACATGGGGACAGGGCCGGTATTTTTTTTTTTTTTTTTTTGAGCCGTAGTCTTGCTCTGTCACCCAGGCTAGAGTGCAGTGGCGCGATCTTGGCTCACTGCAACCTCTGCCTCCCGGGTCAAGCAATGCTCCTGCCTCAGCTGCCCGAGTACCTGGGATTACAGGTGTGCACCACCACACCCAGCTAATTTTTGTGCTTTTGGTAGGGACGGGATTTCACCGTGTTGGCCAGGCTGGTCTTGAACTCCTGACCTCCAGTGATCTGCCTGTCTCGGCCTCCCAAAGTGCTGAGATTACAGGCATGAGCCACCGCGCGCATGGCCAAGGATGCTCTTCAGACCGCTCCTGCAGCAGGCTTTTTCGTTGGGCTTCTCAACAGGGACTACGGGGTCCAGTTTTCTGATCCCCAGCCCAAGCGGGTGCAAGATAGCAGAGGGGGCTTCTGCAGCGAGAGGCTGGAGCTGGCACTGGGAACACTACCCCTCATGGTCAAGAGCACCAGCGCCCCTGGGGGCTGCAACCTCTGCCCTCCCGCAGCTCCCCAGCCACCAGCCAATGTGAGGAGCACGGGGTCAGGCTGGGTCCTCAGCCACGAAGGCCTGTGGAAGAGGGAGTGGAGGGCAGGAGGGTGGAGTGGGGGCACGGGCAGCAGCCTACCCTGGTCCTTGGCCTGGTAGTTGTTGCAGGTCTCGTCAGGGATGCCGTGCTGGTGGGCGTAGTCCCACACGGACAGGTCATTACCCCCTTCACAGGAGCCAGCGTTACCGCAGTCGATGACGTTCTGCACGGACAGGAGGGTGGAGGGCCACGCTCCCTTCCTCTTGATGTTGATCCGATCTGCAACAGTCAGCACCTGCCAGTCAGCACTCACCCACTCTCCACCCACTTCCCCGAACGGACCTGGACGCCTCAGGCGGGATGCAGGCGCTGCCCAGCCTGGCCTGCCTTCAGCTCTGCCCAGCTGCCTGTGTCTCCTTCTCCCTGCTGACCTCTTCATGGAGGTCTCCGCTCAGACGTCGCTCTGCAGAGAGGCCTCTCCTGGCCTTCTTTGGGCACTGTCCTGTCTGCCACACCTCCCGCTACAAATGCCATGAGAGCAGGGCCAGGGCCAGGCGGTCACCAGCATCTGGCCCTGCAGACACCTGAGAAGTGCCTGCTGAATGAAGGGCTGAATGGACAGAGACTCAGCCACCCATGGCAAGTGGGCCACACCCCAAAGCCAGCCAGGAGAGACCGTCCCTGCCCTCGTGGACAGGGGGCCAAGGTGTCAGCTCTGTGAACGAGTATAGCCCAGGGAGCCGCATGAGCCCCAGTGAGGGGCCAGATGCGGTCCTGAGGGCTGGGGAAGGCCAGCAGGGACCCAGCCCCGAAGGCACTGGGGGATGCAGAGGGCTCCCAGCGGCTGGCTGACCATGCCCTCACTGCCCAGGTGGCTGGGCTCTAAATCCCAAGGTGCAGCCAGGGACAGCTCAGGGTGGTCACCGAGGGACCTGCTTCCCTTCCCATGCACAAATGCAATAAAACAGATCCTAGAAGGAAATCCGGGCCCATGTTCAGGGTCATCTCACTCTGCCCTCCCAGGACAATGATTTCACAGCCACACACCCCTGCACCTGCCTCAGGCCTCATCTCCTGACCCCACGTTCAAGTCGGAACTCTTCCTGCAGCCTCACCTGTCCCTCCCCCAGGGCACAATGAGCAGGGAGTCCCTCTGCCCATTGGCAGCCCCCTCTGGACCTGCACATCCCCTCCATCTCTTGTCACCTTCCAGACTCTCCCACACTGCCCCACAGTCCGCTCCTCCACCTGGCCTCCTCCCGGTCGCCCAGCCAGGGGCCTTCTGGAACTGTCCCTGCTCTGGTGACTTCACGCATCACTGAAAAGTCCCAAAGCAGACCTCCATCCTGCCGCCACCCAGCCTGCCCATGCTCTGCACCCCAAACCCTCTTCCTGGAGCAGCCGGTGGCTGGTTTGTCCCCTCCCACCTGACCGACCCACCCTAGGTTCCATCCTGTTTCCTCCCAAGGACTTGGCTCCCTCCAGCTTTCCTTCTCCCCGCTCCCTTGTCAGCTATGCCCCCTCTAAGCAGATCTGCACACCCCAAACTTGCCTTTCTCACAACAACAGAGGAAGCCCCCGGCCCCTCCCACTCACTATCACGGTTTTCTGCTTCACTCAATGGTTTGAGACAGTGCCCCGACCCCTACTGCCCCGCTCCTCTTCAGCCCTTTCTCTCTTGCTAAAGGTCACTTCTCCACTGTCATCCGAGCTGACCACTCTCCGGCAGCAGTCAGCACAGCGGTCGCTCCATCCTTCTGGAAGCACCTCCTGCCTGGGCTTCTGGAGTTCCACTTGGCAGTGCAGGGCGTCCCATGGCCTGCCCCCGAGCCCTATCCTTCTATGCCCAACCCAACCCGGCGACAGCAGTCCTGGCCCAGAGGCAGAGCTCGGATGGATGAGCAGTTTCGGTTCTGGCCTCTCCGTCTACTCCTGCCTGAAGCATCTGGACCCGGCCTAACCAGCTCACTGAGGTATGCACAAGCTTCTCCCACGGCCAAACTCAATCCTTCATCCCACCAGCCCCATCTGGGAACGGGCTTATTACTCACACTGTGGGCTAACACAAGTGTCCTGAATACGTTTAATGCAGACAAAGCCAGGCCAGGGTGTGCAGGAGGCTGGGTGTGTCAAACACATTTTCCACTCATGGTGTTTTCAACTTACGAGGGGGTTGTCGGGACATGACCCCACAGTTAAGTCAAGGAGCATCTGTAACTGTGCAAAGTCTACAGCACCATGAAGAAAAATAAATCCGGGAGATAATTCAGGAAGTGGGGTGTCATATGCATAGGGTGGCTGAGGAAGACCCCGCTGAGGTGACATCCATAGGAGGGAGGGAGGGAGCCATGGGACCTCAGGGAGAGAGGAGGTGCCTGGTGGGAGAAGCTACCTCCCTGCTCCACTCTCCGCAGGAGCAGGGGAGCAAGGGCGGACTGGGAGGGAGCCCGATGGTGAAGGCTCTTGAAGGCCAGAGGGTTCTGTCTTTTATCTGAGTGGAATCCTGAGAGGGTTTCAAGCCAAAGAACATGTTCTGATGGGTTGTCACAGGCTCACTGTGGCCTCAGGGGCAGAGGCCAGGAGACCAGTGAGGGCAGTCGGCAGTGGGGCGGTGTGGCTTAGACCTGGAGGAGGCGGTGGGCGGTGCGTGATTTCTGCATCTGCTTCGAAGGTAGAACCGACAAGACTTGTGGGTGGATTATATGAGGGACAGAAAACAGAGGAGTCGGGTACCAGTCCAGGCTTTTGCCTGCATAGCCGGAAGGACAGCCAGGGAGGACTGGGGAAGAAATGGGCTGTCAGGTGACAGTAGTGGAAGGAGCCATCCAGACCTGAAGGTCTGAGGCTGGAGGTGTCAGGTGACCGGGACAGCGGGCGAGTGGGCAGGTGGATGTCAAGCTGAGTTCAGGTGAAGGGTTGGTCCTGGGGAAGCTGACACTCAGAACTCTGAGGAGCAGACAGCTGGGGAGAGGGGAAGGAGTGGCCAGGGAGGTGGAGGCGGGCAGTATGGTGCAGGAGAAGGAAGCATCCTGGGGAGACGTGATCAGGAGAATGCTTCACGGTGGGCCCCAGGTGGCAGTGGAAAGAACAGTGCCGGTGGAGTGGCAGAGGTGGGACTGAGGCTGGAGTGGGTTCAAGGGTAGAGAAGAGGAAGTGGAGGGACTCCAGATACTTCCCTAGGGAGCCCAGAATTGGGGCGGGGTGGGGCCGGGGGCTTTGTGTTCCTTTTTTCCAGGTGGGAGAGCTTCCCTGAGTGGGAAGGGACGGGCTCAGTGAGGGGACAAGACAGTTGATCCTGGGGGAGAGGAGGGAAGACAAATGGAGGACCTGCTGCCTTGGCTGGCAAATGGCCAGGGCCCCGTGGAAGTCCCCTTCTGGTGGCTTCTATTCCTCAGTGAAAGAGGAAGCGAGTGCCTGGGCCTGGGTGCGCTGAGAAGGAGGTTTCAGGAGAAAGTGGGGTGAAGCAGTCATCCGCCCAGAGAGAGTCCCCTGGGGAAATGCGGCAGGGCTGACCCCTGGCCAGGGTCCCACATCCATCTGAAAGCCATCTCCTTTCTACCCGCAGTCCTTCACAGACGCACATCTTGTCACCTGACTCCCTCTCAAAGAGTTCAAGGCTTCCCACAGGCACCTGTTGACCTTTCTATTCTCCCCTCACCCTCACCCCACCCTCAAAGGCTCTTTCACTTCCTCAGCGGGTGCCAGGCCTGGACACTTCCCCTAGACTCTGCCCAGTCCTCTGCCTCTAGCCCCACCCACACCCTGCAGCCCGCCCAAGGTCTCCCAGACCTTCCAGCTCCATCCACATCAAAGGGACCTTTGAACGATCAGAAGTGTGTTCCAGCCCCCGGGGGAGACGCCACGGATGCCACAGCTTCAGCTGGCTGGCTCTGGGGTCCAGACCCTACCCCCAGAGCAAGAACCCCTCATTCACAAGACTGAGCCCATCAGACATCCTGGCACAAAGCCCAGGCTTCCGGGCTCAAATCTCAGCTGTCACTCACACTATGCTCAAGCCTCCCCATCTCTCTGCAAAAAGCCTGCTTCCTCATCTGCAAACTGGAAGCAATCATGGCATTGAGGAGGCGTCAGTGAGATGGAGCACACGCAAACGCATGTCCCCCAGCCTTGGCCCACAGCGGCAGCCACACTGTAGTCTATCCTTTTCACATGGGTGTACAGCAGGCCTGACCCATGAGGACCAAGGCCAGGGAAGAGGCAACAGCACCACAGTGCTCATGGGCCAAACTCCCAGGCCACGCAAGTCCCATCTCCAGGGGAAATCCAGGCTCCTGGACCCTGTGCTGTGACTGGAGAGGGGATAGCAGAGTCCCTTCCAAATGCTGTGGGGTGGGCCTGGGGCTGGTTTGCAGCTGTCCCTTCTCCCGCCTTCTCTCCCAAAGCAGGGTGCAGCAGCCTCGTTGATAGGGAGGGCCTTAGTTTCCCCTTCCTCTTTGCTAAGAGCCTCCCTACCCTACTCCTGCCAAAAGCCTAAGATAGAAACCCACCAGGCTGGAGGTAGTGACCAGGTTAGGCCATGGGCTGTAGCCAACTAGCCTCACCCAATATTCCAAGCCCAGGACAGGCTTTCATCTGTGCTGAGAAGCAGTTTACTTCTGTATCCTCAAATACAGCCTGGGGACTCAGTGATTTTGCATTTCTGTTTCTATCCCAATGGCTGAGGTCACAAGCTTTGGGGGAGAGAGGGCACCTGGCAGCCACTTGTCACTGGGATTCAGTCCTAGTCCTGCCTGTCACCCAAAAGCCCCAGAATGACCCAGCTTGGGTCACCTCAGCAGAGGGCAAAGGCCCGCGCTCCTCGGCCTTAGCACCCCAGCCCAGGCTGACCTGGCCTTGAATCACAGGCCCCTGGAACCGCGGGCTGAGCTGCCTGGGCCTATAAACAGGCAGCCGGGATGGGCTTTCCTGGCCCACAGTCAAAGGGCGGCCACTCACCCGCCATAGCGCTGGTGCTGGCGTGGGCCCAGCAGGAGCCGCAGTATTGGGGGATGTGCTGGTTCCGGGTGATGCTGGCATAGTTGACACCATCCACATTGCGCCAGTCCCAGCTCTTGGGCAGATCCGCTGGGGACAGGTACTCATGAGGCCGGGGGTATGTGCTGAGAAGAGATCATCCCCACCCAGATCGGTGCTGGGGCTCCCGGGGGCCGTGGGCCCAGGAAGCCCTCGGTAGGGCCCTCCCGCCTTTCCCAACACCTGAGGGCATGGGAGTGGGGCCACAATCACCAGAGGTGAGCCAGGTGTGGGCCCACCTCACACTAGGAGGCTCCAGCGCTCTCAGAATGTGAAGGAGGCAGGGCACCCCCGAAAGGAGGGAACCGGGTTGCTCCCCCAGCCATGCCGCGCCGTAAGGGCCACCCCCAGAGGCCGAGGAGGTGGGGCTGGCCTGGCTTTCTGGCCAGGTGGGGCTTGTCCAACCCCACAAACATCAGGGCTCACCCTGGATGTGGAAGAGAAGGAGCGACCCCCAAAACGAAGCGGCTGGATCTGACCTTCCAAGGCCTGTTGGCGACGCAGGGCCCCCAGGAGGCAGAGCGCGCGCCTGGCCCGGGCGATGGGCCTCCCGTCCCCCCAGGGCTGCCTCCCCGCCGGTGCCCACCTGCGCCCCAGCGGAGCCAGCCCGTCCCCCCGCAGAGGCCGGTAGCAGGTCTGTCCCCGGCGGAAGTAGAGGCCGCCCTGCGCCGCGCCCGCCAGCAGCACGAGCAGCAGAAGCGGCCGCCACCCTGGCCCGCGCCTCGCCATGGCCCCGCGCCGGCTCCTGGGTCCCGCTCCGGATCCCGCTCCGAGTCCCAGATCCCGCGCCGGCTCCCGCTCTGGATCCCGCCCCGGCCTCGGCCTCGGCCCAGCACCCGGCCGACCCCGCACTTTGGGCCCCTGCCCCGCCCGGCCCTTAAGGCTGCGGCGGCCAGGCCGGGACACTCCCCCGGGGCGGGGCTGTCCCATCGCTGCTCCTGCCCCGCCCGGTGACCCCTGCCCTCCCCGCCCGGCTCCGCGCCCCGCTCCCTCCCTGGCTCCGGGGCACCTGAACTCGCGGGCCAGGCGCGAGGTCGCCGGGCAGACCCCAGCCTGACCCCGCCGCCGGCCGCCGCCCTGAGCGCGGGACTGTCCGGCTGGACTCATTTGCCGGGGTTCCTGGCTTCGGGGTGGGGGGCCGCAGGCTCATGGGCCCCCTTGGCCCTGCATTCCTGGGGCCCTGAGCCCTGGGGAGAGGCCCCCAGCCTCACATCTGGGCCCAGGCCTCCCCTAGGAAGGGATCCTGGGATGCGGCCACCGCCCCCAAAGAAGGGTCCCCGCGCCTGGCTTTCTAAACCCCTTTTCCCAAAGGCCCAGGCCCTTTCGGGGGGACGGTTCCCTTTTGCAGAGAAGGAAGGAGGGATCCTTCTAGAAAATGCCCCAAAGGAAGATTCCACTTGGCGCAGGCATCAGGAGTTATCCAATGTGACTTCCAAAGACGCCTTGAAAAGGTTTTCTGCTAACGAAACTCTTCTTAGTCAAATGAGGAACCAAAAGCAGAAGTGGCCCCCCAGGACGTGGTTTTGTAACTGGGGGAGGGCTTCTCGCTCCCTGCGGCCCCTCTGTTTGTCATGGCCCTTGGGCCCACACCATGGCCTTCTTCTCTGGTAAGAACAGGGCCCGGCATTCTGGGCTGCGACCTGACAGGCCCCTGCTGGGGGCCCTTGGCACAGGGCCCACAGATGAGCTTGCCTGACTCTCTCCATACTCAGTGGCACTCACCACATTCCAAGCGTGCCACGTGGGCAAGGGGAAGTCACAGTGGCTGCCTCCTGACTTCCAGAAGCTTCCATGACCATTCCCGGAAGCGCTGAGGTGGCCATGGAATCCCCGCATGACTGTCCGAGTGGAGAGCAAGGCTGGAGAGCTGCTTCGTCAGCCCAGAAGTTTCAGTCCTTGTTCCCCAAAAAGTGGTCACTGAGGCAAAGTGTGGCCCCGGGGCTCTACCTACTGATGTGTCTCTTATTTGTTTGGCAAGTCGCTCATGGAAACCATTAGTGTCCATCAGTCATCAGAAGGCGGGGTGGGGTGGCCATCCTGGGAGAAGTCCCCAAGCTTGAGCTGGCGGTGGGGGTGGGAGCGAGGCCTCCCAACCTCTGGGCATAAAAGGAGTGGAAAGAGAATTGCCAAGAGGGGGCCTTTCTTCCTCCCATGTCAACCCTCTGGCCTCCCTGACTATAGGAGCTGGGTCCTTGTGAGGAAGAAACCCAGACACAGCTGCCCTTGCCAGGTCATCAGGTGGCATCTACCAAAGCGGCCGGTTTTTGGCTTCTTCTAAAGAAAAAGCTAAGAACTCACAAAATTGTGTGGTAAGAGATATCGTGCCCCTCCCTCCAGGTACCCATAGTTATGATCCAGGTACTGTGAAGTCCAACAGCACATTCTACAGCATGAGAAACAAGCCTGGAGAGGGGAGGGCCCCTTGTGCTTGGCCTCTGATGCCTGAGCTGTGATGTCCTGGGCCCTGGTCCCTGAATCTGGGTGAAAAGGCACCCAAGGTGTAAGCTTTTCTTTCCTGTAGCATGGGGAGAGCTGGGGTGCTCTGAAGATGCCCCGAGACTCTCCGAGCAGGTCCAGCGCATGTAGAAGGTATGACAGGCATGGTCAGCAAGGCAGGCACACGACCCCTGCAGTCACATGAGGCCCTAAGTCCAGAAGTGTAATGCAGAGCTGAACGAGGGGCTCTCCAGGTTCACTGTGCCCTGGGCCCTGCAAATTATGTAGCTGGGTCTGATGACAGCAACCACACCTGCTCCATCACAAGTCCTGTACATCACCCGCTTTCAGCCCAGAGCCTCTGGCAAATCAAACTCACAAACAGGGGTCAGGAGGAGGGGTGAGATGGTCAGGAAGGGGAATAAACATTCACAGTCCTGCTCCCAAATGCTGGCACAAAGCTTAATTTATCTGGGGAGTTCCAAAGAGGAGACTCTCCGGATTTACCCTATTGAAAGTTGGTTAAAGGGAAGGATATTTTTAGGCTGGTAACAAAAAGGACGTCCAAAGTTGACAACTTGTGCCCCCTGGGTTTCCCTAACATAGAAGCAATTCAAGATCAGAATCTGATGGAATAGGGCAGGAAGAGAGGGAGGGAGCCTATCCATTTGAAATCATCATTTACTTTTTCTTTTCTTTTTTTTTTTTTGGAGACAGAGTCTCGCTCTGTCACCTGGGCTGGAGTGCAATGGAGCAATATCGGCTCACTGCAACCTCCACCTCCTGGGTTCACGCAATTCTCCTGCCTCAGCCTCCTGAGTAGCTGGGATTACAGGCACACACCATCACACCTGGCTAAGTTTTTGTATTTTTAGTAGAGATAGGGTTTCACTACGTTGGCCAGACTGGTCTCGAGCTTCTGACCCCGTGATCCTGCCGCCTCGGCCTCCCAAAGTGCTGGGATTACAGGTGTGAGCCACCGCGCCTGGTCTGAAATCATCATTTTCAAGCCAAGAAGGAAGGAAGGGGGCCTGATGAGACTTATCTCTCCAGCCTCTTCTCATGGGTCCAACACAGCAAACCACGCAGAGACAGGGCTCCTCATCTCTGAACCTGGCCCTAGTCGAGTGGATGCATGTCTGGCTGCCAGACTGCTCCGAGAAGCTGGCGGGCTGTGTCATTTTGGGGGTTACTAAAATCGTGCAGCAGAGGATCCTAAATAGGATTTTTGGTTTTCTTGGTTTTGGGGTTTTTGTTGGTTGTTTTTGTTTTTCCCTTAACTCGATGCAAGATCTTAAACATGTTCCTTGTGGGGGCGGGGTTGGGGATGGCCACAAACCCACCCAAACTCAAATTCCAGTGCTGCTATTAGTGAAGGATGTTTAGCTGGAGGAGTTCTCTGAAGGGCACACAGATAAAACCAGGAGGTGTCTGGGACTGGAAAAAGAGGAGGGAGCACATTGGGAACCTGATAGACAGGCCACCCCAGCCATTTCTTGCTGGGGACTGCTTGCTGGGGGTTGAGTTTAGCCCCAGAGCTGTGTCTCTCTCTTCAAAGCAGACTCACCTGCAGAGCAGCTTGGGGACTCTTGGAAACCGGAAAGGTGTTTCCTCCTGACTTGGCTGCAGGTGCCTGCAAGGTGGTTTTGTGGATACTGACTCTTCTTCTCATCTGGGCCGGGATCCGAAGAGGCTTGGGGCAGGGCACTTGGACCTTCCTACCTCTGAGGCCCTACTTGCCTAAGCATTGCTTCTAGCAGCTCTTTATAAGCAGCTGTGTGCCACCGCCTTCCAGCTTGGGGCAGAATTGAGTAGGTATTTAGAGCAAGGCGTCTCCCCTGAAACCACTTTGCCTGGAAAGCTTGGCACCTATCCTGGGTTTTCCTTCCTGGAGGTAATGGAGTCATTCCTGCTCCCAGTGGTGCTTGAGGGCAGAGGGCTGAGCCAATGACATTCTAGAGGACTGTGCAGCCGCATTTGATCCTTTGCACAATGCTGTGAGGTGGGGGTGGGGGTTGGGAGGCAGATGCTATTACTCCATTCTACTGGCGAAAAGACTGAGCCTCTGGAGATGTCAGGTGACCTGTGCTCAGCACGAGGCTCCTGGGTGGCAGGTTCCAATCCAGTCCCTTTTTTTTTTTTTTTTTTTAACCCCATGAATTCTCCTGGAAAACACATGATCCAAGGCCACAGACACAAAAGCCTATTCATTTCTAAAAATAAGGCTGATTTTTCTCCTCATTCTGATAAAGATCAGCACTCAGGCCACGGCTGGCCCACCTTCCCAACCTGGAGGAGGAGAACACAGATGAGTTTTCATCGACTGTGGAATGGCCTCGAAATCCTTTTTCTTCTTCCTTTGTGCCATATTGTCTGGCTTCCACCCCGGCAAGCTGCAGACATTTCCTATTATTCCACATTCCTGAGTTTAGCCACATCCTGGATACCGGCATTTGTTTGGGTGGATGCCGACAATGCTCGCTAGGCTAGGCTGGTTTTGCAGGGCACGACGGTTCCCTCACCAGCTACAGGAGTTCCTCTTGATCCACTTGGTCAACGGGTCAGAGGCACTCGCTAACACCCAGATATCTCTGCAGTGCAGGCCTTCAGATAGGGCGGGCCAGGTTTGCAATCCACCATGCCACTGTCCCCAAGCACCACCATGCATCACATCCTGGCCTGGTTGTGTTATGGGAAAGGGGATCCCAACCCAGATCCCAAGAGAGGGTTCTTGGACCTCACGCAAGAAGGAATTCGGGGAAAGTCCATAAAGTGAAAGCAAGTTTATTAAGAAAGCAAAGGAATAAAAGAATAGCTCCTCCACAGGCAGAGCGGCAGCACGGGGTGCTCAGCTATTTATAGTTACTGTTACTTCTTCATTATACACTGAACAAGGAGTGGATCATTCATGAGTTTTTTGGAAAGGGGTGGGCAATTCCAGGAACTGAGGGTTCCCCCGCTTTGTAGACCATACAGGGTAACTTCCTGATGCTGCTGTGGCATCTGTAAACTGTCATGGTGCTGGTAGGAGTGTCTCTTAGCATGCTAATGCATTA
This sequence comes from Homo sapiens, assembly GCF_000001405.40. Classification (NCBI taxonomy): domain Eukaryota; kingdom Metazoa; phylum Chordata; class Mammalia; order Primates; family Hominidae; genus Homo; species Homo sapiens. The sequence goes on from NC_000020.11 coordinate 59,011,892, forward strand.
TAATTATCATATAATCAGCACTGAGGACAACCAGAGGTCACTTTCATCGCCATCTTGGGTTTGGTGGGTTTTGGCTGCCTTCTTTATCACATCCTTTTATCAGCAAGGTTTTTTGTTTGTTTTTGTTTTTTGAGACAGAGTTTCGCTCTTGTTACCCAGGCTGGAGGGCAATGGCACAATCTTGGCTCACTGCAACCTCTGCCTCTTGGGGTCAAGTGATTCTCCTGCCTTAGCCTCCCGAGTAGCTGGGATTACAGGTGCCTGCCACCATGCGTGGCTACTTTTTTGGCTTTTTTTAGTAGAGACGGGGTTTCACCATGTTGGCCAGGCTGGTCTTGAACTCCTGACCTCAGGCGATCCACCCGCCTCAGCCTCCCAAAGTGCTAGTATTACAGGCCTGAGCCACCGTGCCTGGCCTATTGGCAAGGTCTTGGTGACCTGTACCTTGTGCCGACCTCCTATCTCATCCTGTGATGTAGAATGTCTAACCTCCAAGGAATGCAGCCCAGGAGGTCTCAGCCTTATTTTACCCAGTCTGTATTCAAGATGGAGTCGCTCTGGTTCAAACGCCTCTGACAGTTGCACAGTGACTGGTGGTGCACACTTGCTTGGGAGTGGATGTGGCTCCTTGGGCTGACATTGATGAAGGCAGCCTCATCAGTATCACCTTTGGGACACACCCTGTGCAGCACAGCATGTAACAGACACAGCCCACCCATGAACTCACCAGGAAGTCTTTCAAAGGGGCACTCAATGACTACCCGATTGAATTTGTTTGCCCTCTAAAGTTAGGCTGTCAGCAAATATTTGTTGAGCACCTAGTACGTGCAGGCTACTGTTTTCTTCCCCGGGGATTCGGCAGTGAACAAAGTCCCTGTCTGCAAGGACTTATGTTTTCTGCATAAGGGAACATGTGGAAAAGTAAAATGCTCAGGAGGTAGGAAGTGCTTGCAAACAGTTAAAACGGGGAACAGGAGAGACGGAGGGTCTCTGGAGAAGTTTGGTCTGGGACCATTCTTTTAGGTATCCAGTGAGTTGGGATTGAATAATGACAGTCATGGAAGGTGCTGGAAGGAGACTCAGCAGAAGGAAGAGTGTCTGCAGAGGCCTGAGAATGTGAGTGCACTGGGTAAGTGTGTGATGCACTGGGGAAAGCCCTTGGGGAGGCTGCGGACAGGTGGGCTCAGCCTCCAAGCTGCAGGGACCATGCGGGCACTCAGGCCAGCTTCACACGGCCAGCCCACCTCTCCCCTTCCCTCCCCTTTCTGCCATCTGACAGAGGCTCTGCTGGCCTCCTTCATCCCCCACCTAATTTCCCTGCCCAGCGGGTTTCCCATCCCTGTCTCATGGGGCGTGTGCATTTTGGAAGATCTGAAGGCACACATCGGCCTTCCTTTTGTAAGAGGTTTGGGTTTTCTCCCGGTTGCCACTGGCTTTCCAGGAGGGCAGTGGCTGAGAGCTGATTTCTGTTTGTAAGATCCCTCTGGTGACTGTGGGAAGGATGCTGTGAGTGGAGTCAGCTGTGGGACAGGAAGGGCCCTGGAGGGGAGAGCCACAGGTGATGGATGAGGAATGCTGTTTGAGAGAAGGGGAGAGTAGATGCATCAGGACATCCACCTGGGAGCAGGACTTGCAGGATGCAGTTACAGAGTGAGGAGCAGGGGACGTGAGCACCCCGGGCTCCTGGAGCCTGCCTCTTGGCCCCTTGAATTGTACCCCTGGATGTAGGTGTCTGAGGACCTGCAATCCGTTTCTGGTTCTGCCACATTATCCTGAGACTTGAACATGTCAATTCCTCTCTGAGCCTTAGTTTCTTCTTGAAGGTGGTGGTGTCATGCAGGCTAAACGAGGGAGCATGTGGGAGACGGTGGCGGCGGCAGAGAAACTGGTAAAGACCGGCAGAGCGGGAGGCTAGTGCTGCTTTCACCCTCTAAGTCCCTGGAGGGCAGGGCCCATATTTTCTACTTTTCTGAGGTCCCTCAAAACTAATATATCCGAGATTTCTTGGACAAACACTGGGCTTGAAGAAGTACATATTTTTGTTCAATTTCAGCTCCAGGTGCTGACCCATTTTATGCTTATCTGTTCATGCCACAGAACATCGCTTATCACTAGCTGCAACTTCGGGAGACAGGAAAGATGCAAGTGAGAAGGTTCATGTGTCCATCTCTTAGATCTTCGCGCAGTTCAGGGGAAGTGGTGGTGGTGGTAGGTGTGTGTGTGCGCGCGTGTGTGTGTTATCTCCTGTAAATCAGAGTTGCCACAGCCTGCATGCTGCTCACCAGTGCACCTGGAGAGACAGCAAGATGTTTCCACCCTCTGGGCTTGGAGGCTGGACAGGTGTGAGGAGCAGCCAGAGTCTGCCTGGTACAGGAACCATGAGCATCTCAGCTGTGGGGGAAGAAGGTTAACACTCCTGGCTCAGCGAAAACCAGCAATGTCCTCCTAGTCTCTCTCCTCTTGTAGTTAGTTACTCATCCTCCTAGAACTTTCTTTTCCAGTAAGAGAACACACACCGAGCAGGGTACAAGAAAGTGGAGCTCAGCTCCTCTGGCGGGCTGCCTACACCCGCTGAGTCACCCATAATGGCCCCTCAGATGTCATTTTCTTGCTAAGACATTTGGAAAAATTTCCTGGTTCTAAATCACACGCAAACAGTATAATTCAACAATCTTCTCTGAGTTATTCAGGGAACTTCAACGCACTCAGAAGTGGAAGATCGGGGCGGATGAAATCAATGAATTCTCTGAGTGCTCTGTTTTTCTCTGAATTCTATTTCATTTGCCAAATGGAGGGTGGGGGCAGCTCCATCTGACCCCTGGGGGATAACTCCTGGGGGAAGTCTGGAAGCAGCCGATTCGGGGTTTCTGGGTGACACTGGTTTTTCTTATCTTCCCGGTTCTATTTCTGTAATAGACGCAAGTGTCATGCAGGAAAAGGCTTGCTGCTGCGGAGCCTTCTGTGGATGGCTGTGACAGGCCACTGGAGGAGAGGGTTTCAGGCTCAGGGCTGGGCTGGTCCTGGTTGGGAATCTCAGTGTTGTGGGCCATAGCGTCCTCACCACACTTGCTAGGAGGAAGCTCCTGCCCTCTGGGGCAATGCTTGCTGATCTCCTCACCTAAATGCAGGCACTGCTAACCTGCCTTGGTCACAGCCCTTTGTTGGGGGGGCAGAAAACAACTTTGTCACTCATCACAGTGGCCACTGTGAATCGCTTGCTGCAGCTCAGGACGGGGGCCGTCACCTTCAGCCTGGCAAAACAGACCTTGGGGTCGTGCCGGCATCTCCAGGGGCAGTGTTCGCCTATGTCCTGCACAGGGCCCGCTTCTACCAGTCCGAGGGCAAGGCAGACTGTATTCCCCACCTCACTGCTGGCACTAAGGTGGCAATCAGAGGAGAGCTGTTTCCTCTGGGGAGCAGGTACCTTCAGAAACAAGGACAAGAGAGCTGAGACGGGACGCACGGCTTTCCAGACCTGCTGCCTTTCCTGCCACTCTGTTCTGCCCAGACATTTTAAATTGAGACAGGCCCCGATGTCCACGGCCATGTCAAGTCTGCCACACAGTAGGTGCTCCGTCTGTAGGTGTGGAATGCATCTCCCCCTCCCACCCTGCGAAGCCCACTTGAAAAATACCACCGGCAGCCACACGTTAGGGGTCAGCCCTGGCAGGCCCAGTCCTCACACCGACTTGTGACGTGGGGACTTTTATTTCATTTTTCACGTGAAAAAGTTCAGGTCTAGGGCGGAGATGGGCCCCTGGGTGGCGGAGCTGCCACTCCGTCCCTCACCCTCTCACAGCCCAGCGTCCAAAGCTCAGCACTCGCCTGGCCTGAATTAACATGGCCGGCGATACAAGAATCAAAGCAAACAGGGCTTCTCTCTTTTTCCTCCTTTTTGCCAACTGCCCCATTAACAGAAAAACCTTTTAAGCGCCCACCTGGAAACCTGGCTTTTTCCCCTCCCTAAGCAAACTAAGATGGCCAAGAGGAATGTGCTGCAGTGCGGAGGGTGGGCGGAGGACCCCAGCAGCCTGGATCCTGCTCACATGGCAAACAGTGAACCCAGGCAGACCAGAAATGCCCCTTGGGCCCAGCCCCGTGGTCCCTGCAGCAAGGCGGTTTGTGGCCAACAGGGGCTCCTTTCAGGAGCTGGGCCACAGAAGGCCACGGCTGCCCACCGGTCACACCTTCCCGTAATAGCTCACTGCGGTTATTCCATCTATAGTCTGTCCCCAACATCCAGGTTTCTTGGAACAGTTTATATCTCCAGCCTAGACCACCTCTTATGGAATGGAGGAAAAAGGTGACCCCACCTGGAGAAGGACACACTCGTGAATAAATACATCACTGGCTTTAAGAACACAGCCCGCTCTGAGCATCACTGCTCAAACCTGCCCAGCTGTCAGTGTGCCCTTAACAAACATTTACTGAGGCCCTGCCATGGATCAGGCACTTTGGGGACTCAAAGATGAAACGACACAGGCAGCTCCCAGGCTGGCGGGAGATAAGGCATGTGTATAAGTAATTAGCAAACAGGACTGTGTGTGGGCACTGCAGGTTGAAGTGCTCTGGTCCCCAGGAGAGGAAGTGTCTCTGATGAGGGACCTGCCTGTGGGAAGATCATGGAGCTGTCTTTGATCTTCGGAGAAGTCTGGTAGGCAGGGGCCCCTGGGTGGGGAGGGAGGCTCGGGAGAGCTGGTGGGGACAGAGACAAGGGGAAAAGAGGCCAAGGCACGCCAGGAGAAAGGCTGGAAGTGAGGCAAGATGGGCTAATGTCTATGGAAACAGAATGGTCTATTCTTAATTTTAAAATGGTCTGTTTTAATTTCTGAAAAATATTGCTGGGGACCTATGAATAGGTCTGTTTTAATTTAAACAGATCATTAATAAAATGGTCTGTTTTAATTTCTGAAAAATACTGCTGAGGACCTGTGAATATCCTCCTCTTGAATTTGCACATTCTTCTCTTTACCTTTGGGCAGGGAGGAGGGGTGACTGGACCGGAAGCATCTGTGAGTCATGTGACATTCAGGTTTGAGCACAAAAAAGTTCCAAACTTAGAGAAATGTTACAAGGGTATTAATCTTGTGCTAACTTTGAAAAGAACCAGCAATTGTTACCACTTTGCCCCTTTGCTGAACTGCCCTCTCTCCGTTTATCACGTTATGTGGTTGTGGAACTGTTTCCCAGTAAGCTGCCAGCATCAAAACGACCTTGAAGCACAGTGCTTCATAATATGGGATCTCCTGGAAACAAGGACTTCCACTTAGAACCACCCTGCCATGATCAAAGTCAAGAAATGGAACACTGATACAATACTATTTTCCAGTGTACACAATCCTTATTTGAATTTTGACAATGATCCTCATACCATCCTCTATAGCAGCCCTCTTCCCTGGTCCTGGATCCAGCCCAGGATCATGGGGTGCACTGTCAGTACTCAAGGGCAGCCTGGGATCTACACACTAGACAGAGGTGAGAAGCAGTCCCAGTCCAGGCACTCTTAGGACACAGTGCTTTCTTCTTCCCCACCTCTGGGTTTCTCTTCTGGTTTATAGCTCAGGCCCTTTGGCTGTGTGTTTGAGCTCCTTTGGGAGTAAGCAGAAGCGATTTCCCCCAGACACTCCATCGTTAGGAACTTTCCTGATTGTGTTCCTGACCTCACATCCTGGGCCCCACCAGGCCTGTAGAAGGAACACAAGGTTTAGGAGTCAAGCCTGGGCTTGGGGCACAGGAAGCACAGGCCCCTCATGGACCAGGCTGGGCTCCAATGCTTCAACCAAGGTCACGGGTCTGGCGAGAGGCAGGGGAGGGAAGGACCTCCAGGGCTTCTCGCTCTGAGTTCAGTAGTCTTGCCTGTCCTGAGTCCCTGTCCTGAGAGATGGTGTCCTTGAGCTGCTCCAGAGCTAGGAGTGCTCTCTTCCTAAGTAAGCCAGAGTTCCAAGAGTGCAGGATCTGGCCACATCTACCTCCTTCATTCCCTTGTCTGCAGCGCCCAAGGTGAGCCCAGCCTATGACAGGTCCCCGTCCATAGCTGTTCAAAGAATGGGGGCAACCTCAGGGTGCCCGGCAGACGTTAAAGAGAGGCCTCAAGAGGTGGTTGCTCACCGGATGGTGGTTGTCCACATCCTCGGGGCTTCAGGAGTGAGGCCTTGCCCTGTACCTGCCCACCTGCACCTCGACAGCTCAACAGGCACAAGGCAGCGTCCACTGGCTCTCCCCTTCCGAGCCAGGGCTCTCACGCCTTCTCAGGGAGTCCCTTCCCCATCTTCCTTGGAAGCTTCCACCTTCTGTCCTCCAGGCGGTGGGGAACTGCCACCCTCCTGGGCAAGGATATGGAGCTGGTGTTTGGCCTGGATGCCCTTGCCTGGTTGGAGGTAATAAAGCCTAGGGCTGGCTTTCGACGATGATAGAAACTTGGTGGCAGGGGAGGTACTGAGGACCAGGAGACAGAACAGCTGCTTTCAAGCTGCTGAGTACCCAGCCTGCTGCCACTCCTGTACACCGCATGAGGGAATGCTTTTTTTTTTTTTTCTGACAGAGTCTTGTTTTGTCGCCCAGGCTGGAGTGCAGTGGCATGATCTCGGCTCACTACAACCTCCGCCTCTCAGGTTCAAGCGATTCTCCTGCCGCAGTCTCCCGAGTAGCTGAGACTACATGTGTGTGCCACCACACCTGACTAATATTTGTATTTTTAGTAAGAGATGGGGTTTCGCCATGTTGGCCAGGCTAGTCTTGAACTCCTGACTTCTGGTGATCTGCCCACCTTGGCCTCTCAAAGTGCTGGGATTACAGGAGTGAGCCACCACACCCGGCTCTAAGGGAATACAATTGGGAGTCCGTTTTGCTCTTGGAGAATTCAGGGTCTGGTAAAGGGACCCTATGGCAAACATTAAGACCCCAGACACCATGAGCTGAGATGGGACGACAGAGCAGGGGCTGGGAAGGGTGCTGGGGCACAGCCCAGCCCTGGCATGGATAGGGCAGGGGTCCAAGAGACCTGCAGGACACTGCAGAGTAACTTGCATACAGGGCGAGAGAGGGCATGTGGGGGAGGGCGGGCAGACAGTGCCTGATGCAGGCCATCCCGGGACCTGGGACCTGCGAGGCCCAGTTGTGGAGCCTCCTGCTGTGGCGGGGCACGGGGCTTCTGGGGACCAAAGTCTGGAAAAGGGGCCGGGAAGATGGACAGGGAAAGCCCTTGGAGGTGGTCTGGTTACCTGGGTGAGCTAGGAGCCACAGTCATCATACCACGGTCACTAGGGCCAGCATGGTCACCTAGAAGCCTGCAAACAGTGCCAGCCTCCAGGCCCTGTGCCCCGAGGTGGCCTTTAATCTTGCACTCACTCTCTAGGAAATGATGGGGCAGTATTCTGTGTTGAGGGAGGAAAAACACTCCCTTCCAAAAGCATGACAGGCAGAAAGCAGAGAAGGGCCAGGACTGGCTGAGGGCGGGGAGCTGGGCCTCTGGGGTGGACACACCCTTGGTCACATTGTGAGGGTAGCTTGGTTGGCCAGTCCCACCACTGCAGTGACCACAGTTGTGTTGGGCTCACACCAGTGAACCGAAGCTCTGGATTCTGAGAGTCTGAGGATTCCGTGAAGATCTCAGACTTGGGCTCAGAGCAAGGATGCGTGAAATTGTCCATATTCAGATTGGCCAGTGTGGCAACCAGATCGGAGCCAAGGTAAGTAATGTCTGGTTACTAATCCTAGCTTTACCACAGTCCATAGAGGCGGACAACCAAAAAAATACCCTAAGTTAGCAGGGAAGACAATAAGTCTAGCAGATTTAATGTACTTGCTAAATATCAGACAATGCCTTTGGGCTTTAATTCTTAAAAAAAAATTTCACATGGGAAAAGAAGGAAACAATCTTTAACTAAAGAGCTACAACACACATTAAGTGCTTAGAGTGTTAATTTAATTAATGTTAATTTTATCCATAGATACATATGTACAATACATGCCGACCATTATATTACATAATACGTTTATCATCTTTTTCTTTGCCCACTCTGTTGCCCAGGCTGGAGTAGAGTGGCAGAATCATGGCTCACTATAGCCTCAACCTCCTGGGCTCAAGCTATTCTCCTGCCTCAGCCTCCTGAGTAGCTGGGATTACAGGCATGCACCACTATGCCTGGCTAATTTTTAAATTTTTTTTTGAGAGACAGGGATCTCACTTTGTTGCTCAGGCTGGTCTTGAACTCATGGGCTCAAGTGATCCTTCTGCCTCAGGCTTCCAAAGTGGTGAGATGACAGGTGTAGGCCACCGTGCCTGGCACTTTTATCATCTTTTATTTTTTTGAGATGGAGTGTCACTCTTGTTGCCCACGCTGGAGTGCAATGGCGCAATCTTGGCTCACTGCAACCTCCACCTCCTGGGTTCAAGTGATTCTCCTGCCTCAGCCTCCCCAGTAGCTGGGATTACAGGCATGCGCCACCACGTCTGGCTAATTTTGTATTTTTAGTAGAGATGGGGTTTCACCATGTTGGTCAGGCTGGTCTCGAACTCCTGACCTCAGGTGATGTGCCCGCCTGGGCCTCCCGAAGTGCTGGGATTATAGGCGTGAGCCACTGTACCTGGCCCACTTTTATCTTAACAATGAACTTTTCATATCTAAAAACAGTAATTTGTCTCAAAACAGCTTTTTGAAGTTTTTTGAGAAACTTTCTGTACCCTGTCACTATGGTGTCTTTCCCCTCCCCTCTCATGTTTATTGTAACGCTTAAAAAAAATCAATTACTGTTTTATTAGTATGCAATTGAAAATTTAAGAAATTTAATTGAAAATAAAAGTTTTTTGTGTACAGTAACATAATTAATTAAAATACACTGTCTGGAATATAAATGAGTTTTTCTTTCCCTTGCCCCCCTGCTTAAAAATTTCCCCCAAGTACGTAACTTAATTGGCCAACCCCAAGAACACAGATGCCCGAACCCACAATCTCCAATCTTGATTTTAAGATGACCAATTGCACCGTGCAAAATTTATCGTGTTCTCTTTGCTGCTGTGAAATTACTTTTACTAATATGAGATGCATTAAAAGTGAGGTTTTGAAACACCTACATTCATCATCCATCAATGACACTTGGGTTGTTTCTGCCTTTTGGCTACTGTGAGTAATGCTGCCAGGAAACAACTAAGGCTTTTAAATGCAGGCGTTTTAAACCGGGGGCAAGGAACATTACTGCTTGAAAAGAAGTCACCATTCCTCCATGCCTCAGGGGTAAGACATTCATAACTCACACACAGAGAAGTGGGAGGCAGGAGCCCTGCTGCTCTGAAGCTGGAAGATAATACGGAAAGGGGCCCTCAAGAGAAAGTGTTAGGTTTAGATAGGGTTTTAGCTCTCACTCTGGAATCGTATGGTCTAGCGTTGAGAGTCCTGGCTGACTCATCATTTAGAGATATAAGAACTTTAAGACACATTTAATTTGGGGTATCTTAGAACTTGAATTTATTTATTCTTCCACTCCCTGAACAGTGCTGGCAGTTTACCATGAACTGCCTTGTTATTAAGACCATGGCCAGAGCAGCACTGTCATTTAGAAGATATGGCTGGGGTTTTTAACATACCCTTGGGGATTTTAATATATGTGAATACATTTTCATTGCATTTTAATATGTGCCTTTCAGGGTGATCAAAAGGAGTCTTCCCAGTAACTGTTTCCATATTAAGAGCTTGGCACATATCTATATTAATAAGTACTGTGTATGTGACTGGAAGTGCAGTATGTTTCAAATAGTTACCAGAGGACAACTATGTGTAATTGTGAGTTGTATGTATACCTGACAATCAAAAATGCACATTACTGGCCGGGCACAGTGGCTCACGCCTGTGATCCTAGCACTTTGGGAGGCCGAGGCAGGTGCATCACCTGAGGTCAGGAGTTTGAGACCAGCCTGGCTAACATGGCAAAACCCTGTCTCTACTAAAAATGCAAAAATTAGCTGGGCATGGTGGTGGACGCCTGTAATCCCAGCTACTTGAGAGGCTGAGGCAGGAGAATTGCTTGAACCCAGGAGGTGGAAGTTGCAGTGAGCCAAGATTGTGCTACGGCACTCCAGCCTAGGTGACAAGAGTGAAACTCTGTCTCAAAATAAATAAATAAACAAACAAACAAACAAACATAAAAAAATAAAAAAAAGAAAGAAAGGCCGGGTGCTGTGGCTCATGCCTGTAATTCCAGTACTTTGGAAGGCCAAGGAGGGTGGATCACAAGGTCAAGAGATAGAGACCATCCTGGCCAACATGGTGAAACCCCGTGTCTACTAAAAATATAAAAATTAGTTGGGCGTGGTGGTGCGTGCCTGTAGTCCCAGCTACTCAGGAGGCTGAGGCAGGAGAATCGCTTGAACCCAGGAGGCGGAGGTTGCAGTGAGCCGAGATCACGCCACTGCACAGATAAGACTCCATCAAAAAAAAAAAAAAAAAAGGCGCTAATTACTTAAAATCATGCACAGAGGTCCAAGTTATGGGCTGTTTGGAAAAGTTCATGAAAAGAAATCCCCAAAGTGAAATGAGTTATTACTGTGAAATCAGATAAGAATTCAGTTTATTTTCCTTTAATGGAATCTACACTTTACTAGCTTGGAGCATTATAAGGAGAAATTAGAGCTATATTGACATTAAATTCTAAAACAACAGCTTTAATGTATATAATGGCATGAATTTAATAGGAGGAAAATCCAATTTAGTACTTTGTGTTTGACATTTTATTTAAGGAGTTCAGGTGGGGAGAAAATGCAATCTTCATATTACTTCACATTGCTTAGTAGAGGCAAAAAGCGAATGATGCCATGGTTATTTATGAAAAGGCCCTAAAAGAATGTCTTGGGGAGGGTCAGGCAACCAGAGGGAAACAGGCTTGGGAATGCTAACTTTCTCTGTGGTTAACACAGCCTTTTTCGGGGTCCGTTTACTCTGACCTTCCTCCTGCTTTCAGTTCTGGGAGATGATTGGTGAGGAACACGGGATCGACTTGGCTGGGAGCGACCGCGGGGCCTCGGCCTTGCAGCTGGAGAGAATCAGCGTGTACTACAACGAAGCCTACGGTAGGACTGGCGGGGCTCTGGGAGCAGTGGTCCCGCAACTGGGAACACAAGCAGAGGAAGGGCAGAGGCCCAGGAGATGGAAATGTCAAAGCAGTGATGTCTATGCTCAGGGAGGCGACAGGCAGGGCAGCAGGATCCTAGAGTGGTGGGTCCCCAAGCCCTGGTCAAGACGCAGGAATGGGGAAGGAGCTGCTGGATATGGCACACACCTTAACACAAGCAGGTTAAGTACTCACTTTCCTTTGTGGTTTCACAAATGAAACCAGGATCATTTCCAATATGAAGGAAGAGAATCTCTGTCACTGGCAATATCACAGAGCAGACTGATGGAGATTGTTTCTGGGTATTCTATAGATTTGTGGGATTGTTGTTGGGGTAAAAAATATGATGTTAGATACTCAAATCTCGACCTACCAAGGGCCCCTTTCTAGAATATCCATGATTTTTTTTGGACCAGTATCACAAAGTTCTATTTTGATAAAACATTAACTTTTAGAAAAACAAGTAGGCTGACTTTTTCCTATTTTTCTACACAGGTAGGAAATATGTGCCCCGAGCAGTCTTGGTGGACCTAGAACCTGGGACGATGGACAGCATTCGATCTAGCAAATTAGGAGCTCTCTTTCAACCCGACAGTTTTGTCCATGGTATGTTTTTCCAGAAGGTTCCACCAGGAGGAGGGGGGGATGCTTTACTGGTGCCCTTCTCTTTTCACCTTTCTTCCCCTGCTGGTTTCTCTTTTTGGCCACAGGTAACTCTGGGGCTGGCAACAACTGGGCCAAAGGCCACTACACGGAGGGAGCCGAGCTGATCGAGAATGTCCTAGAGGTGGTGAGGCACGAGAGTGAGAGCTGTGACTGCCTGCAGGGCTTCCAGATCGTCCACTCCCTGGGCGGGGGCACAGGCTCCGGGATGGGCACTCTGCTCATGAACAAGATTAGAGAGGAGTACCCGGACCGGATCATGAATTCCTTCAGCGTCATGCCTTCTCCCAAGGTGTCGGACACTGTGGTGGAGCCCTACAACGCGGTTCTGTCTATCCACCAGCTGATTGAGAATGCAGATGCCTGTTTCTGCATTGACAATGAGGCCCTCTATGACATCTGCTTCCGTACCCTGAAGCTGACGACACCCACCTATGGGGATCTCAACCACCTAGTGTCCTTGACCATGAGCGGCATAACCACCTCCCTCCGGTTCCCGGGTCAGCTCAACGCAGACCTGCGCAAGCTGGCGGTGAACATGGTCCCCTTCCCCCGCCTGCACTTCTTTATGCCCGGCTTTGCCCCACTCACGGCCCAGGGCAGCCAGCAGTACCGAGCCCTCTCCGTGGCCGAGCTCACCCAGCAGATGTTCGATGCCCGCAATACCATGGCTGCCTGTGACCTCCGCCGTGGCCGCTACCTCACAGTGGCCTGCATTTTCCGGGGCAAGATGTCCACCAAGGAAGTGGACCAGCAACTGCTCTCCGTGCAGACCAGGAACAGCAGCTGCTTTGTGGAGTGGATTCCCAACAACGTCAAGGTGGCTGTCTGCGACATCCCGCCCCGGGGGCTGAGCATGGCCGCCACCTTCATTGGCAACAACACGGCCATCCAAGAGATCTTTAATAGGGTCTCTGAGCATTTCTCAGCCATGTTCAAAAGGAAAGCTTTTGTGCACTGGTACACCAGCGAAGGGATGGACATAAACGAATTTGGGGAAGCTGAAAATAACATCCATGATTTGGTATCCGAGTACCAACAATTTCAAGATGCCAAAGCAGTTCTAGAGGAAGATGAAGAGGTCACGGAGGAGGCAGAAATGGAGCCAGAAGATAAGGGACATTAACTGTGAGAGAAGCTGTGCCGCGGAGTCGCTTACAGAACAGTTTCTCATTAGATGAGTGTTTCTCCTGCAGCACTCCAAAACCCACTCTGCACTGCAGCACAGTGAATGATATGCACTCACCATTAGCTTCGACACAGGGACTGAGGGAGACAGGTGGGGAGCAGCTGACAGGCATTAGGGTCTTTGCTGACATCTACTAACCTTGAAGAGTTTGATGTTCAGTGCATACTTATTAACTTAAAAAAATAGCAAATTTATTGTAAAGTGCTCCCTTTGTTTCAAAGTGTTTGCCAGGCATCCAGACTACACGTGTGGATTTGCAGGGAGCCACTGGAGTTGGTGTTACATTTTTATACTTTAGCAGCACTGATAGGCACCCTGGAATCCTCACTTGGTATCCGAGGGCTACTAAGACTCTTTCCTTAGGTTCTTTCCTCTGAGCAAACACTGACTGGCATCCTGCTTTCCAGTGCCTGCCAGCCTCCAGAAGAGCCAGGTGCCTGACTAGTACATGGGGAGCTACAGAGCCAAGGTCAATGTGAGTCAACATCCACTAGAAATATCCATGTTGTGTAGACCTGTGCATACAACATGCTAACTGGAAAAGAGGAAAAAAGAAAAGCCACAGTCCTCTCCACAAAAATACCTGGTCCAAACAAGAAAAACAAAAAGACAAGCAAAACTAAAGAACTGCAGTCTTCTGATCTTTATTTCTGAAGAGCTAGCCTTTAACATATATGTTTATATAGTTTAAATTTCTTACTACTGTTAGATCCCAGGAATTCATTAATAATCATCCTTGGCTTTCCTTTTAAAGGCTATTTTGAAATGGTCTTTTCACTTTCATTCAGTCATCACCCCCCAAAATGCTCTGCAGCCTCTCTGCTCTTTGAGAAAGGGCACACCATGCGCTCGGCAACCATTCAAATGCAGGAATTAAGCAGCAATGGCTGCAGTGTCCTTCTCAGTTATGGAGGACATCGTCTCATTAGGGAACTTTTACAGTTCAAATTAATTTGCAGAAGTTGCCATAAATGTTTGCATAATGACATAGCTTTAAGCACTACATGATTTTAATCTGCTCACATTATAACAGGACCAAATACACAAGAGCGTAATCAAATCATCTGTAACTTCTTAATTACAGTTTACCTATTTCTGACATGCAGCACTGCCATCTCTTCCAGCACCATCAGGGTTTTAATGGCCCTCTAGAATTACCACTGAGATACACTATTTGATCCATGGATAACCGGTAATGGGAAAATGCTCCGACCCTCAATGCAGTAAATATTTACTTGCAGGCAACTGGGTTCTCATCTCTTGATTTGCTTTTGTAATCAGCAATAATAAAATAGCAGGTAGATGGATGACAGTTGCTCATTCTGAGAAACTTCACTCTTTTCACTTATGCATCACGAGGAAATAACTAAAATACATACCAAGAGAAAAATACCTTGCCATCGGATCATCAACAAGTCTTCTATTTACAAACTTCAAAAAACACAAAACAACATTCATGTTTTAAATGCTTTCTACTTGTGGTTCAAGAAGCACTAGATTTAGTAAGAAACTCTACCTATATACTTAGTTTGAAGTTAGTAACTTCCTGAGATGCTAAAGACTTACAGCCTGCGATTATACAAGGATTTACACATGCTTCCTCTGGTGCTTTACTTCCCAAACCTAAAAAAGCAATGAAATAGATGTAAGGAAGGAGGGATTTAAACCTTTTAAAAAACTTTTGCTGACTTATATTACTGTAAAGATTTGTTTGCTCAATAGTAATCATTAAACTACAAAGTAATTCAATTTTAAATGGCAAAATTGCTTTATTTCAGACTAAATAAATTCCTTTTCTTGAAGCCTAACCATCCAGACTGAGTAGTTAAAAATATTTAGAAATGCATCTCACCATCCTACTCTTTCGTATGGTAGAAATAGATGTAAAAACACAAAACAAACTAGAAACTTAAGAAATCTGTCCCTTTTGATTTTGAAGAGCTTATCCTTTAGCAGTACGGTTGCTCCAGCGACCTTGGTCTCTCAGAGCAGCAGCATCACCGAAATTTAGAGCTTATCCGATTCCTTCACTTTGCTCACAAGAACGATGTGAACTAAGAGATTAACTGACAGCTTCAAACATCATCCAACTAATTAGTGGGATACTCATTAAGTTGGTCTGACTGGGGTCACCTCATCACTGGGCACAGTCATCCTGCCAGCTACCCAGCACTGCTGGAGGCAGGAAGTTTATTATACTACTGGTTTAGGATTTTTTTTTAATCACGGAGAAAAGAGCCTCTAAGAATCTCTGCTGACAGTAAACTTGTCTTTTACTCAGTGACTTCACTCCTTTCCATATCACAAGCCCTGTCCCTAAGTCTCACCTCTAATTACCCCATCTGCCTCCTTAATAATATACCATCTCTATACCAATAATCTACCAATATACTACCAATCTACTATGCCATCTATATACCAGTAATACCCCATCTGCCTCAACATACCATATACCAATAATCTGCCAATATACTACCAATCTACCATACCATCTATATACCAGTAATACCCCATCTGCCTCCTTAACATACCATCTATATACCAATAATCTACCAATATACTAGCAATCTACTATGCCATCTATATACCAATAATACCCCATCTGCCTCCTTAATAAATGACTTATCTCTAATTACTTGACTGGAAATCATTTAGCCCCTTTGCCTATTAGTTACTTTATTCGTCCCATGTCAAAAAGGCCCGATAGCTTTTTGATTCATTTATTCCTGTTCCCTGTAATGGAGGATACTTCCTAGTACCTTAATCTTGGGGGCCACAGCACTGAACTGAGGTGCCCTAACTTGCCAACAGCAGGATGACAGCTCCGAGGCGGAGGACTCCAAGGGCTCCTAACCTGCTGTTTTCCAGAGGCACCCTCTTCCACTCAATTGGCTCTGCCTCCCTGCTCGCTCTGTGCTGAGAATTCAGTAAAACCTACAGGTCAAGTGTCGGGACAATAAGTCATTCCCAGAAGCCGAGAACAAAGATGTTCTTTTCGGCTTATCCTCGGCATTGCTGACAGTGGCCCTGATAAATCATTGTGAGCTTAAGTACCATGTGAGAACTGATCCTAGAATGGTGTTTCAAAATTTCCAGTTCAAATTTATTTCTCCAGTCTCCAAAAACAGTTAAAATCAGGCAGTTAACTTTGCAATGGTGTTTTACTTGCCCAAGCCCTTTCAAGTTTCAAAGAAAGATAAAAACATAACTTGCAACAATTTTTCATCCCTAAATAATGAATGAATGAATCACTATGGAAATACCACGAAACTGCTGTTGTGGTCACCGTGTCCCAGACTTGCAGTCAAAACTCCTAGGTTTTAATTTCAGTTTGGCCATCAACTCAATGAGCAAGTTATTCAATAGCTTTGCCTCATTTCCTATGAGAAATGCTACCAGAGTATAAAGATTCATTTACAAAACAATGTGAAAAACACTTTGTGCTTAAATTCTGTAACCGTTCTTATCTATAGGCTTTAAGTGCACAATACAAAACAAGTACAATTTAGTATTTCTTCTTCTAATCTACACTTTTAGTATTTAATAATTATTTCCATTTGTTACTGATAACCATGTCATTATTCTGACATGACAACAATTCAAAAATAAGGGACTACGAAGCCTCAATGACAGCAGATAATTTTGATCACCAATTAATGTCATGAAACAACTATTTTGAGACATTTTCAAAATGCTTTCTGTATCCCTTTGGTCACTAAATATTAAATCTGGCTTCCCCTGCTTTTAAGAAACCCTGGTTCACATGGCCATAATCATGCAGCTGTGCAGACAGTTCCTTTAAAGAAAATGAAAAAGTCTCACAAACTAAAATCAAGAGTAACAGTGAACCATATTTCAATTTATTGACATTGTCAATTTATGAACAAGACAGGATTTTTTTTTTTCCCATGGAATGAGATCCTTTTCAATCTGCCATAACATGTGCCCACACATCTTCACCTTGGAAATGTAGCATTTCAAGCTTTAGTCAGGGTCTAGGAGGAAAAAGAAAATGCAAGTTGCTGGCTAGTTCTCTGTGTTTTCTTAAAAACTCAACATGAATATAAGAAATAACTTCCTTATAGTGAACTGTATAACTGTGGCTATCATTCACATTGCCGTGGCTCAGATGTAAAAAGTGCTGGTTCAAGTACACAGGCTTAGTCAAGCAGGCATTTTCCTGCTGAGTAAAAGTAAACACTCTCCCAGAATAAAGAAACTACTTTGCCTTTAAAAGACACTAACATCTCCTTGTGCTAATGAGGTGGGGTCTGTAACCCTGAAGGGCATAACAGAGAGGGGCTAATGCTTTGTTTAAGGGGATCGGACACTACTTCCTGACCCCCAGGACTTTGCAAAATCTCAGCATTAGATGCAGTCTGGCAGCTCTGAGCCGAGTGAGGCTAAATGATTTTCTGTTAGCTTACTGTTAAAACAAAACAACCCAACATAAAACCAGGTCTCATTACTCAGAATTATGAGATTAGACAGAGAGCCCCTAGAAAAAGGGCTAAATTCAAAACACTGCATCTCCAGACTTGTAATAAAATATTTACTAATTCAAAATGAAAATGAAAAGTGCTTAGGGGAGACAGTTCCAATAAGTAAAATTGCTCATAACCATAAGCTGCCAAAGGATTAATATTTATCACATTTCTGTGCTATTATGGGTCTGAAGCTTTTTAAAAGCAAAACAAGAAAAATTAAATCTGAAAAACATCTCTCTGATAATTTGCCTTGCCTACTTTTGAAATAACAATGTCAAGAAAGTACTTTAGAGATCAAACCACTTTTATAATGTGGAACACAAAAGTCTACACTTATCAACTGTACAGACCTTTTTATTTCACGAGAATTTAACTTTACATCACCAACATCTTTGGAAAAGTAAAATGAACCAAACCCTCTGAAAGCATAATAAATTAGCAAAACAGTATTCGCTGCGGGGTCTTGCAGATTTTATTGCTTGATACAACAGCAGGACCCTTGCCTGTGCCTGTAGTTATTATGTTCGGGAAGTAGTGATTTGTGAGAACATTAGTGGTTGTGGGGGAAATAAAAATGTAAAGAACTGTAGTTTTTCATGCTCTTGGACTGTTATGTAACTCCAATTGCAATTATACAAGTGGGGAGTTCATCCTCCAAATTATTTGATTTGTGCAGACAAATGAAACAGGTTTAATTCAAATACGATGGCTCTCTACCTAAGCATTGCTAAATGAACTGAAAATCAATGTGCCAATTACTTCTGCTTGTCAGGGCCCAAGAAGACTTTCTTTTTATTAGGCCAGGGGACTTCTATAACCTGCATGCTTTAAATTATACCATCCCAATAACTAACTTCCAAATACACTGACTAAAAAATGAATAGAACCCAAAACTAAAATTATTTTGATCTTTATGGTGCTCCAAAAACTTAAGATGCAACTGTTCTTCTAAATAAATCCATAACTTACAGATTATTCCTTCTTTACTTTCACAATTTTTACGTTGCTGCCAGAAGTCTTCTCAGCATTTGCTTTGAATTCTGTCTTCAGTGCATCTCTCACTGCTTTTGCACAGATCTGGGAGTATCGGATGTAGCTGGGAGAAAATGAGAGAAGGTATATGGTTAATTATCAATATTCCAGCCAGACAGCTGTTACTGTGTTTTCGCTTTTCTTCCTGTACTTTTTATTTTGGTTTGGTTGTACCTTATTGTAGAATTGGATTTAAAAATATGACTAATGCCAAAAAGTATCTATACAAAGAAAAAGAACTAGAAAAAAATGTACCAAAGTATTAACTGGTGTTTGGATGGATGATCTTTGATTTTTCTTCTTTGTACTGTGTTTTCTCTTTAGTGTATATTAATTCAAAATGAAAGATGCATAAATGTTTTTAAAAATCCCACAGCATAGAAAAAAAGAGACTGAAATGTTTAGAGACTATAACATGAATCATGAATTCTCTCCTCGATTTCTCTCCTTAAAACTTTAATTATATTATTCTTGGAAAATGAGGTATACATAAGAGAAAACTATTTTGAATTAAAACAATTCGTTCTAAATTATTTAAACTCTTCTCTGAGAATACTGAATTCTGTCTCACAAGTCTGCCACTGAAAATAACCTCCTAATGAAGATTTCTAAATCAAACTGAAAAGTGCTTAGAGAACATCATCAATTCTAGCAAAACTGTAAAACCTGCTTCCTGTTTGGTAGATGGACTCCCATCAACACTGTAGTTTCCAAAAGATGTCAGATCACCTTTCCCACTTTTGAAAAACAGGAAGCGGGGAGGGGTGCTATTTTCTCATGTTTTAGAATTTATTTTGGGGACTCAGAGGTATGAGTTCCAATGCCTGCTTCCATTCTTACTAACTGGGTGACCTTCAGGCTGTTCAACCTTTTCAGCACGTTTACTCACTCACCTGAAAAAAACAACAGAATAAAAGGACAATAATACCTGTCCTGCTGATAGCTGGGAGGAGGAAAAACAAGTGTGAAAAAGTATGGATCACAGGGTAGGTTGCCTAATAAACGGTATCTACTACTGGGACTATCATCCTTCCATCCTTCCAATTCTACAAGACTTCGCTGGCTTGACCTCAGCAAGTCGGGAAGCTCCGCTGTAGTGTACCCACAAAATGTAAAGTGCTACACCATCCAGTCAACTAACAAGGTGTGTCACCTAGAGCAAGGTACTTCTGCTCACTCAGGTGCACGGGTAAAAAAAAATCGGATGTGACAGCTAGACCAATGGTTTGCGGTTCCACTATGAGACACCATGTCCTCAAGTGGGTTCCATATTTGAGCTTTCCAGGAGCCACCTCTCATCTTTGTGAGGGGCTCTCGACAGTTATGGCTTTCACCCCTTTTAGACATAAGGAAACCTGAAATCAACAGGACTTAAAAGTTTAAAAAAAAAATGTGTAAAGTTGTAAAAGGCTCCACCTCGATGCTGGATTAAAGGTCAAAGCTGCTAACGGCGGTCACGTGGAGAGAAATCTCCTGTTTCCCGAGGTGGATGTGACTGTACTACTTTCACCACCTGGCTCCAGCACCATTCTAGAAGAAAAAGGTTTGCTAAATAAGAGCTGGCCTCTCTCTCGAGAAACCTGCCATTCACAAAGGTGTCCAGGGGCACTCTGTGGGTGCTGGGCCGCACCGTCGGGAAGCGAGGCAGGACACAGACGCGCTCCCACGCGAGGTCGAGGCCGCGCCCGCCTGAGCGCTTTGCCCACAGCGACGCCATCTTGGCGGCGACGCCCGAGGCTTGGCCCAACCCCGGTCACGCGTGGGGCCGCTGCTCTGTGTCCTGCATGACCTCTGGGCACCGGGATGCGCGCGGGCCGGCTCGCGAAGCCCTTCCCTCTGGAGGCCTGGGCCTACCTGAGTCCAGCCTGTCTCCAGTAGGCCACCATGCTGTAGCGAAAGCGGAGCTCGTCGGGCCGAATCGCCAAGACGCCGGCAATGTCGGCTCAGCCGGGCGGTTCAGCCGCAGGAAGATCAGACCACAGAAGCGGAAGAGGCGGGGCGTGCGGACCTGCCAATCACCGCCTCCTACCCGGCCCCGCCCCTGAGCACGGCCCCTGCTGCCCTGCCGCGGAAGCCCCCCGGCGCCGGGAGCCAATGGGCGCGCGCGGTCTGGACTGCGGGTGCCAATCCCGGGGCGGGCCGGCCGGCCGCGCCCACCTATTGGCTCCAAGAGCTCCCGGGGCGTGTGTCCCCCGACCTTCCGTATTACCCCGGCGGGGACGACGGGGGCAAGAAGGCCGGGGTGTCCCCGCTCGCTAAGGACCACTGAGCCGCGTGCTTTCGGGAAGCGAGGACGCGAGGCGGCGCGGGCACGGCCGCCCCGAGGGCCTGGCTTTGCGCCCGCTTCAGGGAAACGGCGCCGGCTTTTTTAAATCTGTGGACAGACAAGCGTGTCCTGAGAGCTGAGATTTAGAAAGGCTCTTAGGGCACCCCCTTTCTCGGAGTGACACTAAACCCTGGAAACCCAGTGGAGGACCCCCTAGCGTTTTCTGTAGTTCTAGGACCTGCTTCCGATGTGCGACAAGACGGAGGGTAAGGCAACAGTTGTCACTGTTGCCCGGAATGGATGGGAAGAAAAATGTGAGGAAAACCCACTGGAGGCACAGGGAACTGCCAGGCGGCCGGGAAAATGCTCATCTCAGAGCCTGTGATTTAGAGAAACTAACCCAACGCAGTGAAGGCTCACAGTCTAGGAATTAAAGTGTTTCTCTCATAAAGAAAAAAAAGCCTTTGCCCTTCACCTTTAATTACTAAAAAGAAATTATAATCAGGAAAAACATCACTTAAAAGAAAGTTTTTATTAACAAAAGTTTTCCTTAATTCACATTTCAACTTTATTAAATAGTCCAAGGGTTTCATTTATGAACACTTATTCCAGTTTAGTTCTCTTAAATTCATTTGCTTGTTGTGCATTTATGTTTAAAAAGGTAACTAACTGCACTGGAAAATGAAAATTTATAGTTTTATCAATAGGTCAGTTTTTAAAAAATCAAAGGATAAGGATTTAAAAATATTAGGGCATTACACCTTTTTCAGAACAAGGATAATTTACAGAAATTATACAAAGCAGATTTTCATCAAATATCAATTATTTAGCGATGTTTTATTTAGCTGAAATGTTATTTCACTTGTAAAAACTATCTCCGGTTACAAAAAAAAATCAGAAACCTTATTAAATTTAACCTGCTTTTACAAATGTCCTAAGAAGTCTTAAGCTAAACAAAATTTAAGTAGGAAAACGATAATTTAAAAATAGTGTGTTATACTATTTCTGTGGTTTATGTACATATATTAACTGGTCTCTTGGATAGGAAACATGACTAGAAGTTTATCACACTAAGCACTGTAAAATAAAGGCAAGAGCTAATCATCTTCTAGCAAAAATAGTCTCTATGCAACAATTGCAAATGTCAAAGCTATTATTTAGTAGTTAATTGCCTGCTACAATACATAAAACAAAGTACATTTACTGGATTGTTTTTCAGTTTGCAGCTGCCCTCTTGACATCCCAAATAAGGAATTCCCGTTAAGTAAAACCTGCAGTGCAATTCACTCAGTGGTTAGTTTCAGGCCAAGCCTCCCCCTACCATTATGCTTGTTCTTCCCCACCGCCCCCAAATCCTGCAGTGGCACCATATTATTAAAAACACTAAGTACCTGGGATTTATGCCTCAGAGCAAGACATCATTTGAGTAATTTCAAATGATACACAGCTCCTTCATGTAAAAAAGATGTTTTGTGGTCACAATTACTTCAAAAAGTAATTATATTCAAATAACCTGACATATCATGCCTTAGCAATTACAAAACCATGATTTTGACACATGGCAATTTTTAAGTTAGGCAAATGTAAAATGCTAAAAGATGTGAACAGCTGTTCTTCTGTTTAAGTTAGAGCACTGCAAAACTCAGGTAATGACTTTATTTTTTTCAGTTAACATAACCAGCCCACGATACAGCATACTAAATCACAAAGTACAAATCCAAGGAAGTTAATACCTTTACTAAGTTACAAAACTTGGGCAAATCAATACAGTACTCTTTTATAATGAAACCATACTTTTGTTGGAGTCATGTTACTTTAGTGATAATTTTCACTCCAAAAATATTTAAGTACCAAATCAAAACACTGGTTTTTAATGGTGGTTTATAGCATAGTAAGGTATTTTACACAAAATATATTTTAAAACTACACAATTTCTCCTTTTAAGTGAGCTCCCTTGTGCAAGCTGCTGAAGTGTACAGCAGCAGGGCAATGGGCGTCTATAGGAGGTGGCTCTGCTCTGTTCTGGGGTTGGTCCAAAGTCAGGTGGAGTTCCAATGTATGAAAAGCTTGAAAAATCTACCTTAAGGAGACTGAATATCAATACCAGTTTCCAAGGAGTTCTTGTTGAATTTTCACAGAAATACTGGAACCCTCAAAATCAGATAGTAATTTCAAACAACATTAATTTCAGATGATCCCTTTTATTTAGAGGCCCTGCATCTGTTTTGATCAAGTCACATAGCCTTACACCAACTTATCAAAAAAAAAAAAAAAAAAACTACCCAAAATATAGTTGTATTTTTAAAATAACAAATAAATATATAGTCAGTTTGGAGAGACCTGGAGTACCCGATGTTGTCTACCAACTGTCACGATCACTTCTCTGCAAACGCTGCTGCTGCCATTGGAGTCCTTATGGTTCCTCTTGCTGAGGCTGTCAGTTCTTCAATCTCAGCATTTAATTTATGTATTACCCATTCCATTGCTTCTCGGCCCTTAAAAAAAATCCAATACATTTATTGTTACTGAGGGAGAGCAAAGGCATATATCGAACTAATGACACACCAGGAAGTAACAAGGGGCGTGACAAGTTTAACTCAATCTCAGGATGACAGATCGTTTTTGTCCTGGCTTTTTCTAATGTTATTTAGCAAACATCAAATGCCTTGAGCAACTGGCTTGATCCATAAACTGACTTTTACTTTGTATGCAAAAGATGTTCTCAAATGAATCTACAATTAAATGACAGAATGTCTTATTTGTTTCATGATTATAGTGGTCCCCTTTTTAGGGGCAAGAAGGTCAAATCCCTTTTCTTTACATTTTAAACCAAAATCCTGTGCAAGGTCCTGCAGGATCTGGTCCTCAACTCACTCCTCACCCCTTCTCTCCTAGTGTTCTATATAGTTCCTTGAAAAACAGAGCATTCCCTACTTCCTGTCTCAGGGCCTTTGCACACGCAGCTCCTCCACCTAGAACACTCTTCTTGGAATACCCCTCGCAATCCACCTGCCCCCATTTGGCAGTCAGCAGAAACATCAGTTACTGAACACTCAATAAGCACTCTCATACCTTTCTGTACCTTTTCTTTCCTAATTACATGCTGTATGATTAATGTCACCTGCCTCTTAGTTCCACGGGGGCAGGGACCACATTTGTTTTGCTCCCTGCTGTATACCCTGTCTAGCCTAGCACTCTGCATGGCACAGAGAAGGCATCCATGAGTATCTCTTGATAACCACATTCACCATGTGTTATGTAACAGTGCATGGCATCTTTCTCTAAACTTACTGTTTCAGATCATGCATTCTCAATAAGCAAAAATTGGTTCTTGGGGGGATGGAAAAAATCTCCCTCTTTTATGTATAAAGCCCACACATATGTATATGATATATGACTTAATGGAGGTGGCAATTAGGGAAAAAATGTCTAAAACGAGTTGTGGGGGAGACAACAGTGAAAAAAGGTTGAGAAACAGTGCCTTAAATGACACGCAGCTACACATCATCGAGCACTTCCTCAGTGCTGGGCCTCAGGCTACACACTTTCCATATGTTATCTCATTCACTCCACGCCAACCCTGTAAAACGGGTAATCTCCACTTTAAAAACGGGAAACTGAGGCATAGAAAGGTTAACTTAGTTGCCCAAGGTTAAAAGGCTAAAAGTTAGAGCTTGGATGTGAACCCAGAGCCTTTGTAAGTAACTGCCCAACGTGCTGCAGTTTCCTATGGTAGAATGGGCAAGGGTCAGCTTACAAGGACACACATGCAGTCAGCACCCCATTCCATTCCCAGGAAATGAACCAGGGAATAATAACCAAGAAGCAGCCTCACTTACTTTACTAGCATTTGAGGATATCGTACTTGCCATCAGTCCTTCAAGGTAACTGCTGAGGCTAACTCCTTTCACGGTAATTATGGCTTCTTGTGTCAAAACAGTTCTGGAACAAAACATATTCACACAGGTTCAGATGACCCAGCTTTCATTTTCAAAAAACTTGATAAAAAAACCTTAAACACCCTTTACGATACATTTGTTAAAATATTTTTTACTCACTTTTCTGGATCCTGAGGATGTGGTTTGTATATAAGTCTCTCATCTACTGAAACCATGTTTGTAAATGAAATCTACAGAATGAAGAAAAAAAAAAAAGATCAAATCATTTTGGAACTGAAGATTCAAAATGTTGCTAAAATCAACACACAAGCCAAAATCTTACTAAACATACAAAACAACAAATAAACCGCTGCTATTATTGCATAAACTATTCACTGCCTACTTTTTATTTAAAAAGCAAAGTTGAGGAAATAAAGTATAATAATGATAATACACATAATCCCAAACTCATTTTATTGAGTGCTATCCCCTTAGAGATAGGCAAGATCATGAGAGCAGGAAGGGTAAGGAAGCAACATCCAGGGCCAAGTTAGGCCAGCACATAAGCAGGGATTCTCTGAACCACATCATGAACACGCACTCACTTCTACGGCAACTAGGAGAGGGACAAAGAACTCAGCCAGACAGTTCGAAATGAAACAAAAGGGAGCCAAGACTTACATTAGTAGATTTAAGTTCCATTGTTTTCTCTACAGGATCAACTACAGAATGTTCTTGCACATATGTTTTCGTTCTTGCTGCACCAATAAGCTAAGTAAAACATTCAGAACTAGGAATCAGAGGAGGAAGAATTTCTTACCAAGTCTATCAATATTTTATTTGAAGGAAAAAATGTGTTACAATATTTTGAACCAAAAATCTGTTTTCTAAAAACCAGAGGAAACAAGCAAAGGTCAGAAAGGAGGCCTATTCACATATCATGGATGAGAGGAGACTGCCAGACACAAAAACTTTTCCCGGAGGCAATTAGAAACCAGCCCACTGAGAACGTCTGCAACGTGAGGCAGCACGCTGAATCTGCCGCGGTGCGACGGTGGAGCGCTGAGGCTGAGATATGGAAATCAGGTTTGGGGCAACATGGCAGCTAGAAAAAGGAGAACTCAAAGGCATCTGTCAGTATCTTCCTAGAACAGCCCAAGGGAGGGGGCACCTCAGCTTCATTCTCCAGACAGAAAAACAGCGTTCTTACGATGGAGGCTCACACGTCAGTGTCCACTGTCACTCCCTGTGCTATGACCCCAAGCCCACCCCCTGACCCTGCTCATTTCTGTGTCTGCACTATGGTTTGCATAAGGAGGCAGTAAGTACATTCCTATTGAAAATGTGTACTTTAGTTTTCTTAGTGAACCTACTCTCCATAAAGAGACCCTCTAAAGAAACCTGGATCCACTTATTATACCAGTTTTCTCGCATTATGGTAAACTGGCATTTTAGTTTCTTCCTGGTAAAATCTGCTCACTAAAGCCTGCTCATTCTTAAGGGAATAGAATTGTTTCTAAATGTACAGGAAGGAGTTCCAGACCTTGGAACAAATGTGGCAATAACAAGTCCGAGAACATAGTCCTTACTTAATGTACACAACCCACCACTGACCACAGAACTGTCACCTAACAATTATGACCAGACCATTACTGCCAAACCTTAGTATTGGTCTCAAGTTGCTGGCAAAAGCAGAAAAAGCAGAATAGAACTCCTTTCAGATCACACGGCATTAGCTGGCTTCCTTAAGAAAATTTTATTGGGTGCCTTCATGAAGACTGTAATAATATTTCCAATTCATTATACACTCATAATTCAAGTTTATTATAATACAACTTGAACGGATGCAAAAAATGACATTCAGAATCGGCTCCCACAACCTATTTGAAAGTATAATGCGGTTTAGAAAACTTCTCTACAGCAGTCACATTTCTCCGGGAATAAAGACACACTTACAGACTTCACAATGGAAGGCAGTCCCCACTCTGTGCTGAGAAGTCTGTGGCTGTGCAACTTTCCAGAGGGATCTATATGTCTGTCCAACACATCAACTCCAACCACACTTGGGTTCATAGGGTTTGGGTATTTCTGCATTGCAGCTGTTGTAACAGTTTCCCACGGGTGGCTGCCGATGTGAACCAAAAAAAAAAAAAAAAAAATTCAGACATTTAAAATTATGCATATGAGTTAAACAATTTTTATAATCTATCAAATCATTCATTACAATGTAAGTTTAATGAGTTTACCTAGGAAAAATTACCTTCTGAAACACTGATGATTATGGGAAACTGATCTACATTTTTAACAGGCTTCAGTATTTTTCCACAATACAGGCTATGTAAAAAAACTCATATCTATAAAGATCAAAGCAGTCTACACCATCTTTCCTACTTATCCTTATCCACTTTCACATGTAAATTGTTTCTAGGAAGAACCAATGATTCATGAAAATGTATTTAAAAATTATGTTCTACTGAAACAAATAGCCAAAAGTATCATTATGCCATTTATTATTTTTTCTGACCCCAATTCTATCAGTTTATACGGAAGTAACAAAAGTAAAAGAGTTTATGGGCACTATAAATTCTTACAGGGATCACAAAAAGATCCAAAGCATTGATTTAATTATTGAACTTTCCCTTCATTTTAATGTAATACATAACAATGGCTCCTCCAGTCAATCTTTATCTACTGTTTTTCTCAAAAGAGTGATTCTGATTTCTGTTTTGAAAAGGTCACTCAATATAATAAAATGTCCTTAAGGTGCACTCCTAATATACTATTTTCTAATATTCTCTTTTAATATAATAAGCACTTGCTTATCACCTAGTATTGAAGTGGTAATAATATCACATCACTTGAGAACTTGCAGTATCTTTATTTTCTTCAAAAAGGCACATGTGCTTGGATGATTCAAAATGTGATGCAACCTTTGTTCACTTCACAACTTCTGTGAATAAGACACTTGTACAAAAAATATCATTTTCAAAAGGACCCCTTATTAAGTACAATCAGTATTAAAGGTGACTTAGTCCACCTGCAGTCTGATTCGGATGCTTTCTACACTACTTATCTGTGCTCTCATCTTCATTTAAAGGAAAAAGACAAGATCTGGGGATGATGTTCAAGCCACAATGACTGTTAAGCCACACAGCATTACTTTTTATTTTTCTAAAAGTAAAACAAGTAGACATTATTCCAACCTTTTAGAGAACTCAGATTGACAACTACATCTCGTTGACAAAAGGAAAATCTCAACTCCATTAATTTCCCAGAACCCTGGACAACCAGTGACATCATTTTTAATGTTTTCATTATAATATTCTTTTCTATACAATATTGTACCAATGAACCTCATTCTGTCTTTAGTCTCCAGCCTTATCCAGCAATCAATGCAGGTATATAAGCAGAGTTGCTTCATCAATCTGAAGTGTCCCGACAAATCGAAGCATACAGGCCAAGCACTGATTCTTACCAAGGCAACTCTCTAAAATGAAAATCAGATGAACCCTCCCCAGGTCTCCATCCAGTCATATGCCATGGTTAGCTGGCTTCCATGCCCTTACCTCTTCCCCCAACCCTCTCTAAAAAATTAATAATCGCATGACTTCAGGGTGGTTATGCATTATTTGTAATTTAGTCCATCTCTCCTTTCTGAACCAACTTGAAACCACTGATGTTGACTTAGCTTGGCTCAAGATTGCTTTATGAACCATAACCAGCTCAAACATTACAAACAATACTTATTATGATTAATCTTCCAGCAATTAATCTGAGCTGTATTAACATAATTACGTGGAAAAGATCTCACAATGGAAGACATTCAAAGACCACGCCAAAGTAGAATCAGGAGGACCTGGCTATGGCTCACTGACCGGTCCAACTTCTTCACCTTTGAAACGAGGTGAGGACATTATTAACTCCACTGGCGCAGCATCGAGGTCTTGATTTACTTATGAAAATGTAATCAATCCAAAGAACAGTGGCTGACACATACTGGGCATCTCTATAAGTTGAAGGAATCAATGAATGACTTCACCTGGATGCCAACTATAGGCCTCAGAAGAAAAGTGTTGGAAAATCAAAGACAGATAAGATGTAGAATGATGACTTAGACATTGTTAGAGAGTGACATCCTAAAGATCAGAAACAACGCTCAGATTTGTCAGGGGAGATGATGACTTCAATTTCAGACAGGCTGAGTTTTAAGGGCCTGTGGGACACGAGGGTAGCAATGCCTAACAGGCACCTGAAAATGAAAAGCGGAGCTCAAGAGAGGCTGGAGCTCAAGGTACAGATCTGGGTGCCATAAATGTATACCTATCATTTGGGACTTTGACCAAACAGCTCAGATTATGTGGGGAGAAAGCACGGATCAGGGCTGCTTCTCCCAGGACAAAAAAAAAGTCTGTGACGAAAAGAGAAACAAAAAAGAAATTAAGATCACAGGTAAAATCCAATATAGGAAGGCCAACACAGAATCTCACTGAACATTTACACTGAATGGGAAAAGACAGGGAAGCGCTGAAGACAAAGGCAGAAAGAGTGTAGAGGGAAGGAGGGGATGAGCCAGGAAGAAGAGTTAGGGAAGATATGGGAGAAGACAGTTCTAGGGAGACTGAGTGCCGAGAACCTCTGAAGCATGCAAACCCAGAAGAGGACTGAAGCATGCAAACCTGGAAGAGGACTGAAATTAAACATCCTCGGAGCTGAAATGGACTAGTGATGAATGCGACCAGGTTAATGAACATCTAAATGACCACAAATTTCGGGTCTTTTTCCTCCCAAAAAGACTAAACAGTAGGGGGAAAAGAAAGCTTCCTTCTGATTCCAGTATTCTATACTTTGCAGGATACAGCAGGCCCTAGGATGTGTCCCACTGAGTACAAATGCGGACAACGTTTTAAAAGTTGCCTTCAGAGGCCGGGCACAGTGGCCCACACCTGTAATCCCGGCACTTTGGGAGGCCAAGGCGGGCGAATCACCTGAGGTCAGGTGCGACCTGACCAGGGCGAATCACTTTGAGACCAACCTGACCAACATGGTGAAACTCCGTCTCTACTAAAAATACAAAAATTAGCCGGGCGCGGTGGTGGGCGCCTGTAATCCCAGCTACTTGGGAGGCCAAGGCAGGAGAATCGTTTGAACACGGGAGACGGAGGTTGCAGTGAGCCAAGAACACGCCACTACTCTCCAGCCTGGGCAACAGAGCGAGACTCTGCCTCAAAAAAGAAATTTAAAAAAAATTTGCCTTCAGAGACAGTTTTAAAAACATAAATGGCTTTGTAGCATATTTATTTACAAGGCTATACTAATTAAAACAGTGTGGCAACGACATTAAGATCAGCGGAACAGAGCAGGTAACTCGGGAAAAAAAAGGATTTCGCTGCTTAAATTTGTGGCTCTTTTGTAAATGGAATCAGGGACCTAGAAGAGAATATAATTCTCCACATCCAACTGGTTCAAGGCTTAGTTTCGTTAGTAAACAGTTCACATTATCCAAAAAGATGTTCCTGAACGTGGCCTCAAAGAGCTAACACGGGTAGGCCCTGACGATCGTCCTTTTCCATCTCTCAGATGAAAATGGGTAACCCAGGGTCACACGCTTGTTACAGCCAGAGCTAGACCTTGAATTCCAAATCCAAGGCTCTGCTGCGTAGATGAACGAGTTGTGAAAAGGCTTCACATCCTGGTGGTCAGAGTTCACCCGAAATTCACATTCGAAGGTAGAAACTCCACCCAAACGGCGGCCAGGGAAAGTACACTCTGGAGAAAACCAACACCTCCCTCTTGGGATCCTCGGGTCCACGTCCCAAAGTGGTTTCACAGGGCGGGATGGGGCAACCCTGAGTGCTGTCAAGGGCTTCGTGCTCCGCGACGCCCCCAGGACCTCAGGAGGCCGCCGGCCCGAGGCTACCTCATGGTGGGGGACAGCCCGGAAGTGACCCCGTAGCCCTGCCGGTCGCAAGGCCGCCTGGGTCTGGAGGTCGGAGCCGTCCCCTCGGCTAGGGCGCCTCGGGGTCGTGACCTTGGTCTGCCCTCCGTGTCGCCGGGGCCCGCAGGCTTCAGAGTTCGCTCCCCTCGCTAGGCCCGACGCCTAGAAGCCTCCTGCGGGCCGCCTCTGCCTCGCCTCTACTCCAGGGCCGGCGTGCCTGCCCTCCACGGAGCCGACCCGCGCCCCAAACTTACTCAAAGACGTGCTCCGAAGTCCAGATCTTCATGGTGCCGGCACCCTGAGAGATGTCCGGGTAGCGCCAGGGGACAACGAGGCACAGAGGCTACACCTGCCCCTGCCCCGCCCCCAGCACCCCAGCCGGCGGCGCAGTGCGCAGGCGCTGTCGGGCCCGACGCGAGGGACGTCCAGACGCGCGGCCCCACGCCCTATCCCGGCCCGGGTTTTGCCCCAGCCTTGCGCGCGGCGCAAGGAAACCCCGCCTCTTAGCGCCGGGCGCATCGCGCCGGCGCAGTGCCGCCGACGGCAGCTGGAGGGGCCGGCGCGGGCGCTGTGCTGCGCAGGCGCGGCGGGCTTGTAGCGAGCCTTGACCTCTGGGCAGAGTTGGGTCAGGTCCAGGAGGTGCCTGCGCGCCCGCTTGGCCCTCCTTGTCCTTCTGGCCCAGCACATCCTCGCCTGGCATTTCGAGGCGTGTGGACGCATGCGGTCAGCCTGCTGACATAGATGTTCGTTGTGGTGGTCACTTGTGCAAAATTTCCTGGTGCCCTATAGAGAGTTCCAGCCACCTCCTGGGTCAGCCCGGGCTGTTTTCCCAAATCCACCAGCCACCCAGCCGATCAGCTGGGCCAGTCCCACCTGCCCGCCAGGAGCTTGCAGCCCTCGGAGGGGATAAATAAGGCGTGACGCGGAGAAGCTAACATCAGACCTGCCCATGAATAATACCCCTACGAGGGATGCGGTCCGGAAGCACGGTGCCAGGGGTCGGGTAGAAAAGCTTCCTGGCCGGGCACACCTTGCCCTAGGTGCATAGGATGGATCTGAGCTGAGATGTCTCTCCCAGAGAGACTTCCCTCGTCACCGTTTCTCACCTTGTTGCTCTGCTCCGTCACAATATCCTGTTGCATTTTTTATAGCACTTACCCCTCTGACATCATCTTGTTAATTTATTTGTGAAAATTCACAATCGAACTGAGTTCTTGAAGGCAAGAATCTTGCCGGTCTTGCTCAAAAATCATCCTCAGTGTCTCCCATATAGTCAAGGCTCAATGACTACTTATTGAAAAATGAAAAAAATCAATAGCTATTTGTGGGATGAATGAATTAATGGAGTCATCTAGTTTATTTGTTGTAACTTCCGCTAGACTGTAAGCCCCTGAGGGCGAGGCTCTTGCCAGACTTGTTCAGTGATTTCCCCCTTCCTAAATGACAATTATTTGTTGCATCAATGGATGAAAGAATGACTAAGAATTGCTGGGGCAGGAGGAGGTGGCATGTGGTTTCATTCAGAGATGAGCCTTGTCCAGGGAACAGACTGCCTGGCTTAGCTTTCAGAATATGGCTTCCCACCCTGCTCTCCTGCACTCTCCACAGCCGTCTACCTCCTAACAGAACAATTTGCCATTTTCAATGAAGGTTATGGAGGAAAATCTTTACATCTAGTTACTTAGAAGCTTGTTAGAAGGACCACCTCATTCTTGTTCTTAGCTTGTTTGATTGTTAAAGACAAAAAGCCAGGTTAATTTAGGAGGGAGGATAATTTTTCAAAATAACATAAGTCCTTTATACAGGAAAACAAAAATTACATTAGACAGGAAGGAAATAATATGGTTGGGTAGTTGCTAAGTGCAATTTGTGGTACCTGAGATTTTCTTTTTTTAAACCTACAGTACTTAAGAGTGATTTCTTGGGGAGGTAATGCTTTAAGGGCTACTGAGAGTACCTCAGCCTTGACTAAGATGCAGTTAACGTCGCTGGGTGTTAAAAACACTGGTTCAAGAACCATCAGCACAGAACAGCCTGTCCCTGCTATTCCTGGAGTTCCATGAGGCTGTTCACCATTCAGCATTCCTGTTCTGTTTATTTTAGAGAACATTATTCTGCTCTCAAGTTCAAAATTTCTGTGTTTTAGTCATGAAAATTAAATGACACCTATCTCCCGTGCCCCCAACACACATACTATATCAGTCTAATTTTACTTACTAGATCTAGAGTGGTGGGATGGGGCATGGAAAGATGGAGATCCAGGACCCAATTGTCTTCTCTGCGTGTCTCCTCATGGTAGAAATAATACCACCTCTTGCTTGGATTTGGAGGGTAAGACTTACATAATGATTATCTCCTGGAGACTCTGTTAGGAGACACAGAGGAAGCAAATTAATGGTTTTTAGATACCTAAGCACTGCATTACTTGACAGTGCCTCTCACAGAAACAGAGAAGTCATTAACAACAGATCATTACTTTGATTTGAAATTAACTAGGTGACTGGTAGTTATGGCCCTTGCCCCAGGGATGACACACATCTCCACACCCTTCCTGCTGGGATCTCCTGTTGGGATCTTGCCGAGCTCCGTGTCTGGGATGAGAATGCAGACATTAACTCTTACCTACAAGGAACTTTACAACTGGCCAGGAACCAAAACCAAAACACAAGTCAAGAATCAACTAGAGGATATTTATTTATTTTTTAGACAGAGTCCCACTCCGTCACCCAGGCCCAGCCTGGAGTGCAATGGCACGATCTTGGCTCACTGCAACCTCTGCCTCCCAGGTTCAAGTGATTTTCCTGCCTCAGCCTCTGGAGTAGCTGGGATTACAGGTGCGTGCCACCACACCCAGGTAATTTTTGTATTTTTAGTAGAGATGGGGTTTCACCATGTTGACCAGGCTGGTCTTGAACTCCTAACCTCAAGTGATCTGCCTGCCTCGGCCTCCCAAAGTGCTGGGATTATAGGCATAAGCCACCATGCCCAGCAAGAATCAACTAGAGGATATTTAAAGGAAGGGTTGGGTGTTCACAGCCAAGAGACCCAGAACTTTGAAGTGCAGCCTCTGGGTCCTTATGGAAGGTAGTGGGCAGAGGAGGATTGGCTAAGAGGCTGGGATCAGGGGTTGGTATAGCAAGAGGCAGATGGCAGCACTGACATGAGTGGCCCCATGTTAGCCAGTTCCAGAG
Source organism: Homo sapiens (assembly GCF_000001405.40). Taxonomy (NCBI): domain Eukaryota; kingdom Metazoa; phylum Chordata; class Mammalia; order Primates; family Hominidae; genus Homo; species Homo sapiens. The sequence continues at coordinate 59,045,636 of NC_000020.11, forward strand.
ACAGGCCAGGCAGGAGAAGCACTCCATCGTCAGCTGGGCCTCAGCTACTGTTATTTCCAAATTCCCCTCACTTGCACACCACCTTTACAGCTGTTGCCCTATCTTCATTCCACATGTCCCATTGTTCCCGGACCAAATCAATGGTCAGGCTGCTTATTCTCAAGGCCCAATAACGAGATGCAGATGAACTGGGAGAGAAGAGAGTTAACCGGTTACAGGGAGGAGGCCTGGAAATTATCACCAGACCAACTTAAAATTACAAAGTTTTCCAGAGCTTATATACCTTTTAAGCTATATGTCTATGTGTAAGTGTGCATTCATCTAAAGACATAAGTGATTAACCTCTTCTAATCTATAACTAAGATCTGAGTCCTGAAGACCTTCCTCTGGAGCTTCAGTAAATTTATTTAATCTAAATGGGTCCAGGTGCTGGGATGATTACTCCTGCTACATCATGGAGGTTTGGGGAATTCCTTCAGACCCCTAATAAATGTGTCTATGGAGGCCTGGGGAGTTTCTTCAGACCCCTAGTAAAACTTGTTTAATCCTAAGCAGGTTCTGTTAAGAATTCCTTTGCCATCTTGTCATACTTCAAGGCCCAGGAAAGGCCTAGACAAAACTCTTGGTGGGCTTTCGTGACATTCCAGCCTTTGTGTAAGGACACTGACTCTTTTGGCTTTTCATATTTAACCACTCAGTCAGCATGGAAACAGTTGTTATGGAGGCCTGCATCAGTGAGACCTGGCCTGCCACACCATTGCTACTTGACTTTTTATATCACTGTGGTCTAAGAAGAAACGTACTTGGTCTTTGTCCCGCATTCTTGTCACAGAGCTCCTAAAACCCTTGGGATTTCCTGAATGATAGGGATGCCTTTGATTATTTATAACAAGCTCCTTTTGATACCATCTCCAGGTAGATGGTGTTGGAATTGTAATGGCTGCTAGAGAATTGTGTGGTTGGTGGAGAGAACTCCCACACATCTATGTCGGAACGTATGTGTGTTGAGAGTCTAGTAGTAGGAAAAACCATGTGTTTTTGTCAGAATCAGCTTCCTTACAAATACACTTGAAAGGAAACTTTATATAACTACTTTCATTAGAAAACCAGTATTTTTACCCTGATAAATGCTAAATACATGACTCTTAAAATAAGGCAGTGAGCCCCGTGGGCCTTCCTAACACCTTCTCGTCTCCTCACAAAGTGGGCATGTCTCACTTTGGTGCTGACTTCCAAACTTCCCAGGTGCTTTTTGGACTCTCATCCATTCTCCTCAAACTCCAAGCCACCTTTTCCTCTGAATCTCTCAGCAGTGACCTTTATCTCTAAATTCACTGTGAACTCCTTCAACTGTCTTCTTCTCTTTGTATTCTCATGAATCCTTTCCGTATATCTTCTTAACTCTGAGAATCTTTCTCTCTTTCCCTCCCTCCTTCCCTCCCTCCCTCCTTCCTTCCTTCTTTCCTTCCTTCCTCTCTCTTTCTCTCTCTCTTTCTTTCTTCCTTTCTTTCAACAGAGTCTTGCTCTGTCTCCCAGGCTGGCGTGCAGTGGCGTGATCTTGGCTCACTGCAACCTCCTCCTCCTAGGTTCAAACAATTCCCCTGCCTCAGCCTCTTGAGTAGCTGGGATTACAGGCATGCACCACCGCTGGCTAATTTTTGTATTTCTAGTAGAGATGGGATTTCGCCATCTTGGCCAGGCTGGTCTCAAACTCCTGACCTCAAGTGATCCACCTGCCTTGGCTTCCCAAAGTGCTGGGATTACAGGCGTGAGCCACCATGCCCGGCCTCGTTTTTACATTTTTATTTTAGAGACAGAGCTTTGCTCTGTTGCCTAGGCTGGAGTGCAGCAGCATGATTATGGCTTACTGCAGCTTTGACCTCCTGGGCTAAATCGATCCTCCTGCCTCAGCCTCCCGAGTAGCTGGAACTACAGATGCGTGCCACCATGCCCGGCCATGATAATGTGTCCCTTCTCCTTTCCAGTCTTTTTGTCTGTGCTCCCTTCATTTAGTCATTGCACAAATAACAACTGATCATCTATTCTGGGTCATCCCTATCACACTACAGCAGCAGGTGACAATTTCCCTAGGGACGATATTCCCCAGGGGACATTGGCACTGTCTGGAGACATGCTCGGTTGTCCCAACTGGTGGTGAGGGTGCCACTGGCATCTGTGGGTAGAGGCCAGCGATGCTGCTAAACATCCTACAATGCACAAGTTGGCAACTGACTCCCTGCCCCAACAAAGAGGGATCTGGCCCCAAATGTTGACAACGTCAGTGTTGAAACCCTGGGGTTCATCTAACAGGCTCTTATCTCTGTCCCCGTCTACCTGTCTGGCTTTGATGTTTTCTCCTCCCATTCTCCAACTCAGCTGAACCCACAGCCACATAAATCTCTCGCTATCCTTACAGGCCATGCATTTCCACACCCTTGAACTTTGCACATGGTGTTCTCTCCACCCAGAATGCACTTTCCTCTGATTTGCCCTGGAAAGTCTTACTCATATCTTGAGATTCTGTGCAAATACTCTACTCTCCAAGTGTCTCACTGATACGCCTCTCCCCACTAGCTGAGCACAGTGCCTTGTTTCGGCTTCTGTGCTCCTGTTTGCATTTGACACAGCCCTCATTATGACACATCACTGTGGAAGTGTTGTGTGTGTGTCCACACTGCAATTTAAAGTCCAAAGTGATGACTTCTGTGTTAGAAGGATGGGGGTGGGAGCATGGCTCCTTATCAACCTCTTCATCATTTGAGTCCTTACTATAAATGTGGCCACACAGTGAAGCAAGAATCATCATAACAAGAAAATATTTGCCACTGAACCAAATCTGTACATATAAACTTGGTGCCTTATGAAAGCAGCAGCATAGATCCTCATCGCTTGAACCTATGTGATTGCTGGTTAGTCTCCCACTGATTGTCCAAGGCTAAAAATAACACAAGTGGTTGGAAAGTGAAACCAAAACTCTTGGAGAAGATGCAGAATTTCATCAAGTTGATGAGAATGATATTCAAGAACTCCTTCATTATACACTAACCCATCAATAGATGACTTTGTGTAGAATTAAAGCAGTTAACATTTGAGCAGACAAAATTGGCAAGGGATGGTTCACAAAGAAAATGATATGAATGGCTAAAAGTTGGGAAAGACCCTTGGGAAAAATATTCGAGTCCTTGAATATTTCTGCAAAGATGTCCATCTCTGCGACTGAGTTGTGAAATTCAAACATATTTTGCAGTGCTATTTTCCAGTTTGGTGAGGAAAATCATTGCAGAAACCAGCACTTGGTTCATTCTATGTGATAACAATTTGATAGAGTTACAATTTTAATCTAACACATGTATGTATATATATATATCTCATATAAATATCTATCATTATATATATCACTAAATATACACATATGGATATATGTGTATATATATAAACTTACTATCATTACTTTATTTTATGTTATTTATTTATTTTTGAGATGGAGTCTCACTCTGTCGCCCAGGCTGGAGGGCAGTGGCACAATCTAGGTTCACTGCAACCTCTGCCTCCTGGGTTCAAGCAAATCTCCTGTCTCAGCCTCTCAAGTAGCTGGGATTACAGGCACCCGCCACCACACCTGGCTACTTTTTGTATTTTTAGTAGAGATGGGTTTTCACCATGTTGGTCAGGCTGGTCTTGAACTCCTGACCTCAAGTGATCCGCCACCTCGGCCTCCCAAAGTGCTGGGATTACAGGTGTGAGCCACCACGCCCAGTCAGTATCATCATTTTATGTTTCATTTTTCAGGGTAAAGTGTCAGCTGCACTTTTTGTTTTTCATCATTTACTGTAAAATATTGATGTTGCTTTTAAGTGGATTTGCTTTCAGTGAGCTTATTGGGTACCAATTGCATACCAGAAATGACAGCTTTCTTCAAACTCCAACAGCTAGGACTACACAGGGAGGTCGGTGAGGAGAGAGATGCAATCAGTACTTCGGTTACAAACAATAAGGGCAGCGGTGATAGGAGAGGAGCAGGAAATTGGAGCCATGTTTAGGAAGCTGTACTGGCACAGCCCGGGACACTCTTACCTTTTCACTTGTGGCCCAGGTGGCCCTGATGGAATAGAGAGCCAGAGTCTGCGTGGCCATAGAATAAGCCAGAGAGAAGTGACCAGCACAGCTCAAGCCTGAGATTTCAACATCCCTATCAGCTCTCCAACCTAGGGAGTGTAACTGGCTGAGAAGGAGAGACCAGAACACAGGAGGGGCTCAGGGGCTCCCAAGCCCTCAGACATGGCATCCACCCCTTGTCTCTGCAAAGGCAAACTCCCCATTTTAGGAATCACATTACTCCTAATTTAATACAAATCTTTCTTTCTTTCTCTCCTTCTCTTTCTTTCTCTCTTTCTTTCTTTCTTTCTTTCTTTCTTTCTTTCTTTCTTTCTTTCTTTCTCTCTCTCTCTCTCTCTCTCTTTCTTCTTTCTTTCTTTCTTTTTGTTTTTTTCTTTGAGACAAGGTCTCTTATGTTGCCCAGGCTGGTCAAACCCTGGCCTCAAGTGATCCTCCTGCCTCAGCTTCCCAAAGTGCTGGGATTACAGGCATGAGCCACCCCACGCAGCCTAGAATCTAGAGTCAAATTCAATTTTGTTTCCATTAGTGATTGAAGATTTCAGGTAGCCATACAGAACTTCCTGTCTATGATTTTTCCCATTTTTTGTTTACCTAAATATAGAAATAACTTATTCTTGAATCCCTGTCTTAAGAAATGAATCTCTTCTGGAAAGCTCTGACTATCACAGGAATTCCCCATCCTGAGAAATTAAAGGTAATTTCTTAATGCTAAATCAATCTGTCTAATTAGCAGTTTTTCCATAACCAGGTCCATGTCAAAACTAGCTTTTCTCTTTTTCTATGCTAAAAGGTTTTATCCTGAAAAGACTCTCATATACTCACATACACGATGGTATAAAACCTGGCCCAGAAATTCTCACTGGGATAATGAAAATGACATCATTGCATGTGTGTCCTGAGATGAACAGTTCTTGCAGTCCTTTCTTTTACATTCATTTGAGTGATATTGCTTGTTTCCTATTACAACATCAGGAGATGGAAGTCACTGACCAGCTGCCAACACCTGAGCACCACAGGCTCATAGTTTCTCTTTTTTCTTTTCTCTTATGTGGGACCTTTTTTTTTTTTTTTTTTTTTTTTTTAGCTGGATTCTCACTCTGTCACCTAGGCCAGAGTGCAATGATGCGATCTCAGCTCACTGCAACCTCCTCCTCCTGAGTTCAAGCGATTCTCCTGCCTCAGCCTCCCAAGTAGCTGGGATTACAAGCACCCACCACCACGCTAGGCTAATTTTTGTAGCTTTTTAGTAGAGACAGGGTTTCATCATGTTGGCCAGGCTGGTCTCGAATTCCTGACCTCAGGTGATCCACCTGCCTCAGCCTCCCAAAGTGCTAGGATTACAGACATGACCCACAGCACCTGGCCCATGTCGGATAACTTTTAGGAAGAGAAGATAGAGATTTCAGCTTCTGTTCTCATTGTATTCTCATTCCATTCTCATTCTTGTATTCTCCTCCCAAACAAAATAAAACAAAGAAATGTGTCCTTTCTAGCTTTATGCATGCATGTCCTCCGAGGAAAGGCAGTCCTCTTCATGTTTAGATGCTCCAAAATGATGTCAAAAATTTTCCGAAAGGTTTTTTCCCACCAAGTGTAAAGTAAACTGAAGCATTCTAGACTATGAGGCAAACCCAGCAGGATCGAAGGGACTGCAAGCATCTAGGGTTGTGATGTTTTCAGTTCTGGTAAGAAAGAGCACATGGACAGAAAGAGGCAGAGAGATGGTCTGTCTCATTCACAGGTATATCCGCAATACCAGGCACATAGTAACGGCTCAGTAAGCATCTGTTGGGTGAATAAAGGCATCAACAGAAAGCAAGCCAAGTCCTGGTGTTAGGTAACCCATGCCTTATTTATCATCAAGGGGTCAACAATATATAGTGTGTACAGTTTATGAGCCCTGACATTTACCAGAATTTGGAACTTGCAAGGCATAACATGAAGGTCCCAATCCAGTAAGAACACAAGGGTACGGGGAGAGAATCAGCAGGTGCCCAAATCTGGGCAGTGCCGCTGCCAGCTCTCTGGGTCCCAAAGCCACGTCTAGGGAGACCAGGGCACCTAGAAGCAGCAGTTGTTCCCCAGCTGGCTGTGCAGAGCAGGTCTGGAGGGAGACAGGTGCCCGCAGCCCAAACTGCCTTCATTTGAGAGAACAGCTGTTTGCTTGGGCCTTAGGCTGAGGAAAAAAATGCTGAGCCATATGTCCTTAGTAAATCAGTGCATGGCCCTATCAGAAAAAGTGCCCAAATGATTGATTAGAAAGTAACCAGCCAGCCCTTACGTATAGCTTTACTTGTGTGCTGCAAGTTTGTTTAATGTCAAAATGTACCAAAATCCACCCTGCGCCTTCCACTTCCATTTTTCATCACAGAAATATTTGCCAAATGCATGCACTGAAACCACTGGGGAAGAGAAGAAAGTAAGACATTTTCTTAAGAGGAGGGACTGCAAAGTGAGGCAGAAACTCGAACAGGAAACACCCTCTTTTATGGATTGTGTGTGATGTTAAACAATGATGAGAATGTTTCTGAGTACTTGCAGGCTGATAGATCATAAAGGAATCTTAAATTCACCTAGACCTTTTTTTCAAACACTCAGACACCTACCAGATGGGGAAACAGAGGCACTAGAACCCATATGTTGACAATCTTTGGAATCCATTGAGTTAAGACCATAATCTACATCTCTAGTCTTTTTCCTTTGCTGACTTGTCTATTCACTCAGAGTAACAACGTAGAAAAAGCCTACCTTAAGAAGGAGTTTCAACGGTTTCTCATTTCTTCAAATGGTATTGAATATAATTCCATATAAGCTTTAGTCCTCAAACAGCTTTAGTCACTTACATCAGCCAACTGGTACCTTCAGCAAAAATACATTCAGGTATTTACATTTTTAACAAGATAAATCAGCACATAGCATTGGTTGTATATTTATCAAAATTCTACCTTGGGTAATTGTGATTTATTGGAAAAATTAATATCAAAATCTAAAATGTTAATCAAACTTAACTGAAAAATGCAAAAATCAGCACCTTTCTTTCAAACCAGCAGTGATCATGTATAAACAATAATAGAAAAACCCTATCAAAAATAACTCAAGGCCAAGTGCAGTGGCTCACGCCTGTAATCCCAGCACTTTGGGAGGCTAAGGTGGGTGGATCACTTGAGGTCAGGCATTCGAGACCTGCCTGGCTAACATGCTGAAACCCCATCTCTACTAAAAATACAAAAATTAGCCGGGCATGGTGGTGCGTGCCTGTAATCCCAGCTACTTGGGAGGCTGAGGCAGGAGAATCGCCTGAACCCAGGAGGCGGAGGTTGCAGTGAGCCGAGATTGTATCATTGCAGTCCAGCCTAGGCAACAGAGCGAGACTTTCTCAAAAAAGAAAAGAAAAGGACCTAAAAATATGAAATATCTAGCAAGAAATCTTAACAAGAGATGTATAGGATCTAAATGAAGAGAATCATAAATTTTCTCTGAAGAACGTAACAGGAAACCTGAATAAAAGATGATATACCATGCTTCTGGGCAGGGAGATTCAGTGTTTTGATACTGTCAATTCTCCCTAAATTAGTTGAATGAAATTCCAGTTGAAATCTCAGTAGGACAGTTTTGGAACCTGACAGAGTGATCCTAATGTTTCTTTGGAAGAACAAACAGGTGAGGGTGGCCAGGAAAGTTTTGAAAAGGTAAAGGGAGGAATTCAATCTACCAGATATTACAACATATTAGGTAGCTATAGTAGCTAAAGTAGTGCGAAACTGAGCAAAAATGGGTAGAAAGAAATGGATACCCTTAAAATCAACCTTAACATATATGACATTTTAGCATGTATTTTAAATGGGCATTTCAAATCCAAGGGGAAAGGATAGATTAGTAAATAAATGGTGCTGAAACAGCCAGTTAAGTATTTGGAAAAGACAGAAAGTAGGATTATCTCAGGCTATATATCTAAATCAATCAGAGATTACCTAAAGAGAGAAATACTAAAAATCTAGTTATTCATACAGCTTCAATTGCCTAAGTGGGACAGAGTCACAAATATAGAAAACATCAAAAACATTAAAAGGAAAATATAGTATGAAAATATTTACCACAAATGTAATGGATTAAGAGTTAATTTTCTTAAAATATAGGCTGGGTGCCGTGGCTCACGCCTGTAATCCCAGCACTTTGGGAGGCCAAGGTGGGTAGATCACTTGAAGTCAGGAGTTCGAGATGAGCCTGACTAACATGGTGAAACCCCGTCTCTACTAAAATAAAAAAATCAGCCAGCGTAGTAGCATGAGCCTGTAATCCCACCTACTTGGGAGACTGAGGCAAGGGAATTGCTCAAACCTGGGAGGCAGAGGTTGCAGTGAACCGAGATCATGCCATTGCACTCCAGCCTGGGCAATAGAATGAGACTCCGTCTAAATTAAAAAAAATATATATATATATATATATCCTCATATAACCATTAGAAACCCACTAAAACCCTTTAGAAAATGAAAATACCATGAACAGACAATTGGTAGAAAAAATGCAAGTGATTAATGTGAAAAAATGTTCCACTGCTTTGGTGATCAAATAAATGCCCATTAAAACCATATACCATTTTTGGCCTATCAACTTAGCAAATCGAAATATAGCTCTTATTCAAAGTTGGTGAATATGAAGTGAGGTAGGTACTTTCATACACTTCTATTGAAAGTATCAGTTGGTACAGTCTTTCTGGAGAACAATTTAGCAATATCTATGAAGAGTCTTAAACATTCCTGTTTGTCCTTGTGATTCTCAATGCAGGAATTTAAGGAAATTCAGAAATTTGGACCAAGATCTAAGTCACAGAATTGTTTGTAATAATATAAAGCTGGAAAAACCTTAAGTGTTCAGAAAAAGATTCACTAGTTGGATCATGAAGAAACAGAATTTGTGTTTTAAGGGGAGGGAGAAGAAGTGGGAGAATTCTAGGGAGAAAGAACAGCGAGGGTGATAGGAAGGGTACATGAAAGTACATTGCAAGTTTGATTTGGAAACTGTAGTGTGCTCTGGAAGGCCAGGTGAGGGGCAGATAGAAGGGGTAAGAAGAGGTGAGGGTCAGAGGCTTGTGTAGCGGTCTATCTCCTGCATGAGAATTTAAGATGTAAGGACTCTGGGTTGGTTATCTTTATATCCTTCCAAGTTCCTAATAGGTGCTTAACAAATGTCTGCTCAATAATCAAGAGATTTCTTTCAGTGTTGAGCGGCTTTGAGTTCTGTGTTGTTAGGTTATGGTTTTCCTCTATAGCTAGTAAAGATTCAGCAAGTTTTTTCTTTTTCTTTTTTTTTTTTTTTTTGAGACAGAGTCTCGCTCTGTCGCCCAGGCTGGAGTGCAGTGGCGCCATCTCGGCTCACTGCAATCTCTGCCTCCCGGGTTCACGCCATTCTCCTGCCTCAGCCTCCCGAGTAGCTGGGACTACAGGCGCCCGCCACCACGCCCGGCTAATTTTTTGTATTTTTAGTAGAGACGGGGTTTCACCGTGTTAGCCAGGATGGTCTCAGTCTCCTGACCTCGTGATCCGCCCGCCTCGGCCTCCCGAAGTGCTGGGATTACAGGCTTGAGCCACCGCGCCCAGCTAGATCCAGAAAAGTTACTTAGGAAGAAAATTAATAACGACTCTCCTTAAGTAACTTGGTTGATTTATGACAGGCATTAAATGATACTTTAAAACAGCCTTATGTGGACTTCAGTCAGTAGGGGGTGCACCAATGCTGAAAATTCTGATACTAATAAAGAATAGCACTTATTTGTTAATCTTACGGTCCTTCGTCCTGCTTACTATTTGTCCCTTTTTTGCCCATCTCACCACTCTCTATCCCCCACATTAAGAAATTTCTCATTGCTGCACATACCACCAGTTATAAAACTGGATTTTAATAAGAGTTAATTTAATGTTGCTGTTTATTAAATTGTTACAAGTAAGTGTGACATTTTTGAGAAATTGCTGTATGGAGAAGAGTTTAAATTGTGCTTATTTATTCATGACACATTTTTTATCACAATAGTTGAGAAAGTATTAGTACTAGTAAAAAATGGAGGTGATATTTAATAGTCCATGGGGACACAAATTGTATAATTAAAAGAAGAGTAATAGTGACCTTTAGATAAAGCATATTTCATAAAGTGCTCATTAAAAAGGAGTTCACTTTTGGAACTTTATTTTCTCAAAGTTCTCTTTATAAAATAGAATTAATAAAATACCACAGTTTATTGAAATTTTAAAGAGTACAGAGAGCTGTGGTGTTGTGTAGAGAAATTGAGGGGGAAATAAAATTAGGTTTGTATATGGTATTTTTGAAACAAAGAGGAACCTGATTGGCATAGTTAACATTTGAAGAATATAGCTAAAAATATTGCGCCAGAATAATAAGCCCTGGTATCAAAACATATGAAATGAGAATTAGCATTTCCTGAGAGAAAATTAAAACTATAGAATTAAAGAAAGCACCATCTGAATAGGAAAAGAGCCATTTGTGGTAGAGTAGAGTTTGGAAACTGAGAGGTGCCTACATTTCATTAGATGATGCTATGCTCTTTTGAAATGATGATACAGGGTGTACCAATGATCTTCTCCCTTTCCGTTCCTTAAAAATGCTTATAAAGTGGCTTAAAACAAAGGAAAATATTAGCAATGAAAATGATTACTAAAGTGAATCATATGCAATCAAAAGTTTAAAAACTTTTGTAGAAGAAAAAATTATGAAACTAAAATTTAAAAAAAAAGCACCATGTGGAAGACCTATTAAAAGGCACAGATGCTCAAAAGAACTCCTAAAAGATATTTCAACGTTGCACTTTCTCTGAATAACATACTTATAAAAAGTCACACAGATAACCTAAAATTAAAAGTTTATACAAAGATAGAGCAATGATAATAAATATGAGAAAGCAAAAGCTTTTGTATATTATCAAATAATATCTTATTTTATCAAATAATATCATATTTTATCAAATAATTAAAACATATTATGTGAAATAAATGGGTGGTTATACAAAGATAAATACAGTACATACTTAACACATAATAATTGTGAATTTATATGCACCAAATAACATGGCAACAAAACACAAAAAGTGAGGGATAGAAGAACTTCAAGTAGAAGCTAACAAAAATTTAGTTACGGAGCAGCATTAAATTTCTTGTAATCAAGACCACAACAGGTAAAGTAAATAAAATCCTGCAGTCTGTAAGTTTGATATACTCTCCTTATAAGTATTCAGAGAACACTTATTACTCTTATCACTTGCTAGTTTACATAAGATCAAATGAATAAATATCACCAGAAGTTTTACAGGCTGTACTGTGACCAAAATACAACCAAAATTTGAAAGTAAATGCCTTAAGAATAAACAAACAAAATTGAAAATTACTGCAATATTTTAAAGTAGTCCCTCAAAGAACAACTGGGATAATGGGAAAACAAAGAATTCAATAAAGACAATTTAGGAAATAATAACAATATACTACATTTCAAGATCTATAAAAGTCAATGCTTAGAGAACAAGTTAATGACAGCTTTAAATATTTTTATTGTTAATATGAAAAAGAAAAAGTAAATTTATTATTCAATATTACATCTTAGGGAAAAAAGAACACAATAAAAGAATAAAAAAGTTATAAATTGGAAGGCAAGAAAATAAACAGTAAACTAAGGCAAGAGCTGATTCCTTGAAACTTTGATAATAGACAAACCTGTGATAAATCTAATTTAGAAAAACAAAACAAAAAAAAGCCAAACATAAAAAGTAGAAATTAGAAATGAAACAGAAACCCTATAGACATAAAAATTATAAGAAATCAATGTTGATAATTCTGCAACTGTATTTGTAGCTCTCAAGGAAATGGGTAATTTCACACAAAAATAGAAGTTTCTAAAGTTGAAGCGAGATGAAGAAAATCTTTATACATTAATAAGAGAGGAATACATTCAGAAAATCATCAAAGAACTATTAAGATTTCAAGAAAGAGGGCTCTGAATCTGACAGATAATTACAAAAATATTTTAAAGAAATAAATAATACTGTTTTACAATGAGTATTCCTGACAGAGAAACACTTATTATACTACCGATAAGGATAAGCACCCCAAACAACTAGCCAAGGTCATAAAAACAGATGGGGAAATCTTAAATGAAACCCATTAAAAAGACATTGGATTATGAAGTAAAACGTATCCCTGAAATGCAGGGATGGTTCAATGACAAAATGTAATATGGTATGAGAGAATTAAATGAAAATCCATACATAGCCATTTCCATAGATGTTGACAAGTAGTTTGACAAAATTCAGCACACATTCTAACTACACATTTTTTAAAAAAAGGCTAGAGGTATATTTTCTTAATATATTAATAGTTTTTGTTTGTTTGTTTGTTTTTTGAGACAGGGTCTCCCTCTGTTACCCAGGCTGGAGTGCAGTGACATGATCTCAGCTCACTGCAACCTCCACCTCCCAGGTTCAAGTGATTCTCCTGACTCAGCCCTCTGAGTAGCTGGGATTACAGATGCCTGCCACCACACCCTGCTAATTGTTGTATTTTTAGTAGAGACTAGGTTTTACCATGCTGGCCAGGCTGGTCTCGAACTCCTGACCTCCAGTGATCCACCCACCTCGGCCTCCCAAAGTGCTGGGATTACAGGCACAAACCTCTGCGCCTGGCCATTTTTTTTTTTTTTAAATCAAGGCCGGGCATGATGGCTCATGCCTGTAATCTCAGCACTTTGGTAGGAAAAGGCGGGAGGATTGCTTGAGCCCAAGAGTTTGAGACCAGCTTGGGCAACATGGCAAAAACCTGTCTCTACAAAACACACAAAAATTAGCTGAGTGTGGTGGTGTGCGCCTGTAGTCCCAGTCTGGGACTCAGGAGGCTGAGGCAGGAGAATCGCTTGAGCCCAGGAGGTCAAGGCTGCAGTGAGCTGTGATTACACCACTGCACTCCAGCCTGGGTGACAGAAAGAGACCCTGTCTCAAAATAAATAAATAAATAAATAAATAAATAAAAACCAAGTAACATTATAGCCAATGGACAACCTTAGAGACATTTCTTTAAAAGCAAAATGAAATTTTTAAGGTGCTGCCTTAATTTAAAATTGTTTTGAGATGTATATTCAATAAAATAAAATCAAAAATTAAGAAATAAGAATATGTAATGGACCCAGCAAGACAAAACATTCATTTTCAGGTGATAAAACATGTAACTAAACCTGCTAAATGTTGCTGGATACAGAACAAATCTTCGAAATCAATAGTATCCCTGTGTATCCGCATTAACATTTCATTAATTATAATAAGAAAGAGTAGAAAATCCTTAGAAATAAGCTTAATAAGGAATAGATGCATGAAATACAGTGAACAGTTTACTGAAAAGTACAAAGGAAGACATGATGGAAGGTAGAAACATGCTGTGTCCTGCAAGGGAACACATTTTCTAAGGATGGTAATTTTCCCCAAGTTCAATTAAAATCCCCAGAAGATGTTAAACAGAACAAAAATAGCTAACGTAAATAATTGTAAAAATCATTAGAAAAGAATGGTCATGAGAAGCTATAAAGAATTTAAGTGGCGACCAGCCCGGCTGACCGAGGTGGATATACCATGAAGCTACTGAAGTTTTCACTCCTAAGCGCTCAGGGCACAGATCCTCCCAGTAATGCCTGGGAGGAGCTCTGTTTTTCTCATGGTGATGTGCTTTTGTAAATTTTACGTCAGTAAATATTTTCTTCATGAGATACCACCCCTCACCCAATTGTATAAGTTTTGGGTGTCACAATACTTGAAGCCACCATGCCAGATATAAAATGATGTTCTAAATCTATAATAATTAAAAGACAGCTGGCTGGGTGTGGTTGCTCACACCTGTAATTCCAGCAGTTTGGGAGGCCGAGGTGGGCGGATCACCTGAGGTCACGAGTTCGAGACCAGCCTGGCCAACATGCTGAAACCCCATCTCTACAAAAATACAAAAATTAGCTGGGCGTGTTGGTGTGCACCTGTAGTCCCAGCTACTCAGGAGGCTGAGGCAGGAGAATTGCTTGAACCTGGGAGGCGAAGGTTGCAGTTGAGCTGAGACTGCACCACTGCACTCCAGCATGGGCAGCAAGAGTGAAACTCTGTCTCAAAAAAAAAAAAAAAAAAAAAAAAAGAAAGAAAAAATAGGTCAATAGAACAGAAACGCCAGAAGTAAATAAAATGATATGTAAAATGTAAATATGTCACATATACACCATGGAATACTATGCACCCATAAAAAAGAATGAGTTCATGTCCTTTGGAGGGACATGGATGAAGCTGGAAGCCATCATTCTCAGCAAACTAACACAGGAACAGAAAACCAAACACCGCATGTTCTCACTCATACGTGGGAGTTGAACAATGAGAACACATGGACACCGGGAGGGGAACATCACACACTGAGACCTGTTTGGGGGGCAGGGGGCAAGGGGAGGGAGAGCATTAGGACAAATACCTAATGCATGTGGGGCTTAAAATGTAGGTGACGGGTTGATAGGTGCAGCAAACCACCACAGTGCATGTATACCTATGTGACAAACGTGCACGTTCTGCACTTATATTCTGAACTTAAAGTACAATAAAATACAAGAAAGGAGAGAAAAAATAAATATGGGAGATAGTGTCATAAAAATATGAAAGAACGCAAGAACACATTATTTAATATATGGTATTGGGTGCAGCTAGGTGATGTTCAAAATAGTAACAACTGGTGTGGCATGGGCACAATGCACTGACAGGTAACAACAGTTACTGGCCATTCCCAACATATGCTGCTGAACCAGTGTGTATGGACTTCATGTCATCCCTGCTATAACTTAGGAAATTGGGAAATGCACTTTATTTATTTGTTTTGAGACAAAATCTCACTCTGTCGCCCAGGCTGGGGTGCTGTGGTGTGAGCTCAGCTCACTGCAACCTCCGGCTCCCGGGTTCAAGCGATTCTCATGCCTCAGCTTCCCGGGTAGCTGGGATTACAGGCACATGCCACCAAGACTGGCTAATGTTTGTATTTTTAGTAGAAATGGGGTTTCACCATGTTGGCCAGGCTGGTCTTGAACTCCTGACCTCAAGGGATCCAGCCACTTCAGCCTCCCAAAGTACTGGGATTACAGGCATGAGCCACCAGGCCGGGCCAGGGAATTGCACTTTAGATCTATACTGTATGCTATGTTGAGCTCCAGGTGGATTGGCACATTAAATTTAAGATACTCCTCATGCCTGTAGTCCCAACACTTTGGGAGGCTGAGGCAGGCAGGTCAGGAGTTTGAGATCAGCCTGGCCAACATAGTGAAACCCCATCTCTGCTAAAAATACAAAAATTAGCTGGGTGTGGTGGTGGGCGCCTGTAATCCAGCTACTTGGGAGGCTGAGGCAAGAGAATCTTTTGAACCTAGGAGGCAGAGGTTGCAGTGAGCCGAGATTGTGACACTGCCCTCCAGCCTGGGCAACAGAGTGGGACTCCATCTCAAGCAAATAAAAAAATTTAAAATACTCGATTCTAGACTTTCTAAGAATAGAAGCAATAAAAGAAGCCAAACATTTTAATAATTAGAATGTAGAGCATTTTTATAAAATGAAAATTAACAAAAATCAAAAAGGAAACTATTTGGGAAAAAAATGTGAGCATCAAATATGGCAAGGGGTTAATATTTAAAGAAACCACTTTAATATATACCAATAATGTGGAGGGTCTGATGAACAAAGAAACAAAGGTCATAAGTGGACGATTAACACAAGAGCGAGGAGTAAACGAACATATGGAGAGATGTGGGGCTTCTGGATTGGGTAAAGACATGCCACGTGAGGTAACAGTGGGGTGCCATTTAAACTGTTCACACGAGTGATATGTTTAAAAAGATGCATATTGCTGCTAACGCTGCAGTTGTACTAGTAACTGGCATGGTATAGTTCAATTATTTTACTTGCTTATAATTTTCTCTTGAACAGACATAGGAGAAATATATATTGGCAATATAAAAGTAGAATAATAAAAATGTTTTTGCCTTTTTGCCCCATAATCCTGTATTTGAGAAGAAGCATGGCATGGGGAAGAGAGCATGGAATTTCGAGTTGGAAATTCTAGGTTTGAAGCCAGGTTTTAATACTTGCAAGCTGGGCAATCCCGGGAAAGTTGCTTAATTTTCTCTCTGGTCCTTAGTTTTCTCTTTTGCAAAGTCAGGATTATCATATGTGCCTCAGAGGGTTTGGCTGAAGGTTAAATGCAATAGCCTGGGTATAAATGGAAGAACTTAACATTTCTATGGCACTTTGTTCCTTTGTTCATGAATCTCAGTTTCCTTGTCTGTAACATGGGATAATAATACCTGTCTCACAGTCAGAAGAGATAATGTATTCATTCACACACGGATTCATTCATTCAACCTTGAGGGTTTAGGAGTGACTTGGTGCTGACCTAGGTGCTGGCCATACGGAGGCAGATGAAGCAAACCCAGTCAGCCATTCCCTTTCCAGCTGGAGCTGAGTCCAGAGATGGGCTTGTCATGTGGTCATCATGCCACAGGTCTCAACAAACACAAACACGCTGTAATTAGCTAGGATGACTCTGCCATCCAGGGCACATTCAGTGCTCCTCAAAAGAGAGTCCACAGTTATATTTCTTTTGTGTGTCCTCTGTATAGAACAGAGGCTCAAATGAATATTCCATTCATCGGGTGCATGCATGCATAAATGTCTACAGGAGGGTCATTTGTTTTAATGAACAATCTGAAGTCACCTAAATGTCCAATATAAGAGGAGTGGCTAGGCCAGTGGGATTGTAATCACACAGCAGAAGACTTTGCAGTCATTAAAATGGAAAATTCTGAGCATCACAAAAGACACAGAAAAATATCTGATATAATATTACACAGGAACAAAAGTAGAATACAAAATGACACGAACTTCACAATTATAAATATATGTCCAGAATCAGAGGGAATATTGAAAAGCAAACATTTTATTACAGCAGTGAGATTCTGGGTGAATTTAAAAAATTCCTTTTATGATGTGAAAATATTGTGTTAGCAATAAAATAACAACTACCAGAAAGAAAATGGCTGCTGTGCAGAGAGAAAAATAGATGAATTTATTAAATTTTTTTGGTTGAAGTATAACTTACAAATGGTAAAGTGCACCTAAATGTACACTCAATGAATTTTCCCATATACACACCTGCCTAAATGTACACTCAGCTAATTTTTCCATATGTGCACACCTGCCTAAATGTACATTCAATGAAGTTTTCCATATGTATACACCTGCCTAAATGTACACTCGATGAATTTTTACGTATATATACACCTGCTTAACCTCCACCCAATTCAAGTTATAGGACATTAAAAATGGGTGATTTTAAGTGGGAGAAAATAGCTTTGGTGTATGTTGTGAGGGTGGACATAAAATCAATAGACAGTATTATTTTGCAAAAAATATCAGTCTTCCTAATGTGAAGATAAAATGTTAGAATACATTAAAACAGCAGAGAATGTAAGGCCCATTTTTAGAGGGAGTTCAGAAGTTGATAGATTATCCGAGGAAAACAAAGTGAACAGACTTTTTTCCCCCTTTTTATACTAAACGGCCCAAATGGAGGAAAATCACTTTCAAATGATTACATATAATATGCATAACGACAAATCCGACACTGCCAAAATCATATGCACAACCTCAGTTTTCCTTCCGGCAAGATAAACAAATCGACACCGATAAATCTGAGTGGAAACAGGGCTGTCAAATGTTATCTTCCGGACTTGGGATTAGAAACAAGGGGAATGTCGCAGAAGTCATTTGGCACCAGGAGGGCTGTGCATGCCCTTGTCTCTCTGCCTCATCCTTTGCTGCACTTTCCTCCAATACGTGAGTACATATGTATATATTTCTCTCACAGCCCCTCCTAATTCCCAAACCACAAACACCGAAGCCTTATATAATTTCACTGTGATTTCTTTTCTGTTTTTGATTTATCTGAAGTGTTGCTTGACTGCTTTATCTTTCTCTACACAGCCTCTTAAATTGCTTCAGCAGATCTAACCTCTCCAGAGACCGGAGACAGGCACAAAGCTTTACGCCGGACACTGCCAGGCCCACGTCCGTGTGGGCGTTGAATGGATGCTACGTGATGGCAGAATGAGTCACTGAGATTTAGGCGGAGAGTTTGGAGGAAGGTGCTAATGAAAAGGGCTCTGGTGCTGCAGGAGACATACGCAGGTCAGGAATAATGACGTCAGCCCGGAGCCAGTGTTTAAAAATAGTGAAGCTCTTCTATGAATCAAAATGATTCTATGGGGAAAAAACTAAACTGGTGATGGAAGGTTATATTGCTTTGTAAAAGAAAAAGTAATTTATGCTCGACTTCAAGAAAAGCAAAAGTTACAAATCAAAATAAACTCAGAAGTGCTTGAAGTAGGCAGAAACTCATCAAAACAGTTGGAGTGAACTTACCATGTTCTGTACACTAACTAAAGAAAATTGCTAGGGGATAGTGAATAGCAAAGATGCCTGGCTTCCTTCCCTATCGCAGTCACCTCTGCAAGTAGGATTACCAGCTTCTGCTTTGTGACAGCTTTTGCTGTTTCTGATGGGTCCTTATGCTGAGGGTACAGTCGACAGACCATTCACTGCTGAAGCTGTCAGAATTAACCCCAAAGAAAAACGGAGCTGAATAGGCTTTATGATTACATAACATGCCTAGACTTGACCAGCCCAGGCTGTTTGTTTATATATGTCTGGCATGCCAGATTCGACCTGGCTTAAGTGGTACCTGCTTTAATTAATTTAATTGGTTTTCTTTTCTTGATGGAAAATAGAAAGATATTTAACTACTCCAAAATCTCTTCCCTACCCCATGAAAGCCTTTGTAAATTCTATTTGATGAGGTGGTTAAGTTATTCAGTGAATGATTCTATGCAAGCATATACTCACAAAAATAATATTTAAACAATACTATAGCTGACATGGAATAAATACCAAATAACTAGTCAGACCACATCTGTACTTTTACAGTTGATCTTAGCCAAAGGCTAAGAAGCAATGCACCTCTGTACTTCTAAATACAAAATCAATTCTGCAACATAAAAACATTCACCTATGGGAATTGGGATTTTGGCTTTCTTTTAGTAATTCATAAGCTTGTGGTAATAAGTATAAAAACAGGAATTACCAACTGAGTAAAAATTTTTCTATCTATAAAAACTAAGCAAAGCCAATAATTAAATACTGTAGTTTTTGAAAGTTTAGTTTTAAAATTTGTCTTTTTATAAAATTAGCCGTGATATATATTTTTAAATGACTAAATAGTACAGCAGGCTAGAGATCTTATTTATTTATTTATTTTTTTGGAGACAGAGTCTTGCTCTGTTGCCCAGGCTGGAGTGCAGTGGCACGATCTCGGCTCACTGTAACCTCTGCCTCCCAGGTTCAAGCGATTCTCTTGCCTCAGCCTCCCTAGTAGCTGGGATTACAGGCGCCGCCACCATGCCCGGCTAATATTTTTGTATTTTTAGTAGAGATGGGGTTTCACCATGTTGGCCAGGTTGGTTTCCAACTCCTGACCTCAAGTGATCCGCCCACCTTGGCCTCCCAAAGTGCTGGGATTACAGGCATCAGCCACCAGGCCCGCCCGAGATCTTATTTTTTTTCTTAAATAACCTGGAGCAACTTAATAATAAAAACAAACAAGTTAACTTTAGTTCCTGTTGTTCGCTTTATACATTATCAAGGTGTTGCCATAAAATATGAGATGAAGGTAGAAATGGTTTTAATGAGGCATGCTTGATTTTTCTTAGTTTGTTTCATGCACATTTTATCTGTATGACAAAATATCAATGTGGAATTAAATATTATACAGAAAGAGGATATAGAAAGCAAGCACATTTTATTTTTGCTTTTATTCTTTCCCATTGCACTCAGTACTATAAATGAGTTGCAAATGAGGTACAGCTACAAGTAATGAAATTGTGCTGTTTGGTACAGTTCTAATAATTTATATCAATGAAACATAGTAACCGTTGCATGGAAAGTGTGACTCCATCTACACAGACGGCAGCACAAATAGATAAAGGAAACCTGAGTTGGGATTACATAACGATAAGAGTATGCAACATAAAATACTGTGGGTTGCATTAAATTTTTTTTTAAAATTATGTGGATATCAAGAAAGGCAAAGAATTTGACTGCATAACTGGAAATTATGCCTCTAATTCTCTAATTATCGCCAAGCTAATTTATAATGGAAGAGCAGGATGAGAAAGATAATCATGTCTTCAAATGAAGTATCATGATTTCTCAGGGGTGAGCTACATTCTGTGTCACACTGGAAAAGAGACAGACATTGCCCTTTTCTTCTAAAAGGATTTAGACACATAGAACACATTTGTCCTCTAATAATTGCATACCTCAAATTGCTTCAATCCTAAATAAATAGGCAGCTATTTATTTAGGATTGAAGCAATTTGGGGTATGTGATGATTTAGAATGGTCTAAAAATCAAATAGTCTTAAGAACAACTTTGCATCCTTTCCAAGCTATTCTGAACAATTGATTCTATGTATTAGATGCAATTTTTCAACCTTTTATGTTGCTAAAGATGTTCGTTTGCCTCAGAATAAATAACAAGCATCCTGCCTGTAAGACAGAGTAATATTTTTACCTTCATGATTATGAAAGATTAAACAGAAATATTTTAAAAGACATATTTTAGAAGGTAATATAATCCAGAAACTGCAATTTATTATCCATGTCTGACATAAAATAAAAATTTATCTGACATAAGAAGAAAAAAGAAAAGTGACTGGGAATTCAGATCAAAGAGTCAACAGAAGCGGACTAAGAGGTCATCCAGGTATTGCAGTTAGCAAACAAGTACTTCCAAATACCTACGATTAAGATGCTAAAGAAAATAGAGACAACTGTGGACAAAACAGATAAAAGATGAGGTATTTTAAAATGAATTGGATGTATCAAAGAGCTTGTAGTACTGGTTATGATCTCCAATACAATGTTGACTAGAAGTGGCAATGGTGGTTCTTCCTATCTTGCTCCTGAGCTCAGGAATGATGTTAGCTAAAAGGTTTCTGTAGCTGTACCTTTAAGGTCTGGGCACTGTGCTATCTTTAAGTTATACTTCCATAAAAATCGAAACAAATCTTAGGAGATATTTTTCATTTATAAGTTAAACTGTTCCAAAGGGGGATAACCTCTGTCTCTTTTACTTAAAAAATGCAAATATGCTCAATCTAATCTCTTTTCAATTTCTGAGAATTGCAGTTTCAAGAATTATTACTGACATCAGCTACAAATAAAACAAGAAAACAACTGTTTAGAAACCTCAAAATTGATATAAAACTATTCTGGTCAAGACATTTTTATTAAAATATTGTTCTGAAATTTGGCAGTTGATTTCTGGTCTCATCATGATGCCAAAAATAGATTAAATAGATTCAGTGAGCTATCTAGATGGGCCAAATAACAGATTTGATAAAGTCCCTACTACGTGTTTAGGCAGTGACATTTGTCAGTAGCCAGCACAGTAATAGTTATAAGTGACAATTCGGGGAAGAGTCTGGGCTGAGAGCGTCAGTTCCCATCATGTGGCTCAGTCTCCATTCCCTCTCAGCCTAGACTGAAACATAAAAGAAGCAAAGTGCTTTCAAGCCTGCATAGGAAGGTGTCTTCTTCTCTTACCCCTGGAATCAAAGAAGCGATGAAAATCTTTGTTTATTGCTTTCGTTAGAGACTCAAACACAGGCTATCAAATGTGCAAAAACGTTTTCTTTCACATAAAAGATTTCTGATAGCCATGTCACTTGTTTCAATTTCCTGTTCATTCCAGATACCGCTGTCTGGGAATGGGATTCAAATGGAAGATATCTTGCATTTATCCCAAAACATTCAGCTACCTGACATGAAATATGATGGGACATTCTTTTAACTTGTTTATTTCTTTGGATTTTTTTTTTTTTTTTTTTTTCACATCATCTCCAGTGTTTCAGTTTTCTTAGCAGCCAGAGGCTTCTCCTGAGTGTCTCTTCTGGGTAAAGGTGGCCAGGGCTGCCGCAGGCTCAGGCCACATGCTGTCTGTAAATGGCTTTGCAGGCACATGATAGACACAGATTCAATTCTTGCTTCCTGATTTCCTGCACGTCATTTTGGAGCTAACATACCTCCATGTACAGAGGCCCTGGGGAAGAATGCATACTGATGCTCTTGAGCAGGGTGCACACATTGGGGCCCAAGGGCCAAATCTGGCCAGCTCTCTGTTTTTGTATGGCTCCCAAGCTAAGAATCATCATATTTTTGAATGGTAGGAAAAAAATCAAAAGGAGAATAATGCTTTCTGACACATGAAAATGATACAAAATTCAAATTTCATTGTCTATAAATAACTGGAACGGAGCCACGTACGCTCATTCATATTGTCCATGGTGGCTTTTGCACCCCAATGGCAAAGTTGACTAACTTAGTCAGAGGCCTTTGGTCTGCAAAGCCTAAAATATTTACTATGTAGCCATTTACAGAAGAAGTTTGCCTATTGTTATGGATTAAACGATGTCCCCAAAAAAGATGTTGATGTTCTAACCACCAGTACTTGTGAATGTGGCCTTATTTGGAAAAAGGGTCTTTGCAGATGATCAAGTTAAGTTGAGGTCCTTAGGGTGAACCCTAAACCAATATGTATCCTTATAAAGTCAGAAAATCTGGAAATACACACACACACATGCAGAGAATGCCATGTGAAGATGGAGGCAGAGATAGAGCTGATGCTTCTATTATACAAGCCAAAGAATGCTAAATGTTGCCAGCAAAACACCAGAAGCTTCCAAAGAGGCCTGGAACAGATTCTCTCTTGCCGCTGTCAGAAGGAGCCAACCCTGCTGACACTTTGGTCTTGGACTTCCAGCCGGCAGAACTGTGAGACAAGAAACTTCTGTTATTTAAGTCCCTCTCTCTGTGGTGCTTTGTTATGCAAGCTGGAGCAGCATGTACCAGCTCCTGATGTAAACACACACATTATCCACTGAAAGGTGCTAATGCCCTTTTCACTACATTGGGTTCTTAAAAGTGTCTGCTGTGAACAAATGCCACACATGTCACCTCCGTTTCTTCCTGTTGCCACCTGTGGAAAGGCCATGGGGAGTGGCTTGGACGCTCTCTCAGTGATGAGGCTCTCTCAGGGATGCTGACTCCCTCTATGCCCTCCGAAACTCCCCACAAGTGACAAGCACTTTATTTTTCTCAATAGCGAATCAAGAACTGTCAGTTAAACTCCCACTTGAACCAACTTCTCATAGCCTCCTATTCAAAAATTATATTTAAAAAAAAATCTTTCTTTTAAAAGATAAAACAAGGATGGCTGCACGTGATTTTCTCTCTACCAATATTTTCAAGAACATACACCAGTGGAAGTGCCCAGTAGGATCCCAGAATTTAGGGGAAGTTTCAGTGTTTCATTTTAATATTCCAAACAATAAAATGAGGAAATGAAATGTTTTGGTTCCTTTTAGAACCTGTTAAGGAGCCAAACATGCTTTTAAATGAGGGCTCAATTAAAATATCGGATGGAAGCAAAAGATCATTTAGAAACAACAATAAATTCTCCTGATCTGCCTTTTACAATTAGTTACTTACAGTTTAAAAAATGCCAAAATCATTTCTAGAAGTCATTCCAATATAGGCATAAGTTGTCAATGTAATGCAATATGAATACCTAAATATGCATAAAAAGACAAACAAGGAGTTGCTTATTCACCTTAATAACAGGGCTTTGGGATTCTTTTGTAAATGATTCATTTTATAAATGTTTGGTGGTTGTATATTGTTCTAGAATACATCTGTTGCAAAAAAAACAAAAAACAAAAAACTAAAAACCCTCCAATTCCCAATCAAACAAAAGATTTACTGAGAAACTTTGAGATGCCCAGTTCTAATTCTGGTGCAATGGGAACAAACTTATACTGAGACATAAACTTTGACCTCAGTGAATTTATGGGATTCATTTTTAGCCTGCTTGCAAAGATTAGAAAATTATATAGCCAAAGACTAAATGGATGGAAAGACTTGTATGTACAGTTGGTATTCCAAACAGACAAAAATCCTTGCAACTGTCATGAAACTACAGGGAGGAGATGGACAAGATTCAGCTGCAGTGTGAAGGAGGGGTATGACCTGGAGAGACACAAAGGGGGGAGACGAAGGATTTTGTGTGGTGCACACCAGACCCAGAACCCACTGTACTTGGAATGGTGACTGTAAGGTTCCTCGCCAAACAGTGAGCTTCCTGAGGGCAGGAGCTGTGTTTTGTTACTTTTTTGGTCACTAGCTCCTGGCATCGGACTGCACACAGAAATGGGGCTCAATGGCTGACGGATTGAATTAATGATAGTCAGAATCCCAGCAATATAGAAATAAATGAAGGAGCTGGAATGTTGGGAGTCCCCAAACATAAAAAGTCTTTATCTCCAAAAGTTACTTACCAGGGTTTTGGACTCAGAATTCATTTATTACCAAAAAAATCCTGTAAACACTGATCACCTTCCTGCAATAAATTTTGGCCTGTGCACAAAATTTAAAGGGGCACCAAAAACCTCAGTAATCAAGGTAAATAATATTTTAATGCAACATATGTTTTAAAATAAAAATCAATGCCAAAAACTCATGATAAACAAAATATCAGCATTTTAAATAAAAACAGGATTGGTATTATTGACTTTTCTTGTTTCCAGAGGGTAAAATATGCCGGTTTTTTTTTTTTTTTTTTTTTGAGACAGAGTCTCACTCTGTCGCCCAGGCTGGAGTGCAGTGGCATGATCTCGGCTCACTGCAACTCCTGCCTCCAGGTTTCAGGCGATTCTCCTGCCTCAGCCTCCCGAGTAGCTGGGACTGCAGGTACACGACACCACGCCTGGCTAATTTTTGTGTTTTTAGTAGAGACGAGGTTTCACCATGTTGGCCAGGCTGGTCTTGAACTCCTGACCTCGTGATCCACCGGCCTCGACCTCCCAAAGTGCTAGGATTACAGCCACGAGCCACCACGCCCGGCCGACGTATGCTCTGTACTGTTACCATGCAGCTGAGGCTGGTAAGATGAAGGCCAGAATTGCCAGTGACCACTTTTGTCATGATGTGGAGAGCTCAGACTGAGAATGAAATCACAGAGATTCCATTAAATAAACTCTATGGAATAATAGAAATAATGCAAAAGAGTTATGTATTGATAATTACAAAGGAAGCAGTAGAAATAATGCCATTGCAATTCAACTACATTTAATGATGCCAGGATTCTCAAAGAATTGTTTGCCATTCTGTGCATGGAGAAACACGTTCCATTCTTTTAGGAAGAGAGAATAAAGAAGAAAACTGATAAAGCTGAGAAGAGCTTGGGGAAAGCAAGGCAGTTAAAAGGAATAGCCCGCTTGTTGGCACAGCAAGGGCAAGTCAGAGTGGGACTGGTTTGCTACTCAGCTCTCCATTTGATTAGAAAGGACCAAAATCCAATTCAAACTGGCTTAAACAAAAAAGGGGAGTGAGGTTCCCAATACAAAAAACCCAGCAGAACTTCCTTCAGGCATGAGTAGATCCAGGGACTCAAATGTGACATCAGAACTTAGTTCCTTTTTGCCTCTTGCTTCTGCTTTCATCTCTGTGGTTTCATTCTCAATCTGAGCTTTCCATATCACAGCAAACAGGGCCTCTGGCAATACTGGCCTTTATCCTACCAGCCTCAGCTGCATGGGAACAGCAGAGAGCATGTTTCCCCCACTAGCAACAAGAAAAGTCAATAATACCGATCCTGTCTTTATGTAAAATGATGATATTTTGTTTATCATGAGTTTTTTGGCATTGATTTTTATTTTAAAACATACATTTCATTGGCTGGGCATGGTGACTCACACCTGTAATTCCAGCACTTTGGGAAGCCAAGGGCGGGTGGATCACCTGAGGTCAGGAGTTCGAGACTAGCCTGGCCAACATGGTGAAACCCCGTCTCTACTAAAAATACAAAAATTAGCTGGGTGTGGTGGCATCCGCCTGTAATCTCAGCTACTTGGGAGGCTGAGGCAGGAGAATTGCTTGAACCTGGGAGGTGGAGGTTGCAGTGAGCTGAGATCGTGCCACTGCACTCCAGCCTGGAAAACAGAGCAAGACTCCATCTCAAAAACAAACAAAAAAACCCATACATTTCATTAAGATATTATTTACCTTGATTACTGAGGTTTTTGGCACCCCTTTAAATTTTGTGCACAGGCCAATGCCCTCCTCTCTTTCCAGCCTGTCCTGGCTACACCTGCAACATTACTCTGACCCTCCACACCCTCCAGATCCTAAACCATATATTTTGCCCCAAGGTATCTGCTATGGCTGAATTGTGCATCCCAAAAGATATGTTGAAGTTCTAACAGCCTGTACCTAGGAATGTGATCTTCTTTGGAAATAGGGCATTTGCAAGTATAATCAAACTAAGATAAAGTCAATAGGGTGGGTCCTCGTGCAATATGACTGGAATCCTTATCAGAAGAGGGAAACACCATGTGAAGACAGAGACACCGGGAGAAGATGGCCATGACAATGGAGGCAGAGGCTGGAGGGATGCGTCTGCAAGCCGAAGAAGGCTGAGGATTCCTGGCAGCACTGGGAGCCAGAAGAGGCAAGGGCAGATTCTCCCCCGAAGGTTTCAGAGGGAGCATGGCCTTGCCAACACCTTGACTTCTAGCCTCCAGAACTAGGGGAGAATCCATCTCTGTTATTTGGGGACCCCTGCTCCCTTTCTTTTAGTGCTTTATCACTGCATTCCTAGGGAACGAATACAGTCCCCAATCTAGGGCCTTCTCTTTGGCTTTATCCTTGGGATCCAGAGACTCTAGAACCATATGTGAGCTTCTCTATATCATCTTCACAATTTTCTCTCCCTCTGTCCACTGCTTAAATGTTGATGTGCCCTTGGATTCCCCTGTAAAGTCTTCGATGGGACTCTTCTAGACAATCTCCCCTCTACTATCTAAGAAGGAAAAAAAAAAACTTGCTCCCATGAACTGGCAGCAAGAGGGGCCACTAATCAGCCAAGAATTGCTGGGTGGGGAGTTTCAGAGTAAACTGAAGGCACCCAGCAAGCTGTGGCATGGATTATTGCAGCATCCTACAGGACAGAGCTGAGAAAATGGCAGTGGGTCAGCCTGGGCTGGGGAATGCAGAGCACTCATTATTGAGACGTGCAACTTCAAAGTTACCTTTTACTCTACCCTAGCTAGTTACCCAGGTATAAATCCTATTGTTCTTCCTTCGAAATATATTTTGCCGCTAGTTACCCAGACTGGAAACCTCAGTTCCCATGAGAGTTCCTCCCCGTTTTCACCCATCTTTTTCTAATCAGTTGTCAAGCTCTAACTTTCAGTTATTGTCACTACTGTGGCCACTGTTCAAGTTCAGAGACCTTAAACAAAAATGTTGCCAAAGTCACATGCTAATAACTTGAAGATCCGTTGGCCCCAAGCCCCATCCTTCTCCCCTAATGACACAAGATCTCAAGTTTTGTCCTTGGACAGTCAAGCCTCGTGTCAGTACTGGCACAGAGCGATGCTTCATAAATGTTTCCTGACTGAATGAAGAATCATGCATTTTCCTCTCATTTCACTTAGTAGCATCTTCCAAACAGGATGTTTTTTAGACTTTTAGGACTTCCTTATTATTTGGTCACATAGGGCCTGATCTTCTACATTGTTTCATGTTGCTACCTTTAAGAAAAAACAGGGCATACATTGAATTTGAATTTATGCCCTGTTTAAGAAAAACAGGGCATACATTGAATTTCACAGCAAGCTGTTGAGTACATGGAATTGCCATTAGGGGTTCATAAACCTCTTTTTTGGGAAGATGGGTGGGTGGGAGAGGTAACAGCAGGGAAAGATGAGCTTAGGAAACATAATTCTTAGGCTGGGGAGGAAGCATGGGTTGCAAAGCGGCACAGAGGAGGGCCCCATAAGTAATCTCTAAAGCTATGGCCACTAAGAGGAATGGGAAGGATCTTGCCAGTTAGAAATGACAGTGATGACAGGAACAAACACCAGATAAAAACAAGTCACCAGTAATACAGATTAAATGAAAGCAATGCATGGTTCTTTCTATCTCCCAGAAACAAATAAAGAACAGCTAAGACCAGTTCAGAAACACTACTGAAAAAGTGGAATTTTTTTCCTTATGCACTTTGCCAAGGAGTTATTTGCATCTATTGTTATTTACTTTGGCTTCACTATTTGATCCTATGAATTCTTAAAAAGTGAGAATCAAAATCAAGCCAGTTTCAGTGAAGGACTAGCATACTGTGTTAGGAAGCCTGAAATGTATTCCGATGAAAGATACACAAAACGCTCATCACTAACACAGACACACCATATGCATCTTATCTAATGTGAGCACTCTACATATGAACTCTTATGCCTAAAATTCAGTATGCATTTATTGTATATGCTTTATTCTGATCAACTCAGTAGTGCTTCTGAGATAGAAAAACTTGCCAGGTATCCTTCCAGCTTTTCGGCACCAAGTTGGGGAAAAACAGCTTTCAGAATTACCGTGCTGAACTTTGACGCTACTCTGAGAAAGTTACTGCCTAATTCTACATCTCTTACGCAAACTGGGTGGCGCACGATTTCATTTCAACTTATTAAGTCAATTACCTGAAAAATAGACACCAAATTACAATGTATACTGTTTTTCCCACTTTATAGAGAATCAAAATGTCAGAGGTAGGTGGGATTTAAAAAGTTTTCTGCTTATGAATGATACATAATTTCAAATGACTCATAGCACTTGTTGAAATAAAGTATCCAACCTGGCTGACTCATAACACTGACGCTGGAGTTTCAAATAGGGTTTCCATTATCACACAAATTGACCCAATCTATGCATTGCACAGAGTTATTCTGACCACAACAAATTACTAGTGACCAGGCTATCGATCATTTAAACAAGCAATGCTATCACAAGATAATACACTCAATTACTTAACCCCATCTGCGAGTTCTATAGGAACTACTTTCATAACTTTAACAGAATGCTCTGGGATACATTTTAAAATCTTTTATAATTCAGACTCCATTGTCAAGCTCTGATGAAAAAGTGGGGCTCTTTATTCGCCTGTAATTTTGCAAATGGCTTCATTTCTTCTACAAGTACATGCAAGACATTTTGGATAGTTTAAGAACACCGGTTTTCTTAAAAACGCTGTGTGAGAAATGTGGATGTCTGGAAATGAAAAAAAGCCAGATGGCTTTATTTGTTTCATCTCCTTTTGCACCTACAGAGCCTGAAGAAGATCATACAATGCGTTCTTCACTTTGGTGTCTTTTCAACGAAGATTGAGGAGAAAAATAGAACCCTAAATAATTAAGACTGACTCATACTTGTCCGCTCACAGCAATGTTCTACCCACTAACTTATAACACCTTTATGAAAAGTCAGATCCTCTACATTTCAATTTCCTATTACAATACAGAAGATGGACATTTTAGCAGCAAGACTTCAAAGGGGAAAACTTCAGACACAGACTGAGTGCACTTTGCATTCTGTCATTTATAAAAGAGAGACACTAATGGATTTAAGCAAGGAAGGTGAGTGGGCTAGCTTTTATTCAAGTCCTGTATCTGTATTATTCGGTGTTGCCGTCATCAACAACACCTTTTCTATGGGAAGAGGGTGCCCATTAATTTTTTTTTCCCCAAAAGAAAACTTCTCTGCAGGGATTTCAAAGTTCTGAGGAAGCAGTAAGAATCTTCCATGAGCTGATTCTTTAGTTTTCTAGGGTTCTCATACAAAAATGATCTATTCTTTTGATCAGCATTTCCTGAATTTTGCTATGTGCAAAGTGAAATGGCACTTGGCCTCATGAAGTTTACCCTCTGGTAGGAGAGAAAGATTCTTAACAAGCAAACCCTCTATTAATCATAAAGCATGATAGGTCACGAGACATACAAGCATGGCAGAGAGACAGGAGGCCAGGTGGGAATAGGGATGGAGGGAGGTTGCTTCCCTACTTAGGACAGGTTATTCAGCTACCCAAGGAGGGGACACCTAACCTGGAGTCTGAAGGATGGAAAGAATCTAGCCTCCTGGTGAGCAAGAAGAACAGTTTTCAGGAAAGGAAATGGGGATGCTGGACTCCCTGAGGTCTGAATGGGTGGAGGTGGGGGTGGCAGGTGTTGGTAGAGGAAGGAGCAGCAGCATTCACACTTCTTAGCCTCATTCCCCAACCCTTGTCTCCCCCTTCCCCAAAGAAGGGAGGCAAGTCAGGTTCAGAGTCTGGTGAGGATGTGGGGACTTGAGCCCAGCAGGGGTGACAGCAGCCCACTGTGGGGTTCAGTATGTGCACGTGTGTGTTCTTTAGTATGTGCCTCAGTCTTCCAAGTAGCTGGGACTACAGGCACAACCCCCACCGTGCCCAACAACTGAATATTTTTAAGTGAAACCACTGACATTTTCATAACTTCACTTTATCTTCTAGTGAAAAGAAGGTTTCATTCTTCACACAGTGACACTGGGTGCCTCGCACAAGCCTTCACACCTCTGCTCTCAGGAAGGGCACAGAACTGGGAGCTGGGGTGCTTCTGAGAAAAAAAGCAGTGATGCCACACAGTGGCTCCCACCACATGGCAGGTATTATCCTGTTTCTAGGAACTTCCAAGTGAGATTGGTAGTGTTAGCTCGAGTTCCCTGATTTATTAGGGTTTTGTTTTTTTTTGTTTTGTTGTTGTTTTGTTTGTTTTTTTTTTTGAGACAGGGTCTGGCTCTTTCACCCAGACTGGAGTGTGGTGGTGTGATCACGGCTCACTGTAGCCTCCAACTCCTTGGGCTCAAGTGATGCTCCTGCCTCAGCCTCCCGAGTAGCTAAGCCTAAACGCATGCACCGCCATGCCCAGCTAATTTTTAAATGTTTTGTAGAGATGAGGGCGGGGGAGACATACTGTGTTGCCCGGGCTGGTCTTGAACTACTGGCCTCAATCCTCCCACCTCGGCCTCCCAAAGTGCTGGGATTACAGGCATGAGCCACCGTGCCAGGCCTGATTTATCATTTTCAGAAAGTATTTCTTTTTTGCACTCTCCATGAGGTCTCAGCACATCACTGTCCTAGACAAGAAAATGAGGTTCTATTTTCTGATAAGCCTAGAGTGATGTGGCCGACTCAAGCCTCGTCTTGCGCACAGAGCCTTTCTGGGTCAGCCAAGTGTGAACAGCTTTTTTCCTTTGTTACAGGTTCGATAGTTCTTGGCCTCATTTGTAGGACTTTGTGTAATCTGCTCTGTAGTGTGATTAAATGTATATATGCTGTCATTAGATTTTGAATACATAGAAGAAAAAATTTGCATCTTTATCCTTGCTCTATTTCTCAGAAAAATGCCTTAAACAACAATTCCTCAATACATAGTTATTGAATGTGAATGTCAAATGTATTCTCTATTAATAGATATAATTGGTGCCAAACCTAAGATTTGTGTTTCAAGTTTAAGCCAGGATATACACTATATCAATCAGGGGTTCTGATCACCAGCAACAGAAATGGATTCTGATTAACTTAAGAGGTTAGGAATTTATTGGAAGGCTACCAACAGTTGACAGAACCAATGGAAAGGCCTGGAAAATTGCCTCGGAAAGTAAGCAAGCACTGCGAGAACAGAAGCCAAGAGCATCAAGAGTCCAGGGGTCTCCCCCACTGGCAGCCACCTGTTTGTGCACCTGCCATTGCTGCCCCTGGGCTCCTAACCTTTCTGCCACCATGTTGAATAGCCTTCAGGGGCTTCCATTTCTTGGAGGCACATCCCAACATTTCAGAACCATGAACAGGGGAGCATGCAATCAGCTGAGCGTATATATGCGCACATATCCTGGCTGCCAGGAAATGGGGAGGTGATTTATCTGCACCCTGTCTCAGGGTAGAACTGCATACTAGACAGTTTCCCCGAGCTATGATGGTATTATCATGTTGGAGAGGGAGAGGAGGAGGAAGGAGAAAGGAGAAGGAGGACAAAGAGGAGGAGGAGGAAGAGAAGGAGAAAAGGAGAAGGAGGAAGAAAAAGAAGGAGAAGGAGGAGGAGAAAAGGAAAAAGAGAAGGGGGAAGAAGGAGAAGGAGAAAAAGGAGGGCAAGGAGAAAGAGAAAGGGAAGAAGGAGGAGGAGGATGGGGAGTAGGAGGGGGAGGAGGAAGAGGAAGGGAAGGAGAAGAAGAGGAAGGGGAAAGGGAAGAAGGAGAAAAGGGGGTGGGAGCAAGAGGAGAAAGAATGGCAGTGTCTGCTAGGTTAGGGAAAAATTTTGATTTTTGTTAACTATGAGTTTTTAAAGCAGTTTGCACGAAAAATTTGCTTTTCACAAAAACAAATCAACCCTTCTGAACAAATTTCCCTAAACATTGAAATGGTTTTCATGAGTAGAAACAGGTTCAGTAACTAACTATATAATCTAAGTGACAAAGTCTGTGTTAATAACACAAACATTTAATAAAATCAAATGTAAAGTATAAACACTTTTCATGTCAATACTAAGAAAGAGGAAATTCTCAGAATAGAAACCAGAAAATGAGAGAGTGAGTAATTAGTTCTCAGAGGTTGAAAGGGAAGAACAATGTAATACATATTCTCTCATTTTGCTCTACGGGGTGTCTCCACCTGTCTCCCATTCGGAGATAAGGGACCGGTTATGACACTAACAAGTAGGTATGCGCCAAAAGCATGTTACTAGCCTAAGAATATGAATGACAAATCATGTTGTTTTCCCACATGGAATAAAAGTACTTTTCCTAGGGCAGAAATGATTTGTTCATCATGACCATAATGATCATCTGTACCATGCGTCTAGGCTAGAAATTCACCCCCCACAAACCTTCCATTTACTCCTAATTTCCATGAATTAGTTATTTCAATGCTCCCCAAATAGTCTAGTTGACTATAAACCTTTTCATACTCCTTAAACTACAATAACCCTTGATTTTAAAAATAGAGCCTTGCATTACTAATGCTATACCAATTTTTAAACACCATGCTCTGAAAAAATAAAAGCCTATTACTGTAAGTTTTATATTAAGTTTTTCTGGAAGTGGGTACATACAAATAACTGCTGTGCAATTTCGATGTACAGGAATAACAAAAAATACTTAAAAATGTTACTCATCTTGTCCATAGAATATTTATTCTTCAATTACTAATTACACGTAGGACTTTCAAGGTGCAGAAAATGGGCACTTCTTTGGTAAGCAGTGACACATGTCATCAACTCCACAATTTTACTTTAGGATCCACAAAGTGGACCGCCACCAAAGAGGGGGGTCTTTCTTGCCTTGGTAATGACAACTACATACACCATCATCATCATCTTTTTTTTTTTTTTGAGATGGAGTCTTGCTGTGTCATCTAGGCTGGAGTGCAGTGGCGCGATCTCGGCTCACTGCAACCTCTGCCTCCCGGGTTCATGCGATTCTCCTGCCTCAGCCTCCCGAGTAACTGGGAATCCAGGTGCCTGCCACCACACCCGGCTAATTTTTGTATTTTTAGTAGAGACAGGGTTTCACCATATTGACCCGGCTGGTCTCGATCTCCTGACCTTGTGATCCGCCCGCCTCGGCCTCCCAAAGTGCTGGGATTACAGGCATGAGCCACTGCGCCCGGCCCTAAACTATCATCTTCTTAACAAAAGGTTAAAGAAGCCCAACACTATGATGGTCACACAGCAGAGGGAAGAACAGACACTGTCTCTAACGAACAGTAATGATCCGTTTTAAAGGGTGGCATCTAATTGTCCAAGGGAACTACCTAGTTTTAGGATTTAATCAAACCAATGAGTTATTCCTTAAACCCAAATTATCTTTTTAAATATTTATCTACTTATTTATTTTTTGAGACAAGTTCTCACTCTGTCACCCAGGCTGGAGTGCAGTGGAGCGATCTTGGCTCACTGAAACCTCTTCTTCCTGGGTTCAAATGATTCTCCAGACCCAGCTTCCTGTGTAGCTGGGACTATTTATGTAAGCCACCAATGCCCAGCTAAGTTTTGTATTTTTTAGTAGAGATGGGGTTTCGCCATGTTGGCTAGGCTAGTCTCGAACTCCTGGCCTCAAATGATCCACCTGCCTCGGCCTCCCAAAGTGCTGGGATTATAGGTGTGAGCCACCATGTCCGGCCCTTGAACCCAAATTATTGAACCTGAACAACCCAATGGTTATATGTGATTGCTTATAAATTAAGCTGTCTCCATTAAAGGGCTTTTCACGTAAATTTAAAAGTGTCATATCTCATGGATAATTTTAATGCACAGTATTGGTCGTACGCTAAAATATAGGGGAAAATTCTCACGTGCAAATAAATAAAGGTTTGTACAGGTTTGGTACCAGCAGGTTTTAATGCAGGGAGTGGTGTTTTTTTTTTTTTTTCTTTTTCCCAGAGATCCAGAGATATTTTGGAAAGAATGAGTAACTTACAAACAAGGAGTCAGGAATGACAGGAATATGACAGGAAATGTAAATTGGATCAATATTTCTTTTTTTTTTTCTTTTTCTTCTTTTCTTTCTTTCTTTTTTCTTTTTTTTGAGACAGAGTCTCATTCTGTCACCCAGGCTAGAGTGCAGTGGCATGATCTTGGCCCACTGCAACCTCTGCCTCCTGGATTCAAGGGATTCTCCTGCCTCAGCCTCCCAAGTAGCTGGGATTACAGGCGCCTGCCACCATGCCTGGCTAATTTTTGAATTTTTAGTAGAGACAGGGTTTCGCCATGTTGGCCAGGCTGATCTTGAACTCCTGACCTCAGGTGATCCACCTGCCTCGACCTCCCAAAGTGCTGGGATTACAGATGTGAGTCACTGTGCCCCGCCTGGATCAATATTTCTTGAAGGCAATTTGTCAATACATGTCTGAAGCCTTAGCTTTATTTTTTTCTCCAAGAAATCTACTTTTAGGGACATATATGGAAGATACAATAAATTTATGTAAAGATTGTGCCACGAGCATGTCCACCATAGCATTGCTTATCAAAACAGAAAATTACTAATTTCAATGTCCACCCTCAGGGCACCAGGTAAAACAAATCGTATGTCCACACCGTGGCATTAAAAATGAGGCAGGAAGGGAAATGTAAATCCAAAACATGATGAGATACCATTTCATACACACTGCGTTGGCCATCATCAAAAACTGGAAAAGAAGCTTTGGTGAGGATTGGAGAAAGTAGAATCCTCATGCATTGCCAGTAAGAATATAAAATGGTTTAGCAATTGTGGAAAACAGTTTGACAGTTCTTCAAAAATTAAACATAGAATTATCCTACAACCCAACAATTCCACTCCTACCTGAATACCCAAAGAATTGAAAACAGCAACTGAAACAAATACAGGTACACGCATGTTTATAGTAGCTCTATTCACAATAGCCAAAAGGTGGAAATGACCCAAGTGTCAATCAGCAGAGGAATGGATAAACAAACGGTGCTGTAGGCATGCAGCAGAATGTTATTCTGCTATAAAGGAAGGAAGTTCTGATATTTGCTACAATGTGCATATAAGCCTTGAAAAAATTATGCTAAGTGAAAGACACCAGACACACAAGGTAACATATTGTGTGATTCCATTTATATGAAACATCCAGAATAAGGCAAATCCATAGAGACGGAAAGACTAATGGTTGCCAGGGGGCTGGGAGGAGGAGTGAGCCGGGGAGGGACTGCCTAATGGATATAGGTTTTCCTTCCGGCGTGATGAAAATGTTCTGGACCTGGGTAGAGGGGGTGGTTGTACAACACTGTGAATGTACTAGTGACACTGAATTGTTAATTTAAAAATGGTTAATGGTTAATGTTACGTTACTTTTTCCCTCAAGATAATAAAACGATGGAGAAGAATATTTCTTGAAAAGGGAAGATGTTCACCACATATTTGGGGGGAAAAGTGTAAAAGTAGGGAAATACTATCGCAAGGACAAAAAACCAAACACCGCATGTTCTCACTCATAGGTGGGAATTGAACAACGAGAACACATGGACACAGGATGGGGAACATCACACACCGGGGACTGTTGTGGGGTGGGGGGAGGGGGGAGGGATAGCATTAGGAGATATACCTAATGTAAATGAAGAGTTAATGGGTGCAGCACACCAACATGGCACATGTATACATATGTAACAAACCTGCACGTTGTGCACATGTACCCTAAAACTTAAAGTATAATAATAATAAAATTAAAAAAAAGTAGGGAAATAAAAGTGGATATAGGAATTATTGTACTTGCTAAAATAATTTTATAAATCAACACTATATATAAAAATATAAACACATATGAATATGTATTTTATAACATATAAAGAATACATAAACGGACAAAGGCTTTACAGAAAAAAGCCCCTAGTGGTGATTCTCGGGTAGAGGGATTATGTGGTAGGATTATGGTTGACTTAATTGTTTTCTTATCTGTCCTTCCAAATATCTCATAATGAGCATGTCATACTTTGTATTAAGAAAAAAATTGTATAGGTGATATAATAAAAATAGGAATGTAAAATCAGGATTATGTATGTCTGTTGACTCATAACATGCCTCCATAGAATCCAGTAATAACATGGATAGCTTTTCCATGAGCTCATCTGTATGATCAGGCAAATGGTGTCCTGTGAAACCCAATCACGCAGTGGAAAGCAGGATATACCATGCTGAGCAAACAAGTCAGGCACCCTCAAGTGGCTCCACTGTGCTATTCAAAGACTTCAGCCTCTTAGTTGAGATAATATTGAGGTAATTACAGTAACATAATTAAGTTATGTGACTTTGGAATGCACTAAAAAGAAATATACTTAAAAGAAATAGCATGTCAAGAAAATAAGCCAACCTACTGCATTTAAATAATCCTTTAACAAAATGTAATTTGCTTAAAATCCTTAATAAGAGCTCATTCTTTTATTCATAAAGTATATCAAAATGTGATCAATTTTCCTATAATGAAATAAAATCTGATATTTGTTTACTATTTTTTACTACTATTTCAAGTTGCTGTTAAAAGAAAGCTACCCAAATGAAAATATCTGTATTTTCATCCTTTAAGAAAACTTGGTAAAAACGAAAAATTTCAAAACAGGGAATCATGTGACTATGAATTGCATGACATTAAAAAAAATGGAATTATTCTATGAAAGAATGAGCTTTCACTGCATTTCAAAAAATTTCAGTTTTCCTGCTTCTATAGTTACTTTAATTCTTTCAGGTTCTCTCTGTAAACACAATTGCTTGTCTAGATGTTACTAATTGTTATCATGAAGGTTCCCTTCTGATCTCACCTAATTTTCTTTCCTATTAGCAGAGGCTGATATTCATTCATCCAAAAAGTATTTGAGGAGTGTCTACCACATTCCAGACCACATGCTCAGAGCCTGGTGGACTGAGCATCACTGGCCCTACCCTCAGGCCATAAATGGGCTGTCCAGTGCCGAGAATAGCAGTGCCTCACAGGCATTTGGTACATATGCATTGAATATTGGCCTTAGGAGGAGGGATCAGGGTGAACCTGTGTGTACACATTACAGCCTCTCCCAGGGTTGTGGGTTGTCCATGTGAACTTGGGCATTATTACATCATGGCAGGTGGATAAGGGCTAACATCCATTGAGCATCCACTGAATTCTGGGCAGAACGCTGAACGCTTTACTTGCACTAGGTGATTCACATCCCATTGATCTAGGGACTACCATCACCACACTCTACAGATGTGAAAACTGAGGCCCAAGGCAGTTAAATATATTACTTGCCTGGGGTCACACGTAGTGAAATCTGGCGATTGCATCTTCCTGCCAAGGGCATGGAGAAAGAGGAAAGTGATAAAGACCAGAGGTGTGTTCTTGGGAATGCCCTCCAACTAGGGGAAGAGGGGACAGGACAGCAGAGCGGCAGGAGAAAGGGCATGGAGGGACTTCCTAAATTCCTATATGTTCAATGAATTACGAGGATGCTTCAAGAAAAGCTGGCTCACAGGAAGTTTGGGCTGGACGGGAAGGAGGGCCCAGAAGCACTTGGTATCTAGGAACTGGGGGCCTTCCAAGGAGTACCTTCAGCTACATGGGTAGGATATGGCTGAGTTCCTGGGCCTAAGAAGGCGGCTGAGCTATGGAGGCAAGGTGTTTTTCCCAAAAGGCTTGGAGTGGCGGGCGTGAATCCGCTTAGAGGGATGTCTTGAGTCGGGAGAGAATCCAGGCAAGAATTGCTTCAGGCCAGGATGAGTTAGCAGAGAGGCTGAAGACATTTGAGAGCTGAAGGCTGGAGAAAGCTCCGAGAGGAGCTGAGAGACAGGGCACAGTGACCCCCAGCTCAGCAGAGGGCAGGGGAAGGAGACTTTTGGCTCCAATGGGGAACTGAAGAAGACATCTGAGTAAAATATTAGGCAGTGTGATCTGGCGTGAGGCGGGAGATGAGGTGGGCAGGCAAGACTCAGCATGGCTGAATGGGCAGCTTGATGGCCCAGGCACATGCTGGCTCCTTTGTCATTCCAGAGGGTGACTTTCTGTTCCAGGCTAGTGATGCCATTTTTTCCCCATTCACGGTAGTTTCATAAAGTTCTCTTTTAAAATAAACCTATTTAGATAAAATAAATAAATCCATTAAGGGAAGAGGAAAGCAAATAATGGTACAGATGGTGCAGGGATGTGGCAAAAATTGTGAAGGGGTGTGGGTGAGTGAAGATTGGACAACATTGCATACAGGAGCACATTTCCTAGTTAAAAATCATTTAAAATTTAATTAAAAAAAATTTACAGTTAATTGCTTCACCTGCAATGCTGGAAACTGTCTAGGTGGGACCGAATCTGAGCCAAAACCAACACCCGCCCAGGGAGAAGAGGGTTGAGTCCTTGGCAGGGGTTCCCGGCTGTTCTTGGCAGAGAATGTGGCCTGGAGAAGCTGTCCAGCTGGCTCGAACATGTGGATTTGCAGCTGTACACTCAAACCGGGTTCCATACTATTTTTTTTTAATGAACTAGTTACCCTTGTTTCAGTGCCCCATTAAAATGTTTTTGGGCTGGGTATGGTGGCTCATGCTTTTAATCCCAGCATTTGGGAAGGGTGAGACAGGAGAATCGCTTGAGCCCAGGAGGTCGAGGCTGCAGTGACCCTTGGTCACATTGCTGCACTCCAGCCTGGGCAACAGAGTGAGACCCTGTCTCAAAAAAACAACAAAAAAAATGAGGTTTATGAAATGCTTTTCATTATGAGGATTAGAAATACTTGGATTTTCTCTGTAATGAGAATTATGAAACCAGTTGGGCCACTCAGCCTCTCTAGCCTGGGCAACAGAGTGAGACCCTGTCTCAAAAAAATATATTTTTTTGCCTCACGCCTGTAATCCCAGCACTTTGGGAGGCCAAGGTGGGTGGATCATGAGGTCAAGAGATCAAGACCATCCTGGTCAATATGGTGAAACCCCGTCTCTACTAAAAATACAAAAATTAGCTGGGTATGGTGCCACGTGCCTGTAGTCCCAAGCTACTCAGGAGGCTGAGGCAGGAGAATCATTTGAACCCAGGAGGTGGAGGTTGCAGTGAGCCGAGATCGTGCTATTGCGATCCAGCCTGGTGACAGAGTGAGACTCTGTCTCAAAAAAAGAAAAAAAAAATTTAATGCTCCTGTTCAGGCAATATTTTGTTTTGTCTTACTCTATAACTTCAAGGCATTTCAAAAGAAAATTAAAAATCTTTGCTCTAATGGGCTAAGAAGCAAAGGAAATGGACTGATAGGGTTTGATCTGACGGTGTCCTCTATGGCCAACATCATTGCGTCTCTGCTGAGAACCCATAGCCTTTTTTGATTCTGGGCACTGAGACATAAACAAGACCTAAAGACAAATGCCAGCTTCTTATTAGATTTTAACCTTTCTTTCAGATTTTCTTTGGAATACTGAATGGACTAATCAATTTTCCTATTTTCATTCTAGAAACTCAAATAGTACTTGCCAGGTAGAGATGAAAAGACAGTAGGTTCCAGAACCCTTTCTTTCTTCTAGGACATACACGGGGCACACAAGCAGTTTTATAAGTTACAAACATATGCAGAGAATAAAATTTTAACATAAAAGAAAAGTGTGAAATGCCTCATAACATTAACTTTTATTCATGTATGGAGAAAAATCACTATTTCCCCCTATTTGCTTCATTTAAAAATTTCCTCCAGTGAAATACAATTAGTTGCTGAAAAAAGGTAACCCTAGGAACAAAATGCTGTGCACCTGTGTCTTCTAGACTTTCAGTGGTGTTGCTGTGCCACCCTCAGCTGTCAGGTCAAAGATTAGTTAGGATGAAACTTTTCTGGGGCAGAATGAATGCATAATTGCATTTAAAAATGAATCTGCTTGATACTCAAGATTACTTGCCTGCTCCATCCGTGAGATTCATAAAGAAATTAGGTCACTCAGTAGGACATAAGTTCAAAATTAAGACATTCCAATTTATCATGAGGACAAAGTACAGTTTCAAACAAAATCTTCTACATAAAGAAAGATTCAGCTAAATATCCATTAACCTAAAAATTAACAAAGGAAAACTTTGAAGACACAAATCGTGATTTTAGGGGGTCTTATTTTCTAGACAAGTTTTGAAAACATCAAAACATGGTTATGTAAACTGCTTTCAAAGATAAGACCCTTGATTACTGGTGCTGCAAAAATAGGAAACAAATATCAAATGATATAAAAACACTGAATTTGATTTTACAGCACTTCCTTCAAAACTCCAATTAAATTAAATGCAAATAATGTAAGCATATATCAGCCAGAAAGGTTATAATCCTTCTAATAAAATCCATATGGTTTTAAAGGAGGTTTTACATAGAAAAAGAGACTTTAGAAAGAAAAAACAAAAAATATGTACTGGTCTAAAACTTTGAAATAACAACCAGACTGTATGCCTGGGACAGCGTGAATTACTGTGAGTAGAGAATGCTGTTTGTATTCATTTTAGTGTCTGTTAGGAAGTTAGGCAGATAGTAATTTTAAAAAATGGGCTGGTAGAGTTTTGCTATTGATTTGTAAAGGTGACTTGTGTACCATGTGACAAGGTATGTAACTGATATGACTTATTCAGATGCAATCACAATTTAAAGATTTCATACATTTCTTTATAAATATTCCTTAATAATCCAGAAAATATCACATAAATACTCGTATAGTAAGAACGGAATTGTGAACTCCGTATTACTACTAGCCATTCTTAGCATGTGAATTCCAGAAGTGTTTTCCAAAATGGAAGGCACTGATGGAGATTTACTGTTCAGTATTGTAGGGGTTACCAAACTATGGCCCACAAGCCAAATCTGGCACGCTGGTTTGTTTTGTAAATAAAGTTTTATTGAAACACAGCCATGCCCACTTATTTACATATTGGCTCTGGCTGCTTTTGTGTTGTACCAGCAGAGTCTAGTCACTGCGGCAGGATCTTCTGGCCCCAGAATCTCAAATATTTTCTCTCTGGCCCTTTACAGAAAAGCTTGCCAACCTCTGGCTTGTAGAATCATTCAGAATTGTGATGATTTATATGTACTTTAATATCCACCGTGATAGCGAATTGGCAGATTAATTAATTTTGTTTCTCTTTGCTTTGTTACAGTCAAAATAAATTAGGTGTTTATTTTAGAACTTGTGGCTGATTAATGCTCAAAAACAAATAAGCAAAATCACTCATCAGAACTAAATACTCTGCAAGTTATTTTCACAAAAATAAACGAGGCGGAGAATAAACAGGACAA
Organism: Homo sapiens; assembly: GCF_000001405.40. Taxonomy (NCBI): domain Eukaryota; kingdom Metazoa; phylum Chordata; class Mammalia; order Primates; family Hominidae; genus Homo; species Homo sapiens. The sequence continues at coordinate 59,087,516 of NC_000020.11, forward strand.
AAAATGGGTAATATAAATAATGAGACACTTATTCAAAGCTGAAGACTACCCTCAGGCTGCTAGGACAACTTAGGCTCTCACAAAAAACGATTAACCTTGCTCGGAATGCATTCGCCCTCTTTTCTGTGAAGTAAACATTTCTTGTCAAAGGCATCCTGACAGTGGTAATTAAGTTCAGAAAGTTCTATACTGAGTGGGAGATGTGCCTGTATTGCTTGACTTTTTTTTTTTTTTTTTAATGAGAAGACAACATCTCATGGTAGAGAGCTGAACTTTCAATTTTACAGGCGAATTCTACCAGTTTATAAATTTGGGATGCAACTGTAAATAAATACATAATAAATGTTCTCTAAAATACAAGATATAGGTAATAAGAGTTAAGAGGAAAATAATTGCAGTGATCAAAACAAAATTTAAAAATAGAGGTAAAATGAATGGCTTGGAGCATCTCATAGGCTGGGAGAATGCTCTGAACCCATGCATCGCCCCGGTCAGAAGGACCACCAGGGGGCGCCTTGTTTCTAAGCTTTCCCTAGGGGTTGTTCTTGGTTAAGATTCCTGGATTGGTAAAGATTCTTTGCCGTGTTTGGAGAGATCCTGAAACTGATTAATCAACTCTGAGGCTTTCAGTTCCTTGCCAATGATCCAACAGATCCATCCCAGTGGGATGGTTATGTCCCTTAGATTTAGGAACCTGTATTTTAATTAATATAGCTTTCAAGCTACAAAGTTTTGTAAAACCTATAGTCAAGTGCAGCCCTGGATCTTTTTCATATGAATTTGTGCTTAGGTTAAGATTTATTCCCCGAAGAACTGTTTATGGAAAACCAGAGGATGTATATTAGAGTTCTGGGAATCTAGTGTCTCTTTTCTTCATCCTCAGAGTATGTGACCTTGAGCCAATGGCTTGACCTCCTCAGGCTCCAACTTCCCTAACTGCCACTTTTGCAAGCTGAGTTTATAAACATGAGTTGAGATAATGCCTGTGGAATGTCTGGCACATAGTGGGTGCTTCATACCCTTTATCAAGTTTCTGTTATCCTTTATTGTATTAAAACAAATAACAGAGATCCAGGGTTTTATGTTCATGCCTGTTAAATTTCTTCCTAATTTCAGTTCATCTTTCATTTTCTTTTTCTTTTTTTCTTTTTTTTTGAGACGGGGTCTCGCTCTGTCACCCAGGCTGGAGTGCAGTGGCACGATCTTGGTTCACTGCAGCCTCTGCCTCCCAGGTTCAAGCAATTCTCCCACCTCAGCCTCTCGAGTAGTTGGGATTACAGGGGTGCACCACCACACTTGCCTGATTTTTGCATTTTTAGTAGAGACGGGGTTTCACCATGTTGGCCAGGCTGGCCTCAAACTCCTGACCTCAGGAGATCCACCCACCTCAGCCTCCCAAAGTGCTGGGATTACAGGTATGAACCACTGTGCCCGGCCTCAGTTCATCTTTCAATGGTAAAAATCCTTCTGAATCTTCATTTATTCTGACAAAGGACGAGTGTTCCCTTCCAGTCCTGGGATACCTCTAACTTGGATTTTCATTTTTCCAAGCCTTCATCCTAGTTCAACATTCACAGTCAAGTGGAGCTCCAAGGTGCAAAACCAGGCATTCTCCTTCCAGGTTGATAGCAACTGACACTTTTTGGGGAAAGCCTGTCATGAGTGATACATTGGGGAAGCCAAGGTCAAGGGCAAAGAGGGCAATGACCATCACTGGGGATGCTCACCGGGTCCTGGGCCTAAAGTCCACTCTCCCAGGTCCTCCTGCTTTCCTGTTGGATGCCAGTCACACACCCTGATCTTTTGGTGGCCCCTGGTGTCTTCCCACTTTGCTAAGCCTTTGATGGCTTGGTTCTGAGATGCATGTGTCCTCACTGCCTCAAATAGCGAAGAGGGACCCGTGTTGTCCATCTTTCGTCTGTGTCTGTTCTCCTCATTTCTCTGGGTGTACCATGTCCAGCGCTGAGGATTGGTTTTCTTCCTAACAGTCAAAACATTTGTCTCAGTCTGCCTTGGACAATCTGACTTTGTAGTGCTCACAGAGCTTTATCATTTGCCTCACAGTAGATGGAGTTTTTAAAGTCTTTTTTTTTTTTTTTACTTCTTTTTATCAAGTTACTGGCAACAAATTCCCAGGGCCTGGCTCAGAGGGCATTTAAAGGGTGCCACCTAGGACCACAACAGTTGCAATTTAAATCACAACCTAGAGGCATGGTCAGTGCAGAGGAACATACAGCCTTCCAAGCTCCGGGGAAGTGGCTTGTCTTATGAGTTTCACAGACAGGGTAAGGAGTTGGGGAATCTGGTCCCAAAGGTCTGTGAGTCTTCAAAGTTCCTCTTACTGTTTCTCCCAAGAGGCCTTATGAGTCCTCAGGCAAACATAGCTATTGATGACCTGATCTGGCAGCTCATACCCTTCTGGAGCTGGGCTCCAAAAGAGATTCCCAATGCGTCAATGCATGGTCTTTAATGTATCACTGACCTTACACTACAAGAAAGAATGCTGGGGGCAGTACAATACATTTTAGAAATACCTCTATCAGTGAATTAACTTTTCCCTTAAACAGTTATTATTAAAGTGAAATTCACACAACATAAAATAACCATTTTAAAGTGAACAATTCAGTGACATTTAGTGCATGCTCAATGTCATACAAACACCGCTCTTTCTGCTTTCACATATTCATCAACCCCAAAAGAAACCCTGTACCAATAAACAATTACCCCTCATTCCTCCTCCTTCCAGGCTGGAAACTACCAATCTGCATCCTGTCTCTATGGATTTATGTATTCCAAATATTTCATATAAATAAAATTGTACAACACGTGACATTTTGTGTCTGGCTTGTTCCACTTAGTTATAGCCTGTGTCAGTGGTTCATTCCTTTTCACGGCTGATTACTATTCCATTGTATGCACATATCACAATTTGTTTATGATCATCAGTTGATGGACATTTGGGCTGTTTGCACCTTTTGCCTATTGTGAATAGTGTTGATATGAACATTCACGCACAAGTTTTTGTTTGAATACCTGTTTTCAACCATTTTGGCTATGTATCTAAGAGTGTAATGGCTGGGTCATATGATAATTCTGTGTTTAACTTATTGAAGAAGGATTAATTTTTGTGCATTTTAAAATTGTTTGTATTTTTGTTGTTGAGTTGTAAGAGTACTTTATATATTCTGGATACTAGATCCTTATCAAATATATGACTTGCAAATATTTTTTTTTCGTGGATTGTCTTTTCACTTTTTTGATAATGTCATAATTACTTTTTGCCTTTTGTAAAAGTCAGGTTTATTAAGGTTTATTTACATATAATAACATTTACCCTTTCAAAGGATTCAGCAGCATGACTTTTGGCAAATATATATAGATATGCAGCCGCCAGAGTCAAGATGTAATATTTGCACCACCACAAAAAGGTTCTCTTGGGCCCTTTTGAAGTTAATTCCCTCCCAGTGCTAATTACTTGTTAAGTTTTGTTATTAAACTAATTTTTAATTTTCTAAAATAATTAACTACTGTGGAAAACCTAACTAACAAATACTAGATCAATGATGCACCATTGTAGTATTTGTATTGACCCTGTGCAGCTTGAAGAGTATTGACATTTTATAGTTTGAATTTACTCTTTCCTGGGACCCAGCTGCAAGGGTAACACTTGTTTCAGCTGTACAGACTTGGAGTGCCAGCAGGAAGCACTGAAGCCGGCTCTTCTCTCCTGATGATTCTCCAAGAAGATTCACTCTGGTACGAATGCAGAGGCAGATTCCACTGTAAAATACATTCCATCAAATTGTTCCACATGCATTCTTCATACATCTAGGGCATAGGCAGAACTATTTCTTTCACAGTGTTTTTTTCTAAAGACAAAACAGGACTAATGATTTTTCTGGTGTTTCAACAGACAAAGGAGGCTGGGCGTGTTGGCTCACACCTGTAATTCCAGCTCTTTGGGAGGCTGAGGCTAGAGGATCACTTGAGCTCAGGAGTTCAAGACCAGCCTGGGCAACATAGAGAGACCCCATCTCTACAAAAAATAAAAAAATTAGCTGGATGTGGTGGCGTGTGCCTATCGTCCCAGATACTCGGGAGGCTGAGGTGGGAGGATGGCTTGAACTCGGGAGGCAGATGCTGCAGTGAGCCCCAATAGTGCCACTGCACTCCAGCCTGGGTGACAGAGTCAGACTCTGTCTAAGAAAAAAAGACAAAGGAAACTGAAATTTGACTTCGCTCTGACCACCTGCCCCTGCTTATGAACATCTACCCTCCACCCCAAAGTTCCATGTTCTGCCATGGAGTTGCTCAGTTTCTTGTCAAAACCAGATGTTCTTGTGCTGCCTCCATCCTGCAGAGGGGGTTCAGGCATTATTTGAACCCTTTATTTGAGCTAGGTTGAATTGGTCTAGATTTCTAAAACTTAGAAGAGCCTGATCCATAGAACTGATACATGGAGGGAGGTTTCACAGAATAGGCCTCAAGAAGAAATGTGGGATTCTTATAAGATCATCAGGACACAGTCAGTAGGTGACAGGGAGAATAGCCTCCAAATCTTACACTGAGAAGTTCGTGATCTGTGTTGGCAAAACAGTAAATAGAAACACCTTGATGCTCAAGTCACGTGCTTTTAAGTCTTTCTGAGTGTACGGGATAAAAAAATTGGCAGCGTGCGATGCTTCCTCACGCAGCTGGGTCTTGGTGTTCATGTCATTTACCACATCACATTGAAATGATCTGTTTACATGTCTGTCGTCCACACTAGATTGCCATCTCTTCAGGGGCTGGGCCAGTTTTATTTGACCTTGTTTTCACAAGGTCTCTGTAATGTCTCGACAGTGGGGGACACTCAGCCCCTGTTTCCAAGGACCCAGGCTGTATCACCTTCTGCACTCAAAATGGTTCGCAAACACTATATCATCAGTTATACCTTCTGTGGGCTGTTTCTGTCTTCTCACCTCTCCTTAGTATCTCTGCTATCTCTGAAACTACCTTCATTTAAATTACTTTCCTAGTATCTTTGAAGTAGGCAAGTAGATATTTAATGCTGAAGTCCAAAATATTCAGGTTAATAATGGAAAAGATAGCTATTGCTGAACAACTAAATGTAAGGCATGATATTAGATAATGAGCCAGAAAAATAATTGCTCTAAAGGACACTATTGAGTCCACTGGTGAAGCTGGAATACAGAGCCACACTACATGCATTATTCATCTGCCTTCCTATTCATTCTATTATGTTTTCCTCCTGGTTCTAACTGTAGATAAGAGTTTTATGTCAAGGTAAAATTTCCTGAATTTGATAACAGTATTGTTATATTAGAAACTGTCCTTTTCCTTGGGAAATGCACACTGAGCTACTTAAGGATAAAGAGACATGATGTATGCAATTTAATCTCAGATGGCTCAGACAGAGAGAGAATTTATGATAAAGGGAATGTGGCAAAATGCTAGCCATCGGTGAATTTGGGTAAAGAGTATTGGGAACCTTTTGTACTATTCTTGCAACTTTTATGTAAGCTAAGCATTATTTCTAAATAAAGTTAATAAAAAGTTATTTCCAAGATTAAACCTTTTCTTTGATATTGATACTCTGTGAATAAAGAGCACAAGCAACAGTTAGCCAGGATGGACAGGTGGAAGCGATACGTCCTTATTTATCCATTCCTCTAGTCCTGTTCATTTTTGCCCTGATTCTAACTTCCTCCTCTTATTGTCTAAGTGTGGACATGCCCCAAGGCCCCTTTGCTTGCAGTCTTTCCCTCCACACTTCCTTGGTGCTCTTGATTCCGCTCGTGGCTTCTGTCACCCAAGTATATTGCACACTGTTGTGTTCAGGGTGCTAGGGCAGGTTGCAGAGGTTTGATTTATGGTTGTGTAGATAAAGCAGTGCACAGAGGTGCTTATGACCTGGATGTTCACAAAATCATGTACTTTAAATGAAATTGGAAATTGTCAAGCCCTCACTGTCTACTCATCATCCCTGCTCCTGTTTCAAGAGACTAAGGAGGCTGGGCATGGTGGCTCACACCTGTAATCCCAGCACTTTGGGAGGCTGAGGCAAGAGGAGAGCAGTTCAAGACAAGCCTAGGCAACATGGAGAGATCAGAGCAGACTGGTTTTGACTTTCATCACCATTCAAAGTAAACTATGCTAGGGAATATCACCAAAAACTTCCAACTGGAAATCTAATGGACAGTGTCCAACCTTTGTTACAGTCACCTCTTAAGAAGCTGTGTAATCTAGGGTAAGAGTAACAGCAAAAACATATAGAATTTACTAATGCAGGCTCTGTTCTAGGCGCTTAACATATAATTACCAATTTAATTATCTCAACAATTCTAGCAGCAAATTTTATTATCATTCTCACTTTACAGCGAGAAGCTGGGGCATAGAGAGGTTGAATAACTGGACTAATTTAGTGAGTGGTGGAGCTAGAACCGTAGCTTAGGAATCTATGGCTTTATCATAACATTACATGGCATGCAGAATGCTCATCATGGTTCCTGGTATACAGTCAGAGTTCAATCCATGTTAGCTATTATTGTTATTATTAGCTATCGGCTCTGGGGTGAAGGTCTGGGTCTGATGGCCTAGCAAGAGCTATGCTGCCCAACACGGGTTCCCAGAGCCACATGTGGTTGAGCCCTGGATATGCGGTTCCTTCAAATTGAGATGTGCTTTAAGTGTAAAGTATACACTGGTTTGAAGATTTAATACACAGAAAAAAAAAATCCTGATAACTTGAAAATATTTTGGATATAGTGGGTTCATTAAGATGCATCATTAAAATTAATTTTGCATTTTTTTACCTTTAAAAATATATTCGCTAACAAATTTAAAGTTACAAACATAATTTTACGTTTTTTTACGTACGTTTTTTACTTAATTTTACGTACTTACATTGAATTTCTATTGTTCCATGTTGGCCTTAGGCACTAGAGAGATAGCTTGAAGCCTGGAGCTTCCACTGGGAAAAAGCATTAGGCTCGGGGCACTGCTCAGCTGCGGATGGGAGAAAACAGAGACAGTCTTGGAACAGGATCCCAAGGACCTGCACAATTGCCAGCATATTCACACACTGCCCCTCTAAGCCAGGGAATTGAGGGCCGCAGACGTGAAAGGCTGCGGTGAACTTTTCCATTTTCAGCATAATTGCTTCAAACTGTGGCTGAGCAGGCAGGCCCCAAGCACCACCTGCCATCAAACACTCAGAGGGGTGAAGAGTCCCAGCATTTCCCACCTCCAGGCTGGCAAAAGGCTTCAGCTGGCCTCACCAGAAGTCCTGCCCCTCACACGGAGGCCCCGCCTCCTTACTCTCATTGAGCCTGCTCTGCTGCTGGTCCAGGTAGATTTTTTTCTGGTCACCTTGCTGTTTCCGGGTTACTCGTAAAGCTTCCGGGAACATGGTTGTCTTAAGCTCTTTAAAACCTACCTGATAACCTAATGGTTTATTCTCTTCTCCCTGGGCTGAGGGGTAGAGGAAAAGCGCAGAAACTCGCACACTTGCTGCAGACTCTTCCTGAAGCATCTCCACCTGGCTGTGCCCTGTAAACTCGTAAGTCCAATCTCTCCAAAACTGTTCTCGTGCCCAGTCCCCATAATCTTTTTCTCTTGTGTGCTGGTCTCAGTAAATTCTCCACCACTCTGGGCCATACCCCAGGCATCATCTCAGCCTCTCCTTCTCCTTCAGTCTCCTGGCCAATCAATCACCAAGTTGTGTGTGTTCTGCCTTCTAAGTATAGCTGGAACCTTTCCTGTGGTCTGTCTCCCATCATGGTCTAGGCCGTCACTGACTGTCACCTGAATCACAGCAAGGACTCTTTTTCTGGCCTTCCTGTTTGCAATTTGACCCACACACCCCCAGCCAAACACTGAGCACCAGGGCGTGTCTTCCTAAAGCTGCATCTGGTGGTATCCTGTGAATGCTGCTGTGAAGTCCAAGCTCCTACAGATGATTTCCCGCCAGGCCTTTTATCAGGTCTTGATTCTTCAGCCTCTTTACTCACCCTTCTCCCTCTCTCACTTTACAGTCTAGTCATCAAAGTCTTCTTCCTTTTTTTTTTTTTTTTTTGCCTGAAATCCATCAACCCAGCCCTCTCCTAATACTACCTCTGTGCCGCCTACTCCCATCCTCACCCCAAAATTTTGCCTGCCAAGCTGACTCTTCCTTAAGGTCTCAGTTAGCCACCTCTTACTCTGGGAGAGCATCCTCTTCCCTTCTACCTTCCCCCATAAGAGCACTTTGCATTCTGCTTTATAGACTGATTTTGAGCATGGACTACTCCTGATTCCCATCTGTGGCTCACCACTAGCAAAGTGCCAGGGCCGTAGTAGTTGTCCAATAAACACTTGTTACATAAATGAAAGGATTCCCACAACTGACTGTTGCTAGAGGGCAGCCTATCTCTGGGTCAAAAAGACTCTAAAGCCTAGACAGATACTGACAGTCGAGCCAGTATGATTTCCGACTTCTTATAAAAAATGAAACGTCCACGATCAAAGGCGATAGCTCTCTACAACCCAAACTTCTTTCTTCTTGGCCAGCTGATGAAATGTTCATCTTTCCAGGTCCCACAGTCACTGCCTGCTCTCCTTTTTACTTATTATTATTATTATTATTATTTTTTAAGGGTGACCAGTATAAGAGTGGGCCAGTGAAGGTGAGACTGGGGCAAAGTTGGGTAGAAATGATTTCTGTTTAGCTTTGGGGAGTGAAGTAACTTTTCACAATTGCTAACTACTTGGTACTTTTCTTTCTTTTTCTTGTCTTTTTTTTTTCTTTTTTTTGAGACGAAGTCTCGTTCTGTTGCCCAGGATGGAGTGCAATGGCACGATCTCTGCTCACTGCAACCTCCTCCTCCCAGGCTCAAGCTATTCTTCTGCCTCAGCCTCCCAAGTAGCTGGGATTACAGGCACACACCACCAGCCCAGCCAATTTTTGTATTTTTATTAGAGACCGGGTTTCACCATGTTGGCCAGGCTGGTCTCGAACTCCTGACCTCAGGTGATCTGCCTGCCTCAGCCTCCCAAAGTGCTGGGATTACAAGCATGAGCCACCACGCCCGGCCTACTACTTGGTACTTTTCATCAGCTTACTCTTTTCGAGCATTATTCCCAGATTAAATTTGAGTCATTTTGGAAGCCCAAAATATCCTCTGAATTATTGGATGTGGCTGTAAAATGTGTTCTCAAGGAGCCCCTTGTAAATTTCCATGAGCGGCTGTTATCCTAAGTCATATGAAGGCAGTAATCCATCAGAGTTACCCTATGTGCACAAGGAAGGACTGTCTAGAATCTAATTTTATCTCTAACTCTATAAACAGCCAAGTGGCACCATTTATTATTTTACATAAATCAGCCCTGAGACCAAATTCTCCTTTAAATGTGTCCTTTATTCTTTTCCAATACAGTACTGCCTAAAAATCCCCAGTAGCTCGAAACAGTTCTATGGCCTTTGCATTTGGGGAGGGAGAGAGGTTCTGGAGGAATGAGAGGAGAGGAGAGAGACCTGAGAGGGAAAAGGAAACTCCTGTTCAGCACATCAGTCCAACCAGGCTTTGGGCTTGCAAGCCAGAACATCTAGATGAAAAGCAAAGAAGCAAGTCAATGAAGGGCCTATTCTCAACTTGGCTAGATGCCTTTTTCTATTCTCATTTAACATGTCTTTTGGAAAATAAGAAATTGTAGGTCTGCATTAGTCACTGTTAGGAAAACTTGTACAGGAATTTACTTTCTAGTGACTTGACTTGGAGAGTGGCTGGTATCCACGGGTCCTTAATAAAAGCCAGTGAGAGAACAGGACGCTGATGAAGACTGATGCTAAATGGGCCGTGTGCTTCCTGTGGCTCTAATGGAAATCATGGCGTGTTTAGCTTAATGGCAATATGGAAAATCCACTTCCTTCTCTCAGCCATTTTTTTAACTAATATAATATTATAATACGATTCTCTCTTGTTTATCCCCTTATTTTTTATAGTTAAAAGTTTAATTTGGAGTTTAAATGTAATTTGAATGCTGCCTAGAGCTCTCCAGAGACAAGGTGTGATATCAATTCCGCAGAATGGAATAATTCTAATTTTCACATGGTGTTGGATGGCAACTAGGGACTACCATGCCTCATGACTGGATATCTATAAGCTTCTACCACCAACCTCAGAAACACTATCATGAGCAAGAGAGAAACTGATAAAAATAAATGTTTCTCTCCTTCCAGAGTCAGTTACCAGAGTGGAAATTCAACTTGTTATCTCTCCTTGCCATACCTTATAGGATGAAAATCTGGTCTTTAAAAAATATTTAGGAGTAAATAGCCCAGTTTCTTCTTTCTATTTAGCTATGGGCTGAATTTCTGGGCAGGTAAGTCAACTGTAAAACGTAATCCTTTCCTGTGTGATTTTGGCTGCAGTGCTTGGGGACAGATTATATTCTTGTTGTTGTTTTTGCTTGTTTGCCATTCTCAGTCCAGTGAATTCTCCTCTCTAACTTCCATCCACAGTTAATTTACATTCCCAGTATTTGACGTCCTTGGATGAGATCAGAAATGGCAAACAACTTTGAAAACTTTGTGCTCATATGGCTATTAATGCTTGCCTGTTGGATGTTTTTGGTTTTGGTTCGTTTATAAGCTGATATTGGCTGTTTCTTTTTTTTTTTTTAAAAAAAAGAAGTAGACTTTATTTTTTACAGCAGTTTCAGGTTTATAGCAAAATTGAGCAGAAAGTACAGAGATTTCCCATATACCTCTAGCTCCACACAGGCACAGCTTCCGCCACTGTCAACATTCTCCAGCAGAGTGATACATTAGCTACAATTGATGAAGCTACCTTGACACATCATTATCACCCAAGGTCCATGGTTTAAATTCGGTTTTATTCTGGGTGTACATCCTGTGGATTTGGACAAATTCATAGTGACATGTATCCACCGTTACGGTGTCATACAGAGTAGTTTCACTGTCCTAAAAGTCCCGTGCTCCAGCTTTTCCTCCCTCTCCCCCTGCTAATTCTTGGCAACCACTGATCTTTTTACTGTCTCCATAGTTTGCCTTTTCCAGAATGTCATGTAGTTGGAATCATACAGTATGTAGCCTTTCAGATTGGCTTCTTTCACTTAGCAATATACATTTAAGTTTCTTCCATGTCTTTTCATGGCTTGGTAGCTCGTTTCTTTCTAGCACTGAATAATATTTCATTGTCTGAATGTATCACAGTTTATCCATTCACCTACTGAAGGACATCTCGGTTACTTCCAAGTTTTTGCAGTTAAGCTGCTGCTGTAAACATCCGTGAGCAGGTTTTGTGTGGACATAAGTTTTCAACTCTTGGGTAAATACCAAGGAGCACAATTGCCATATTGTATGGTAAGAGTATGTTTAGTTTTGTAAGAGACTGCCAAACTGTCTTCCAAAATGGCTGTGCCATTTTGCTTCCCACCAGGAGTGAATGAGAGTTTCTGTCTATATCCTCACCAGCATTTGGCATTGTCAGTGTTCTGGATTTTGGCCATTCTCAGAAGCATGTAGTGGTATCTTATTACTGTTTTAATTTGTATTTCCCTAATGACATTTGGCGTGGATCATCCTTTCATGTGCTTATTTGTCATCTATAGAACTTCATTGAGGTATCTGATAAAGTCTTTAGTCTATTGTTTAATCAGGATGTTTGTTTTCTTACTGTTGAGTTTTATTTTTTTTTATTATTTTTTTTTTTAGATGGAGTCTCACTTCGTTGCCCAGGCTGGAGTGTAGTGGCAGGATCTTGGCTCACTGCAACCTCCACCTCCCGGGTTCAAGCAAGTCTCCTGTTTCAGCCTCCTGAGTAGCTGGAACTACAGGCGCCTGCCACCACGCCCGGCTAATTTTTGTATTTTTAGTAGAGACAGGGTTTCACCTTGTTGGTAAGGCTGGTCTGGAACTCCTGACCTCAGGTGATCCACCCGCCTCGGCCTCCCAAAGTGTGGGATGACAGGCATGAGCCACCGCTCCCAGCCTCTGTTGAGTTCTAAGAGTTCTTTGTTTATCTATATTTTTTCATTTTAAGCTTTATTGACAAATGAAAAATTGTACAGATTTATGGCATACAATGTAATGTTTGATGTACGTATGCATCGCGCAATGATTAAATCAAGGTAATTAACACATTCATCACCTCACATGTTTATCACTTTTTATGGTGAGAACATTTAAGACCTACTCTCTCAGCAATTGTCAAATATACGTTGCATTACTATCAACTATAGTCATCATGCTGTACAATAGATCTCCAGAACTGATACCTCCTGTCTAATAAAAAATTTGTACCCCTTGAGCAACATCTCCCTGTTTAACCTTTATTTTAATTTCAGGGGTACATGTGCAAGTTTGTTGTATAGGTAAACTTGTGTCCTGGGGGTCTGTTGTACAGATTATTTCATCACCCAGGTATTAAGCCTAGTACTCACTAGTTATTTTTCCTGATCCTCTCCCTCCTTCCTCCACCTTCTGATAGACCCCAACGTGGATTTTTTTCCTTTGTGTGTCCATGTGTTCTCATCATTTAACTCCCACTTACAAGTGAGAACACGTGGTATTTGGTTTTCTGTTCCTGCATTAGTTTGCTAAGGATAATGGCCTCCAGCTGCATCCATGTCTCTACAGAGGACGTGATCTCATTCTTTTCCATGGCTGCATAGTATTATATGGTGCATCTGTACAACATTTTCTTAATCCAGTCTATCATTGATGGGAATTTAGGTTGATTCCATGTCTTTGCTGTTGTGAATAGTGCTGCAATGAACGTACACATGTGTGTGTCTTTATGATAGAATGATTTTGTATTCCTTTAGGGACATACCCAGTAATGGGATTGCTGGGTTGAATGGGTAGTTCTGGTTCTATGTCTTTGAGAAATCACCACACTGTTTTCCACAATGGTTGAACTAATTTACACTCCCACAAACAGTGTGTAAGCATTTCTTTTTCCCCACAACCTTGCCAGCATCTATTTTTTTGTTTTATTTTATTTTTCGAGACGGAGTCTTGCTGTTGCCCAGGCTGGAGTGCAGTGGCGTGATCTCGGCTCACTGCGACCTCTGCCTCCCGGGTTCAAGTGATTTTCCTGCCTCAGCCTCCTGAGTAGCTGGGACTACAGGTGCACACCACTACGCCTGGCTAATTTTTGTATTTTTAGTAGACATGAAGTTTCACCATGTTGGCCAGGCTGGTCTCAAACTCCTGACCTCAGGTGATCCACTCACCTCAGCTTCCCAAAGTGCTGGAATTACAGGCGTGAGCCAGAGCACCTGGCCCATCTTTTATTTTTTGACTTTTTGATAATCGGACGTTATTTTTAATGCGATTTTTTAAATTTCTTTTTCAGATAGTTCGTTGTTGGCGTATAGATATGCTACTACTTTTTACATGTTAATTTTGTATCCTGTAACTCTACTGAACTTCTTTATTATTTCTAACAGATTTTTTATGGCATCTTTAGGATTTTCTATATATAAGATCATGTCATGTACAAAGAAAGACAGTTTAACTTCTTCCTTTCCAATTTGGATGCTTTTGTGTATCTGTTATAGGTTTTTGCTTTATGGTTATCATGAGGCCATCTTGCTGATATCACTGTTTTTGTATATTTTGGATAAGAGACATTTATCAGGTACGTTTTTCTGCAAGTATTTTCTCCTAGTCTGTGACTCCATATCTTTTCATTTTCTTGACAGTGTCTTTTGCAGAACAGAAAATTTAATTTTAATGAAGCCCAGCTAATCAGATTTTTTTTGCCTGGCTTTGTGGGGAAAGACCTCACCTTTGTTTCTTTCATGAAAAGTGACTTTGGTATTGTATAAAAGTCATCTAGATTTTCTCCTATGTTATCTTCTAGGAGTTTTATAGTTTTGCATTTTACACTTATGTCTGTGATCCATTTTGAGTTAATTTTTGTGAAGGGTATAAGATCTGTGTCTGACATTAATTTAGGAAAATTCTCAGTCATTATTGCTTCCAATATTTCTTCTGCTCCTTTCTGTCTTTATTCGTTTTCTGGTGTTCCCATTATGTATAATTATACCTTTTGTAGTTGTCCCACAGTTTTAAGATATTTTGTTCTGTTTGTTTTCAGTCCTTTTTTTCTCTTTGCTTTTCAGTTTTTGCAGTTTCTATTGTAATATTCTCAAGCTAAGAGATTCTTTCCTCAGCTGTGTCCAGTTTACTAATAAGCCTACCTAAGGTATTCTTTCTTTCTATTACAGTGTTTTTGATCTTTAGCATTTCTTTTGATTATTTCATAGAATTTCCATCTCTCTGCTTCCATTACCCACTTGTTCTTGCATGCTGTCTACTTTATCCATTAAAGTTCTTAGCATGTTAATCATAGTTGTTTTCCATTCCCAGTATAACTCTAAGATCCCTGACATATCTGAGTTTGGTTTTGATGCTTGCTCTGCCTCTTTACATTGTGTTTTTTTTGTTTTTTTTTTTTTTTTTTTTTTTGCCTTTTAGTATGCCTTGTAATTTTTCTTGGTAGCTGGACATGATGTACTGGGTAAAAGGCAGTGCTATAAATAGGCCTTTAGTACTGTGGTGGTAAGCTACGGGGAGGGGAAGCCTTCTGTACTTTTCTGATTAGGCCATAGTCTTCTAGTGAGCCTGTGCCCTGGGACTGTGAGCTTCTCAAGTGTTTCTTGTTTTTTTTTTTTTTGGTCTCCCTTATATGGGACAGGATGGCTAGAACGTGCCGGAGTTGGGTATTTCCCTTTCTCCCTGTGGGGACTAGAGCCAGTTGGAGTTGGGTGTTTCCCTTCTCCCACGTGGAAGGCTAGAGTTGGCTGGAGTTGGTTATATCCCTTCCCGCAGGTCAGTTAGGCTCTGATAAGACCCTAGCTTGTTAGGCTCTGGTTAAATAGTTTCTCTTGAGGGCAGACCTTGTTAAGAAGAACATAATGCTCTAGAGTATTTTAAATGTTTACTTTTTTCCTTCCCCTGATGGAAACATAAGGGGATTTTTCTCCACTCTTGACTGTGAGAAACTGGTCCAGCTCTTGGAGGTAAAACTCATAAAAGTTTGGGTCCTTCTGGAGTTCTTTACTCTCAGACTTGTCTACACTGAGTCTCTAGCAATTTGTCACATACAGTTCAGGATTTCTAGTATTGGTTCCCATGGTAGAGGTTTCTGCTTATAGGTATCTGCTCCAATAGGTTGACATTTCTGTATCTGCCTGTCTGACTCCCCAGTTTTGAGGGCAGCACTTTGCTCTTTCACCTCACTTCTCTTATGGATCTAAGAGTTTGATTTTTCAGTTTGTCCAGCTTTGTATTTGTTGTTAGCTTGAAAGTTGTCACTCCAACCTCCTTACATCTTCTGCAATAAGGCTACAGAATGAAGTAACACAAGGCTCCTTCCTGCTGGGAGTTTCCTGTTGTGTAAAGAACCCAAAGAAGTAAACCATGATTACCCTGCAGTACAATATTGACCATGGCCAGTGTGTGGAAAACCAGTTGCCTCTGTCGGTACCAGAGCCTGATTCTGTAGGTTCAAATCCTTGTTGTACCACTTAATGTCTTTGTGGTCTTGGTCATGTGATTTAACCTGTCTAAGCCGTGGTTTCCTCCTCTGTAAAATGAGGATATTCATAGTTCCAGTTTCCTTGTGGGGATTACATGAGTTATCAAATGTAATGTGCTTAGCTCAATGCTTCATGAATCATCACTACTTGAAAAACCGTGATGGTGTTGTTGTTGTTATCAGTATACTCACGGTGTTAGGGAGAAAGAGAAGGGTACACCTAACTCTGAAGTTTTATAGAGGAGGTGATGTCTGAGAAGTGTTTTGAAGAATGAGTAGGAGTTTACCAGGAAGGTAAGGAAGAGAGTGTTCTGGGCAGAGGAAATGTTGCTGTGATTGTCATACTCATGGAAAGCAGACTGACATGTTTGGGAGCTATAGTCTAATCGGATTCAACATTGAATGAATATCTCTTCTGTGCCAGGCATGCTTCTAGATACTCAGATACAGTGGGGGAAACAGGCCTGGTGTCTGCTGACACTGCACTTAGATTTTAGTGAAGAGACAGTCAATGAACCAAGAAGCATAAGATACTTAAAATTTTAGGTAGTGATACATACTGTTTGCATAAATTTCCCTGGAAGCCCATTTTAATAAAATAGGGAGGTGGAGAGCTTATCAAGTAAAAGAACTCCCTAAACATTCTCTTGTCCAAAGGGAAGGGTGTGTGTGGTAGAGGATAGCAGTTGCAGTGAAAGAGCAGTGACGGGTGATGAAATCAGGGAGGAAGGAAGGCATCTCCCATAGGCATGAAGAAGCTTTCATAGGCAAAGATGTTGTCACTCTTAACTGTAGGTCAGTGATCCCCAAGCTTCTGTCTTTCATACATTTTTACCATATTTGCAGAAATTAAAATCTTCCCATTCAATTATTTATTTAAAGTTTCTATTTAAATTCACCTTTTAGCATTTAGAAAATAAATGCATGTATTTTCAGAAGGAAGCATTGTAGTATAGCTGTAAATGGAAGACCAGGCTTACCTGCCATGAAAGTAGCAATTGGAAAAATTAAAATTAAAAATGTTTATCTGTGCACTACCCAAAACCATCTTGAGTGGCACCTTTGGTGCACTCCTTGCATGCTTGGTCAATGATGAGGTGCTGGGGAGTCACAGAAAATGTTCAATAGAGAAGCAACGTGACTTTTGTTAGCCAATGGAGTCAGGGTGGAGAGGAGTTAGCAAGACATCAGGGATGCTGTCGCAGGTCGTGCCCCCAACTAAGGAAGTGTCAGGAGACAAAGCAAGACAGACAGATACAAAACATGCCTTGAGGTAGAATGGGATGGGGTGGAGGGGATGATGGAGAGGAACGAACCAAAGAAAATATCCAGATTTTTGGCTTTGGTATGAAGAAGCAAGTGTTTTCGTTTCTGTGTCATTTGAACTGTCTAAGGCAACATTACTGGCACCTGGGCTGATGAACAAACTTTGGAAGTTAAAGGGTGTTAGACCTAGAGCCGTGGGCTTCCATTCCAGGAGTGAGCCAAATATATTCATCCTGGGATAGGGCCCTCCCACTTCCTCTTCCTAAATGAATTATTTATATTCCAAAGGGCCTTAAGACATTGGGGAGCAAAGGGTTCTCTGTCTCTTTCTCTCTCAGGATGGGAGAGGTCCATAAGCTGTCATGTATAAGCTCCTAGATTCATAATTTTGGGGTTCTTCTCCTGCCATACAGATCCTGTCCATGAAGGGTGACAGCTGGTTCTCAGTGGGTCCCTGTAGGACACGGGGCACGGGAAATCAGCACAGTTACTGCTGTGAGTAGTCAGTTTGAGCTCTGCTCTAGGAACCCAAGTTTGCACTCAGGATAAAAATGAGTAACTATAGATATTAAAAACTTTTCAGGTAGCAAGTGACAGACCTCCCAACCTCTATAGATACAGAACTTCAGAGGTTTAAAAGCAATTTCCCGTGATGACCTCATTTGACCTTCTCGAAAGTTCAGAGCCAGCTGGGCAGACATGGGGCTCTTTTCAGATGGGGAACTTGAGGCTGAGAGGGGAAGGGATTTGCTAAAGGTTAGGCTGCTTGTACATAACAGAGCTGGCTTCTTCTAAGTCAGTGGTCCTCCATGGGGCTGATTCTGCCCTCCAGGGCACATCTGGCAATGTCTAGGGACATTTTTGGTTGTCACAGCTTTGGAGAGGATGTCATAGGCATTCAGGGAATGAAGGTCAGGGATGCTGCCGAACACCCTGCAGTGCATGGGATGGCCCCACAACAAATGTCCACTTTGCCAAGGTCGAGAGACAGTTCCAGAGACTTCCTGCCCCAGTCTTGTGCCTTTCTGTTACAGGGCAGCAGCCTCTCCTTTCTGCAACATCCACTTGGTCTTGATGAAAAATGAAACCAACCTGCCAATCATGTCTTACCGAAGTTACCTGCGGTGATGAATATAATAATTTTGAACTTTTCTTTAGCATATAAATAATCCCTGCCTTTATTATAATATTCTGCAGGATAATGTCTAACTCAGTCCTAACCAAGAGCATTATATTTGTATGTGTTTTCTTCAGGAGGCTATTATAATGAAATAAAAAGGCAGCAAAGCTCACTGGGAAAACAGCAGGCTGGGGCTGCCCTTGCGTTGGAAAGTGCTTAGGGGAGGGAAGGTTCATTCTTCTCTCACCAGCCTCCCACTGCCCTTCCCAGGGGACTCTCTGATGTGGAAAGCCCTAGAGTTCTCCAGCATTCTTCCCCGGGGCATCATGGCTCTGGCCATTCCTGTGATCCTGTCCTTCCATGCACAGCTCTTGGCAGGCCTCTTGACTTAGCCACGTGATCCCAACTGGGTGAAGGTGGATGTCCTTTGGCCCACACTTGTGGCTGCCAGGATATAGGTTTGGTGCAGAGATTTAATTTTTGGAGAGCTGAGAACTCGAAACTGGTGGATGGACATGGCTTCTTGGATGGCTGGCTTATCAAGAGCAGCTGGCCATTTATGATTTGTTAAGGGCTTTTGCTCTCTCCTGGCCTCAGCTTCTCTCTGGATCTTATCACAAACCTGTTATAGTTTCATTTGATTTGTTTCTTCGTTTATTTTTTTCCTCCCTTTTTGGTTATTGTTATTTTCCTGGGGTTTTGAGGATCAGACTGAGCAGGGTGAGGGAGCCAAGTTACCGCTTGGAAACCTCAGAGACAGCGAGATCAGATTTCAGGTCTAAGGTGAATTTGCTGTGGCCCAGAATATTCACTCTCTTTGTCTAGCAGCTCAATTCCCTAATTGCCCTAATTGCAGTGAGCTTCTTTTTATCTGCAGGTCAACAGGGATACCTCAGTGATGCATTTGACTTCTTAGGAGGTAAGATCAGCCCCCCACCCATCCCTTATTCTGAAGAGGAGGATGTTTTCCTTGAGTTCAAACCCTAGAGCCACATTCTACATCATAATTCCTTCTACACCATAATTCAACTCAATTCACAAAACAGGGATCCAGCTTCTGCTTTGAAAGTTCCCATGCTTACCATTAAGGACAAAACCACAATGGGCAAATGTGGAATCTTGGTTCTGGATTCTCCCTGCCCTGGGATGAAGAAAGGCATGGCGGTTGGCTGGAGAGCGCTGAGCCTCCCAGTTGAAGAGTTAGGGCCCTGCCAGTGACTATCCCACCCTCCCCTGTCTGATCCTTGCTGTCCTCTCTGGCTCTCATCCCTCTTCAACATGTCTTTTCCATCCTGTGCCACCATCTGAACACCTTGGTCGAATGCATCAGGCTACTGTCTGAATCTGGGACTCTGCACACACAGCATCTTCTGCCCAAGACATGTTCTCTTCTCTGGTCATTGACGTGACTCTTACTCATCTGTCGGGTGGGTGTCTGTTAGGGACTCAGCTGATTGCGTGTCACAGAAGATCCAAATAGGAGAAACTTCAGCAAGATAGGGGTTGACTTTTTTCTCTCGCAAAAAGAAGTCTGAGGGTAGACAGTTGAGGATGGTGTGCAGACACCTGGTCCAAGGGCTTTGCAACATTCCTGACCTTTCCCCCGCCTTTCTGTGTTGCAAGATGTCCGCTGCGGCTCCAACCATCAAGTTTTGGACTCAGGCAGGAAGAAGAGGAAAGGTAGGGGGCAAACCCGCAAGGACCACAAGCGTCTTTTAAGGAGGTTACCTTGAGGTCCATCCACCTGGCCGCTGCTGCTTACCTCTCATCTGCCAGAACTGTGGCACAGCTCTGCAGGGAGAGCTGGGAAATGTAGTTTTTCCTTTTTCAGCTGAGCACATAGTCCTTTCTTCCTCCCATTACTCTAAATATGGTTCTGCAAAGTATATTCAGAGAAGTGGAGCTTCTCATGTCCCATTCATGGCATTTTGTAAAATAGATTTTTATGACTTTACTACCTTTTAAAAAATAAATGGAGCATATTGTACATCCTTTTCTCCATCTTGCTTGTCTTTGCCTCACAATATATCCAGAAGAGTTCTCCCAACATGGTTGTGTTATTTTACATCCCCACCAGCAATATGTGGGAGGTGTACTTGGCCCACATCTTAGCCAGTATTTACTGCTGTCATTTTTTTTTTTTTTTTTTTTTTGAGACAGACTCTCGCTCTGTCGCCCAGGCAGGCGTGCAGTGGCACAATCCTGGCTCACTACAACCTCTGCCTCCCGGGTTCCAGTGATTCTCCCGCTTCAGCCTCCCGAGTAGTTCGGATGATAGGCGTGCGCCCCCATGCCTGGCTAATTTTTGTATTTTTTAGTGGAGATGGGGTTTCATCATGTTGGTTAGGCTGGTGTCGAACTCATGGCCTCAAGTGATCCGCCTGCCTTGGCCTCCCAAAGTGCTGGGATTACAGGCATGAGCCTCCATGCCCAGCCAGTGCTGTCAATTTTTAAAATTGTATTCACTCTAGTGTCTATAAAATTGTATAACACTGTGGTTTTAATTTTTATTTTCCTGTAACCTAATGATGTTGAGCACATTTTGATGTACTTTTTGACCATTCATGTACTTCCTTTTGTGAAGGTTCTGTTCGAGACATTTACCTATTTTTATTGGGCTGTCTTTTTATTACAAATTCATAATAATCCCTTAATTGTTCCTGAATCAGACAGGTATAGTATAGACATTTTCTATGAGTCTATGACTTGCCTATTCATTTTCTTACTGATGTCTTTTGAAGGATTGATATTTTAAATTATGATTAAATGTATCAGTTTTTCTTTAAAAAAATGTGGTCTGTTAAAGAAGGAGCTGTATTCATTTCCCAGGGCATCCCTAACAAATGGCCACAAACTGGGAGGCTTAGAACAACGGAAATGGTTTCCTTTGCAGTTCTGGAGGCTGGAAGTCTGAAATCAAGGTGTAGGCAGGGCTGTGCTCCCTCTGAAGGCTGTGGGGAAGGGTCTGCTCCAGACCTGTCTCCCAGCTGCTGGAGGCTGCCAGCAACACCTGCTGCTCCTGTGCTTACGGCTGTGCCACTCCAATCTCTGCCTCCATTGGCACCTGACCCTCTCCCCTGTGTGTCTTGTATCTTCTCTTCTGATAAGGATGCAAATCATATTAGATTAGGGCCTCCCCTACTTCTATGTAACCTTAACTAATTACATCTGCAATAACCCTCTTTCCAAATAAGGTCACATTCTGAGGTTCCAGGAAGAACATGAATTTTGGAGGGGCACTATCCAACCAAACATAGATATCAAGGCGAATGGCTAGGAAATTAACTGTCTCTTTATAAGGTTTCAGCTTAGCTTGTGAGCACTGAAAGCATCCCCTCCTTCACAGCATAGTAGCTAAATGGTAGTTGCCTGCTTCCTTGTCTGAATTCCTCGTGTGTCAGAGGGCAGGGAACTCTTACTTTGTTCCTCTCCCTGACCCCTGACTTTAAGTAACAGAAATCCTTAAATTGGCTGAAATTGTAAGGGAATTTATCTTCTTGGCCAACAGGAAGTCCATAGGTGGGTCAGCTCCAGGCTTCGGAGTTAGGGCCTTAGCTTTGCTCATGCCCTCCAGGATGTGTTAGCTTCAACTTCGGTCAGGAAGCAAGATGGCAGCTTCCATTTCAGATAAGCATTTGTAGAGGGGATATTTCCCAGACTTCCCCAGCCATGTCAGGCTAGGTCACATGTCCTTTTGTCAACCAGTTGCTGGTAAGGCCTGGCTTGGACTAATTACTTAGGGGTCACCTGACGTTGGGGATTCAATCAACAAGACCCTTTCCCTGTATGAATGACTATATTCTTGTTGCACTGTTGAGCCTGGGACACTGCTGTGCCCATGGTGGCTTCTTGATTGTGTGGTGACCTTGAAGGCTCCAAAGGCCCTGCTCAAAGCCCTAGAGGCATTTTGCAGGATCATGCGAACCAATGGAAACACGTTTTCCTTTGGCTTGGGCCAGCATCTCCTCATGACCACAGCTCCATGCCAGTACTCCTGGAGGTCAGTTGAGGGGACAACTTGATGTTCTTTCTTGGCAGGAACCAACTTTCTTTCTTGGAAAGTTACATGTTCCTGAGCTGGAGCTTCACAACTGCTCTGAGGTCAGGGTTGTGGGTGAACAGGCTCCACTGGGCTCTGAGTGAGTGTGGCTTGGCCTGGAATTAAGTCAGGGACAGACATCTGCCCCCATTAACTCAGGATTTTGGCTTTGACTGGTTAGCCGAGGAAGGGGTGTGGAGGACTGGAGATGACCAGTGATTTTTGCAAGCCAAGAAACTGCAGGACAAGGTCAGTCTTTATTTAGACCTATTTCTGCAGGAATAAAGAAGGTGGTGATGGTGTTTCTACTTCTAAAATAAGAGCAGAGTGAGTAAATTCTCTTTGGGGAACACTTAGCCATTGACCTATTACTTCCCTACCTGAACCTTTTCAGCCAGCTGAGGGGGGTGAGATGTTGATCCCAATTGCATGTCAGGGGTGTCTGCCTTTCCCTTGCTTAGAACAGCCCCCTTATTCATCTGGGCCCTCCTCGTTTTGTGATGAAAGATTCAAAAATTAGGAAAAAAAATGATGCTGGAAATTATAGCTAAATGTACAAAGCACTTACTATGTGGTCAAGGCTATATGTGGGATATCTCATTTACTCTTGACAGAAAATACTAGCACGAAGTAGATAGTCCTATAATTCCCCATTTTACAGTTGCTGTACTCAAAGATGAGAAAGGTAACGTCACCTGCTCAGAACCCTATAGCTGGGACATGGTGGGGTCAGGATTTGAACTCAGGTCTTACTGATTCTAAAGTCTGAGCTGTTGCCTCCCAAAAGCCAGCTGCCATTCTTTTGTCACCTCTCTAATTTCTCCAAATAGTGAATTTTCATGGGAAAATGGGAATAGTTCTTCCCACTGGCATCCTTTAGTTCAACCATAGCTAAGTAATAAAAATGTGCATTTTTCTCATAAGACACAACAACTCTTAATGTATTATGTGTAAGAGAGAAAGGTAGGAAATGACCAAATGTCCATCAATAGTGGACAAGCTGAGTAAACTATGGTAAATCCAAACAGTAGGGTACTATACAGTTGTAAAAAAAAGTGATGAATATCTTCATATATTTATATGGAGTAGCTTCCAGTGTATATCGTTAATTGGGAAAAAACCTGGTGTAGGATAGCATTAATAGTAGTCTCCTTTTGTGTAACGAGGGGAGAACATATATATATTCTATTCTCTATGTAAGAATATGTTTTATTCTTTTAAATATATATTAGAATACATTTTAAATATATACTTAATATATAAATATATATTTATAAATATTTAATATATTTAAATAAATAATATTTAAAACATTAAATATATTTTAAATACATTAATATATTACAATATATTTTAAAATATGAATGTATATAAAGAATTTTTATAAAAGAATGAAAAGATAAACCAAAAAATTACTTAACATGGATACCTAGATGGGGGGAGGAAATTGGGTGAAGGAGGCAGACATGAAAGAGACATGTGAGAAGGTACCTCATTTTATAGAATTGGCTTTGGAGCCCTGTACATATTTCACATAGTTAAACATGAAAATTAAAAAATAGCAACACTTAAAAATTGAAAACAAATTGTAATAAGTGAATCTAGGTGAATGTTAAAATGGTGCTCAATTGCACACACAAAAAATTATTTCAAATGACTTTTAAACACAGTATTTGAACTGTTTATCCCTGGGAGAATAATCCTTAAGACCAAGGGAACTGTAAAAAAAAATCTTAACTAGTATTCAAAAGCCTTATTTTAAGTAATAATATTGGCATTGCTGTTTTGAAACTATTATATGATAATGTAGGTTAAAGTAAGTGGAAATTATGTTAATAACTTTAGGAACCAAATTTTCAGTATAAAAGTAAATATATGTACATATAAAATCCAAAGATGTTCAATAAAGCCCTAAAATCTTAAAATTTAAATAAAATGTATCAGTATAAATTCATGAGTTACCTTTCCCTTTCTAAAACAACAACAACAAAAGCCCCTTACATATTTCTTTTTTTTTTTTTTTTTAACTTGTCACTGATGAAGCTCAGACAATCCTTTACGTATTTTTTAACTCTGTCCATGGAAAAGTCCTGGAAATGACTAACCCAGTAGTGTTTAGCAATCACATGTCCAGATTATGGTCTCTAAATATCATTTTCCACAAAATGAACCAGAGTTCCTTAGAGAAATAGCCAGTTCCAGGTCTGGAGCAGGACCTATGCAAGTTGGACATGTGAATTTTTGTTCTGCCAGAAAGCAAGAAAGCTATAAAAGATTAATGGAATCATGTCAAAAGGAAGTAGGAGCTAACACCATGGGCTTCCACTGGCAAAGAGGGGTCAACTTGAACAATAAAAAAGAATAATGATTGCAATTGTTTGAAGCAAATCAATTATTGCCAAAGTGATAATGAGAAAACAACTCTTTGGTTGCTCCTGAACATTGATAAGGCACTAACTTATTCTGAAAATTTATAAGCAAAGAAATAAGCTTTTATACTGCCTTATTGTGCCAACTGTATTTTGTGGTAAAAAGGTGATGAGGGAAAGTTCTTTGTAAAATAAATGAAGGAGGCCGGGTGTGGTGGCTCACAGCTGTAATCCCAGCACTTTGGGAGGCTGAGGTGAGCTGATCACTTGAGTCCAGGAGTTCTAGACCAGTCTGGGCAATATGGCAAAACCCTGTCTCTACAAAAAATACAAAAAGGAGCTGGGTGTGGTGGCATGCACCTGTAGTCCCAGCTACTCAGGAGGCTGACGTGGGAGGATCACCTGAGGCCAGGAGGTTGAGGCTGCAGTGGGCTGTGATTGCACCACTGCACTTCAGCCTGGTTTGGAGTGAGACCAGCCTGGCTGGAGTGAAACAGAGTGAGACCCTGTTTCAAAAAACAAGAGGAAGAAGAAGGAATAGTAGAATTATCACTGTTTGCTATCCCTAATGAAATAACACATCTAGGCAACAATCCTGGATGCTGCTGAAACCATTAGCTACAAAGCCAGTGGAGAGAATGGGGAGATCTAAGGGGGATGAACCAGGCTAACAGCACTTAAACCCACTTATCAATCTTAGCATCATTAGAAGTGAGGTATTCCAACATTACGCACCTCCTGATGGGATACAATAGTAAGTACGCAGCACCGCGTATATTCTTAAAGAAACTTGAACTTGAATCTAGCTTGAATCTCTCTAGTGCTTACTACCAGTCTTCAGAAATGTGGGGAATAGGAGAACAAGTGAAATGGCACTACAAGGAAGCAACCAGCTAAATTCAGAATGTGAAACTTGCTACAGGAGAAATGACCTAAGGTGGGGAAGGAGAGTCTCTAGATTAAAAAAAAAAAATGTAAGAGACATATTCAATCAACTGCAATATGTGTACCATGTCTGTATCTTGATTTGAGGAAATTAACTGTAAAAAGAAACTTTTGAGACACTTAGAAAAATGTTTCTTTTCCTGGATGTTAGAAGATATTCTTGCTAATTTTGTTAGGTGTGATAGAAGCATTGTGGTTATGTAAAAAGTATCTTCAATTGATAGAGATGTAATCTAACAGTAATGATGGTTAAAATAATACACTATCTGGTTGAGGCTTTCGGGCTTGGATGGCTGGGTGGTGCAGCCTAGTGTCCACCTGCAGCTGCCTTCTGTGTCAGTCCTCTGCCCCGCCAAGGCTGTAGAGCTTGTCCATGCGGGTAGCAGGATGCTCCAAGGAGCTGCGCACTGGCCACACCATGGTCCACCTCACTACTCCCCTCTGCAAGGCCTATTACAGGGGCCACTTAACGATCTGCCTTGCCCTGGGTGGCTGCACCAACCAGCCCTTCTACCGCATTGTGGCTGCTCACAGGTGTCCCAGGGATGGCCGTTTTGTAGAGCAGCTGGGCTCCTATGATCCATTGCCCAACAGTCATAGAGAAAAACTTGCTGTCCTCAAACTGGACTGGATCCATCATTGGATTGGCTGTGGGGCCCACCTCTCTAAGCCTATGGAAAAGCTAGTGGGTCTTGCTGGGTTTTTCCCTGTGCATCCTATGATGATCAGAAGTGCCGTGAGACTATGAAGGAAATGGGCACCTGAAGTCCTCTTAGCTTCTCAGAAAACAGATGCAGAGGCTACAGATACAGAGGCTACAGGAACACAAGTGAGCTGACTTCAGTGAGCATAGCAGTGAGAACAGGGTCAAGGTCCTCTTAAAATACTGTGCAGAGATCTTAATTTTGTTAGATTCAGAGGTCAATAAATGGAGTGTCCTGAGTCACCCTTGCTCTTCTGGCCTGGCCCGCACAGGGCCCAGGGAGAGATTTGTTCTTGTGTGACACAAGGCAGGGGCTAGGTATTAATTAGATTTTTGGACTTTGTCTTGGGAAAGACAGTGGCTACGGGAGGATTGGACTTTTGAGTTGGGCTCTGGGTCTCTTGGACACTTTACAATCTGCTGGGGTTTCCAATATTTACTGCTTCAAAGCCCCCAGCCAGACTGTTCATGTTCATATCTTCCATATCTTCATGTTCATCCCACAAGCGCAAGAACAGTTACCTTTCTTATTGATTTTGTAATTGGAGATTTATATTGTCTTGCTTAACACATATGATCAAATATACAAAAGGTAGATTTGTTGTGAAAATTGCTTTTTGGTTGTAATAACCTACCTTTTAAGAATGAGAAAGTGCTGGGCTTAAGGGAATTCAGAATGAATCAAGACTGAACCATTCAAATGTGGCTGCATTTTCTGCATGTATCATAGATGGGATCCTTCTGAGAATACTGGAATAGGGAATTATGACACCAAGCTAATTCAGCTGTGAACCTTATTCTTGTACTTTTCTTTCTTGCTGGTAATTTTATGGAGCAGGTAGAGAAAGCTGCTGTATGTTAGGATAAACTGTATACCAATAATTTTGATGACCTATGGTGAGTGATACATTTTACTTCTTGTATCTTTTCCTTCCTCCCTTGATGCCAGTAATTTATAAGGGGTCTGTATAGTTCGAATGTATTTGAATAACTTCAGTATACTTTAGCTCTACTTTTTGATTTGACTCAAAGAACCATCCATTGGTCTCAAGTATTCCATGTGTTTTAAAAGCCTGAAGTCAGTGAGATAAAATTCAACATCAAGAATTTGAAGTAAAGTAACTTGAAAGAATGTAAAGAAAACATACGGACAGTGGCTTATGCCTTTAATCTCAGCACTTTGGAAGGCTGAGGAAGAAGGATTGCTGGAAGCCAGAGTTCAAGACCAGCCTGGGCAACCAGCAAGACCCCACTTCTACAAAATATTTTAAAAAATTAGCTGAGCATGGTGGTGCTTGCCTGTAGTTCCAGGTACTCAGGGGGCTGAGGCAGTAAGAACACTTGAGCCCAGGAGGCCTGGGTGACAGAGTAAGACCCTGTCTCAAAAAAAAAAAAAAAAGAAAAGAAAAAAGAAAAAAAAAGAGAAAACATTAGGTAGTATTAGGTATTTGGCTAGAGCATAATAATTAATTTGATTTCCTGGTTTTCAAAAATTTGAATTGCAATAAAAGGATATTTCAATGTGCTAAAAAGTAATAATAATACACTGTCTTGGATTTGCTATAAAACAATCCAGAAAAGAGTGGGTAGATAAATGAGGTGGCAAAATACTAAAACAATCACTGAAGCTGGGTGGTAGGTACATGGGGATTTGTTCTATTGTTTTCTCAACTTTGGTATATGTGTGATCATTTGCATAATAGGTCTTATTATTAAATTTTATTTTATTATTAAGATAAACTAAAATAGTGTTTTATAATTAGACAATTTGTGGCTCATTTTAATAATTCCTTGATTGCAGGTTTTGATGCACAAAAATGTTTGGTTTACTTTGCTCTAAGACTTGGCCCAGATCTCACCACCTCCCTGAAATGAAGGGCCTTCCCTGACTGCCCTCCTCAGAAAGAATCTCCTTGCTCTGAAGTTCCAGGAAGATCCTGGTCCTTGTGTCATTCTAGTATGTATCCAGTATAGCCTGGTACCATCAGCTGGCTTTTTGTGCCCTAAGGTCAGGACTTTGAAATCCAGCAGTCCTGGGTTTGACGCCCGAGTCCGCTGCTTATTGCTTGTGTGACGTTAGAGACATTCTTTAGCCTTGGTTGTTTCTCTGCAGATGGACATGGGATAGTGGTTGTTGTCAAGGACAATGAGTAGTAGGTGTCATCTCTTCCTCTAAAATGTCAGGGTTGGTGTTGCAGGTTGCATTGTGCCTCATAACTTCATATGTTCAAGCCCTAACCCCCAGTACCTTAGAATGTGCCCTTATTTGGAAATGAGACCACTGCACATGTGCTAAGTTAAGATTATCCTGGAGTAGGGTGGGCTGTGATCCATATGACTGGTGTCCATCCATGTACGGGGGGAAATTTGGACCCAGTTAGGTATACAGGGAAAATCTCATGTGAACAGGAAGGCGGCTGTCCATAAGCCACGGAGTGAGGCTTGGCATGAATCCTCCCCTCACAGTCCTCAGAAGGAACTGACCCTGCCAATGCCCTGATTTTGGAGGCCTTGGTCTGGAGGCCTATGAGATGATGCGTTTCTACTGTTTCAGCTGCCCAGTTTGTGGAACTTTGTTATGGCAGACCTAGAAAACTCACAGAGATGGGGTCCCTGTCTTTGTGTTCCCTTCAGCACCTGCTCAGTGCCTTCTTCTCATCCCAAAGGGAGGCCACAGCCGTTGTTCAGGATGTTGATGTCACTGATGACAAGGAAGAGCTTCAGAACTGGGCTGTGAGCCCCCATTGCTGCGCTCCTGTCTGGGGTTCTCAGCTTGGCCACTCCTTTTTTGTCTGTCAGTATTACTCATGCATTAGGGTCAGCTCCCTCTCGCCCCTCACTCCATGTGTTCACGTACACACAGACACCATGCATGCACTCATACACAGGTACACATACCACACATGTACTCTCACACATGTACACACACACCATGCATGTACTGTCATATATGTACACATATACACACCATGCATGTACTCTCACACACACATACAGTCTCACCATGCATGTACTCACACATGTACACAGTCTTTATGCATGTACTCTCACATACACATACACACCATACATGTACTCTCACACACATACACAGTCTCACCACATATGTACTTTCGTACACATGTAAACATACACAACATATATGTACTCTCACACACATGCACACAGACTCACCAAACATGTACTCTTACACACACGTACACATACACACCATACATGTACTCATAGCCTCACCACACGTATACTGTCACACACATGTAAACACACACCATGCGTGTACTCATGTACATCTGCAGACCATACATGTACTCTCACACATACACATCATACATGCATGTGCACACACAGGTACAATGCATGCCATGCATGTACTCACATACATGTACACACATGCATACCATACATGTACTCATGTACACACATACATATGTACACACATACACATGATTTTGTTTCTACTGCTCTAGAGCAACAATCTTGAACTATTTGCTAGAATGCTCCTGACCTAGTAAAATCTCAGGAAAGGCCGACAAGTCCTTACAAGTTATAGAGAAATGATGTATTAACCTATTGGCCTAAACAAAATTCTGTGAGCCCAGTTGTACAAATGTCTGGAAGGTTAGGTCTGTGTGAGTTAATTCTGAGAAAAAAATGAATTCCTGGATTGTAGAAATTGATGTTACAGAGCTTGGGGCTGGTTGGGAGTGGAAGTCCCAGGAATGTCATCTCCGGGGGCTCCAGATGGTTCCATTTCTCCAAGGGCCCTGACCCTGTGTCATTGCTGTGTTCAGCCACCAAGGGGTGACTTTGACTTGGCAGAGTTCTTTGTGGTGGCTTTGGCAGCAGTGGTTCTAACAAATTCAGCCTGATGGTTTGAGGGAGCTCCAGTTCCTGGGTCCATTCTAACTTCCTAACTTTGCAAATTCCTGGAGTGGCCTAACTAACTAAAGGAACCACTCCTAACTACAAATGAGACCTCAAGAACAGGAAGGGGTGCAGAAACCCAGCTCCAGGGTAATGGTGAGCAGGTCAGCACAGGGGTCTTCAATGCCTGTGTACGTGGTTTTTGGCCAGTGGCCACAATCTCATCCCTGAAAGTTTTGGGAGACCAGTTTATGTTACCTTGAAGAACTAGGGATTTCTTGTAACTATGGAAACATAAATCTCGGGATTAAAGAGTCAGAGAGAAAACTGCTATTGTTGCCTTGACAACCCATAAAACCCCAAGTCTTTGTGGTTAGGAGTAGAGATAATGTACCTTCAATCTTTTAAGCTAATTTACTTGTGGGAAGAAGTGGAAGTGGGCTTGGGCACCCTGTGGAAGCAGATGCTGCCCTGACTGGGTGTGTGTGTGTGGGTCTTCCCAGGCCCACCCTGCCGAGTGGCAGGTTTCAAATTCTGCCTAATAAATGGCCAAGATGTCCTGGAGAGTCTGTACCAAAGGACTGGCTCTCATGTTCCAAGGAGGCCCTTGTTTCTTGACTCTGTGGGTCTGTAAATGGAATGACTTCCATTCCTGTATTGCAGAAGTTATGTTTTGAGCTGTTTTTGGAGGGGATGTGGCTACCTGAAGGGAGCCGAAATCTTTTGTTACTGGGACAGATACTCAAAAGCTCTTTCCCTCTCCAAGTTCCTGCCCCTCACTTTTTGTAAGAAAGGCTGGGAATTTAAGGTGTGCAGCTTCAGATGAAACTAAGGGTTCTGAATGCATGGCACAGCTTCTGCACCTGAGGCACTGTCACCCTTGAACCTGCTGATAAATGCCCATAAGCACTCAGAGCTCGGGGCCACATTTAGGTTTCATTTCTATGTTCCATCAAGAGATTATTTTTTCTTCCTTAATATCCTCAGCGGATATTGTGCCTCAACGTGGCACAAAAATTTCTGAGTTGATGTCCAGATGAAATTTGCATGGAGAGTGTCCTCATGGCAACTCTGGGGAACCAGCGAGAGGCTTCCTGTTCCAACTAGAGAACAATGACATCGCGTCTTCTTGAGGCTGAATTGCCAACTCTCTTTGTTGGGGAAGATAGCAGTGATAGATGAAAGGAAAATTGGAGGAAAGGCTTTTTCAAAATCATTACATTGCCAAGTGTGGGATTTTGGATCCCTATTCAGTGGAGAGAACATTGAGTAAAATGAGAAAACAGCACACACAGAAATGCCTGTGATGTGGCTGATGAGAGGAGCAGGTGGAGCAGTTCCTACCCACCCTACCACTATCCTGGCCCTGTCTCCACAAGAGGTACCTTTCAATAGTTATCCAAATGTATTACATTCGGATGACGTGTTCAGACACCTGAAGAAGTTAACCAAATGGCCACTCCTCTTTGATGTGCTGAGGGTTGGTCTTCTAGCCCGACCCTAGCTTTCTCCCCATGATCTGAGAAAATGGCTTCCCCCTCTCAGGGATACTTCAGGAAAGCTCAGTGTGGAGAATTCGGGATTACACAAATTTATCAATCCAAGGACTCGTCATTAAAACACTGAAGGAGGCTTTTAGGGGAGATTTCACTGATTCAGCAGTTATTGGCTGCAACCTGCTCTGTTGGAAACACAGTGTTGGGGATGTGGCCAGGGACAACGCCGGTCCCCATCCTGGGGGAGCTTCAGCTTGGAAAGTAAATATCTTGACTGTGCTACAACCGTGATTTAATTCCCAAATGTGGACATTTCACGAATGTGTTATAAGATGTGAAGTGTACCTTTATCACAGAACAAACAAGAAGAAGCCAACGAAGCCCGTGGGGCTACAGAGCTTTAAACTAGATTAAAAGCAATTATTTACTGAAATAGCCAATAACACACTCCCTGACCTACAAGGTGTCCGAGCCTCCTTTTCTTTTATCGGTTCAATTTCTTCATATTAAATGTGGACAAACACGGAGCATTGTCATGGAAAATCAGCACACTGGTGAATTAGAAAATGATCTGAAAGCACTAAAAGTGCAGGCGATGAATCCATTTTGACATGTTGCTTTCCTGTTGACTTTCCAGCCATTGAATTTGCTGCTGATCTGAAGTATATTTCATAAAAAGCTGCTTCACTAATAATGATCAGACAAGGATTTCTCTTATTAAGTCTTGGATAACAAGGGAAGCTGTGTACGGGTTATTCTGGGTGATTTCTAACTGCTGTTTTTCACACATGAATGAGATTACATACATAAATTAATCATCACTGCCCCTGATGCATTTTGCAAGTTACCTTAAAAACTCATTTTAAAAAAGCATGCAGAAAGTCTCATCCATCATCCCCATCTGTTGCTTTTTCCCTCCATGGCCTGGCATGGCTTCACACTGTGATATTCTTTTTTTGCTTCTGTTTAAAACAACCACCTTTAAAAAATAAGTTTTCAAACTAGGGATTAGGGAATTGATTACGTGGTGACATGGTGCTCCTTACATTTCAAGAAGTGGGAGGAAAGCGGGAATTTTAAAGCGGATGAATCACCGGGGGATTAGAGGGAGCCACAGCACCTAGAGATGTAAGCGTTCGTAGTGGATTGCATGGCTTGTTCTGAAACACTTATGCTTCTGCTCTTTGAAGGCCAAATGGTGGAGAATAACTTACTTAGCTGATGCACGGAGAGCAAAAAGAGGGATGATGGGTGACAGGGTGCAGATCGGTAAAGGAGCAGACGGGTCCTCCTCTGACAAGTGGGTCAACCTTCTCCTTGCTTCTGAGGGAAATGCTAGGGAGGAGATACCTCAGGCTCTGGCTCAGTCCTTCCTGGGTCTTTTCCTGCTGGAGCCAAGTGCATATAGAATGGTTTTCAAGTTCCCAAGTGGAAATGTCATGTTGTCCAAGAAGCTGTTATGCACAAGACATTTCTTTTTCACAGTCATCCATTCCCTAGTTTGTTTTCCAAGAGCCCAGTAGATACTGGATAAAATTGTAGATGCTGGGGTCTCTGTGAGGGACCAAGACATCCTATGAATGAAGTGGTATTTGGAACAATATTGCTGCTGATCAGAGGGTCCAAGGGAGATGTAGGTGCCGACGTCACTGAGATCCTGATCTGGCCACGTTTGAACGAACTATTTAAGCCCGACCTCACTTCCTCAAGTTCCTAAATTCCTCTTGACAACAAACAAGCCAGTCTGGGTTGAGTTTCTGTCACTACCAAAAAGATCTTGGCTAACAGGAAGTGAACTTTGGTTAAGTGAGAGCAGCTCCTGGCATGTGGTTAGGACACATTTGAGGGTCATTGTGGTTTTTACTGTCACTGTGGTAATTCCCCAGGGGCGGTGACCCTCCACCTTTCACCATTCCGGAGCACAGCCTCCTTCACCAGCCTCAGGAAAGAAGCAGGCTCCTGCAGCAAAGTGGAAAGCTGCTCCTGCTTTCCTGGTCTAGGATCAGGACAGCTGAAAGTTCCAGGTTTTGTTTTTAGAAATAGTTTTGATCAAATCCTGAAATTTTCCAGGAGTTCACAGTTGGAAGAGGTTTCACCTGATAAGAAATCACTCCATTCCTCATGCTAAAGAAGTGACTGCTGATGCACTGTGGATTTTTGCTTCTCGGCGAGTGGTGGCTGGGGGAGGACTACAGAGTCATCTGTTGTTTTTGGATGTCTAGCACTCAGTGTCCCTTTTTCTGGTGACAGCATCTCTCTTTTCCCCTGGGGACCCATGGTATTCTCAATCTGTGAGGTTCAGGTGGACTGACCAACATGCATAGACGGAAGCTGTGCTACAGCTCACACCTGCGTCATCCCGAGGAGGAAGAGCACTTTCCAGAGGGAGCAGGGAGAGGTTTGAGAATTCTGAGGGTTCCATGTCATCTCTGCTAAGATTGCTTATTGGCTGTTGAGGCTCCATTCACATGTATGTAGTGCCTGAATATTTCCACAACAAATGTGGAAGGATGATGTGATAGATTGTTTGTAAAAATGGCCACGATTCTCCATCCCTCCTCTCTCATTCTCTTTGCAATGTGACCTTTCTGCCATCCTCCCCACCCCCATCAAGAAGTGAGGTCCACTTCTTTACCCCTTGAATCTAGCCTGGCTTGGGGCTTGCTTTGGCCAATGGAATATGGTGGAAGAGATGCTGAGCTTGTCCCAAGCCCAGGCCTCAAGCGCCCTTGTGGCTTCTGTCTGCTCACACTCTCCCTCCCTTGTCCCTGCCTCAGCAGCCTACTGCCTCTGTGTGGAAAAGCCTGGTATAGCTTAGTGAAGAATGGGGACCATGTGGAGGAGAGCCCGATTGTCCTGGATGAGTCCCTCCTGATCCAGCCTACAGCCAGATGCCCCCCAAACACGTGATGGAGCTCAGTCAGGTGAGCATGAGCAAGCCCAGCTGAGACCAGAAGAACCACCCAGCTGACCTCTACAGCAATGATAAATACTTTTCAGATTAAGCCACTAACTTCTGGGGTTATTTGTTACACAGCAAAAGCTAACTGTTACAGACGTCATCAGTTAGGCTTATTAGGTACTAAATTGGTAGCTGTGGTAAAAAATTGTCTAAACATAATTTAACTCCACACATCCCAGGAAGCTTTGGAAGGTCACTGACTTTGAAAGCGCAAGGTATTCTTGTTGCCATGGATACCCCCATTGAGACATTAGAGTGCAAAGAGAGAAACCTAGTGTTGCCTTGACAACAGGTTTGCAAATCCGAGTCTGGTAAAGCAAAAGACTACAAAGAACAGGAAGAATCAGGAGGAGGGGGAAATTAGCCTAAAGAAGCTTCCCTTCTCCCAGCAAAACAACAACTTGCCTCCATGCAGTTTGAGAGTCTGTTAGAAGAAGCACTGCCTGAATGGGGAGCTATAAAGTGAACAACAGGAAGCCCTTCTCTTTTCATGGCCCATCTCCACAGCAGGAGAAAAGTCTCACAGCCAGGGAGCAGCATGCGGCACTGTCACTAAGTGCCTCCTTCAAGAGTTCACAATTTGCTCTCAGCCAAGCTTCATTCCAAGAATGAGAGTTTGCTCAAGCTGGAAGGGGTCTGAACAGCATCGAGTCCCTTACTCATCCTCTCCATCAGCTGGGAGGGAAGCTGAGGTCCTGAGAGGGAAGAGGGCTGCTCGCAGTCAGTCTAATGTGCCATTAGGATTTTAGTCTAGTCTAGTGGGTAAGCATTCAGGGCCCGGAGTCAGACAGACCTGAGTACAAGTCCTAGTGACACCATTTACTAGCTGTGTGACATTCTGCAAACCAGCTGACCTCGTAAACTCTTTCTGTAAGATGAGGATCTCACTAATGTCAGCCTCAGAGGGTGGTGAGAACTCAGTGAACTAATGCATGAGAAGCACTTACACAGTGTCTAACCTGCAATGAGCTTGCAATAAATTGCGTGTTATTCTTTCTACTATGATCATGTCACTCTGCCTCTACTCTTCAGACTCATTGAAGTAGTACCAAGGAGGCTCAACTGGATCCAGAATCTCCCTCGGGAGGCTTGGTGGTCCATTTTCAGATGCCCTGTGTCATTTTCTGTATCATACAATTGGATGTCACAGTTTCTAATTTTCAAAGCCATTGCATTTTCTATTTCCTCTTCCCTACAGCTTGGCTGGGCAGGCAGGTGGGGCAACACTAGCTTCATTTTTTTTTTTTTCACTTTGTCAGGGAGGAAATTGAACCCCGGGGAGGTTTGACGATCTGCCCAAAGTCCCTGGGAAGTTTCCGGCCGTTCTAGGGCTAAAGCTCAGCTCTCTCGACTGCATCTCCTTCCCACCCCCATGTGGCTACCCCCATAGAATGGCGCATCCACGTAGATGGCCCAGATGTTGGGTTTAAGGGAGAGAGAGAAAGGAAGTTTGGGGCATCTGTTTATGAGAGAAAATCGTCAGCCGTGCGTGGAAATCTTATGCATAGCAAATAAATGATGGGCAAATACCCACTTGCATATTCAGAGGCACATTTCAGATGTGAACATCCTGTCTCACCAAAACAACCCCAGCTAAGAAGTTCCGTCGGGGGTGGAGGACTTTTTCCAAGCCTTTGTTTCTGTGGAGTCTCTGTGCATGGCCTGCTGTGATGAGGTAGGGGTTGACCCAGAAGTCTAAGGAGGCCACCACCCCGTAGGAAAGAGGAGCCAGCAGACAGCAGCGCCGGGGGTTATTGGGGACCCCCAAATGGGGAAAGGTAGGGGTGTAGACAAAATCAGCAGCCCTGTCTGTATTTGACAAGCAGGGCAAGGAGGAAGAAAGCTCAAGGAGAGCGATGTGGAGGTGACTCGATGACAGGGTCAGTGCAGGTGAGGGGAGTGGGCTACCCATTAATTCCCAGGAGCATGGTGGTCTTCCCAGCCCAGCCACACAGCTGCTAAGGGATCTTGCTTTCTGAGGAGTGTCTCTAATCGGGGCATTTGATTTACAGCAGCATTTCTGGGCTCCAATCAGGCATCTCATCCACAGAACATAAACCAGATTAAGAAGCTCTCTGAAGCATATTTGAAGTCAGTGACAGTTGAAAGGATATTAAAGTTTTGACTTCAAACTAGCTTAGCCAGGGCACACGGAGCAGGCAATACAGGTCTTCCTCCTGCCAGGAGAACCTTTACCATTCCCCGTGAAGGTCAGGATTGTTGGTTCAGGTGCGGGGACAAGGTGGGGTGGACTCCTACGCAAAATAATCTGTGTTGGTGGCAATGTCAGGTGATCCTCCAGCAGCTCAGGAAAAATAAACTCTTCCTATGGCCGTTTCTTTTCCCTCGGTTCTGAACGGGAGGAGGACACTGGGATGCCTGTTTGTGTTCTATGACTCTAGCCTCTAGGGTCATTCCTCAGGCCCCATTGCCAAAGAAAAATCATGGCTGTGTTGGTGGTCTCATCTGGCCTCATATTACCATAGGCTGGCTGGAAGCACAGCTGGGTACAGAGTCTGATTTTGAACAAAACTGTCACCTCTTTTGTCCCTTGGCAACATCCCTCAGTGCCACATAAGGTTTGTTTTTGTGTACCTGATTCACCATCTGTCTCAGGGTTAGCAATCCAAGTTCTGAAATCATCTGGGCTTCACAAGCATGATTAGCTGTTGATCTGGCTTCTGTTGACTCTAAACCCCGGGTTGGGGGATTACAGATGTACCTAAGCAGCCTGTGCAGTGGGGCCAGACGCCTCCGTGGGTACAGCATGTCCAGGATCGTTGCTGTCTGTTGCTGGGCTCACCACCCCAGCAAGGAGGAGGTCACGCAAGGGAACACAGAGCTTGTAGTCAGAAAACAGGGGTGCTTGTCAGGTCACCTCTCTGAACCTCAGATCTCTCTCGTGTAAGGGGCTGGCCCCTTCGAGAGGCTCAGTGTGGAATAAAATGGCTCTTATCGCAGTGGGCTTGGCAGCCCGCCACTCCTCATCTTTGCTGGTGGAACCTCTAGTTGGTTTCGGTGTCCACCCTCCTCCACGCTGGGAGTGTGTTCAGGATGAGGATCCCATCCCCGTGCACGGGGTCAAGTCTGATTGGAGGCGATCATTTCTGGCTGTCACATTCCTTAGACCAGGGCTCAGTCTAGAGCGAGCAAGTATTTTAGGCCTGGCCAGTGAGGCAAAGATAATGCCTGCTGGGGCCTTCTGAAAAAAATTTCCTTAAAAAGAGGCTCAAAGAAGAGAGATGTCTCTTTTCTTTGGCTGGACGTTATTAGGACTAGATGTGATGCCTGTGACTACGTGAACCATCTTGTGAATGTGACAGCCTGGGGACAGAGCTTGCACACTGGGGATGCAAGATCAGGGAGATATTAATAGAAAGGACGTGGGTCACTGCTAGGAGCTGTGGCTCTTGCGCACTCGCCATCCCTGGCCTCACCCTGCTGTAGAACTTCTTGATACGTGAAATAATACAAAGTCCTTATTGTTTCAACAATTCAGAAGTGCTGGCTTCTGTGACTTGCAGATCAGTTCACCCTAAATGCCCTGCTCCTCCAAGTGGCCCCAGCATCATCAGCATGGGGAGCTTGTGGGAAATGCAGACTCTGAGGCTCTCCCCACCCCCCCGCAGCATCACCCTCTGTTCCTTAGTGAGATCCCCAGGCACTTCGTGTGCATACTGACGTCTGAGAAGCTCCGCCGATGGGTTTACTTTTTGTCCAACGTGTTCTGTGGAGGAGGACTTGGGTTTTGACAATACTGGGTTCAATTTTTTCTCGAGACAGAGTAGGAGGTGTTAGCTATGCAGATTTTGAAATCTCAGCTGTGTCAAGGAATTGGGGAAAAGCTCAGGGAGGAAGGTGGAGGGCCTAGCTGGTCTCTAAAATAAAATTATGAGAGAGTTGTTTATTAGTTTCTGCTTTACCCAACCATTTTTCATTGACTCGTGTTTGGGTACCACATCGATTTTAATCTAAAGCCGTGACTACAGTAAAATCTCATTAATTCAGGCCTCACCAATTTTGAAGTGATAATTTAAATGGAGGCTGGGCTGGCTGGCGTGAGAGCAGGATTGAGAGCAAACTGTTCTGAAGGACTTGGGCCCACCAGGTGGGTGCAACGAGATGCTTCCAATTATAAACGACCCTTGGTGTGTTTGAGTTCAGCAGGAGCCACACTTGGAAATCAATCCATCAACAAAGAGTTATTGAGTGTCCCTTATGCAAACGTCCCCGGCTGGCAGAACACACTTGGTTAGAAGTTACTTTTAATCATTACCCATGCTGGAAGTATCAGATTTCTTTAGGAAATGCCATTTCTTAAGCAGCCTGTGTTCCTATCCTAGGCCACCTTCCCCACGTGTGCCAGAGCACTTTGCTCTTGAACAGCCCCCTCTCTCTCCCCCGTGTCAATTCCTCTTTACCCTCCAAGGTGTTTATAACTTGCTGTAGGAACTCTTGGATTGTAAAATAACATGAAGTCCCTATTGTTTCAGCCATTCAGAAGTGCTGGCTTCTGTGACTTGCAGATTAGTGCACCCTAAATGCCCTGCTCCTCCAAGTGGTCCCAGCAGTGTCACTGTGGGGAGCTTGTGGGAAATGCAGACTCTGAGGCTCTGTTCCTTAACAAGATACCCAGGTACTGGGTGTGCACACTGAAGTTTGTTTCTATCCTTTTAGAAAGAGCTCTCTGATCTTGATTCTATACTCTCCTCCAGCCACACCCTATTTTCCTGCTTCCCTTTGTCTCCTCTAAGAGTTGCCTGCTCCCGTCTCCAGCTGTCCTCCATTTTCATTCAAACACACTGAAATTCAGCTTCCATGGCGCCCCGTTTCCATATGCATGCATGGCCTGAGGCCACGCACTCATAGTCTCTCCTCTCCGCTTGCTGTCCGCATCAGCCACCTTGCACATGCTTGGTCACTCTCCTTTTCTGGAAAGACTTTCTTGCTTGTCCTCTAGGACAAACTCTTGATTCTCTGTGAAGCTCATGGGTCACTCTGGCTCCGTCGTCTTTGTGGCTTCTCCTCTTCTGAGCTCTGGGTGTTGGGCTGCAGGACCCGTTCCTCCCTCTCTCCTGGGTAAGTGGTGGAGAGTGTGGCTTTGAGCGCCTGTTGGAATGCCGATGGGCTCCATGTTTATATTTCTGCCTGGGTTGCTGCCCCACCCAACTGGTCCCCTCACTGCCCCACTGCCCCTACCTACCTCATGACTTCTCGTCTGAAGGGGTTCATCCCAGGAGGTTTGCTTCTTGGGTAAATTTCAACTCCATTCTTCCTTGGGCCCCGGGCAAAACTCTCGGAGGATCCTTTCTCTGTCTCACACCTTACATCTAATCCACCAGCAAGTCCCCTTGGGCCTGCCTTTGAAGCATAGTCTGAATCTGGCCATTTGTCGCACCTCCATCACTGTCTCTTGAGTCCACGTCACCATTCCATTTCCCCTGATCATAGACCATCCACTTCTCATGGCTCCCCGGCCCTGTCATCTCACCCTAGAGGCTTTTCTTTGCCAGGTAATCCGTGGGATCCTGTGAAAACCTCAGTCAGGTCATGCTGCTCTCTGGTCAGATCTTCCTATGGCCTCCCTCTCACTTGGGGTAAAGTCCCACGTCCTTCCCGTGGCCTCGAGGGCCTGCACCTTCCTGTTCCCAGCCAGCCCCACGGGGCTCCCTGCTCTTCCTCCATTGCCACAAATGCGTGTTTCAGCCCAGATGGTTGACACGTGCTTTCCTCGATTTCCATGACTGGTTTCCCTCCGACGGGCTCACTCCTACTTTATTTGATCTCTACTCAAAGGTCTCCTACTTTATTTTCCAGCGTGATGGTTTTGCCACCTTGCCTGTGAGATATTTATGTGTTTCCTGCCTGTGACTCCTTCTGGAATGGAGGAGCTTCAAGGGCAGGGCCTGGGTTGTTTTGGTTCCTGTAGCACCCTCCACCCCCAGGAAGCATTTCTCAAATGAGCAAGTATGCCTGCCCGTGGAACTTTTCTGAATTTGGGCTGAACTTTTCTGGCCTAGACAAAAGAGGAGGACTTTGGAGAGGATGCAGAGTGGAGCCTTCCATTCTTCCCTGGTGAGCTCTCAGGGCAGTGCCCATATGGTGTGCCAAGCCTAGGAGACACTCCTTCGCTGTAGCCAGCCTGGCACTGGCTGGATGCTGGGCTGCCTATCCTGGGGGCCGTGGCCCAGTGTGAGGCGTTTGCAACCGTGCGTGTGCAGCACATGTGCGTGCCCACACATGTGGGGTGTGGTCTGCATCCAGAAGCAGACATTTATGTAAATTTTCATTTATGTAAGCACATAAATGAAAAGATGATCACAGATTGTGACAAATGCCACAAAGAAAATAAATAGGGTAATGCAATAGTCACAGTGAGGAGGGATACTAATTAGGTGTTTTTTAAAAAATCAGGTATAATTACATATGGTAAAATGTACAGACCAGGTGTTTACTTTGATGAGCAGTGGCCAGCGTGCATACTCCTGTCCCTGCAAGGGTATGGAACACTTCCTCTTCCATCTGTCTTCCCTGCTGTCCCTCCCCAGTCATTCCTAGAAGGGACCCCTAGATGACTGGCCAGGGAAGGCCTCTCTGAAGAGGTAGCATCTGAATTGAGCCCTGAAGGAATAGGAGGAGGTGGCCACAGGAGACCTGGGGGACAGTGCCCAGATGGAGGATGGTCCAGGAGGCAGCATGGCAGAGAGGAGTGGCTGAGACAGAGCCGCAGTGTGAGCTGGCTGGTGGGCAGACCACGTTGGCCCTTGCCAGCTAGGGGGATGCACCTGGCCTTTATTCTCCATGAGATGGTAGCCACTTGTTGGGGGGCTGGGGATGGCAGAGGCAGTGTGACCAGGTCAGAGGTGGTGGTGGCTCAGGCCGGGGAAGTGGTAAGAAATGGATGTACTTTAAAACACTTTTTATTTTGAAATTATTTATTTATTTATTTGAGATGGAGTCTCGCTCTGTCCCCCAGGCTGGAGTGCAGTGGTGCAATCTTGGCTCACTGCAACCTCCACCTCCCGGGTTCAAGCTATTCTCCTGCCTCAGCCTCCTGAGTAGCTGGTATTATAGGCGCCCGCCACCACACCTGGCTAATTTTTGTATTTTTGGTAGAGACGGGGTTTCACCCGTTGTTGGCCAGGCTAGTCTCGAACTCCTGACCTCAGGTGATCCGCCAGCCTTGGCCTCCCAAAGTGCTGGGATTATAGGCATGAGCCACCGTGCCTGGCCTATTTTGAAATAATTTTAGACTCACAGGAAGTTACAAACGTGGTGCAGAGTTTTCCCGTGGTTCCTACACCTCTCTTCTACTGATAGCACCTTATGGAAGCACAGTGCCTTATTCAGCTGTCATCAGTTTTTGCATGCATTTGTGTGTGTGTATGTTGTGTATGTATGTGTGTGCATGTGCATGTGTGTATGTGTGTGTTGTGTGTGTGTATCTAGTTCTGTGCCGTTTTATCACCTGTGTAGATGCATGGAACCCCCAACGCTAACAAGACACAGAACTGGGCCTGGTGTGGTGGCTCACGCCTATAATCCCAGCACTTTGGGAGGCTGAGGCGGGTGGATCACCTGAGGTCAGGAGTTTGAGACCAGCCTGGCCAACATGATGAAACCCTCTACTAAAAATATAAAAATTAGCAGAATGTGGTGGCGGGCGCCTGTAATCCTAGCTACTCAGGAGGCTG
This sequence comes from Homo sapiens, assembly GCF_000001405.40. Lineage (NCBI taxonomy): Eukaryota > Metazoa > Chordata > Mammalia > Primates > Hominidae > Homo > Homo sapiens. Next base: position 59,129,525 of record NC_000020.11, read on the forward strand.
AGGCAGGAGAATTGCTTGAATCCGGGAGGCAGAAGTTGCAGTGAGCCGAGATCACGCCACTGCACTCCAGCCTGGGTGACAGAGTGAGTCTCTGGCTCAAACAGACAAACAAACAAACAACACAGAACTGTGTAGCCCCGTGAAGTTGCTGCCTGTGTGGCCCCTTCATGGTCGTAGCCCACCTCCCTAACCTCTGGCCAGCACTCATTGGTTCTCCACCTCTGTAATTTCGTCATTTGGAGAATGCTATACATTGACTCACACGGTGTGCAGGATTGGCCTTTTTCATTTCACTCAGCACAAAGTCCCTGAGATTCCTGTATGTTATTGGTGCATCCCATGCTCGTTCCTCCTTCTGGCTGAGTAGAACTCCATGGGGGGCTTACCTATCCACCTGTTGAAGGACATTTATACCATTTATCCTATTAACTAGACTCAGACCATATGCAGACTTCAGGATTCCTGATGGACGTTGGACCAGAGCCAGCAGCCCTTGGGTTGGGTGTGGTTAGAGCAGAAATGAACCACCTGGCCTTGGTTTCCTCATTTGTAAGATGGGCATAAGAACAGTACTTCCCACACAGCCTTGACGATGGGATTCAGGGAGCTAGGAAGGGCCTGGCACTTGGTAAGAAGCTGACCAACATTTGCTGTTATTAAAGAGACAGGGCCATTAATATGCTTGGAGGAGAGAAGGTTCTCTTGGGTGGGTGTCGTGAGAGGCATAGCATTTAAGCCGGGCCTGGAAGCACATTACTGGCTTCAGCATCGTGTTCCTTTTCTCCCTGTGTTTTTCCAGCAAGATGTGAACTGTCGTAGCCATTGGAAGGTGTGAGGGTTTGCAAAGTGTGAAAGGGCCCCTAAGTTTCCAGGGTGCACTGAACTGCTGGCATCCGGCCTGGCACTCTGAGCAAACAGACACCTGATGGTTCTCTCTTCACCCTACACATTGCTGGGGCGAGGCCCAGAAAAAGAAGTTTGAGGCGTTTGGCTTCCCTCCCCTCCTAATGAGCAAGACAGGCTGTGTGAACATGTCCTGTGGATGTGGGTGCACCTTGGGGCTTCTAAACGCCAAAGGCACTTTGGAAAGGCAAGGTGCTCTGTCTGGTGGCGCTTGATGGTGATGTTGGAAGCTGCTGGTAATGTGATTAATCCAAATTTGAGTCCCAGAGATGAAAAATGCCCCAAACTCACCCTGGGTATGGACACATCTGTGCCTTTGGTGTTTAATGGATATTCTGAATGGTTCTTGGGTGGGAGGTCTGGGAGTTGGGGACAGTTTTCTAGCCTCTGCTTTCAGGACTCAGGAACCTAGTGTCTGGGTGGGGCGCTTGGCCCTGACACTTTCTGCCAGTGGGACTTTGACAATGGCTGAGCTCTGTGAGCCCCTGTTTCCTCATCTGAAAGGAGGGCTAGTAATCCTCTTATCACAGCTGGTTGTGAGGCCTGAGTAAATGGGCGTGGAAGCATGTGGTGCATGGTAGGTGCTCAGTAAACATGAGATGTGTCTCGCTCAGTAAACATGAGATGTGTCTGAATCCATCTCCCTTTGAAACACTCTTTTGTGGGCAAGGTTGAAGGAAATGCTAGACTCCCAGCATTAACCTTCCAGCATCCATCTTGGGTCTTGGGACCACTTCTTGGTCTGGAGTTGGAAAAGGCGTCCTCTCTGCCCCTTCCTTTCATATGTTTGAAAACAGCTTTGTGGTCATCAGTACCCAAGTCACCATTTCTGTACTTCACGTTCATCTCCAGCTCACATTCTGATGTCCTCGGAGGACAGGAACCACACTCCTAATAAAGGATTCCTACTAATAGTCAGCTCCCGCACTAAAGCCAGGGTCCTGGTCCAGGTGTGATAGCCTTCATGTGTGTCAGCTCAGGGGGTCCTTGGGAGAGCTTCTCATGGTGGGTGTCATCACCTCTGACTTGACAGAGGGGAGGTGGAATTCCTTACTTACTGATACATGCCAGTGTGTCTGGCTCCAGAAGTCTTGGCCTCGAGGGGTTTCTTGCTGCCTACTCTGCCCTGCACCCCATGGTGGTCCTTTCCCGTTTGTCTTCCACTCTACAGACCCCAGCCCCGTGCAGGTGTCCCTCTGAGCACCGGGATCCTTAAGGAGTGGCCTGGGCTAGAGCAAGGAGGCCTGCTCCTTGGCACATTTTTAAGGGAGTAAGGGATTGAGTGGGTGATGGGTACAGCCCCAGGGAGGTGTGAAGCAGCACCTGCAGGCATGGCAGGGACCGCCTTGTGAGCCCTTGTCTCCAGGGCGTGAGACAGATTTATCTCTATCCATCCAGGCATGGCCAGGTCTTTAGAGTGCTGGCATTCTTTGTGCCTCATTAAATTGCTCTTTTCTTCTTAAAATGAAAACTGTTTTCATTGTACTTTTTTTCATTATAAAAATGGTACATGATCACTGTAAAGAATTCAAAGCACACAGGAAAGCATAAAGATAAAAATTAAAATCCCTCCAGTTCTCTCCACATAGGGGTAACATTCTGGATGCCTCTTCTTTGGTGTCTCACTGTGCACAGCACACATACACCCCATTGTATGAGAAATTTCACACAAGTGGGAACATTGTCCTGTGCTGTTCTGTAACTTGCTGTTTTTTTTCTGCACAATAATATGATAGAGTCATCTTTGTGAGTTAAAAAATAAAAACTGTAGCATTCTATCAGCATTTTAAATGACTGCCTTGCATTTCAGCGATGTCCCATAATTTAGTTGCTCAAGTTTCTTCTTGTTGGAGGTTTAACTCTTTTTTTTTTTTTTTTTGGCCATTGTCTGACTTCAGTAAACTGTCTTGTATATGCCTATAGTGAATGTGTTTGATTATGTTGTCAGGAAAAATTTTCTAGACGATTAATCGCTGTGCCCATATTGCCAAGCTGGTCTCCAGAAAGTTTACTATTTCACATGCCCATCAACAGGGCTGGAGGAGGCCTCTTCCCTGCAGCCTTGCCAAGCCCAGCTTTGGCAATATCTCACCTTCTTCTCAGTCTGGTGGATAAAAAATGACATCTCATCTTCACCTGCTTTTCTTTTGATGATCAGAGAGGTGAAGTATCTCTTCATAGGCTCCTTGGACATTGGCATGGCTTCTGGAAATGTCTTTGCCTATTTTTTTTTCAATTGGGCACCTTGTCTTTTTCATACTTTTTTGTAATCACCAGATTGCTACACTGGTGAATTAACTTGAATCCTCAGCAAACTTTCAACTTCATCTCAAGCACCCCTCAGCTGGAAGAAGGTGAGCTGGTCAGGGCTGAAGGCCGCTTCTCCAGCCTTGCTGGCCCGGGTGAGCTGTGCCAAGAGCCAGCTGGGCTGAGGCTCCACTCTGCTGAGGCTCCCAAGGCCTGACAGTGGCCCATTACACTGCTGACCACAGCTGGAAGCTTCTCAACTGACCTGTTAGGGTATGTTCAACCTCTGGTCCTGCATGACGTCCGTAGGATCACTTTGGGCAGTTGCTATGCTCCGGTCCTGCATGACGTCCGTAGGATCACTTTGGGCAGTTGCTATGCTCCGGTCCTGCATGACGTCCGTAGGATCACTTTGGGCAGTTGCTATGCTCTGGTCCTGCATGACGTCCGTAGGATCACTTTGGGCAGTTGCTATGCTCCGGTCCTGCATGACGTCCGTAGGATCACTTTGGGCAGTTGCTATGCTCCGGTCCTGCATGACGTCCGTAGGATCACTTTGGGCAGTTGCTATGCTCCGGTCCTGCATGACGTCCATAGGATCACTTTGGGCAGTTGCTATGCTCTGGTCCTGCATGACGTCCGTAGGATCACTTTGGGCAGTTGCTATGCTCTGGTCCTGCATGACGTCCATAGGATCACTTTGGGCAGTTGCTATGCTTGTTTTTCCAGTAGGAAAACACACCTCCCCCGTCAAGTTCTTATCCAAACTCAATTTTTGTGATAATTTAAAGCAATGTATATGAATGCAGGTCTGTCCATAGGCATCTCCATGCAGAACCAGATGGCCCTGCCCATGGGCAGAACAAGTGGCCCCGTGTGTGCCTCAATTTGACAGTTGCCAAGGAGGAAAAGGGAATAGAAAGCATGGATTTTGGGTTATGGGTGTAGGGCTGGGGACACAACAAGCAGCAGATAAAGGCTGGTTGACCAAGTGAGGAAGAAGCACATGCTGGAGTCCAGGGGTCAGAGACTCAAGAGCTCATCTCCCTGCATTCTGTCATTTTCCAGCTTGGAAACAGACACTCAGAGAAGGGAGGCAGCTCAGCGGCAAGGACGAGCCCTGGAGCAAGAGTGCATGCCTCCCCCTGGCTCTCTGCTCCTTTAGGCCCTACTTGACTTCCATGCTGCTCACTCTCAGGTCCCAGAGAAGAGCGCATCATTGCCATCAAGTGCAGGTCACTGGTCAGCAGTGCCGTGGGATAAGACGATGATAAGCACATGCCTTCTGGGCTTGGCCCATGGTGGGGCTGCTGCTCTTTGGGGCCCTGATATGGGAACACCTCACAGCTCAGATGCTCCTCCTTGGTTCCCAGCAGATGTCTTGGGCATGTTTCTGGGTCAGCTTCCTGCTGGCTTCTCAGTGGCATTGAGGACCACCCCAGAACCCTCTAATGTGGACTATCATGCCCAGAATCTTGCTGAATGGTGGACAGAAAGCAGTGGCTGTAGCAGCCAGCAGATCCCCTGCTCCCCTCCTGCTCTCCCTCCCTACCAAAGAGGACTCGAAGTAGCAGAACCCAGGCCCAAAGCAGTCCCTCTATCCACGGTGATCTTGTGTCCTTGTTCGGTTATTTTCTTGTCTCTTGTCTGTATTTCCTTATGGGGACTGTGCCATCCTGCTCATCACTGTCACCCAGCACCAAGGACAGTGCCTGACATGTAGAACGTCATTGATTGCTGAATAAATGAGGAACAAGGAGACTGAAGGGAAAACAGCTGCATGGGTCTTTCTTTATCCGCTTTTCTCTCTTGACCTTTAAGCAGATGGAAACTGTGGGCTTTCTCTTTAGTCTACTCTGAGAAGCTACAGGTGAGATACTGGACCTCTCAGAGACCTGAGAAGGACAAGAGAAACCCAGCGGTCCCACCATGGGCCAAGCCAGAAGGCATGTGTTTATTGTCGTCTTGGCTCAAGACACTGTTCTCACATGCTTGGCTCCCCATAGACTGGCTGCGTGGTCCTTCTGTTCCCAACCTCTCTGTGCTCATCTGGGATGGGAGCGTCTGTAGTCTTCCTCACAGAGCCCTGGAGCCACATGGGTTGGGGTGGAATCTCAACTTTGCTTCTTACTAACCGTACAATCTTGGGGAAGTCATTCGATCTCTTTGTGCCTCAGGTTCCTCTTATAAATGAGACTAATGAAAGCACCTGGCTTAGAGGGTTGTGGTGAGGATTGAGGAATACCATGCATGACAGGTATCCACCTCCACTGGCCCCTTCCCCTCCAAGATGGAAAAAAAACCATCTGCATGGCAGCAGGAACATTGATTACTGGTTCCTCTACACCAGCTACCCCAGCAGTCCTCTTTCAGCCTCTCGGTAGCTCTAAGGAATAACGACTATTATTATTCTTGTTGACCCATAAGGAAAATAAGCCACAGAGAAGGGACTCACACAAGATCACTGGGCTCATGTTCTACTGTTGCTGTAGAAAATTACTACAAATTTAGCAGCTTGAAGCAACACCCATTTATTATCTCACAATCTGTTTGTCAGAGGTCCAGGAATAGCATGTCTCAGCTGGTTCCCTGCTCTGAGTCTTACAAAGGTAAAATCAAGAAGTTGGCAGAGCTGGGTGTGGCAACTCATGCCTGGAATCCCAGCACTTTGGAGGCGAGATTGGGAGGATCACTTGAGCCCAGCAGTTTGAGATCAGCCTTGGCAACATAGTAAGCCTCCATCTCTACACAAAATAATAAAAAAAAAATCCAGGCAGCTGGGCGCAGTGGCTCACGCCTGTAATCCCAGCACTTTGGGAGGCCGAGGCGGGCAGATCATGAGGTCAAGAGATCGAGACCATCCTGGCTAACGTGATGAAACCCTGTCTCTACTAAAAATACAAAAAATTAGCCAGGCGTGGTGGCGGGTGCCTGTAGTCCCAGCTACTCAGGAGGCTGAGGCAGGAGAATGGTGTGAACCCGGGGGGCGGAGCTGGCAGTGAGCCGAGACTGTGCCACTGCACTCCAGCCTGGGTGACAGAGCGAGACTCCATCTCAAAAAAAAATAATAATAATAATCCAGGCATGATGGTGCATGCCTGTGATCCCAGTTATTAGGTTGGTGCAAAAGTAATTGCGGTTTTTGCCATGACTTTCAGTGGCCACAGTTACTTTTGCACCAACCCAATACTTGGGAGGCTGAGGTGGGAGGATTGCTTGAACCCAGGAATTTGAGGCTGCAGTGATCCATGATGGCACCACTGCACTTCAGCTTGGGCAACGGAGCAAGACCCTGTCTCAAAAAAAGTCAGTAGGCTGTGTTCCTTACTGGAAGCCCTGGGGAAGAATCCACTTCCAAGCTTATTCAGCTTGTCATCAGAATTGAATTCCACGTGGTTGGGGGACTGAGGTCCCTGTTTTCTTACTAACTGTGGACTGAATACATTGTCAAGGTCTAGAGGCTGCCTCATTCCTTGGCTCATGGCCCCCTTCAAGGCCAGCATAGGCTGTCAAGTCCTTCTCATGCTTCGAGTCTCTCTTCCTTCCCCTCCTGCCTCATCTCCTACCCTCTGCTGCTGCTTCATTGCCCTGCCTTTCTCTTCTGCTTTTAAGGGTTCATGTGATTACTTCAGCCCCAACTTTATAATTGAGAGTATTTTTCCTATCTTAAAGTGAGCTAATTTGTAACCTTAATTCCATCTGCAAAGTCCTTTTGCAGCGGTACCTAGATTAAAGTTTGATTGAATAACCAGGGGATGTGGTTAGAATTCTGCCTTCCACATTACCCAGAAAGTAAATGGTGGGACAGGACACCAGCTCTGTCCTGAGATCCTGGAGCTCAAGATACCCTCTGACACCCAACTGTTGCTGCACCTGCATGTTCATGTTTAAACCTGCCATGATCCTTTGCGGTAGATACTGTAGCTCCCTCTTGATTGCAGTCCAAAACCTCCCCCCTCCTCTGAGCTTTCATCCTGATATTTGGCTCATTCTAGGATAAAATGTTGGAATTTGGCCATATTCTTTTCTTCCTCACCAGACTCCAGATTTCTGTAAGGCAACATAGCAGAGGCTACAAGTTGTCCCCCAAAATCTTTTTTCCTTTCTATCTCATAGCAACAGATCCCCCAGGTTTTATCTGGGCACGTGGTTACCCGGAATAGAAATAAAACTTTCTACCTTCTCTTGCAGCTAGGGATGGCCTGATGACTAAATTCTGGTGAAAGAGCTGTGATCAGGAAAGAGTTATGCAGTTTTCATGTCCCAACCTTAAAGGGAAGGGGTGCATCCACCTTCCACCCCTTTGTTCCTCCTGGAATAAGCTGGTGAAGCACCTTGGACTATGTGGGCAAGGGCATTTGTTAGGGAGAAAGAGCAACCAGTTAGAAGGAGCCTGGGTCTTTGACTTTGTGGATCCATCACCCACCTCTGGACTGTCTGTGTTGTGATTATTATACAGAAGAAAAATAAACATTCATCTTGCTTAAGCCACTGTTATTTGGGGTCTCTATTACAAAACCCAAACTTTCATCCCAAGACAGGCAAAATCCAGATTTTTTAGAAGTTATATGCACTAATATGCCTTTAATATGCTTCCAATACATCTTTTTTTTTTTTTTGTGATCAATGAAGCGCTGTATACAAGATGAAAAATACCTTGCCTTTCTCACTACATTTTGTGTAATCAGTCTCTATTTCTGTTCACCAATGATGTCAGGTTGGAGAACAGGGAGTGCCAAGATGTTACTTGACATCTCTGGGTCCTCAGAGGTGGTCAACTTCAAACTCAGACCTTTTTAGGTTCTCTTGGTGGCTCAAACTTTATGGGGTTATCAAAGCTGGAGTCTGCATCAGCTCTCTGCCCCTGGAAGAGTTTCCTTTAATTCCGTAGAAGTTGAGCTGACACAGGGTTAGGGATTCTTGTGTGGAATGGAAGTTGCAAAGCCAGAGTCAACCTGCAGTTTTTAACCTTTGGTTTATGGCAGTATCATGAACATGGCCACATCCTGGCAGAAGCTCCAGGCAGGTGGGAGTGGTGCCAGCAGAGCATTTATAGCAACCAGCACTGGGTGGAGGGACCTGGCAGTGCCCATGTGTTCCCTGGGGCACAGCTGTGTTATTCTAAGATAGGCCTACTCTGACCCTGTGTCACATCCTAAGCCCTTCATTTCAATTCCTGTGTCATTTCTGCACCCACCCCCCAATTCCAAGACTGTGGCCCCTTCCTCACTTGCTATCCCAGAGAAAATTGCTAAGTTCCTTTGGACTTCATGCATTGGTTACCTGCTTTCAGAAATGCATTATTTCCCAAATCCCAAACACCAGGTGTTAAATGTGTATGAATTACTTGACATATTTAATTGCAGGATTAATGCTGAGACACAGTAATGTATTTAGGGACACATTAGATGTATTATTTTAAAACTGTGATTAACACCGATTTTGGAGCATTTTGGAAGACTAATTAAATGATTGAAAACCACATTCTGGCATTGCAATGTTTGTTCAACAAAAACATTTGTGGAAATTAGGTGTAATTCAACCACCTCATTATACAATTAGTTGTTTAATTCTGTCTGCAGGCGTTTGAGGTCATAATCAGGATGAAGCTGTGGCTTCTGGGGCATGACTGGGCTTTAGGATGGGTCTCCCCGCTTTCCATGGTGCTGACAGGCTCCTCACTTTCAGGGTGCTGAGTGGCTCCCCATGTTTTATGGTGCTGTCTTCCCCTGCCACTAGTCTCTTCTGCCATCCTTCAGTCTCGCTGGCCCCCGTCCCCTGATCACTGTGCTTGTTTGCACCTCACTGCACTCTTGCTTGCTCTCTGCTCTGCCTGTGAGGTCATTGTTACTGTTGTTCAACAAATATTTTTGGTTTTTCTCACAAGCACATAATAGATTATGCTCCATTCCCACACCCCCTCAAAGTTAGGTCTCCCTAGTAACTAAGGCGATGTGGGCAGAGGGACACGTGCCATTTCTGGGCAAAAGCTTTTAGAACCCTGTGGAAGTTACACCTTTTCTTTTCCTTTGCCATGGCAACTGGAGATTGTCCAGACAGCAGCTTCTCCATCAATCTGGGGTCTTGAAGTTACCTGCTTATGGACCTGAAGTATAAAGCAGAAACAAACGTTTATTGTTTTAGGCCACTGGGACTTGGAGTGGCTTGATTCTGCAGCATGATCTAACTGGCCCTGATGGACACAGCCAGTGGATGTTCCCTTGGATTTTTCCTTGATCTTTACTCTCTTATTTTTCAGACTGTTCGCAAATCCCCTCCTCAGAGAGGTCCTCTCCGTCCATTTCCCCAGAGCCACTTTCAATTCTGTTTCCTTCTCTTTTTTTTTTGACAGCGGTTACTGCCTTCTGACATTATTTTATTTACATTTATAAATAACGTGACAATTTATAAATAAAGTGTTTCTCTATCTCTGTAATTTTGTCATTTGGAGAATGTTATACGTTGAATCATACAGTGTGCGGGACTGTTATTTTCTGCTTAGGCCTTGAGGTTCATCCAACTTGCTGGGTATAACAGTGGTTCCTTCCTTTTTATTGTTGAATAGTATTTCTATGGTGTGGATGTACTATGGTTTATTTAATCATTTACCTGTTGAAGGGCATTTATTTATATCTATAAATACAGTCCACTTACTGTATTTCATTATCTCTGAGATGGAAACTTGAAATAAAAATAATTTTTATTTTCCATTCTTGTTTCTGTTTTTCTGTTTTTACTCCACCCAGCCCCCCTAAAGTTTTTAACATGATTGCTTTTCTGAAATCAGGATGGCTCTTAGAGTCCACAGTGTGCTATTCAGGCCATGACACAGGTGAATTACCTGTGCAGGTGTGAACAACCAAATGACCAGTGAACACATGTAACTAATACTCAACTGACCAGCATCAGTGCACTGGAAAAGAATCCGAGATTGGACAATGGAGCCCTCTTTTAACCCCTATGAATGTCATGGATGTGGGGACAGACTGGAGGACTGGAGCAAGTCAAATATGTTTAGTGACATTGCTGAAGTCAGAACCGAAGCAGAAAAACTGTATATAATTTTAAAGAGTCCTCAAAGCCCAGCACTCTTGACTTTCAATCTTTTTATGGATTCTTTGAAGAAATGCCGTATAATCAGTGCTCGTGGATGAATGCACAGAGGATGATAGAGCATGGAAAAACCCCAAACATTGATGAGTCTGAATTGAACAGTGATTCAGAAGAATTGGACTCAGTGTAAAGTAGTTTGAGGAATAACAACCAAGTTATTTCACTTGTATTTTCATTTTTATGTATGCACAATAGTAATATGTGATAAAAATCTGTCTAATTAAGTCTCAAAGAACTCTTACAATAAGTAAAATTAAAAATTCTAAATGATAAGAATGCATTGTGTCATGGTTTAATTGGCAGTGTATTTTTCTTTCACAGGGGAACAAAAAATAATGGTGCTTCTTGCAATTGTGTTTCTCAGAGGTGATGAAATGTGGTATTTCTTTCAGAGACTGCCCTTATCACAAAGACATCTGCTGTGTCATTCAGTTCAATTTTAGTTGAGTTTAACAAGGCCTCTGGCCATTTAGAAAGCTGGCTCATTTGGACTCAGAGGCTACCGTGATTTTAAATTTGACCAGATACCTGGACTGGAGAAGAGCTAGAGTTTTGTTTCTAGCAAATCCATTGGGTGCCTAAGGTAGGCTGGCCAGAGAGTCTGCTCCTGGTTGAGACTGGGCCCTCCACCCCATGGGAACAGTAAACCACAGAACTTAGGCACCATCACAATTTTTTTCTGCATTCATAAATCACCTGACTACTATTAATATTCTTCATTTCTGAAGTCTTTTATTTTTCGATAATTATAGATCCACAGGAAGTTGCAAAAATAGTACAGAGAGGTCCCAGGGACCTTTCACCCAGTTTCCTCCAATGCTAACGTCTTATTTAACTATAGAAATTGCCAAACTTTTCAGAGTGACTGTCCCATTTTACATTCACATCAGCAACTGGGTCTGGGTGACCCAGTTTCTCCACATCTTTGCCAGCATTTGGTGTTGTCATTTTTAATTTTAGCCATTTTGATAAGTGTGCAGTGATATCTTATCATGGTTTTACTTTTTCATTTACCATTGAGTTTGGAAAGTTCTTTATAATATTCTGTCTGGATATTGGCCCTTTGTCAGATATGTGGTTTGTGCAGGGTCTTTTGCAGAGCAATAGTTTTAAATTTTATTTATTTATTTATTGTGGCATCTCACTCTGTCATCCAGGCTGGAGTGCAGTGGCACGATCTCAGCTCACTGCAACCTCTTCCTCCCAGGTTCAAGCAATTCTTCTGCCTCAGCCTCCCGAGTAGCTAGGATTATAGGTGCGCACCACCACACCTGGCTAATTTTTGTATTTTTAGTAGAGACGAGGTTTCACCATGTTGGCCAGGCTGGTCTTGAACTCCTGACCTCAAATAATCTGCCCACCTTGGCCTCCCAAAGTGTTGGGATTACAGGCATGAGCCATGGCACCCAGCCAGTTTTTAATTTTAATAAAGTCTAATTTATTGATTTTTTTTCTTTTATTGATTGTGTTTTTTTGTGTGACATCTAAGAAGTCTACTTTGATCTTGGGTCTCAAAGTTTTTCTCCAATTTTTTTCTCTAAAAGTTTTATAGTTTTACATGTAAATCTATGATCCATTTTGAATTACTTTTTGTATAAGGTGTGAGGTGTAGAATAGATTTTTCTTTTCTTTCTTTCATTTTTGCCTACAGAGTCCATTTGCTCCAGCACCGTTTGTTGAAAAGATTATCCTTACTCCGTTAAAATTGCTTTTGCACCTTTGTCAAAATCAGTCAAGCATATTTGTGTGGGTCTATTTCTGGGATCTTTATTCTGTTCTATTGATTTAGGTGTTTTTCTCCATTACCATGGCCCTCTCTGGATTACTGTTGCCATAGAGTGAGTCTTAAAATCAGGTAATGTGATTCCTCCAACTTTATTCTCCTTTTCAAAATACTTGAGCTATTCTAGTTCCTTTGCCTTTCCATGTAAATTTTAGAACAAAATTAATGATTTTCTTTAAATTGATGGTTACAACTTTATTTAAAAGGAAAACACATAAGTTTGCTATGTCAGCTAGAGCTGTACTGTCAAAGTCAGTTAAAATAAAAATATAACAATTATAGTTTAAAAAACTATCTGTGAACCCTGTGAAATGATCCCATGAACCCCCAGATTGGCCTGGACCCTCGTCTCCCAGCACCCCTGTGTTGGGAAGAGCACTCTGTGGTGAACGGCTGGCTCTACGTGTCTGGGGAAACTCACATGGCTTGGCCGCCTCATTCCGAGCTGGCTTAGTGGTGTCTGTGTGGCCCCACAGCAATCCTCTATGGATGGCTTGCGGCTAATGTATTGACCGAGAGGGCAAGCTCTGCCCAACTGTGAGGCTCCATATGGACTAAGTGAACCAATCAGATCCTCCCTCAACACAGTTGAGTGATGGGTAGTAGAGAGTCAGTAGTTGGCAGGGGGAATAGGGTGGAAGCTATGAAGGAGCAGAGCCATGAAGGAGTGAGGCATGAAGGAATCAGTAGACTCCCATGGAAAGAGTAACTGATTCCTCATGGTGGGAAGCACTTGAGCTGGGAGCCGTACTTCCTTTGGTCTGCCAGCAGCCTGGGAAGGATGGGAAACTAGCCAATGGGCACTGGAGCTGTCCTAGGTCCTGAACAGCCTTCTTTCCTCCGTGAAAGGCCTGAATCTGGTTTGTGTTCTCTTCTTCCCCAATACCCCCTACCCCCACATTTAAGGTAGTGTTTCCAAAGCTTGGGATTCGTAGCCGTGGAAGAGCACAAGATGACGTTAGGGTGCGCAGAACCTGGGATTAAATAACAACACATCACAGAATCAGCAAGCTACCCCCTTTCCAGTGATCTCAGCGGAATAGGTTGTTAACACCTGGTCCTTCCTAATCCCTTTTAACAAAGAGAGGTGGCCTTGGCTTTACAGCATTTGATGAGGAATGCCTCTAGCAAAAATTTCATAGTGCTTTTCTGTTTTCATTATGGTTTTTGACAGTAATTTGCCTACTCATATTTTCAGTGCCTAGCACATTGTAGAGGTTCAAACTCTCAGCCATTGAATTAATTTGATTATTTTTCATTATTCTTTGATTTTTGTCTTTTTAACCTCAACTGACTATGAACTCCTTGAAGTCAGGGACTGTGCTTTTTATTTTTATTTTTTTTAGACCACGGTCTCACTCTGTTGCCCAGGCTGGAGTGCAGTGGCACGATCATAACTCACTGCAACCTCGACCACCACCTAGGCTAAAGGGATCCTCCTGCCACAGCCTCCAGAGTAGCTGGCACCACAGATGTGCACTACCACACCTGGCTAACTTTTTAATTTTTGTAGAGATGGGGTCTCGCTCTGTTGCTCAAGCTGGACTTCAACTTCTGGCCTCAAATGATTCTCCCACCTTGGCCTCCCAAAGTGCTTAGATTACAGGTGTGAGCCACTGCACCTGGCCCTGCTTTTGTTTTTTATTTGCCATTTTGCTCCTAGGGCCTAGAAAAGTGCTCAAATACACAACCATTGCTTGTTCTGGTGAGTAAGTAGGCAGGTGGAGAAGACACAGGAAAGTTGAGTCTAACAGGCTGGGCTTGGTCTCCATGCTGATACCCAGAGGTAGCTGATGGAACTGGCTAGTGTGAGTCCCGTTCAGAGTCTATGTCAGAAACTTAGCTGGTCGTCCCTTCCTTGAAAGCCTTATTGGAAGAACAGTGAGCTGTGTACTTGTTCTTCACACAAGCCTCTCTCCCTTCCCTCCTGGGCTGGGCCTTGCCTTCACTCCAGCCATGGCAGGCCTGGCCCTACCTGGCTCTTCAGAGCTCTCACCCACCTGGGACTTCTCTGCCGTGGAAGAAAAAACCATGTCCTGGGCCTGTGGAATTGGAATTGCACCTTCGGGGTCCTTCTGGGGAGGAGGATGGGTTTCCTGATCAGAACATGGCCAGATTTTCTTCTTAAAGGCTGGATGGTTGGCCCGAGGATCAGTCTGAACTTTAACTTCACTTTCTCCTTTTCTTGGCCTCTAATAATTCAGTGTGTGCTGAGGATTGTATTGCAAGTCTGGCCAAGGATTTCTTTAAAAGAAAATCCCCAACCAGGCTGGACACATTACTGTTGTCAGCATGACCGTTAGCCTCCTTCAGAGTGAAGGTCAACAAATAATTTTCAGCTTTGTTTAAAGCCACTTTAATGGATTCTATAAAATGCTCTAATTACCAGTGATTATCCGCTGAGTGCTCGCAAGCTTTTTAAAGCTTTTCTGTGCCCATTTAACTCTGTTCACACAGAGTTCAAGTTGTCTGATGTACTTAAGCAAGAGGAGGCATTTTGTTTCTTTCTATTTCTTTTTTTTAAAATCATGTAATTTGGAGTGTTTTTAAGGCAGGCTAGCTTTCTCTTTTTTTCATCTGAAGCAGAGTTTTTACTCTGCTTTCCATCTGTTTCCATCTTGTCACCCAACAAGAAATTAAATGCCATTTAAATGATATGACAGTCGCTTCCTTACCACACACAGTAGAACATAACTGCCTTCAATGTGCACAGGATTCTCACAGGTGTCGTCTCAGTTGAGCCCCAAAGAAGGAGGCTGGAGGGGTTGCTGAGGCTGGGATTCCTCACCTTCTGCACTCCTGACATGGAAGCCTTGATCAGTTCTCTGTGGTGGAGGCGTCCTGGGCATTGTAGGGTGCTTAGCAGCATCCTTGGCTTCTACCCGCTAGAGGCCTAGCACCCTGCCCTAGTTATGACAATTAAAAATGTCCTCAGACATTACCCAATGTCCCCAGAGGGGAAAAAAAAATCACTGTTGGTTGAGAACAGTTGACTTAACCCATTTTCATATGAGGAGATGGTGACGGGAAGGGCTTGCCCGAGGCCCTACAGTTGGCGTGCTGTGGAGGGTCTGTCAGCCTCTTCTGTTGCTGCACTGATGACTCATAGAAACCCTCAAACCCAGCAGAGGCACCATTCTTTCCTCTCCTACCCCCTGTGTCAACCTCCCTGCCTCTCGTCCTGGTAGAGTCACTGCCAACATAAGTGCGTCTTTTCAGCAAATGTGTCTTCTGGAGTTGATGTGTTTCAGGCTTCTGTTCTTCTGCCTCCTAAGTTTCATGTCCTAGAGGACATCTCATTTAATTTTTATAGTGTCCAGAAGACTGTCTGGAGGGCTCTTGGGCAGGGAGGGCCTGTGAATTTGTCCCACAGTGCTTGTTCCTGTTACCTGGCCACAGGCTGCCCCCATGCACGGGCAGGAGCAGTGAGGAGTAGACCTGCTGGGGTGGGAGGGAAGATGTACTGACAGTGACCCACAGTTCTGAGAAATTATCTGTGGATGGTCCGGTTCACGCTCTGTTCATGAACCACAGCCACAGTCTCATGTTCATTGATAACCATGTGTGGCACCTTGGTTAATTCCCAGCTGATAGTGTCCTTAGATGGTGAACTTTGACCGGACCCTTTCCCCACATGTATCCTTTCTGGCCCAATCTTGCTCTCTGGCTAAAATAATTGACTTGGGTCACGTTACCATTGGGCTGAGGGACGGAAGATTGTGTGTGTGTTTGTGTGTGTCATTGTCTTTGTTAAGGGAGAGGAGGGGTCGGTCCTTTAAGGTCTTACCCTTTTTGAAAATGTTGGATTAAACAAAGTAAAACAAGATTCTTTATTGCAGGACTTCTCAGAGCCTTTACCTGGTAATGTGCTCTATGATTATTCCAGAGCAATACAGGATGCAACATTTCCCAAAGTCATTTGACCACAAGACCTCTTTTCTTTTCATGGAGTATCACATTCCACTGTGTGCATGATGTTCTGTGGGAAAAGTGTCACCTAGATGTGAAAGGACACCTCACCCCACTTTGTGTTTGGCCATTTCTAAGGTGGCTTTGAAACTAGGAAGGATGAAAGAATGTCAGATATGGAAGCCCACACCCTCTTTTGGTTTGGTGGCTCTCAGTGGCTGGATTCTGAGCAAGACCCTGGAGGAGAGAAAATCCTTCTCACATGACTGGACATTCCCAAAGCTGGGGGAGTTGGTCTGGAAGACCTGATTTCCCTGTCCATGTGAGTGGCCGTGGGAGTGGTATGGTCGGAAAAGAGGGGACCAAGGGAGCCCAGACAGAGAAATGCCCACCCTCACCCTCCTCCTCCTCAACTGAAGAGGAGAGGTGCAAGGGGAAAGAGTGCAGGAAGAGAAAGGAGAACAGAAGTTTCCATTTGTACCGGATGGTTTTGTTTTTTTATCTGTTTGCAAATGTTCAGTGTAATGGTTTGAAACCCAGCCGTGTAGCTGCCGCCGCCCACACACAGAGCTGCCGTGGCACTGAGCTTCAGCAGGCAAACCATATCACCAGCGTCGGCCATTAAACCCGAGCCCACACCAGGGCAGGCTGCACACCTACCCCCGGTGTCCCTCTGCCACCCCCGCCGCCCCAGCAACCCCGACACCCACCACCCTCCACACACACAATTTTTCTTTTTTTAAATTTCCAGCAGTCGGTTTTTCTCTAGAGAAGGCATAAAGAGAAGCAGAGGCAGAGATGGGACGAGCAGGGAGAATGCTCCTGCCTCATCGGAGCCACCGGTTTTCGGGAGAGAGCGGCAGCCCCCACCTGCCTGTGGACTGAGCACTTAAAGGTGAGAGAGGACTTTGTGATTTCTTTGTGCACCTGGAGTTCTGGGATGCAAGGCCAGATGAAGGGATCTTAATCATTGAGCCTGGTCTGTTGCCTCCCGAGTGATTCTATCAGGCAAGCATGATGGATGATTCCTTCCAAGCACACGCAGTTATCTCTGACACGAGCCCCACTCAGGTCCCCTTGAGATCTCTTGAACCAAGGGGCTTCTAGCCCCTCCTCCTCACCTTTCAGCACAGCCTTGTAAACCTCAGATGTGGATGAAGGTGCCGTCCTGCCTTTGACTTGACCTGTTGATTTCCAACCGGGGCTGCTGGCCCTTCCTCTCTAGAGTGAGTAGTGACTCACACTTTTGGGGCCCTATGAAATGGTCCTCCATCCAAGGGGCTTTGGGAAGCCTGTTTCCCTGGTGGCCCCAAGCCCAGTAACCAAAAGCAATCAGACCCAGCTGTCCAGCTAATTTTTTTAAAATAGGCTTCCTTCCTAGTAGAAATCAACAAAGTCTAAAATAGAAGGGACTCTAATAGGAAATGAAGCTGCAGAGTTCTGTGTGGAATGCAACAGGCAGGGACCTCGGCATGGAAAATACTAAGTGCAGATTACATGGCTGACAACCATGGGAGCAGGAGAAGGAGTAATCTCCTTGCTTATCGAGCATGTCTCTGGGTCGGAGGGGAGCTGAGTGGGGACATCGCTTCTGGAAGGTTTAGACCTTTCACCAAGAAGGAGAGGAAAAAGGAAGAACAACAAAGATGGAGAAAAGGGGGAAAAGAGGCCGTAATGTAATGTACATGTAGAAGAGAAGCAGACAAAAAGCTCCAAATTCTGTGCAGTCAGGGGATGAATCAGTTAGTAAAGATCTATTTTTAGTTTCCAAGATCTGCTGTTACATTTTGCCTGGCATTAATTAATGTCACAGGCATGTTCCATGCACAGGCTCTGAAGGGCCCTCGCGTGTCACTCTAGCTGGAGGTACCAGCCCTTCTTAATGGGAGCTCTCCAGTCCTTTGGGGTCTGGTCTCTGACACAAACATGTGTCCAGAATGTTCTGCTCTCTGACCTTGTCCCCTCTGGGTGTATCCGTTAATCTCCTCACTCTGGCCCTTGGATGTCTGGCCAGTGGCCAAGGGAGAATTGCAATTGTTATACTTTGTTTTTTAAAAGGAAAGGCTGTACAAGCTGAAATTGGGAAAAGGCAAAGATGTTGGATCATGGCTTAGAATTTAAAGAAAAGGCTTTGAGGGCAGCTCTCCTACCACAAGGAAGAATGAGGCCCCCCTCATCTCCAAACAAGGCTGATTTTGACTAATCAGATATCATAACTGGAGAACATCTTCCAATATAGTTTAGGCAAAGTGTAATATGTTAGCAAGAACTAATGATATGACTGGGGTTGATCAGATGTTGGCTGAAGTTGTGTGTGAGACTAATTATCTCCAAAAAACCTGTTCATATTTCAGAGGCGAGGCTGTAAATCTGAAGAGCAGCTGAAATGCAGGCATGATTGTACGCATGAAGCCTTGCTTTCTGAGGTGGTAAAAGGGGGGATTACAGGCCAGAATGAAAAACCCAAGGCCACGTGGCAGCACACTGTTGGGACAGCTGTTTTTGTACATTTGCACCAATTATTAGATCAATAAGAAAGTATGACTACATCATGGACCCTAATTAGAAGAGACGTCCCTTATACTCTCTGAAATGCTTGAGAATGTTCTCCTACTAACCTAGAGCCTGATGGGGCCATTGACGCTAATTGTTAAGTGCCGTTGGTCAAGGCCAATGCATAGTCTTCGTTTAGTTCCTAAGTCATTTGTGGTCGGCCCATCCAAGACAGGGACACGGACAATCTCATCAGAGTAGGCTGGGAGGGTTTCCATGATGGAATGGGGCTGGCCTCTCTGTTGAGGGGGGATATCCAAGGGGTGCACATGAGCTCTGAGGACCAGTGGCAAAGTCCCTGTTCAGTCCTTGGGAAGCATCACCACTGCTACATTTCTGATGTTCTGAAGATGGGTTAGAACAGAGCGGCCGGGCGCGGTGGCTCACGCCTGTAATCCCAGCACTTTGGGAGGCCGAGACGGGCAGATCACGAGGTCAGGAGATCGAGACCATCCTGGCTAACACGGTGAAACCCCGTCTCTACTAAAAATACAAAAATTAGCCGGGCATGGTGGCGCGCGCCTGTAGTCCCAGCTACACGGGAGGCTGAGGCAGGAGAATGGCGTGAACCCGGGAGGTGGAGCTTGCAGTGAGTCGAGATCGCGCCACTGCACTCCAGCCTGGGCGACAGAGCGAAACTCCGTCTCAAAAAAAAAAAAAAAAAAAAAAAAAAAAAAAAAAAAAAAAAAAAAGAACAGAGCGTGAGAGCAAGCAGGGTGCTGACTCTGGGTCTCATGTCTTGAGGCTCAATTCCATCCTGTCACCCAGCCAGGAGATTCAGAGGTCCTGCAGCCTCCTACCTCAGACCCACATACCTGGTGTGAGTTCTGCCCTCCTGACCACAACACCCCTGCACCTTGGACACAGCTTACCACATCCTTCCCCAGAGCATCTTGTGCCTTGGAGAGCAGGTGCAGTTGCAGCGTTCTGGGCTGCGGGCACTCGAGTTCAGCCCTGGCCAGAGGCTGTGAGGGGCAGAGCCAGGGGATGGTGTCTCCATTGGTAACGAGGGTCTCCATCCCTTCCAGGCTGGCCGTGTCTGTGGCCACAGATGAATAGGATGGGTGCCCATCTTGATGGGTCAGACAAGGTAAGGGCTCTCAGACCCCATCCTCTGTTTGAGATCAGACCAGAGGTGCCATCAGAAAATCAACTGAAGATTAACCAGCTTCCTCTGGTGCTCAAAACCTAGACTCCCTTTGCTGCTTTGCAATTTCTTTCTGTGTGTGGAGGTCTGATAAGCCAGACGAGATGAAGGGATGTTAATCCTTGGGCCCAGTCTCAATGGCAAACTTCCAATTAAAGAAGATGTGACTGTGGCCTGGGGCTGTGCCAAAGAAGGGCTTTGCTTATGTCTCTTTGTCTAATCTCTGTAATGGCCCCATGTGGTTGGCGCCTTCCCCAATACCATTTTATGGAGGAAGAAACGGAGTCTTATACATTTCATTTTACTTTTTGCATTGTATCTTAAAGATATAAAACTTTAACCTTATACTCCATAATATATCTATTGATCTTACTATAAAATAAGATCTCCCTCCTCCAAAAAAAATCGTGAAGGAAAAGGGTTCCCTCCTGAGTGAGCGCCAAAAGCCTGGGCTTGGCCTGTCGGAGAGAGAGGCTGCAGAGCCCCTGTATGGAGAGCAGACACCATCCACAGGGCCCCCAACACATGTTTCATGCCTGAGCCTTGTCCCTGTGATGTTGACACTGTGTGGATGGCGGGGCTGGAACTTGCCCTGAGGGCCCCAGGGAATCCGGCAAGGCCCAGTCTCCACTGCCTTTTTCTGTGGAATGTTCCAGCTGGCCGGTGTGCACAGGGAAATCTGAGCCGAGGCCCTGAGGGGGGCTGTCGTCCCACACAGGGCTAAGGCTCTCCAGGGAGCCTCAATGGCTGGACCCCCATCCAACGCCAGCGCCAGCCCCCTTTGCCCCGCCATGGCCCGCCTTTTCCTCTGTGACCTGCTACGGGCCTCACATCCTGAGAGGAGCCCTAGAAACGGGCTCTGTTGATAAAAACACACATACCCTTTGCCACAGGAAACGTGGCCTCACGTTCACAATGGTAACCACCAGGCTCCTCACAGAAACCAAAGAGGAACAGATTTTAGATTTTTACCTCAATTAGGAAACACATGTTCTCTCTCTCTCCTTCCCTCCCTCTCTCCTCTCAGCAAGTCTCAATTTTCCTCACATGCAACCTCTGCCCTCCCTATCCTAGATTGGGAAGCTGCACATTTAGGAAACAGAGACCGTGTTCCTTTGAGTTTAGGTAAAAACTGTGAGAAAACAGGATATAAGTCGTAATGGAAACCAGTGGACCTCGGGTCACAGGTAGGGTTGTCAGATAAAATACAGGATGCCCAGTTAAAATGGGAATTTCAGGTGAACAATGAATACTTTGTTAGTATAAGCGTGTCCCAAAGCCTGCACAGGATATACTTAAACTAAAATATTTATTATTTCTTCGAAATTCAAATTTAAGTAGGCAATCCTGTATTTTTATAGATCATCTATGAATAGTAACCATAGCATAGGGGACCCACCGTATGAGACTCAGAACCATCATCTGGGAGGAACGTTGAGGCAAACTTCTCCATCCAGATTAATTCCTGACCTTCTGAGAATAACAAACAGCCCACTATGCTGTGGCCAGTACTCCGCGCCAGCACACGCTGTCATTTTGTGGGCAAGGAGCTCTCCTTGAGTCTGCCCAACGGAGGTGTGTAGTGATTTGTTGTCCAGGAGAGAAACAGAGGCTCAGGGAGGTTGGTGTGGCGCACCCGAACGCTCAGTCAGCTCCTGGCCTGTCTCTCTGCATAGTACTCGCTGGCTGTGGGCGGGCGGGCCGTGCCAGCTTCAGAGGAGCAGTAATAACAGGTTAGCTTGGAAGTTCTCCTTGCAGAGATGGGAACGGCTGTGTCAACCATGCAAATTATATACAAATACACTTGGCCCGCCTGCCCAGATGGGAGACCCATGAGCACAGCCTCCAGCCGTCCATGGGTTTCCGATAGTGCAGGGGTACCGGGCTGATAGCGGCTGGGTCTCTGGAGAGGCCCATGTTCCCGGTACATGTGGGCTGGGACACATGCACACACTTACTTTCCTGGTGTGGATGAAGATGCGAGGGGGCTAGCATGGAGGTGGATGCCTAAGGCTGGAGGGGGTGTGTTGATGTGTGCATGACCTGCCACCCTGATCTGTGTATTCCCAGCAAGCCACATGGCTTCTGTCTCCTGGGATAACCCTTCCTGAGGCTCCAGCACCCATCTCTGGACAGAAGGAAATGGCCCTTTCCCTGGGCACCCTCCTGCTGAGATGCCACAGGACTGCAGACCTTTGAGGAGAATAATCCTAACCACAGTGATGCTACTGTGAGCGTTGACCAGGTGTTTATGATACACCCGACCCTGTGCTAGCATCTTGTGCTTAATTCTCCCATGTGCCTGGGGCTCTTGTTGCCCTGACTTGACAGATGAAAACCTCGAGGCTTAGAAAGGTAAAATAACTTGGCCACAACTGGTGAGATACCGAGCCAAGATTCCACCTGAGTTCTGCAGGCCGGTCAGGTGAATCGCTGCCAGGTGAATGAGGGATGGCTTTCAACACCAGCTCCTGGGCGTGGACTTTCTGAAGAGAGCACTGTTTTGAAAAGTCCTTTATGGAGATTTGTAGTAGTTTTAGCTAAGATTGTTTTGTATTTGCGCTCTTAGAGTTAGTAGGTTTGCCTCAAATACTGGTGCCGGCTGAGCCCCATGTATTGGAGATGTTCTCCACGAGGGAACGCTGAACCTTCGGGAGACCCATAGGAGGTGGCTGCCCAGCCCCTCTGTCTAGCGATGCTGCAAGGGGAAGGTGTACACCAAAGGCAGGGCTTGATTGAATGGTTGAACATGCTGGTGTGGGGGCCATATAGCCTCAGCCACAGGTTGTCTTTGCCAGTCTCTGGCTGAGTGGTTTGGGGCGAGCTGCCTCACCACTATCAACCTCCTTTCCTCATCTGTTAAGTAATATTTGTAATGACAGCACCTCCCTCACACCCCAGCTTGGAGGTTTCACTAGTCTGTTGCCTGATCAATCATAATAGTTATTAGTCATTGCTGTTTGCCAGGTACCAGCTTAGGTGCTAGAAAGAGCTAGTAATGAGAAAAAAAGTACAGCGCTCACTTTTGAAGATCTTAGGAGTCCAGAGAGCTAAGCTAAATCCACTACAATGTAAGACAGGCATAAATTCACCTAAAAGTGTCACAGGGACTCTGCTGCTGAGGTTCGGGAGTGGGAGATCACCACTTACAGGGGGTTGGGGGTTTCCAGAGGCCTTGGTTGAGGAGGCAGCGAGTAGGTGGACAGGTGGATTTTGGGTTTGTGGATCAAGAGAAGGAAGGGAATTCCTGGCTGAGGAACAGCATAAGCAAAGTGTGGAGGAGAGCCTGGGGGCCTTTGGTTTGATTGGAGGGTGCACGCATCCATCCGTGCATGCCGGGGCAGTGGGCTTGGAGCTGGCGAATAGGGTACAAAGTCCCTGCTCTTTTGGGGATTGCAACGTTAAGCAAGTAATGATACATTTAATTTTTTAATTGCAGCTGTGATGAACTCTGGGGAATCTGAGCTGCTCAGGGAGCAGGTGCCCGAGGCTTCCCTGAGGGCATAAGTGAAGCTTGAGTAGGAGGCAGTAGGGAATGGAAAGAGCACTTCAGGCCTTGAGTACAGCTCCCTTGGGGCCCCTGACATGGGCCAGCATCCAAGGAGCCAAAAGGCCAGTATGTGGCTGTGCTGCAGGCAACCAGAAGTGGGGCTTGGGAAGTGGCTGAGGAAGTGGGCAGAGGCTGGCCTACATGGGCCCTGCTAGGTGGAGGACATTACTTTGTTCCAAGAGTGACGAGGCTACTACAAGGTTTTAGCTAGAGTGGGGATGTGTGGGTGGACTTCTGTGTTTAAAAAAGATCCCTCTGCTGGTGGTGGAGAAGGCTTTGCATGTAGCAGGGGTGAAGGTGAAGGGAGGAAACTGGACTTTGGCCAGCTCTGGACTGTACAACTTGACCAAAATCCCACTTTGCCATCGCCACCATCCTCAGTCCAACAGACTCAACAACTCACTCTTTCCCACCTGAGCAGTGTCTCATACAGTCCCTGTTCCTGAGCTCAGCACCCACCTGATTTTCCCACCACCCTTGCTGCCGAGCACACGTGCATTGGCCCCCAGCCCGCATGCTCTGTGTTCTTCCCAACAGAGCCAAATCCTGTGGAACTGGACCCGGAGAGAACAGGAAGGAGTCAACAAGATCTTAAGCCTGCTCCAGACCCCTTGCCTGACTTTTGAGAAGGTCAGGGCCCGATTTCTGTTTGTCCCTCCTCCCTGGGCTGGGCGCATCTTCCTGGGACAGCCTCCCCCTGGGAGCGGAAGGCTTGGCAGGAGCAGTGGATTGCCTCATTGAGGGAGTGAGTGCCAAGGCACACAGGGCCAAGCGCTTATTCGTGCTGGAAGCTGCCCTGGCAGCCTGGGTGCCCCGCTGCCAAGAGCTGATTGGAAGGCTGGACGGACATGTTCAATGGTTCCGGGGGCTCACCAGCACACCCTATGAAGGGCAAATGTGGTTGGGGGCTGGTGACCCCATCAAGCTGAACTCCAGGAGGTCAAGGACAGGGCAGGAGGAGGCTTTGGCCAGCATAGTCTTGGAGAGGGAATTACTGTCCTGCTACTTTGTACTGTAGCAAACTCTTTGAAAAAGCCACAAGCAATTTTTGCTCTCCCAAAATAGCTGAGAGATTCCATTGGACAATTGCTTACCAAGTACCTAATTGGAGCTGGGCTAAGAAAGAGAAATTTTCATCTACTCCTTCAAGGAGCACATGGTCTGATGAGAAAGCCTGACGTATAAACCAGTCATTACAGGGCATTGTCCTGTTCAGGTGGTGAGGAGTGACTATGGTGGCACAGGACCCTAGAGGTGGTGGAGACTCCTGCAGCCTGGTGGGTTGGTCATGCTTCACAGAGGATGCTAGAAAGAGCTAGTCATAAAAAAAGTGCAGCTCTCACTTTTGAAGATCTTAGAGTCCAGAGAGCTAAGCTAAATCCACTACAATGTGAGACGAGCCAAGATTCACCTAAAAGTGTCACAGGGACCCTGCTGCTGAGGTTTGGCAGTGGGGAGATCACTTCTTGCAGTGGGTTGGGAGAGCCAGATTTGGTTTTCCCATGTAGGATTGGGGAAAGACATACATGCAGAGACTAAGTGCTTCTCCAAGAATGCACACATGCTCATTCACAAGTGTTAGTAACCCACGTAGAAGGTACACATAACCGTGTTGGGACAGGACCCAGGTGGTGCGGTCCCAGAGCAGTGAGCAGAAAGCACCATGAGAACTCAAGCTCTCTGCTCGAACCCTGTGAAGCCGAAGCGGTCTCTACCCCAATCCCCTGCGATTGGTACCTCCTTTTCCTTCCACTTTCCTCCCATCCTGCAGCAACTCCAGTGTCCCTCTTCTTCAGACTCCATGAGGAGTTCCTCCTTTTGCATTGCCCTTGCTGCTTCTCTTAATGACTTTCTCTCGGAGACAAGTCCTATGCCACTTGGAACAAAACTTCTCCTGTGGCCTAAGCTCTATGTCATCTGTCCCCGGCATGCTGCCTGGCTTCTCTCCTCGCTCTGCCCACTTTGTGGGGACCCTGACAACTCATGAGCCTTCTGCTGGTTTCTGCATTGCAGGGAAGAGTGCCCATTTAGCGCCTTGGCACTCACCGCACCGTCTTTTGCCCTTTGCCCTCAGATGTGCCTGGGGCTGAATCTTTCTTATCTCCCAGGTCTGTCTTCATAGACGGCCTCCTACCCCTCCCCTGTGACTCATCATACCACTCTATTCCTTTTCCTTCATTGTGATTTTCTCTAAAATCACTTCACTCATGTACATATTTTCCTATTTATACCCGTCTCTCACACTGAAATGTCAGTCCCATGACGGCAAGGGGGCCGCTTTCTTATTCTCCCCTGATCTTACAGCCGTGAATGAAACTTGGGATGTGCTGGGGAGTCAGTCAGTATTTGCTGGACAAGTAACTTGAATACAGTTTCCCTGACACCTGGGAGGGATAATGTCTTCCTCTTTCATAGCTTTTTTTTCATTACAATCTGCCTGTTTGGCTTTTGTCATTGTTTCCCAGTTATCTTGATTATACATCATACAAAAGACTATAGAACAGTCTAGTAAAGGCAAAACCTCTCAGAAGTAGGAGGAAGGGAAGGAAGAGATTGGACAAAGTCAGAACACTTGTTAGCAGGCAGGAAAGCAGGCAAGGCTGGGCACATGAATGCACTAATATTTTTGTCTGTGTGCAGCTGTGTCTCTGTCTGCACATACATGCCTAGAGCACCCTGATGTGAATGGGAGCAGCTGGGATTTGGTGTTTTGGGTGACTGGCTGGGCTCTGGTGAGAGGTGGGTTTGTTCCCATCTTGCTCATTAGCTGGTCAACTTTTCTTGCTCTGTGATCTTTAGAATGAGGGGGTAGCAAATTGGTTTTAGCTCAGGTGCTAAATCTTACTGGGAATGATTGCCTTGGAAGTCCAGGTAAAGCTGGCTTCCGCTGCCCAGCGCAGCAGGGAGGAGTGCTGGGGCCAGGCCGCACTGTCTACCCTGAGTGTAGGAAGGAGAGAAGGGGCACCGTATTGTGATGTGGCTGCATTAGATAATCCCTGAAGCACTGTTGGCTCTAAAATTCCAAAAGTCTCCCCTCCTTTGGGAATGGTAAGAGATGGGTTGGAGACCCTGAGTGAAAGGAACAATTCTCCTCCTCTGGGAAGACTTCATCTTCAGAGTCTGGCCTTGAGACACGTGCCAGAAAGCCCCTCCTAGAGAGGAAGGAGTAGGGTCCACCCAAAGGTACATGATGAGTTGTGTGCTCCCCCTCATGCTCAACCGAAGACTAAAGAGGAAGAAGTAGGGTCCACCTAAAGGGTACATGATGAGTTGTGTGCTCCCCCTCATGCTCAACCGAAGACTGAAATTCCCAGCGCTTAGAAGCAAGTCCCGTAAAAAGCTGTATGTATTTAACATACACTGTATGACTTTAGGGATAAGTATGCACCTGTGAGACCATCAGCACCATTAAGGCCGTAGACATATTCACCTCCCAAAGTTTCCTCTCGCCTCCTTTATTATTATCTGTGGCCAGAAAACATAACCTATGATCTACTGTCTTAGAAAATTTTAAGTACGTGGGCTGACTGCAATGGCTCCCGCCTGTAATCCCAGGGAGGCTGAGGCGAGCGGATCACCTGAGGTCAGGAGTCTGAGACCAGCCTGGCCAACGTGGTGAAACCTTGTCTCTACTAAAATAGAAAAAATTAGCCAGGCTTGGTGGTGGGAGCCTGTAAACCCAGCTACTCGGGAGGCTGAGGCAGGAGAATGGCTTGAACCCAGGAGGTGGAGGTTGCAGTAAGCCGAGATTGCACCACTGCACTCCAGCCTGGGCGACAGGGTGAGACTCTGTCTCAAAAATAAATAAATAAATAAATAATAGAAAAGAAAGAAAATGTTAAATAGGCAAAACGGACACTCTGCTGTGTACTAGGCCTCCAGAACTTAGCCATCTCGCATAACTGAAACTTTGTAGCCTTTGACCCTCACCTTCCCCATTTCTCCTCCCCTACTCCCTGGTGATCACCGCTGGACTCTCCGCTTCTATAAGTTTGACTGTTTTAGATTCCACATAGAAGTGACATCAGATAGTATTTTTCTTTCTCTGCCTGGCTTATTTCACTGAGAATAACGTCCTCTGGGCCCCTCTGTGTTGTTGCAAAGGCAGAATTCTTAAAAGGTGGAATAAACATCTCAACTAAATATTTTTTTAAAAAGAAGAAAGAACTTTAAAACCATTCTTTAAAATTTTATTTTAATTTTTTACTTTTTATGGGCACATGGTAGGTGTATATATTTATGGGATACGTGGGATATTTGGATACAGGCATGCAGTGTTTAATAACCACATCAGGGTAAATGGTGCATCCATCACCTCAAGCATTTATCATCTCTTTGTGTTATAAACATTCTGATTATACTCTTTTAATTTTTAAATGTGCTATAAATTATTGTTGACTGTAGTCATCCTGTTGTGCTATCAAATTCTAGCTTATTCATTCTAACTATAGTTTTGTACCCATTAACCATCCCCACTTTCCCGCCCACTCCCCTACCCTCTTATCTCTGTGAGTTCAATTGTTTTAATTTTTACCTCCCACAAATGAGCGAGAAAGAAGAAAACAAAATTAAAAACTAAAATGAAAACAAGTCCTACTGAAAGTGTGGGGGCGGATCCGTGTGCTAAGGGAAGAGGGAAATGAGGCTAGGCTCACTCTTTCCTCCGGCTGTGGATGGGATTCTGAACTCTGGCTTGGGAGGCGAATTGGGTGGCTTATCATTTGAGAGCCCTGCCACCTTCCAAAAAGGATTTGAGGGGACTTACAGTGAGAACATACTCAGAGGATAGACAGTGAGAAATAAAACCAGAGTGAAAGGTCATAGGCCACCAAAAGGAAGAGAAAACCAAACCCTGGGAAGGGCCAGGGTCTCTCAGACCAGGACTTGGATTCAAGGAACAGTCATCATTTGGTTTCATAAGGACAAAGGATTCTTGGCTTGGAGAAGAGTTGGCAGAGGCTAATATACAAATCTGTGTTTAAATCTGTTTATTGAAATGTTTAAACATATTGTTTTTGTAAATACATCCAACAGACACTGATTAGCCAGCCCCCCAAGTGATGGGTGTGGCAGGGTCCCAGCCCTGCCATTTTGTTCCCCATCTGGGCCAGTAAACTCTTCCCTTTAAAAAAACAAATAAGAAAGCAAACTCCTTACATAAGAAACTTCTGGGGCTGCAAGGAGGGGGAACCAGCTTTTCTTGTTGTAGCTGAAATATAAACATTTTTTCTTTCTGGTCCTGAAAAATTAATCTACAAAAACAGTGGGTGACACCAAAGAAATCACTTCAGGTGCTGGAAATGATTTCATTTTCTCACTCTATGATTAAAAGTCGGTAGCCAAGTGCTCAGGAGCCACATCACATCTTCCTAAGCAGGAATGTACCACACCCTGCTCTCCTCTGGCTTTGCTTCTGTTCCTCAGGCGCTTTCATTATCTGTGATGCAGTGAGACTGGCCCGTGGCGACAGGGAGCTGCAGAAGGCGATTACTCCGGGGGAGCATTGGGCACTGAGAGGTTGTGTGCCTTTCCCCCAGGACCCAACAGTCACAGCCTGGCGTGCGCAGGAAGCCAGCTTGATGGAGCCATCTCCGTCAATGTGACGGGAGCATTTCCAGAAAGGGTCCAGGGGGCATTTATTTCCAAACAGTCTGTGCTGCACAGGGAGAGGGGACGAGGCAACAGGTCAGCAGAGGTGAGGGGAGGACAGGATGCAGGGAACTTGTTTGTGGGTCAGGAGGACATTGTCTTGGCAAAGTTCTGCCCACTCTGTGCCCACTGAACCACAGGTGATGGTGACGTGGATTGTCTGTTTTCTCTTTCTCACTTAGCCTTCCCTGGAGGAGTTTGGGCTGGAGAGATCAACCCAAACCCAGGCCATCCCTTTTGTTCAAAGTATCAGACCATTCAGACCTGCAGTCAGCCCATTTCCCAAAGGCTGGTATGCACCCCCTGGGGACACTTTTGTTTGGTTTTTAACTTTTTACCTCATTTATTTGACATTAGGAGGGACTTTTTCTTTTTAATAAACTTTTTATTTTGGAATCGTTTGAGATGTACAGAAAAGCTGCACAGTTAGCACAGAAATTCCCACATCCCTTCAGCCAGTGAACCCCCACCCCGCAGCATCTTACATGCGCACGGGGCATTTGTCATGACTAAGAAACGCAGGTGGGTACATTCCTATGAAGTAAACTCCAGACTTTATGTGCACGTCACCAGTCTGTCAACTGATGTCTCTTTCTGTTCCAGGATCCAAGCCAGGGTGGGTGGTGATTTTTCATATAACTTTTTTCAAGTGCCATAATTATGGAGTTATTTTAATGAATATTACAAAAAATATCACATCAATTATTATAGCTTGGGACAAATTAAATGATAAAAGCAAGTCAATTTGAAGAGGTGTGTTATGAAAATAAATACAGATGACTTGTGGTACAGCCCTTTACTTCACAGACCCACCAAGAAGCTCAGGCTTGCTTAACACCAAGCAAATCCCTAACAAAGTCCTGGTGGGGCTGAGATAAGGACTAGCAACCCAGTACCCCTTCCATGGCCCAACAGCGCCCCTCTCCCTGTTTGGATGCTGCAGAAGGGAGGAAGGAGGTGGAGAGGAGAGGAACTCTCAGTGGGAATAAAGTTTCCTTTTCAATTATTCAGCTGATCCTTGACCCCCATTACCATGGATAATCAAAAACGGGGTGGATGCATCATGCCTTAAATAAAAACATCGCTGAGGTGGCCCTGAGGATGTGCAAGCAGATAATTGCATGGGGTGTTCATCCAATGACACTCCAGGGGGAGGTACTTTCCTATATGCACGGAGATGAGAGCGGTGGCCCTCAGCACAATGTCGCACATCTGAGGAGTGTTACTTCCTGAGGGGGGCTCCTCAGGTTCAGCTTCCTGTTCCCTCGCACAGGGCTGGTGATGATCAACCTCTTCTGACAATGGAGAGAGCATGCGGTGGATGTTAGGGGAACCAAACCCCAAGAGGGAACCAGCTTCAGTGGAAAGCGGAGTGCGTGCCTCCCCGAGGCAGGGCATTGCTGAGCCCCAGAGAGGAGCCCTGGGTTCCGCTGCCTCCCCCACAGGACAAGGCATGACAGCACCTGCATTGGAATATAGACTGTGCTTTGGAGCCTTTGGCATCAGCTTCCACCTGGTGCGTAAGTCTGTGGTCTCTCCAGCAAGTTCAGGGAAGTGAGGGAGTCGCAGTTCTCTGTCATTCAGCAGGTGTGGACTGAGGGCTGGCTCTGTGCCAGGCCCTGTGCTGGATGCTGGGTTCCATTGTGAGGCCAGGCACAGCCAAGGCAGAGACGAACATTCCTACAGTCGCTCACGACACCAAGCTCCACAGACCAGAGAATGGACGGATCCACAGGAACGAAAGACAGGCTGTCAGGTGCCCAGCCCTGGGGAGACTCCAGAAGAGGAGAGAGGACCACCCATCATGGCTGACCTTGGGAGGACTTGGGTCTTCACAAATTGTGTTCCTTGGTATATATAAGAGGGTTAAAATAGACACAAGAAATATCCATCTATTCCCATTCATTTATTTGACACATACTCTTGGGGCCATGAGTTCAATTCCCAGAAGAGGATCATGATGGTGGGGGGAGGAAGGATGTGGCGAGGGGCCGTGCAGGAGCCCAGGGGGCTTGTCTCATGGACGCTCTTGATCGAATTCCTCTGAGGCCCCAGAGGTGCTCCTTCATCCCCAGCTTGCTTGTGAGGCTGCGTTGGCTCCCCAAGGCCGAGTTTCCTGCTGAGACCCAGCCACACACTTAGCCCTGAGTGTACCAGGTGGCTCCACTCAGAGCGCTGCTCCAGCCCCTCTCCCTGGGGCTTCCTGCCACGTGACTGCACATTTGGGGTCTGGAGAAGGGCCCAGGGACTGAACTGCAAAGGTGAAGGGTGTCCCTGCTCCTCCTGACCACAGCTTCTGGACTGGCATGTGTGTCTGATGGTGCAAGACCAGAGGGGCATGGCCAATGAGAGAGTTATTCTTTCTACCCGTGAGTCTCCCTCGGACACACAGGATTTCTCATGTCTCCTCCTGGTTTTGCTGCTTTTTTTTTTTTTTTCTAGCTGCATGAGGTAGTTTTGTTTGAAAGAATAGTCAATGCAGACTGCAGTTTTCCGAATGAGGCTTGCTCTTGGCAAGTGAGTGAGATATCTTTGTGTTTGTTTGTTTCCTTCAGAAAAAAGGGCCTGAGAAAGCAAGTTAACAATTCTTTGGAAATGATTTTTCTTTTTCTTTGGTGACTGTTGCCACATGCTTAGTTCATTGGTTATTGGTTGCATGCTCTGGAGAGTCTATCTGTACCATGGTGCTTAGAAAAATTAGAATGGGAGTGATGGATTTATTTGTTATATTGAATTGATATAACTCACATACCATGCAATTCACCCTTTTAAAGTGTCGGATTCAGTGGCTTCTAGTATATTCACAAGGTTGTGCAACCATCACTGTGATCTAATTCCAGAACATTTTCAACACCCCCAAAGAAACCCCATACATTACAGTCACTCTCACTGTCTTTGTTTTTTTTTGTTTTTTTTTGAGATGGAGTCCCGCTCTGTAGTCCGGGCTGGAGTGCAGTGGCATGATCTCAGCTTGCTGCAACCTCTGGCTCCTGGGTTCAAGCTATTATCCTGCCTCAGCCTCCTGAGTACCTGGGACTACAGGTGTGCACCACCACACCCGGCTAATTTTTTGTATTTTTAGTAGAAATGGGGTTTCACCATGTTGGCCAGGCTAGTCTCAAACTCCTGGCCTCAAGTGATCCGCCTGCCTTGGCCTCCCAAAGTGCTGGGATTACAGGCATGGGATTACATGTTGCTGCATGGATACATGATTTTATTATTTTTATGGCTTTGTATATTCCGTGGTGTATATATGCCACTTTTTCTTCATCCAGTCTACCGTTGACAGGCACCCAGGTTGATTCCATGCCTTTGCTATTTGTGAATAGTGCTGTGATAAACATACGAGTG
This sequence comes from Homo sapiens, assembly GCF_000001405.40. Lineage (NCBI taxonomy): Eukaryota > Metazoa > Chordata > Mammalia > Primates > Hominidae > Homo > Homo sapiens. Next base: position 59,161,730 of record NC_000020.11, read on the forward strand.
CAGGTGTCTTTTTGGTAGAATGATTTATCTTCCTTTGGGTAGATACCCAGTAATGAGATTGCTGGGTCGAATGGTAGTTCTACTTTTAGTCCTTTAAGAAATATCCAAACTGTTTTCCACAGGGGTTGAACTAATTTACATTCCCACCAACAATGTGTGAGTGTTCCCTTTTTTTTCTGCAACCTCACCAACATCTGTTATTTTTTGACTTTTTAGTCATAGCCATTCTGACTGCTGTGAGATGGTATCTCATTGTGGTTTTGATTTGCATTTCTCTGATAATCAGAGATGATGAGCATTTTTAAAATATGCTTGTTGGCTGCTTGCATGTCTTCTTTTGAGAAGTGTCTCTTCATGACCTTTGCTCACTTTTTAATGGTTTTGTTGTTGTTTGTTTAAGTTCCTTATAGATTCTGAATATTAGACCTCTGTTGGCTGCATAGTTTGCAAATCGTTTCTCCCATTCCATAGGTTGTCTGTTTACATTGTTGATTATTTCTTTTGCTACATAGAAACACTTTGGTTTAATTAGGTACCAGTTGTCAATATTTATTTTTGTTGCATTTGCTTTTGAGGACTTAGTCTTAAATTCTTTGTCTAGGCTGACATTCAGAAGAGTATTTCCTTGGTTTTCTTGTAGGATTTTTATAGTTTGAAGTCTTACATTTAAGTATTTAATTCATTTTGGGTTAATTTTTGTATATATTGAGAGGTAAGAGTCCAGTTTCATTCTGGAATTAGAGTGGCACTAATCACTCTATTCAACATTCTTCTGCATATGGTTAGCTAGTTTCCCCAGCACCATTTATTGAATAGGGGGTCCTTTCTTTCACTGTTTATTTTTGTTGACTTTGTTGAAAATCAGTTGGTTTTAGGTGTGCAGCTTTATTTCTGGGTTCTCTATTCTGTTCCATTGGTCTGTGTGTCTATTTTTATACCAATACCATGCTGTGTTGGTTATTGTGGCCTTGTAGTATAGTTTGAAGTCAGATAATGTGATGCCTCTGGCTTTGTTATTTTTGCTTAGGATTGCTTTGGCTATTCGGGCTCCTTTTTGGTTCCATATGAATTCTGGAATAGTTTTTTTCTAATTCTGTGAAAAATGACATTGGTAATTTGATAGGAATAGTGTTGAATTGCTTTGAGCAGTATGGACATTTTAATGATATTGAGTCTTATAATCCATGAGCATGGAGTGTTTTATCATTTGTTTGTTTTCTTTCAGTAGTATTTTGTAGTTCTCCTTGTAGAGATCTTTCACCTCCTTGGTTAGATGTATTCCTAGGTGTGTGTGTGTGTGTGTGTGTGTGTGTGTGTGTGTGTTGCTATTGTAAATGGGATTGTGTTCTTGATTTGGCTCTCGGCTTGAACATTACTGGTGTATAGAAATGCTACTGATTTTTGTACATTGATTTTTGTATCCTTAAACTACTGAAGTCATTCATTGGGTCTAGGAGTCTTTTGGTGGCAACTTTAGGGTTTTCTAGATATAGAATCATATCATCAGTGAAGAGAGATAACTTGACTTCCTCTTTTCCTATTTGGATGCCTTTTATTTCTTTCTCTTGCCTGATTGCTCTGGCTAGGATTTTCAGTACTATGTTGAATAGAGTGATCAGTGCCATATCTTAAAAATAAAACCTAATTCAAACAAATCCATGTTGAACAAAATATCACCATTTTACATAAAGACAGCATCGCAGAAATCTTTCACTGGGACCTCCCACCATAGTCAATTGCAGTGGAAATGCTCATTCTGGGCCCTCAGGAACCTCTGGGGTTACATGTGGAGGTTCTGCAAACACTTGTTCCATCCACATCTCCAGGAAAACGACCACCTAGGCTCTAATTCTTAAACTTGCCTGCACAGAACAACCTCATCTCTAATGCAATGTTTTTTTGCACACCTACATTTCTGGGCAGCAAGCTCTTTATAGGTTGTTAGGTCAATAGTAACAATTACTAAAGAGCTGAGCGGTGGCTCTTTTTTTTTTTTTTTCGTGTCTGCTTCTATCTCTTCCTGTTTTCTAAGGGTTGCTACCGTGACGTTAGGTAATGTATAGGAAATAATTTACTTCCTATTTCTGGGCCATACCAAGTTTTATCTCTGCTTGAGTCTCTTCCAGGTTGCTTGAAATGGTGCTTTTCTCAGTTAAACGTGGACTTGACATAAAGGCCAAGCCACAGGAGGCTGCCCTCTTTTATTTTATTTTATTTTCTAAGGCTCAGGGAGCATCTCTCCGTTCTCTGAGATGCTGCCTGCAGAGTAGGAACTGGGAGAGAACACTAAAATGCCCTCTCAGCAAAGAGTAGCGAGCTCCCTACAGAGAGTGAGAGCACGGGCTCTTGAGCTCATCTCTTCTCTGTGGGGCCAGCCCAGTGGTCCTTTCTGGACCTGTGGGTGTCTTCTCTGGGCAACCAGATCATTGTGTTTGAATCAGAGCATCATTGGCTGAAAACACTCCACTGTTTATAAAGGTATGTAACATGCTCCATGACATAAGCATATATAAAATGTCAGTTAAAAAAAAACTCTTTTACTCTATGTTCTTAATGATATATTTATCTTCAAGCACGCAGTTAAAGGGAAAATGCTACGTAAAACTGTGTGTGACCCAGTTCAAGTAATTCTCTCATGTGCTTAATACTGCTGTTGCTTTTGTCAAAATATTTACTACAATTCAAAATGGCTGTCAGAAACCAGGTCCACAATCCATGTTCTACTAAACAGAAAAACATTTATAAGAAAATTTATTGCTTTATAAACTGTTTTTTTTCCCAGTGATGAACCTAATTAAACTGAAAGTGTGAATTGGTTAGAACATATTAGCCCAAGTATGTGTGGTATATATATACACATATATATGTATGTTTTATTAGGCCAAGTTTTTTATTTGTATATAATATAATTGAAATATCAAGGTATTTGATAGAGCTACTATTTATAGCAATTCTACTGATCAGCCACCCAAGGGTAGCATTTTTCAATGAGATTTACAAGGGCCAATAGTCCATGTATTTATACACATATCTGACTTCCCAGTATCCAAAATAGCAAAGAGCTGGAGGCTATCTCAGATCAGCCATGGAAGCCATGCTCTGAGAGGTAACGTGTTTCTCCTTTCCCGTAGCAAATCTTTCTGTAAGAATGAAACCAGAGATGTTATCTACCAAAATGCAACGAGGGACAGGATGCAACTTAGAAAAATGGTAACATTAGCTGACTGGGAAAAACAGAATCAACGTCAGGGCCAGTTTAAAATAATATGCCTTTTAACCACCCTCGCTTTATTGCCCCAGCTAAGAGCAAGTATTTAGGACCATAGGCTAATATTAATCAGAGAGAACACTTAGGTTCTGTGGCAATGTTGGGGTCTGTGAGATTTGCTTCCTTAGCTGTGCTTCCGCTGGGAAGCTGGGGAGGGTTGGTCCTGAAGGAGGAGTGCCATGTGAGCAGGGTTACCCAAAAGCACCTGCCTAGGGGAAATGGGCTCACTATCAGGCGCCGTGGAGTTACCAGCTAGAGAGACTTTTCTCCTGGTAGAGACCATGAACATCATGTAAGCAGAGAACCAAGACTGTAAAAGGGAGGTAGGGTAGGCTGTTTGGTTAGGGGAGTGGGGCAGGAACAGACACAGGGAGAGTCTACCACGTCTGGACAAATCACATCTATGGTTTTATCCAATCCTTTGAACAAATGAACATGAGCCCCACTTTTCAGATAAGGAAAACACAGCATGGAGAGTTTAAGTGACTTATTCCAGGTTACAGGGTTTATAGGTAGCAGAGCAAAGGTTCAAAGACAGGTCTTATCTCCAGGGTCTGGGAACTTTACCCACCATGCTGCCTGTCTGGGTGTGGCATGGCAGGGAAGGCTGAGTTATGCTGGAAGGTCACACTCAGGGATTTCTGCAGAGTGACTTTGGGGCATAGGTAGGAAGCTTGTTCTCAGTACTGGCTTGTTACCAAGTGAGAGATCTTTGTATGTTTTCATTGCTTTCCTTGTAGTTCCTTTTTTTTTCTTCTTTTTTTCTTTTTTGGAGCTGTAATCTCGCTCTGTCACCCAGGTTGGAGTGCAGTGGCATGATCAGCTCACTACAACCTCTACCTTCTGGGTTAAAGCGATTCTTCTGCCTCAGCCTCCTGAGTAGCTGGGATTATAGGTGCTCACCACCACAACTGGCTAATTTTTTTGTATTTTTAGTAGAGAAGGGGTTTCGCCATTTTGGCTAGGCTGGTCTCTAACGCTTGACCTCAGGTGATCTATCTGCCTCGGCCTCCCAAAGTGCTGAGATTACAGGCGTGAGCTACCACACCCAGCCCCTTGTAGTTTCTTTATGATCACTTTGTATTCATAGCAATGTTGGAGCTTTTCCAGATATGGTAAATGGTAGTGATGTCAATTTTCCTTTGAATATATAAGGGTACATAAGAAAAAGTGAGTTGATATAAAGAAAATGAAAGGAAAATGGTCTGTGCAGAGTCGGTGTTTCTCCAAGGGTAGGCTGTGGTACTCGTGGCTAGGGTCGGTTCTAGATACACTATGGATGCTGCAGTAAATAACATTGACTCACACACTGGGAAGGTTGTTCCTGTTTTGATTCTATTTACGTATTTATTACTTTCATAAATTAGCCTCTTTGTTTTGAGAACATTGCAGATTCACCTGCAGTTGTAAGAAAAAAATACAGAGAGATCCCATGTGTTTTTTACCCAGTTTCCTCCAATAGCAACATCTTGCAAATCACAATCAAAATATTGACAGTGATATAGTCAAGATACAGAACATTTCTGTCACCGCAAGGATGCGTCGTGGACACCCCAAATCCCTCCTGCTCTCCTCCTCTCTCTCTCCCCCCCAACCCCTTAACCCCAAGCAATCACTAGTCTGTCCTCCAGTTTTATAATTTGTCATTTCAAGAATGTTATATGAATGGAATCATTCAGTGTGGTGTGTAGCCTTTGGGGACTGACTTTTTTCATTCAGCATAATTCTCTAGAGATTCATCCAAATGTTTCATGTGTCAACGGTATGCTTCTTTTTATTGCTCAGTAGTGTTCTGTGATATGGATGTACCACAGTTGGTTTAAATATTCATTGTTGAAGGGCATCTGGGCTGATGCCAATTTTTGACTATTACAAATAAAGCTTTAGAAACATTCATGTACAAGCTTTTGTGTGAACGTAAGTTTTCATTGTGAAATAAATGCCCAGGAGTGCAGTTGCTGGGTTGAATAATAGTCCCATGTTTGATTTGTTAAGAAATGGCCACCCTTTTTTCCAGAATGGCTGTGCCACTTCACATCCACACCGAAATGGATCCTGGCAACGTGGGCAGTGTTTCCAGATCCTCGCCAGCATTTGCTGTTTCACTATTTTTTATTCTAGCCATTCTGACAGGTGTGAAGTGATATTTTATTGTGGCTTTAATTTATATTTCCCAGGTGGCTAAAGATGTTGAACACCTTTTCGTGTGCTTATCTGCTGGCTGTATACCGTTTTTGGTGATAACTTGCTTCATGTGTTTGCACACTTTCTAATTGGATTGTTGTTGGTTTTTTTTTAACTGTTAAATTTTCATAGTTCTGTATAGATTTTAAATATAAGTCCCTTGTCAGATATGTTGTTTGTGAATACTTTCTCCAGATCTGTAGCTAGTTTTTTATTCTCTTATTATAAGCAGGGGTTTGCACAGAGCAAAAAAAAAAAAATTAACTTCGATGAGGTCCATTTTATTATATTTTCCTTTTATGGCTCATACTTTTTGTTTCAAGTCTAGGAACTCTTTCCCACTTTAGAAGTCCTAAAGATTTTCTCCTGTGCTTTTTTTCCCCTAAGCTTTTACAGTTTTATATTTCACATTTAAGACTGTTTTAAATATTTTGAGTTAATTTCTATATAAGTAAGATGTGAGGTTTAGGTCAAGGTTTTTTTTTTCTTTTTTCTTTTGCCTGCGGAAGTCAATTGTTTCAGCATCATTTGTTGAAACATCTACACTCTCTCTACAGAACTGCTTTCAACCTTTGTCAAAAAATCAGTTGGCTGAGGCAGGAGAATTGCTTGAACCCAGGAGGCAGAGGTTGCACTGAGCTGAGATCGTGCCACTGCACTCCAGCCTGGGTGACAGAGCAAGACTCCATCTCAAAAGAAAAAAAAATCAGTTGGGTATATTTGTGCAGATTGATTTATGTTTTTTTTTTTAATTATTTTGTTCTACTCATGTCTGTGTCTATTCTGACAATACAGTCTTGATTACTTTGGCTATATAATAAGTTATCAAGTTAGGTAGACTGATTCTTTACACTTTATTATCTTTCTTCAAACTTGTTTGAGTTATTCCAGTTCTTTTGCCTTTCTATATAAATTTTAGAATAATCTTGTCTATGCCCACAAAAATATCTTACTAGGGTTTTGATAGGAATTGCATTAAACCTGTATATCAATTTAGGGAGAATTGACATTTTTACTATGTTGAATCTTCCAATGCATGAACACAATATGCCTCTTTATTATTTAGACTTTATTTGAGTTAGTTCATCAGTGTTTTGTAGTTTTCAGTGCGTAAGTCTTGTACATGTTTTATTAGATTTACAACTACATATTTCGTTTTTCATTTAATTTTGGTTTTCAACCATTCATAGCTAGTATATAGAAATGTAATTGACTTTTGTGTGTTGATCTTGTATCCTGTGTCCTTGCTGCACTCACTTATTAGTGCGAGGAGGTTTTTTTTTTTTTTTTTTTGTAGATTCTTTGAGAATTTGTATGTAGACAATAATCTCATCTGCAAGTAGGGATAGTTTTATTTTTTCATTTCCTGCTTGCAAGTCTTTCCTTTCCCTGTATTTTGTATTTCTTTCTTGCTTTATTTTACTGGCTAAAACTTTCAGTCATCTTCTGAATGAGAGTGATGAGAGTGGACATCTTTCTTTTTCCTGATCTTAGGGAGAAAACATTCAGTTTTTCACCGTTAAGTATAATGTAAACTTTGGTGTTTTGTAGATGCTTTTAATCACATTAAGAGATTTCCGTCTATTTCTATTTTCCAACGAGATTTTATTATGAATGGGTGTTGAATTTTGTCAAAAGCGTTTTCTACATCAATTGATATAATTATGTGATTTTTCTTTTTACCCTGTTAATATGGTGGATTATACTGAATGCATTCCTGGAATCCTTGTTCAAGGTGTATAATTTTTTTCTTATCACAGAATTCTATTTGCTGATATTTTGGGAGAGGTTTTGAGTCTGTGTTCATGAGGGATATTCGTCTGTAGTTGTCTTTTCATGCTGTCTTTGTCTAGTTTGGTCGCAGGGTAATACCTAGGTGCTTAAAATTAACTGGGAAGTGTTATTTCCTTTTCTGTTTTCCGGATAAAGTTGCGTCGAATTTGTGTTAATTCTTCTTTTAAAGTTAGAATTCTCCACATCAGGGCCTGGAGACTTCTTAGCAGGGAGCTTCAAAATTGCAAATTCAATCTGATAAATAGTTATAGTGTGATTCTCATGTGATTCAAATGATCTGTTTCCCATTAGGTGGATCATGGTAGTTTGCGCTTTTTGAGGAATTGGTCCACTTCATCTAAGTCATCAAATTTATGTGAGCTGAGTTATTTACGGTATTCCCTTAAGGTCATTTTAATGTCTGCAGGGTCTGTAGTGATAGCCCATTTTCCTTCCTGACATTGATAGTTTGTGTCTTCTCTCATTTGTCCTTTGTCAGTTTTTGTAGAGATTCTAAAGACCAATTTTAGGCTGGGCACAGTGGCTCATGCCTATAATCCCAGCACTTTGGGAGGCTGAGATGGGTGGATCACTTGAGGCCAGGAGTTCGAAACCAGCCTGGCCAACGTGGTGAAATCCTGTCTCTACTAAAAATACAAAAATTAGCCCGGTGTGGTGGTGCGCACCTGTAATCCCAGCATGTTGCAAGCTGAGGCAGGAGGATCAGTTGAGGTCAGGAGTTTGAGACCAGCCTGGCCAACATGATGAAACCCTATCTCTACTAAAAATACAAAAATTAGCCGGGCATGATGGCAGACACCTGTAATCCCAGCTACTCGGGAGGCTGAGGCAGGAGAATGTTTTGAACCCAGGAGGCAGAGGTTGCAGTGAGCCAAGATCATGCCACTTCACTCTAGCCTGGGCAATAGAGCAAGACTCTGTCTCAAAAAAAAAAGGTGAATTTTATTAATCTTGTCCAAGAAAAAGCTCTTTCTTTCATTGATTTTCTCTATTATTTTTCTGTTTTGATTTGACCTATTTCTTCTCCTACCTTTATTATCTCCTTTCTTCCGCTTGCTCTGGATTTATTATGCTTTCCTTTTACTACAGTCAAGTGGGAGTCTAGAGTCTTGATTTGAAACCCTCCCTCTTTTTCTTTTTCTTTTTAAACAATTAATAGCAGTTTATTTTAAAACATTTTTGTGGGTACATAGTAGGTGTATATATTTGTGGGGTACATGAAATGTTTTGATACAGGCATGCAGTGTGAAATCATCACACTGTGGGAAATGCTCCTCTTTTCTAATGTAAACATTTAGTGCTATAAATTTCCCTCCCAGCACTGCTTTAGCTATGTGCCACAAATTTTGAGATGTATTTTTGTTTTCACACGTCAGTGTATTTTTTGATTACCCTGGGGGCTTCCTCTTTGACCCATGGATTATTTAGAACTGTGTGCCATTTTGTTTTCAAGTATATGAAGCTGTCCTGTTATCTTTCTGTTGTTGATTCATAGTTTGATTCCGTTGTCGTCAGAGAACATGCTTTGTATGATTTTAATTCTTTAAATTTGTTGAGGTTGATTTTATGGCCTGGAATGTGGTCTATCTTGATGTAGCAGTCTGGGTCCAATCAGGAAGTAGGAGCCATACAATAGGCTAAATGAGAGAAGCTGATGATAAGAATTACTAACTATAATGAAGAGGGACTATAAGACATAAGGGAACTCCATGTGGCACCCTAGGATTGAGATTCAGCTTCTCAACTGAAAGAGACAGCTTCCATTTCTCCCAGCAAGGACACACGTGGAAGGAGTCAGACCTCCCTGGAAGAGATGTGATTTGCCCACTGGATAGCAGAGGAGTTGGCTGGCTTAGCAAGACTGAAGCTTATCTGGAGTTGCTGGGCAAACAATGGGCAACTTTCTGGAGTACAGGTGGGAGGTGGCAGGCAATCTACAACCAGAGACGTGGGTGTGTTATGGGAGTCTGGCACTAGTGGGACAGAAGTCTCCAGAGCTCCCAGAAAGACAGTGTGCCGGCTGTGTGGTTGCAGAAGGAGCAGATCCATGTGAACCCCCCAGCCACAGGCAGGCTGTGCAACAGCTTTGGTTTTTATGTTGTGGGGGCTGCAGACAGATTACTGCTGGGCTGAGGCTGCAAGGTTGCAGAGGGAGTGAGTCCTGGGGCCTGTGGCTGGGAGGGGGAACTCCATGGCATGTCCTCATACCCACACCACTGGCCCTCTCGTGGGCCCCTCCTGGAAACTGCAGGAAGCCTCTTCCTCCTGCAATGACCCTCCAACATCCTCTGTTGGAAAAACTTAGCACTGTGTCCACTTTAAAGGAGAAAATCTTTAAAAGTTTGCATCCCTTATCATACAGCATGTATTGAATGGCATTTTTTGGAGCTGAGAGGCAATAAATTTCTATCTGGCACAGTCTATCCCTTTGCCTGTGCAGCCCCATGTGTACCCTTTACATGCATGTGAACTTTCTTACAACAGAATGGCTCTGTATTTCCACCTAACAAGATACATCCATGCTTCTAGCAAGTGAAGAGGTTCTCACTTGTTCGAAATGAGCAGATGCAGTCATTGTACTCAGCACAGGCTGTATCAATTGCTCTTCAAATTCAGTCAAGCTCTCACTGAATATTCTGTTCCCTAAAGCCTAAATTGTAAAGTTAACTTCCAATAACTCATATATAAAAATTTAAAACATGAAGTAGGAGAAAGAAGTAGAGAATGATTAGTAAAGATAAAATAAAACTCATTCATATAACACACATAGAGACCATACACAAACCCCCTCCAGTCCTCGTTTATATAATTGATCATGAAGTTGTAGTTCATATCTGTGACTTTCTTCTTCCACCACCCATTCCACATCTTCCTTGACCTCAGCTGCCCTGGGTTCTTTACCTCTTGGAATATCTACTAACTCCTGAAAAGTATGAGTATGTACTTTTCTCCCAAATTGCAGTTGTTCCACTATGTGGCAACAGGTCCCTTTGAGAAGGCATAAAGAAAGATTTACAGTGTATCCTTTTGGCAATAGTAGAGTGTCCTTTTCAAGGGGACCTGGCTTTCCCTTCAATCAAGGGCCTGTAGGTCTGCAAACTGCCTTAGTTCTGAAAACTGGGTAAAGGGCCGTGAGTCTCCATTTGATGACTGAGTCACGTTACTTGCCACCACACTTAGGACTTTTCCTATGATTTCCTATGATATCATAGTAGACTGACTGGTCTTTCCCTCCGAGGGACAACGTGATCAGTTAGTTACTGCTAAGATCTCTGCGAGCCAAAGAATTCGGATTCCTGCCATTCCCTGTTGCTCCCGTGGCACGCTCACCTTCTCTTTGGCAATGAAGTGATGCCACTTGGTCCTCTGCTATTCTGGGACCCCCCAACAACCACAGTGAAATGAGGGAGCCTGTCTCAATAGTGGTGTCCCCTACAGCTCTTCCTGGCCTGGAAAAAGAGCAACCACAGATCTTTTCGGGGATGCGGATGCTCCCCTCATTAATGCATTTCTCAGCGCCCTCCTGAAGAGGGGCCTTCTGGGTCTTCTTGAGGCATGCCGCTGGGAGAGTTGGAGGTTGCCTGTGATACACCCGGCCCAGCAGGCATATTTCCCATAGTCTTTAGAGCCCCTCCTCTGTGTCATGCCAGGGAAGCTCCAGCATTCCGGCCTCACTAAATGCAGGTCACCATCATTTCCAGATTTCAGTCAACCAACCTAGGAAGCTGTTAAAGCCACATCCAGCTGCACAACTAATACACTAAATTGAGACTCTCTGGTAAGTGCACTCCTGTCAATGAATTTGGTCCAATGGCTGGTGGTGTTTTCTGCCCTCCTTGGTATAAACCCACAGAATCCATTTGCACACACATGTTCCCTAGGATTCTGCTGACATATTAGCCAGGGCGTTCAGCTCTTCTGGTGTGTGAGCCATTTCCTTCTGGGTCATAGTGAGCACCTGTCTCCTTGGGCCATGCTGAGATTTGACTCAGTTAAATCTAGTTAAGTCTAGAGGGAGCAGGGGCTTGTTGTGGTGGGTTCTGAGAAGGATCAGTATTCCCTTTCAAGGCATCTACCCTAAGTGAAGGCATCATAAGGTTTTCCAGCTCAGGAAGTCTGGCCTCTGTGGACAGTGGAGGGGAAGCTGCTGCCACTTGTACGGGAGGCTCAGAATGACCTGGAGGTCAATGTTGTCAGTTTCTCTAGGTCCAACAAGATGTCCTCACCTCGAGTTTTAGGATCCCCTTTTTTCCTGATTAGTGCCCAAATTTTCACATGAGAAGCTTGGCATGACTGTGAATTCAACTGCCATTTTAATTCAGTAACTTGCACCATTAATTTTTTTGTTTGATTTTCAGCAACATCAGCCCTGTGGCTACAAAAATGAGACATTCTTTGAGGGCTGTCATGGAGGCTGTGTGATCCTCAGATCATGACTCAAGGTGGGAATTAATGGACCTGAGCTTGTCATTTTCTCTCTGTAAGTGCTCAAGGACGCGAAAAGAAATCCATTTCATACCACATCCCTTATGGTCATCATTCCTGCCATACAGCAGGAGCAGAAGCCACTTGAGCTTCCAAGGCACATGTTCTAAATTGGCACTTTGCCGCAATTGACCACAGGTGATGGCTTTATTAATTGTGATGCTTTTGTACCTCACAGGTTACAAGAGTCACATTTCTCATTGTCAAGGAGCTCAACACTGTGCTCACATCCAAAAGCACAACCACACTAGTCCCTAAATCCCATCATTAGGGATCTCTTGGGACCATTCCCAGAGACAATTCTGTAGACTTCTGTGCCCAGTCAGAAGACAGAAACCACCCAGTGGGTTATGCAGGGGAAACTTGGCGTAGGAATGATTAGTTACAATGAAAGAGTGACTATTAGGTACAAGGAAACTCTATAGGGTACCCTAAGATTGAGGGAGAGTACTCAAGAAACAACACACTTGGAAGGCATTCAGGTCTCATTGGAGAAGCTGTGATTTTAGCCACCAGAAAGCAGAGAAGTTGGCTGATTCAGCTAGACTTGAGATTGTGTGGAGTTGCTAGGCAAACAGCTGACAACCCTCTGGGGTGCTGCTGGATAGCAGACCATGCACAAGCAGAGATGTGGGCATGCATCTGGGAGCCTGGGCACAGCAGGACAGAAGGCTTTGGAGCTTGTGGCATGCATAGAGGAAGTGGGGCTTGCAGAGGAAACGGCCACTGTGTGTGGACTCCTGGCCACGGGAGGCTAGCTGGCTTTACGCGGCTTTAGTTTCCCTGTCTGGAAGGCTGCAGATGGATTATCCCTGATCCAAGGCTGTAGGCTGCACAGGGAGCACTTTTGCAGCCTGCGGTTCAGGCTGGTTCTCTCAGATACCACCGCATAATGGTTGCTCTAGGTATTACATTTTATATATATGGAACTTATCATAGTCTGCTGGTGTCGTTATTTTACCAGTTGGAGTGAAGAGTAGAAATCTCACCTCCATTTATGCCCTCACATTTAGAATTATCTTAAATATTTCCTTTACATACATTTAGAACCATATCAGACAGTGTTATAATTTTTGTTTCAGCCACCAAACATGATTAAGAAAACTTGCTCGGGAGTGTTGGCTCATGCCTGTAATCCCAGGACTTTGGGATGCCAAGGCAGGAGGATTGCTTGAGCCCAGGAGGTTGAGGCTGCAGTGATCCATGTACGCACCACTGATCAATGTATGTGCACTCCAGCCTGGGTGACAAAGCAAGACCCTGTCTCAAAAACAAAAAAAACAAAAAACAAAACAAACAAAAAAACACCCCAAAACAAAAAAGAAAAACTCAAAAGGGAATGTTTTTACCCACTTTTTTACTGTTTCCATTGTTCTTTTTTCCTTCCTGATGTTCCAAGTTTCTCTTTTTGTTACATCCTTTCTGTTTAGAGAACTTTCATTCTTTGAGGGTGGGCCTGCTGGTGACAGATTCTATTTGTTTTCATTTATTTGCGAATATCTTGATTTCCCCTTCATTCCAGGAGGATATTTTCACCGGATATAAAATTTTGGGCTGACACTTCCTTTCCATCAGCTCTTGAAAAATGTGATACCCTTTTCTACTTGCCTCCAAGTTTCTGATGAGAACCTGCTTTCATTAGAATTGTTTTTTCTGTAGCTAAGGCATTGTTTCTCACTTGCTTCTTTCAATATTTTTTATCTTTAGAGTTCAGGAGTTTGACTATGACGTGCTTTGGTGTGGATTTCTTTGGGTTTATCCTGGTGGTGGGGGTGGGGGTGGGTGGTTCTCTCAGCTTCCTGAACTTGTAGCTTTATGTCTTCTGCCAAATTGAAGCTCCTGAACATTATTTGAGCACTTTTTAAGCTCATCTTCTTTCTCTTCTCCTTCCCAGGCTCTGATGATAGGAATATTAGACCTTTTGTTAGTGCCATGGGTCCCTGAGGCTGTTCATTTTTTTTTTATTTTTTTTAATTTTCATCCTGTTTTCTCTCTGTTGCTCAGATTGGGTAATTTCCATTGTCCTATCTTCAAGTTCACCGATTCTTTTTTTCTGTCCTGTCCATTTTGCTGTTGAGGGCATCCACTGAGTTTTTACATTTTTGATTATAGTATTTTTCATTTCTATTATTTCCATGTAGTTCTTCTTTTATCTTCTATGTCTTTGCTGGGGCTTTCTATGTTTCCTTTGTTTCAAGCATATTTGTAAGTGTTCATGGGAACATTTTCATGATGGCTGCTTCATAGCTGTCAGGGAATCCCAGCACCTCTTGCATATTGGTGTTGGCATCTGTGCATTGTCTTTTTCCTTTCAGTTTGAGGTCTTCTTGGTTCGTGGTATGACAAATGATTTTTAATTGAGACTTGGACATTTTGGGCATTATGGTATGAGAGTCTGGGTTTAGTGACCCTTCTGTGTTAGCTGGCTTCCTTTGCTACTGCTCTGACTGGGGAAGAGATGAGTGGAAGTTGAGGTTCCCTACTCAGCCTCTGTTGGTACTCATTGGGAAGGCCCTGTTACCTCCTGGGAAGGATAGTAGCACTGGCTTTCTGCCAGGCCTTTACTGACATTTCCCTGTCTGGAAGAGCTAGGAATGCCTTATTATTGCCTCCCACAGAAAGAGGGAGTGGATTAACACACTGTGGCACACCCACACCGTAAAACAGGACTTGGCAAGGAAAAGGAATGAATGATTGGAGCACACAACAGCTTGGATGGCTCTCAAAGGTATTGTCCTGAATGAAAGAAGCTGGACCAAAAAAGCCGCATAATATGTGGTTGCATTTATAGGACATTCTGGAAAAGACAAACTTATAGGGACAGAAAACAGATCTGTGGTTGCCAGAGGCTGGAGGTGGAGGAAGGGATTGACCAGAGAGGGAGGCATGATTTGGGGATGTGATGGCCTTCTTGATTATGTTGGTTGTTACACGACTGTATTTACTTGTCAAAATTCACAGAACTGTACACTAAAGAGGGTGCATTTTACTGTATGTAAATTGTACCTTAATTAAAAAAATACATCCCATTGAGAGATGGAGAAATTTGAGGAACATGATCTCTTGCCACCTGTCAGTCTGCAGCCATAGAATCATGTTGGGTCCTAACTGACATACCTTTTCTGAGTAACCCCCCTAGACCCACTGTAACACGCATGTGTATTTCGCTTTAGTGCGTACATTATGTCCATTTATAAAGAGTGCCTATCCATACCTTGTAGTTCTGACATGGGCAGTTTAAGAGGTAGGGTTAACTCATATAATATTCTGAATCACGTCAGTATTTGGGACGCTTCTTCCTACCCTTTATTTGAATTCAGCACTGCATCTGTTTGCTATTTTCCTGGATAATTATTGTAATTATATAAAAGAATAACCATCATCAATACAATATTCTGAATTCATTATTTCACATCCTAAACAAATCTGTTGATAGCCTGCTAGGCAATCACGAATCGTGGTGCTATGTAACATTTTATTTTGTGTTCTAAGCCACGAGGAATCAAGATAAACCTCCAACACAGCCAGGCCCATACTGGAAAGATCTGCCCTTGGCACACAACAGCCAGCAGAGGTCACCTTCCAAGTGGCCCTCAGTGGTGGAAGGAGAGCAGTTCTGGATGGCAGTTCTCATCCTTGTGCTGGCCTTGTCTTCTGTCCAGCAATAAAGCTTTAGGCTTTGCTTTCTCCATTTGCCGTGGAGGAGAGTAACAGTCACAGCAGTAATCAAGACAGGCGTCTTGTCATTTAATTAAGCATGGCATCCCTAGTATCCATAATTTCAGGTCATTAGGTACCCAGACATTGTTCTCTCCATTTTGCAGATGAGGAAACAAAAGCCCAGGGAAATAGTATACTTGCCCAGAAAGAATTTAAAAAAATATTGTTGAGCAGGCTAGCGTCTGTGGGTGCAGTTCCTCTGATTCAGTGTGTCATGCCGCAAACATGCCAGGCACATTCCCACCTCAGGGCCTTTGCACTGGCTGTTTGCATCCATTGGCCTTTGCATTGCAGGAAACACTCTTACCCCAGGTACCAGCATGGCTCATTCCACCACTAGGTTCCCATGTTAAAACCAGGCAAGTCTAGGACAAACTAGGACGAGTTGGTATACAGTAGACCAGTAAATGAAAGAGCTTGTGTTATGGAGCTGACATTCTTGTTAGGGATGCTCACCTGGCCCATCTCATTTAAAATTGCACTCTTCCCTCACTGGCTGGACGAGGACGGTCTCTCCTGGGATTGCTTGGCTCAGCTCCACATGGTCGCTCATCCTCCTGGGAGCTCATCTGGGCTTGTTCTCATGGCAGAAGCAGAGCAGAAGCGTGCAAGCTTCTTGGGACCTAGGCACACCATCCCTAATGTGACACGATGTTGCCTGGAGTTGAGGAGTGGAGAAAAAGTCTCCAGATCTTGATGGGAGGAGTAGCAAAGTGCCCTTGCAGAAGCCACAGAAACAGAAAGGTGTGAAGAAGCGAGGCTGTTTTTCCGATCTGCTCACAGTACTTCTCAGTACCTCCAACTCAGCCAGTTTTTCTTTTGGTTTTGAATTTTGTCTTATTTCCTGGTTTAATCAACAGATGCGGCGAGAAGCTTGTATTTTTGGCACATGTTGTACCAAAAATACTGGAAACACTGGAGTCGTGTTTAGCAGTAGCTGTGAGGGCCATGTGGGGCTGAGCCTGCTTGAGGGAACCAGGGCTTCAAGCCCCCTCCTTTCACTTGGGCATTATGAGTTGACAGCTAGGAGCATTACCAAGTGGTGGAAATTGTTATTTTCTTATGCAGCCTGTGAGGTTGAATTCAAGTGAATTAAATTTGCACGTTAAGGGACTCTGCTGTATAAACCTTTGGGAATTTCTGAGAAGTAGACCAGAACAGCATGGTTTGGCTCAAGTAAGTGAGGAACCTCTTCAGAGGAGTTTCACATAAAAATGCCTTCCCTTTTTCTCAAATGTGATAATTTAAGTCAGGCCATTTCTTTATAGTCTTATCTAAGGCTATAATTCATTCACTCAACCAATATTTATTGAACACCTGCTATGTGCCAGGTAGTATACAGGGCCCTGGGCCATCCTGGGTCAGTGATGGATACTATGCAGTCATTCAGTATAATGGTTCAGAAAGAGTCTCATGCCTTGAAAAAAATGTATTAATAACTCACTCTACAACTTGGATATACTAAAAGAAAATATTCCTTTACTTTTCCATAGCTGATCGGATCTTCTCTAAGATCAGTGGGAGTGGAAGAAAAAACATGTATTTATTGATTCCATTAGGCTTTTACTTTGGCCAGGCATGTTTACAGTTCATTTGAGTATCACATGATGCCATGGGGGAGGTGTCAATATTTTTCCATTTTACAAACAAGAAAACCGAGTCCTAGGGAGGCTGTGCAGCTCATCTGAGTCACAGGACTTGGAAATGCATGGTGGGATTTGGGTCGTCCTCCAGAGCCCGCTCTCTTTTAAACACTCTATCAAATAAACACCCAGTCTCCTTATGTCCCCATATGTCGTGTCCTTTTACCCATCCTCCACCCCCAGCATGAAGGACTTGAAGGGCGGGGGGTCCACCCTGGAGCCCTCATTACAGAGCACCTCTTCCCACTAGTTGTCCCCACCCTGGCACACTGTGAGCTCCACGACAGACTCTGTTCATATCATGGGAGGACCACAGTGGCTCAGGACAGTGCAGCCCTGGGGCACCCACTGCCCGACCGTGCCTCACACCAGGTCACACATGGACAGCCTGTGAAGACGACTCTTTATAGAGTCCATCAATGGGAAGTTGGGGGATAGCCCTGGTGTTACCCCCGCTTGTACCTGCTCCTCTCTGGTTGAAGCCTGACCCTCCCACTTGCCTTCCTCCTCCGCACCCATCCGCTTCTCACTACAGTCCAGCGAAGGGCAGAGCTTCCTTTCACATCCTGGATTTGTTTCCTGAGCCTGCAGTAACAAATGACCACACACTGGGGGGCTCACAGCAACAGAATGGATTTTCTCACAGTGCAGGAGACCAGCGGCCTGAAATCAAGGCATCCTTGATTTTTAGAGGGAGGGGCCACCCTCCCTCTAAAGCTCTGGGTGGGAGAGGGCAAGGGAGGGTCCTTCCTGGCCTCTTTCAGTTCCTGGTGGCTCCAGGCATTCCCTGGCTTGTGGCTGGATTTTGCCCCATCTCTGCCTCCGTCCTCGCGTGGGTCTTCGCATGGCCTACCCCCTGGGTCCCTGCATCCTCTCCTTTTCTTATAAGGACACCATCAGTCACTGGATTTAGGGACCCCACTAAATCCAGTGTGATACCATTTTGAGATCCTTAACTTAATGATATCTGCAAAGACCCTATTTCCAAATAAGGTCCCAATCGCAGGTAGTAGGGGCAGGACTTGGATGCTATTTTGGAGAATACGATTCAACCCACCATGCTTCCCTTACATAAAGCTGCCCTCACCTATCAGGCAGCTAGGCCCATATCTTTGCTGTGCCACTGTTAGAGGGGCATCTTCTCTACAGGAGAGTTGTGGGCACAGGTCCTCCCTCCTTGGAGCGTGAAATATTAAACAAAGAGTGAAGGTAATTTTGAAAAACTCTTCACTCTCATAAACAATATCTGGCTTTCTAGACGATCATTTTATTTTATTTTATTTTGAGACAGAGTGTCACTCTCACCCAGGCTGGAGTGCAGTGGTGTGATCCTAGCTCACCGTAGCCTCAACCTCCTCAGTTCAAGCGGTTTTCCCACCTCAACCTCCTGAGTAGCTGGGACCACAGGCGTGTACCACCATGCCTGCCTAATTATTTATTTTTTGTAGAGATGGGGGTCTCACTATGTTGCCCAGGCTGGTCTCAAGCTCCCAGGCTCAAGCACAGATGATCATCTTATGAGAAATCTTTTTTATTTTTTATTTTACTTTAAAAGTTCTGGGATACATGTGCAGAACGTGCAGGCTTGTTACATAGGTATACATGTGCCATGGTGGTTTGCTACACACATCAACTTGTCATCTAGGTTTTAAGCCCTGCATGCGTTAGATATTTGTCCTAATGGTCTCCCTCCCCTTCCCCCCCGGCAACCCCACGACAGGCTCTGGTGTGTGATGTTCCCCTCCCTGTGTACATGTGTTCTCATTGTTCAACTCCCACTTATGAGTGAGAACATGCAGTGTTTGGTTTTCTGTTCCTGTGTTAGTTTGCTGAGAATGATGGCTTCCAGCTTCATCCATGTCCCTGCAAAGGACATGAACTCATTCTTTTTTATGGCTGCATACTATTCCATGGTGTATATGTGCCACATTTTCTTTATCCAGTCTATCACTGATGGGCATTTGGGTTGGTTCCAAGTCTTTGCTATTGTAAATAGTGCTGCAATAAACATATGTGTGAATGTATCTTTATAGTAGAATGATTTATAATCCTTTGGGTATATACCCAGTCATGGGATCGCTGGGTCAAATGGTATTTCTGGTTCCAGATCCTTGAGGAATCGCCACATTGTCTTCCACAATGGTTGAACTAATTTACACTCCCACCAACAGTGTAAAAGCATTCCTATTTCTCCACAGCCTTGTCAGCATGTGTTGTTTCCTGACTTTTTAATAATTGCCATTCTAACTGGCACGAGATGGTATCTCATTGTGGTTTTGATTTGCATTTCTCTAATGACCAGTGATGATGATCTTTTTTTCATATGTTTGTTGGCCGCATAAATTGTTTTCTTTTGAGAAGTATCTGTTCATATCCTTCGCCCACTTTTTGATGGGGTTGTTTTCCTCTTGTAAATTTGTCTAAGTTCCTTGTAGATTCTAGATATTAGACCTTTGTCAGATGAGTAGCTTGCAAAAATTTTCTCCCATTCTGTAGGTTGCCTGTTCACCCTGATGATAGCTTCTGTTGTTGTGCAGAAGCTCTTTAGTTTGATTAGATCCCATTTGTCAATTTTGGCTTTTGTTGCAATTGCTTTTGGTGTTTTAGTCATAAAGTCTTTGCCCATGCCTGTGTCCTGAATGGTATTGCCTAGGTTTTCTTCTAGGGTTTTTATGGTTTTGGGTTTTACATTTAAGTCTTTAATCCATCTTAATTTTTGTATAATGTGTAAGGAAGGGGTCCAGTTTCTGCTTTTTGCATATGGCTAGCCAGTTTTCCCAGCACCATTTAATAAATAGGGAATCCTTTCCCCATTGCTTATTTTTGTCAGGTTTGTCGAAGATCAGATGGTTGTAGATGTGTGGTGTTATTTCTGAGGTCTCTGTTCTGTTCCCTTGGTCTATATATCTGTTTTGGTACCAGTACCATGCTGTTTTGGTTACTGTAGCCTTGTAGTATAGTTTTTCTCATTCTGTGAAGAAAGTCACTGGTAGCTTGATGGGAATAACATTGAATCTATAAATTACTTTGGGCAGTATGGCCATCTTCATGATATTAATTTTTCCTTTCCATGAGCATGGAATGTTTTTCCATTTGTTTGTGTCCTCTCCTATTTCCTTGAGCAGTGGTTTGTAGTTCTCCTTGAAGAGGTCCTTTATGCCAATCTTATTCTGCATGCCAGCCCAGGCTTCCCTGTTCTCTCTGTCTTTCTTCACTGGAAGGAATATACTTCTCAACTCCTTGATCTTGGGTGAATCCCTCCATCTCTCAGCGCCTTATTCCTCTTGTTAGATTAATAACAGCACCTCCCTGCTGCGTGGATTAGATGGCTTAGGGCATGTGTAGACCTTGGGCCTGTGGCCTGGACATGGTGTCACATAAAGGTCAGCTCCCTGTGCTGTGAACCTGCAAAGCTTAGGCAGAAGATGTCTCAGGCAGATCAAGGTAATACTGATGGGCTTGGGAAAAAGAAAAAGAGAAAATTAGCTGAATAATTTTCAGCAGATTTTTCCCATTTTGCATTATGCTGTGATCAGTGCTTATAGGTAGCATCTGTTTAATCCTCGTTATCCACATTTTACAAATGAAAATCCTGAGGTTAGGGAACTTGCTGAGCTTCACAGGGAGGGGGTAAGTGGCAAAACCAGAACTCAAACCCAGGCTTTTTTCTTCTTCCACCAAGAAGACAGGGGACGGGGATGGCTGAGCGCAGCTGGCAGGCCCTCCCTCTTGCCAAAGCCAACCTGACATCAAGCTTCTCCTTCCACACATCTGCAACCGATTGACCATCTACAGGGAAACCACGTAATTTGTGTATGAAAATTAGGCAATTGCAGGGGACACTCCTCTCCTCCAACTTGCCTAAGCTTTCTGCACACTGTGTGTTTGTTTGTAAACTCTCTTCTGGCCTGCTCCTTTATCATAATTGTTTAGGCAAAACATATTTTGTCACTAAACAGAATGAATTTGGGTGAAGTCATAGTGGGAACTAACATGTGTTTGGCCCTGACAGGAAGTGGGCAGCCTCCCCTGCTTTTAGGGAGGCGTTGTTTCTAACCAGCTATTCTCACCCTCAGAGACCCTTCCAGACCCTTCTAGAATCTGACAAAAGTTAGGGCTGCTCTTGCTCTCTGGGAACATTCACCTGCGCACATAAGGTAAGTTGTAATTTCCCTTTGGGTCCTGGCTGGCCTAGATGCACATTCAAGTGGGTGGGCGACTGAGAGGGGTTTCAATGTGGGGCCATTTACCAAGTGTGGGCCTGGTTCTGGGAAGTTGGGGCACCTGAGGGCTGGCAGCAGTGGGGGAGTGTTACCCACTCCAGGCATGAGAGGCCAACGTGGGAACCGTGGTTGGACCTAGAGAGGGCCACCTAACGAAAGTCTGTCCCTGAGTAGAGGGACAAAGGCCACCTTGGAGCCAGGCCTGACCTTACCCTCCTGCCTGGACTTGCCAGCACCTCCCTTTGGGCAAGCCTAGCTGGGTGCTAGTGGACTAGGGAGCATGTTGCTGCAGCCTTGCAGGTACAGGGTCTACACCAAGGGTGTATCAGGTGAAGACTGTAAGTTAGGCAGGTGCTTTTCAAAGTAGAGGACCATACCACTCAGGTGTGCGAGAGCATGCATGGTGGCCTACAGATACATATTTGAAAAATTTTAATAGGTATTTATGTTAATGGTTCGTAGGGAAAATTGATCTTCTCTTTTTGGTGATGATTGATTCAGTATCCCCACCGCCCGCTTTTATGCCCAATTATTACAAGTATTTATTTCTTTTGGCCCCCTCGTTCCTGCAGTAGGCAAAACATGACATCATGGTTTATACCTTGCATTTCTTGGCTGATGAGGATAACTATCTTTTCACATCTCTTTTAAAAAACTGTTTTGATTTAAAACAATTTTCGAAGTTAATAGACAATTTTTAAGAGTAGTTTTAGGTTTGCAGAAAAATGAGGAGAAAGTACAGAGACCTCCCATCCACCTCTTTCAGCCTGTGTCCCCACTGTTTTCCCTGTTGTGAGCATCTTGCAAATGAGGGTGGTGCATTGGTTGCAACTGGTGAACCCACTGAGAGACACCAAAGTCCATAGTCTACACTAGGGTTCTCTCTTGGTATTGCATGTTCCATGAGTTTTGACAAATGTATAGTGGCAAGTATTTGGTATTACAGGATCAGAACAATCCCTTTCACTCCACCCACCTCTTCATCCCCTCCTCCCCCAACCCCTGGCAACCCCTGACCTTTTCACTGTCTCCATAGTTTTGCCTTTTCCAGAAGGTCATACAGTTGGAACCACACAAGACAAAGTCTTTTCAGATTGGCTTCTTTCACTTAGGAACATGCATTTAAGTTTCCTCTCTGTCTTTCTGTGGCTTGCCAGCTTATTTGCTAGCTTATTTCTTTTTATCGATGAATAATATTCCATTGTCTGGATGTGTGTTTACTGATGTTTACTGAAGGACATCTTGCTCACGTCCAGGTTTTTGCAATTACAATGCTGATGTTTACATCAGTGTGCAGGTTTTTGTGTGAATGTCAGTTTTCAACTCACTGGGCAATGATATAGTTCCTCTTCCTCCCTCCCCCCTTTTTTTTTACTTTCTGAAAATTGCGATACAACATACATAAAATATAACACTTTCACCATTGTGAAGCATACAGTTCAGTGGCATGAAGTGCATTCACATTGCATGCATCCCTTTTAAAGCAATGGTGTTCTAGGCATGAGGCTCTACACAGGTAGGGTGGGGACTGAGTAACAGCGTAAGTGGTCCCCATACGTGGCGGAGTGGGTGATGGTGGTCCAGGATGAACGGAAGTTTGGGAAACTTGTAACTACACCAGCCATCTTAGTACCCAAGTTCTATCTGCTAAACGTATCCAATATGCTTCTCCATGGCCTTCTCTTTCGGGGCCCTAAATGTAAATTCTAAAAACCTACTTATGGCATTTTCATGTTCTCTCTTTGCCCAGGCTCATTTGTGGTTTGCTTTTGCAAAGGAGGGCTTGGGAAATTGTCACTTCTTCTCTTCAAGTTTCTCCCACCTCTTTGTTCCCCTCTCCTCCATAAAGCTGCACATTTGCGCCAAAAGATATAACTGTTTGTGGGGGGGAATTGGGAGGAGGTGGGGAGCTGCACACGCGGCAGATGAGGGATGCGCCAAGTTCCCTGCGTGTGGGAGCCTGGGGATGGCAACAGGGTGAGGGCTTGGCATTCAGTCCAGGTGACCAAGGGGCTGTCCCGGACCCTTCCCTCGCTCAAAGAGGTAAGCCTTCTAGCGAGCTGCTTTCCCAGCCCCGGCCCCCAGCTTCCCCATCAGTCCAATGGGGACAATAGGACTTGCCATCTCCTTGATTCAGAGTGAGCAAAATTATCTGCAGCTTTTTGAGGTTTTCCTGAGAAAAGCGTCATCTCCCTCGAGGAAGGTGTTAGTCAGCTGTCATCTTGCCAGCAGGGATCAGCTGTTACTCAAAGGCGTCAATTTCGCAGTGATCACAGAACAGGCTGCAGAGAGCACAAAATGATCATCGTGGCAGGTGTGTCGGAAACATAGCGCTCTTTTCCTGGCATTTCTACTTTGAAGCCCCAAGCCTCCCACCCTATGAGAGTCAGTTCTGGGCTCCTTTTCCTCCTCCCCCTACCCCCAGGTTGGGCTAAAGTTTTTGGGGGGCACATGATACTCAGCCCTCAGCTCCCCAGGCAGGCCCCCACTGAGACACCCCTCGGGTGACAACCCCCTCAATTTGGCCCCATTTTCCCAGTCACTTCAGGGCCTTTCTGGGTGCTCTGAAATTCGTCCTGCAGCGAGAGCTCTGCGTGTGCCTCGTCCTCCTGCCTGGACGCACACTCCGGGCTGTTGATGCTCTGTGTCCTGGCACCCCTCTTTCCAGACTGCCCTGGGGAATGGAGCAGGAATTGCCACTGAGGCAGGAGCTGGACGGACTTATTTCTCCCTTCCTCCCTTCCGTGACCTCCCCACCCATGACCATTATAACCGGGGGATCAGGACAGGAGGCTTGTACTCATCCAGTTTCCTTAGGGTTTGGGGCTTTTGGAATTAAAACGCCTTTACTGAGTTTCTGCCACAGGAAGACAGAAGCCCTGCTCACCTATTCTCCGACTCAGCATTTAAGAGCCAACTGCAGGCAGTGCTTCTGTGTCTGATGGCTCCCTGTGGCCACAGAGCCTACCCCGTGCATTCATGCGTGCAGCTGGAAATGCCAGGACATGGCTGCTCCCACAGGCAGTCCCGATGCAGGCAGCTCACTTGCCCCTGGGGTGCATGTTCTACATGATCTCCTGGTGTCCCCCAGTGGGATTAAGCTCCAGTCACCCACAGTGGGGACTTGCTGGACATTTTGTAGCCTCCTTCACCCCCAGCCTTCCCATTTCCTTACAAGTGTTTCCTGGGATCACCTCCCAAATAAAATACTTGGGAATGGAATCCTTTTCTCAGGAACCCACCCCGAGACAGCATCCCTTGCTAGAGGCGATGCATGGAGACTGCTGAGCTGACGGATGGGGGAAGAGACAAGGGTAGGAGGAAGACAGGGTGGGGGAGGAACCGGTAGTTAATAGTTCAAAATATTATGGCGTATAATTGAAAACTGAAATAAATGGAGCGCTTACTCTGTGCTGGGCACAGCACTTGGTGTTTTCACATAACTTATTTCATCTGAACCTCCTGGTGGCTCTGCCCCAATGCCACTGTTCTTAGAGATGAGGAAACAGTCTCAGGGCCACCCTCTAGCAAGATGGTTAAGCAGAGACAGAAATTCAGGCCTACTGGTCTCCTGGGGAGGTTCCTGAAATTCTCAGCTAGTAGAAAGGTTGCAGCGTCTTGAGGTAAGCCTTTATCTTCCATTCCTATTAGCTCTTATCCGTTCTGGCAGCTACCTGTTAATCTCTAAAGATTCCTGCCTTTACATCTTTCCTTAAACAATTAGAACGTCTCAGATTGTTTTGAAGCCAGGGGCTCTTGCAGATGGCCTAGTGTGGTGAGGTTCATAATGAGACCAGAGGTTTAGGAGAGGGACAGAGAGTGGGTGCAATGGTCTTCTGGGTCCTCCCTTCTGCTCAGTGATGTGCTGGTAAATGTTGAGACTGGCTTTCAGGATGAAAAAAAAAAAAAAGGACTGACTTGTAGCATTTGCTGATTTTTGTGGTGTCAGTGCTTCCACTGTGGCCAGTTCAAGCTGTGAACATGATGCTACTGATGCTGAGGTTGGGAAGAGCCAGAGGTGTGACGTTCCACACTGCCAGGAAGCGTTCCCACCACACCAGCACATCCCACATAAATGGCCCCAAGATCCCTGAGAATGGAAGATGCCATAGAATCCTTAGCAGTGGTGAGCTCTGAGTATGTAGGAGCTGGTGTGAACTGGATGTTTCTTCCCCCCAGCTCCAAATCTACATGTAAAATCCTCACTCCCCATGTGATGGTATTAGGAGGTGGGTCCTTTGGGAGGTGGTCAGGTCATGACGTGGAGCCCTCATGAGTGGAATGAGTGCCTTATAAAGGGGACCCCAGAGAGCTCCACTGGTCTTTCCGTGATGTGAGGGGGCAGCAAGAAGACGGCCATCTAGGTACCAGGATGCAGGCCCTCACCAGGCACTGAACCTGTCTTGGACTTAAACTTGATCTTGAACTTCCCGTCTCCAGAGCTGTGTGAAATAAATATTTGTCATTTAAGCCACCCAATCTAGGGTATTTTTGTTATAGCAGCCCAAAGTACTTTTAAAAAATTGAGTACCTTTGCTCAATGAAGACAATACTTTAAAAAAAAAATTGAGACAGTACCTGTTTACAATTGAGGTAAAATTCACATAACATTAAATTCACCATTTTAACTATTTGAAAGTGAACAATTCTATGGCACTTAGTACATTCATAGTTTTACAAACTACCACCTCTGTCTGGTTCCAGAACATTTTCATCACCCCAGAAGGAAACGTTGTACCCAGTTAAAGCCTCATTCCCCATTCTCCCCCTCCTCTGGCAACCACTATAATTTGTTTTCTGTTTCCGTGAGTTTGTCTATTCCAGTTTCTTCATACAAATGCAATTATAAAACACGTGATATTTTGTGTCTGGCTTCTTTCATGCAGCATGACGTTTTCAAGGTGCATCCATGTTGTAGCATGTGCAAGCACTTTGTTGCTTTTTATGGCTGATTACGATTCTACGGTACTGTATATTGCCGTTTGTCTATCCACTCATCAGCTGATGGACATTTCTGTCATTTCTCTCTTTTGACTATTTTGAATAAAGCTACTGTGAACATGCACGTACAAATTTTTGTTTGAATACCTGTTTTCAATTCTTTGGGGTATATACCTAGACGTAGAATTGCTGGATCCTATGGTAATACATGTTTAACTTTTTGAGGAACTACCCAGTTGTTTTTAAAGTGGCTGCATCATTTTATATCCCCACCAGTCGTGTTTATGGGTTCTAAATTCTCCACATCCTCACCAACACTTGTTATTTTATTGCTTATTAGTTTATTATTATTATTTACCATAGCCATGGTTGGTGTGAAGTCCTATCTCATTGTGGTTTTGATTTACATTTTCCTAATAGCTGATGGGATGAAGCATCTTTTTATGTGCTTTTTGGGCATTTGGAGAAAAAAAATCTATTCAAGTCCTCTGCTCATTTTTAAATTGGGTTGTTACAAAAATTATCTGGGTGTGGTGGTGCACGCCTGTAGTCCCAGCTACTCAGGCGGCTGAGGCATGAGAATCGCTTGAACACGGGAGGCGGAGGTTGCAGTGAGCTGAGATCATGCCACTGCATTCCAGCCTGGGCGACAGAGTGAGACTCCATCTCAATAAATAAATAAATAAATAAATAAATAAATTGGGTTGTCTTTTGTTATTGCATTGTAAGAGTTCTTTGTATATTCTGGATATATCATGCATATAATTTGCAAATATTTTCTCCCATTCCGTGGACTGTTTTTTCACTTTCTTGAAAGTATCCTTTGATGAACCAAAGTTTTAGATTTTGAAGTCAAATTTATTTTTCTTTTGCTGCATGTACTTTTGGTGTCATATTTTAAAATCCATTGCAGCCGGGTGTGGTGGCTCATGCCTATAATCCCAGCACTTTGGGAGGCTGAGGCCAGTGGATCACCCGAAGTCAGGAGTTCGAGACCAGCCTGGTCAACATGGTGAAACCTGGTCTCTACTAAAAATACAAAAATTAGCTGGGCATGGTGGCGCACACCTGTAATCCCAGCTACTCAGGAGGCCGAGGCAAGAGAATAGCTTGAATCCAGGAGGCAGAGGTTGCAGTGAGCTGAGATCGCACCACTGCACTCCAGCCTGGGCAACACAGCAGGACGCCATCTCAAAAAAAAAATAAAAAAATAAAAAAATAAAAAAATCCATTGCTAAATCCAAAAAAGTCATGAGGTTTTAATCCTTTGTCTTCTAAGAGTTTTATAACTTTAGTGCTTACATTTGAGACTGTAATCAATTTTAAGTTATCCAGTTGTCATTTATTTGTTTTTAACATTATTTGATTGTAAGTTTATGTAACGTATCTTTTAATTAGGGCTGTGTTTCACAGCTGGCTTGCGCAATTTTTGAAAATTTAACAATCAGCTCTCTTGAGCCAGTATGAGTGGTATGAGCCAGCTCAATGTGCTGCTACTTCTATGTTTTTTATTATTTTTAAATTTTTATTTATATATTTTTTGAGACAGAGTTTCACTTTCTCACCCAGGCTGGAGTGCAGTGGTGCGATATTGGCTCACTGGAACCTCCACCTCCAGGATTCTAGCAATTCTCCTGCCGTATCCTCCTGAGTAGCTGGGATTACAGGCTCCTGCCACCATGCCCGGCTAATTTTGTATTTTTAGTAGAGACGGGGTTTCACCGTGTTGGACAGGCTGGTCTTGAACTCCTGACCTCAGGTGATCCGCCCGCCTCGGCCTCCCAAAGTGCTGGGATTACAGGCGTGAGCCACCATGTCCAGCTGTGCTACTACTTCCGCCACACCCTGCTTAGAACCCCTTACTGCTAACGGCTGGAATGTGGTTGTTTTCTTGGGGAACGGAGCTGGGGATGGGTGAAATGTGCTTATGGAGCTCCTTGGTGATGGGTATCTGTGGAAAAAGGATCTGGGGACCCCTGATTCTCTAGTCACAGGCCTGTCCAGAATTTCCTTCTTGCATCTGGCTTTTCCTTTGTGATGTGAAGAGCATAGCTGGACCTCTCTTGCTCCCTCCCCTAGGATTTGCCAAGCTACTCCTCCTGGCTTAGAGGGAACCAGTTTTGTCCTAACTCAGTCTGGAGGGGCTTTGGAAGCCCCACCTTTGAGCAGAGACCTAAGTCTTGTCTTGAGGCTGAGGAAGTGCTCCTTTTCCTAGTGGTGTCACCAGATCAAATACAGGATGCCCAGCCACATTGGAATTTCAGATAAGCAGCGCTCAGTGTTTCCGTATAAGCATGGCACGTGTGAGATTTGGGACATACTTATACCAAAAGTAATTCTCATGCAATATTTGGGACATACTCCCACTAAAGAACTATGCATTGTTTATCAAATTTAACTGGGAGTCTTGGATTTTTGTTTGATAAATCTGGCAAGCCTTTCCTTGCGTCAGTTTTTTTTCTTGCTGTCTTCATCCTGCAGCAGAGACTCAGAACCTCAGAGTGGGAAGGCCCTGATTCCTTGCCCATTTTGCAGATCTGGAAACAGTCCCAGAGAAGAAAAGGGATTTGTGCAAGTGCACGGAATCACTGTGAACTTCGAGGACCTTGAACAAGCTGCATGACTTTTTCATGAAGTCAGCACACTTTCTGAGTGTCTCTGCATGTGGCACTGTGCTGGTGCCAGGGGATGATGGTGGCAAACCTGCCATGGACCTGTGCAGATGGCATGTTAAATAAGAGACAGGATTCAGACAGATCTGGGTCCAAATCCCGCTTTGCCACATGTCAGCTTGCATGACAAGTTACTTCGCTGTCTGAGCCTCAGCTTTCCCTTTTGGATGAGAGTACCTTCCTCTCGCTTGGGATGAGAGTACATTCCTTAGGGGATTGTCAGGCTTCCGTTGGGTGATGAAGTGCTTGGTGCAGGGTAGGCAAGATTTACTGCATGAGGAGAGAGGAGAGGTGCCCATGGTAAAGTTTGGTTGTTGTCTGCAGGTTTTCCAGCATTGTGGGCCATCCAGATGATGCGGAATGGAGGTTCCAGAACCCACCTGCCCTGCCCCTCCTGCGAGGGACCAGCCAGCTCCCACTCCTGGCCCTCCAGGGGCCCCAGGTGGCCAGGCCTCACCTCACCTGACCCTGGGCCCTGTCCTTCTGCCGCCAGAGCAGGGCCTGGCCCCCCCCACTGTGTTCCTGAAGGCCCTGCCCATCCCACTGTACCACACGGTGCCTCCCGGGGGCCTCCAGCCCCGCGCCCCGCTAGTGACGGGCAGCCTAGATGGGGGCAACGTGCCCTTCATACTCAGCCCTGTGCTGCAGCCTGAAGGGCCTGGCCCCACCCAGGTGGGGAAGCCGGCGGCCCCTACGCTGACGGTGAACATCGTGGGCACTCTGCCTGTCCTGTCGCCGGGCCTGGGCCCCACGCTGGGCAGCCCAGGCAAGGTGCGGAATGCGGGCAAGTACCTGTGTCCGCACTGTGGTCGCGACTGCCTGAAGCCCAGTGTTCTAGAGAAGCACATCCGGTCCCACACGGGTGAGAGGCCCTTCCCGTGTGCCACCTGCGGCATCGCCTTTAAGACCCAGAGCAATCTCTACAAGCACAGGCGGACGCAGACGCACCTCAACAACTCCCGGCTGTCCTCAGAGTCCGAGGGCGCCGGGGGCGGCCTCCTGGAGGAAGGGGACAAGGCCGGAGAGCCCCCCAGACCAGAGGGCAGGGGCGAGAGCAGGTGCCAGGGGATGCACGAAGGCGCCTCGGAGAGACCCCTTTCTCCGGGTGCCCACGTGCCCCTACTTGCCAAGAACCTGGATGTGAGGACCGAAGCTGCTCCCTGTCCAGGGTCCGCATTTGCCGACAGAGAGGCTCCTTGGGACTCTGCCCCCATGGCGTCACCTGGGCTCCCAGCGGCCAGCACACAACCCTGGCGTAAGTTGCCAGAGCAGAAGTCGCCGACCGCCGGGAAGCCGTGCGCCCTGCAGCGGCAGCAGGCGACGGCAGCGGAGAAGCCCTGGGATGCCAAGGCCCCCGAGGGCCGGCTGCGGAAGTGTGAGAGCACCGACTCGGGGTACCTGTCGCGCTCCGACAGCGCGGAGCAGCCGCATGCGCCCTGCAGCCCCCTGCACAGCCTTTCGGAGCACAGCGCCGAGTCCGAGGGGGAGGGCGGCCCGGGCCCGGGGCCAGGGGTCGCAGGGGCCGAGCCCGGGGCGCGAGAAGCCGGCCTGGAGCTGGAGAAGAAGCGGCTGGAGGAGCGCATCGCCCAGCTCATCTCCCACAACCAGGCGGTGGTGGACGATGCCCAGCTGGACAACGTGCGGCCCCGGAAGACCGGGCTGTCCAAACAGGGCAGCATCGACCTGCCCACGCCCTACACCTACAAGGACTCCTTCCACTTTGACATCCGCGCGCTGGAGCCAGGCCGTAGGAGGGCCCCGGGCCCCGTGCGCTCCACCTGGACGCCCCCAGACAAGTCTCGGCCCCTCTTCTTCCACTCCGTCCCCACTCAGCTCTCCACCACCGTGGAATGTGTCCCCGTCACCAGGAGCAACTCGCTGCCCTTCGTCGAGGGCTCCAGGACGTGGCTGGAGCCCAGGGAGCCCCGGGACCCCTGGTCCAGGACGCAGAAGCCTCTGAGCCCCAGGCCCGGCCCAGCCCGCCTGGGCTGCCGCTCGGGACTAAGCTCGACTGACGTTCCCAGTGGGCATCCCCGGGCCCTGGTCAGACAGGCCGCGGTGGAGGACCTGCCAGGCACCCCCATTGGCGATGCCCTGGTGCCCGCAGAGGACACAGACGCAAAGAGAACTGCTGCGCGGGAGGCCATGGCCGGCAAGGGCAGAGCGGGCGGCAGGAAGTGCGGCCAGAGAAGGCTGAAGATGTTCTCCCAGGAGAAGTGGCAGGTGTACGGGGATGAGACGTTCAAAAGGATCTACCAGAAAATGAAAGCCAGTCCCCATGGAGGCAAGAAAGCCAGGGAGGTGGGAATGGGCAGTGGGGCAGAACTGGGCTTTCCTCTGCAGAAAGAGGCAGCAGGGAGCTCAGGCACAGTCCCCACCCAAGACAGGAGGACCCCTGTCCATGAGGACATATCCGCAGGGGCAACGCCAGAGCCTTGGGGAAATCCACCAGCCCTGGAGGCCTCCTTGGTGACTGAACCCACTAAGCATGGGGAGACGGTGGCCAGGAGAGGAGACAGTGACCGACCCAGGGTGGAAGAGGCTGTGTCATCCCCTGCACTGGGTGGCAGAGACAGTCCCTGTTCAGGCAGTAGGAGCCCCCTGGTCTCTCCAAATGGGAGGCTGGAACTGGGGTGGCAGATGCCCCCAGCACCTGGCCCCCTCAAAGGGGGTGATGTAGAGGCTCCCAGGCCAGTTTGGCCGGACCCCAAGCTGGAAGGAGGTGCCCGAGGTGTGGGGGATGTTCAGGAGACCTGCCTGTGGGCCCAGACTGTCCTGAGATGGCCCAGCAGGGGCTCAGGGGAGGACAAGCTCCCCTCAGAGAGGAAGAAGCTGAAAGTGGAGGACCTGCACAGCTGGAAGCAACCAGAGCCTGTGAGCGCAGAGACCCCAGGTGGGCCCACGCAGCCTGCCTCTTTGTCATCCCAGAAGCAGGATGCCGATCCCGGGGAGGTGCCAGGGGGCTCAAAGGAGAGTGCCAGGCAGGTGGGCGAGCCTCTGGAGTCCTCTGGAGCCTCCTTGGCTGCTGCTTCTGTTGCCCTGAAGAGGGTGGGGCCAAGGGACAAGGCTACCCCACTGCATCCTGCAGCCCCAGCCCCCGCAGAGCACCCCTCGCTGGCCACCCCACCTCAGGCTCCTAGAGTGCTCTCTGCCCTGGCAGATAATGCCTTTTCCCCCAAGTACCTCCTCAGGTTACCTCAGGCAGAGACCCCCTTACCACTGCCCATTCCCTGGGGACCAAGGCACAGCCAGGACTCTCTCTGCAGCAGTGGGTGGCCTGAAGAACGGGCATCATTTGTTGGGTCAGGACTGGGGACCCCTCTTTCTCCCAGCCCAGCCTCAGGCCCCTCCCCAGGTGAGGCGGACAGCATCCTGGAGGACCCCAGCTGTTCCAGGCCACAGGATGGGAGAAAAGGGGCACAGTTGGGGGGGGACAAGGGGGACAGGATGGCCACTAGCAGGCCAGCAGCCAGGGAGTTGCCCATCTCAGCACCAGGGGCTCCCAGGGAGGCTACCTCCTCCCCGCCCACTCCAACGTGTGAGGCACACTTAGTTCAGGACATGGAGGGTGACAGCCACCGTATCCATCGCCTCTGCATGGGCAGCACTTTGGCAAGGGCCAGGCTCTCTGGGGATGTCCTGAATCCCTGGGTACCCAACTGGGAGCTGGGGGAGCCTCCTGGGAATGCCCCAGAAGATCCTTCTTCAGGGCCCCTGGTGGGCCCCGACCCGTGTTCCCCCCTCCAGCCTGGCTCCTTCCTCACTGCCCTCACTCGGCCTCAGGGTGTGCCCCCAGGCTGGCCAGAGCTGGCCTTGTCTTCCCACTCAGGGACGTCCCGGAGCCACAGCACCCGCAGTCCCCACAGCACCCAAAACCCCTTTCCCTCACTGAAGGCTGAGCCGCGGCTCACGTGGTGTTGCCTGAGCCGCAGTGTCCCTCTGCCCGCGGAGCAGAAGGCAAAGGCGGCATCTGTGTACTTGGCGGTGCACTTTCCTGGTAGCAGCCTCCGAGATGAGGGTCCCAATGGCCCTCCTGGGAGCAATGGAGGATGGACCTGGACAAGCCCTGGAGAAGGAGGGCCGGCGCAGATGTCCAAGGTAAAGCTGGGCTTTGCCCCAGGGCCCGGGGTTGAGAGAGCATGTTGTTATCCCGTAAGACCTCTCATGAGGGAAGGAAGTCTGAAGCCGTCCCATGTAGCATCTGCTGTTCACTGCTTGCTTGTTCCTGAGGGAGGCTGGGGATACCACATAGACAGCAGGAAGGAATAAAGGCCCAAATGCAAACCAAAACAGAGTTGCGGAAAACATAAATTCCAAAGGAAAGAATTACTGTACTCAAGACATGAGGTGAGATAGTCTTCATAACCAAATGTAAAATTTAACTGAGCTTCCTGGTAACAGAAGCAAAAAGTAAAATGAAACACTCCATCAGAGAGGTGAGCTCTCTGGATCATTCTAAGATTATAAGCCAGAGACTCCCAATAATTGAGAGAGTCTTTATACTGGGGATTCTGGAGAAGGAATTACTGTTGATTGGACTCAGCCCTCTCTCTGAGGTTCCTGGGGGCAGAGAGAAAAGGGGGAAATGTGGTGGATGCTCACAGGTGTTCTCACTTGGTGAAGAAATGATAATGCAGAGCTCCACCTTGAGAGGGGGTTCACGCACCTGGTTGTGATGACTGAGGGCTTAGTCCTGCTCTGGAGTGGCTTGGGCCGCGGCCACTGAGGACGGTCCTGGAGGCTCAGCAGTCATTTAACCTTTGTGGACAGTGACAAAGGCCCGGAGACCAGAGTCTTGCAGGCTGTTCGGCTTTCCCTAGGTGGAACCCAAAGTTGTGGGGAGTGCTGTTTTCATCTTGAGAGTAGCGGGTTAGTCAGTAGGGCCCCAGGGGTGTGGGGGCTCCCGGGGAGGTGGATTTAGGGGATAGTAAAGGGGCTGGTCACCGTGTTTCTTTGGCCTCCAGTTAACACCGATGGCATAGGCTTTCCTCTGCGGATCAAGCCCAGGCGGGGTTTCAGGAGGTTCTGTCCAGGAACGCTCTGCCGTTGCCTGGTTGAACTTCTCAGGGGCTCAGCCCGTTTAGCAATGCAGTATTTCCGTTTTGATTTCTGAAGACAGGCATCTTGTCTGCAGAGCGAGAACCCTTTGGAGTTTTCTTCATCATGAGGACTTTGAGTAATGTGATGCCAACATGCTTGGTGTTTTCAGTTCTCCTACCCAACAGTCCCAGGGGTGATGCCCCAGCACCAGGTGTCTGAGCCAGAATGGAAGAAAGGCCTGCCTTGGAGGGCAAAGATGTCTCGTGGGAACAGCAAGCAGAGAAAACTGAAGATCAACCCTAAAAGGTAGGATGAGTGGCCACCTCTGTCATTTCCACAAAACCCCAAGAAGAATTTACTATGGGATTTGAAAGGTATCCGTGTGCTCCAGAGAAAGAGTTCCTGTTTCCTAGGGTTTAGAGCTTCATGATTAAAGGACTGAATTTGTTTCCCACCCCTTGCAACTCACCGCCTGTGTATTTTTTGATGGCACCTTTCTAAGGCCAGGAATCCAGCAAATCTTTGAAATAACTGGGTTGAAAACACATCCATTCAACTTAAGTCTGGAAGAGAGAGAGCCTGTTAATTATTTACAGCTTTTATTGTGTTTTTAATTATGCAAGCAATGAATGTCCTTTGCAGAAAAATTTGACAATACAGATGAGCAAAGAGAAGACAATAAAACATCCTAGTAATCTCGCCACGCAGAGATAATCACCGTGAACATTCAGGAGTGTGCCCTTCTAGACTTTTCTTTGCGGTATGTGTTTGCACATATCCACCCCCAACAAACAGGAGGCCCTGTGGATTTTCCTGCCACTCTTTCATTGTGCCTTTCTTGGATTGTCTTTCTCCTTTGCTTAAAACCCTTCAGGCTGCCCGTTGCATACAAGTTGAAAAGCGAATTCTCTAACCCCTGCCCTCTTTCTACCCTCATTTTCCCTGTGATCTCCTCCTCTCCTGCTCGCCCTCCACCCTCATCCCATTCTCTAATCCACATTCTAATCCCAGATCCCTGAAGCATTTATACTCCACACCTCAGTTGTCAACCTGTCAACATTCTCCCCCAGACTGTCAGTCCTTTTTTTTCTTTTTTGAGACTGAGTCTGACTCTGTTGCCCAGGCTGGAGTGCAGTGGCGTGATCTCGGCTCACTGTAACCTCTGCCTTGGGGGTTCAAGCGATTTGCCTGCTCAGCCTCCTGAGTAGCTGGGATTACAGGCATGGGCCACCACGCCCAGCTATTTTTTTTTTTTTTTTGTATTTTTAGTAGAGACGGGGTTTTGCCATGTTGCCCAGGCTGGTCTCAAACTCCTGGCCTCAAGCGATCCTCTCGTCTTGGCCTCCCAAAGTGCTGGGATTATAGGCGGTGAGCCACTGCACTGTCAGTAATTTATCCAAAGCCTGGATATTCTTCAAGGGGCGATCCAAATTCCTAACTTTCCCCTGTAGCTGCTCAGACCCTCAGTGGCTAGAGATGGCCTCTTCTCTTTTGGTTCCCCCTCCTGCCCTGCCTCTATCAATGGTCTGCCGGGACCATGTGTCCAGAGCTAACATTATGGGGCACTTGCTGTGTGCCAGACTTTCCCTAATCGCTTTCTGGCATGCATTGTTTCAGGAGATCCCACAAGGTACTGCCCATGATGTGGATGGTATTATTAGCCCCATTTTTCTCATGAGGAAATGGAGACACAGAGAGCTTAGATAACCTACCCAAGGACCCAGATTTGAACCAGCCGGTCTCCTTCCATAGCCTGTGTGCCAGCTAGTCGCTTGTCTTGGTGCACCCCAGCCTGTCCTGGGCACGCTAGCGGCCTGGCATTTTCTAGATTTTTCTTGCAATGCTTGAGATTTTGCATTTCTGACACAGCCAGGTGATGGTGCTGGCGTGGCCCCCAGAGCAGGCTTGGGGGAGTGGGGCTTTCCTTTCCAGCGTCCCTCCTTTCTCATGGATCACTCAGGGTCCTGAGACAGAAGCCTGACTCAAGGTAGTCTGAACAAAACAAGGCCTCCCTGCCTGTGTAATGGGGCCTCTAAGCCTCATCATCAGCCCTGGCCCAAACTTGGTGGTGTGGGAAGGACAGTCTTCCAAAGGAAAATTCGAGTGCTGCTCTTGGAGGAAAGGGGAATGCATGCCATCCAGACGGAGGAGCTGCATGCGGGGCTCTGGGAAACAAGGGACATCGGCTAGTGGTTGTGGTCCTCCTCAGTATCTCACCAATAAGGAGGAAGTGCTCAGTTACATGTGACTGATAGTTGATGAGCCTGAAGCCTCCAGGCATCATTGGAAAGATGTGGGGAGAGGGAAGAGGATGGGTTGCCTCATTAACAGCTCCCACTTTCCCAAGACTTCAGCTTGACTAATTCGAAAATATTTACCATGTACCTGCTGTGTGCCTGGTGCCCACACCTGGAGGTGGCCGAGGAAACTTTCTTAATCCAGGGTGAGGGTCCCAGACTGGAGCCCAGGAGGCTTGGAGATATCACTCCAGGACACCTTGCAAACCCACTAGCAGCTCTTGGGCCAAACACAGTGCATGTAAGACCCTTATTAGGCCAGTGCTCTAAAACTTTTGGCACTTAGCAGCCACATAATTAGATGTAAAGATTTCTCATAAAAATCTGGATTTCTAACTTTTCTTGAAATATGGGAAGCTCTGAAGACACTGGGCCTGCCTCCTTACATGGCAACAGCCAGATGGAGATGAGCAGTGGCCACCCCTTGTGGGTAAGAGCTGTGTTCCCTGCTGCGCTCTCTAGCTCACCTCTCCCTAATGTCTTACCCTCGGCCAGCCTCTCTCAGTTATGCTCTCTGCCTGGCCCCCATAGCATTTGAGTTTGCAAATTTTGGCCTTACTAGCTGGCCTTGTGGAACTAGACGGCCTCTCCACTCAACAAATCACGACAAGAGCCCATGGATGGGCACAGGAAGGGGCAGGGGCATTGCAGAACAGGGAGGAGTCTGAACAAGGACTTAGAGCTCTAACCAAGAGCTCCTGGCTGGGTCAAATGAGGAGGAAGCTGTTGAGCTTTTTATATGCACAAACGTTTATTGGTTGATAGTGATTTGTTTATCATTGGTCCTTTTGTTGGCTCATGACTGTCTTTTGAGTTAATTCCAGCTTCAAGGCCTTTGCACCTGCTAGTCCCTCTACCTCCATCTGCACACTCCTCCTCTTGCTCCTCACATGGCTGGCTC
Organism: Homo sapiens; assembly: GCF_000001405.40. Taxonomy (NCBI): domain Eukaryota; kingdom Metazoa; phylum Chordata; class Mammalia; order Primates; family Hominidae; genus Homo; species Homo sapiens. The sequence goes on from NC_000020.11 coordinate 59,198,898, forward strand.
CCCTGTCTCAGAAAAAGCATCAGCACCATGAGGGCATGGATATCTAGGCATGGACGTCTTTGAGGGGAGGTATTACTCTGCCTACCACACTGTTTATCCAACCACCCACACACATATGTTTGTAGATATTTATCTGTCCATCTGCCCACCCACCCACCCACCCATCAACTTACATATCTATCTATCTATCTATCTATCTATCTATCTATCTATCTATCTATCTATCTATCTATCTATCACGTAACCCTTGTGTTCTCTCCTCAAGAAGGAAGCCTACTTCTTGATTCATTTTCCCACTTTAATTTCAGTTGTCTTAATGTTCTACAGAAAATGAAATACTGTAGCAGAGATTGCTCTATAGTCCTTAGCTCACAGAGAATGATACAGTTCTCTTCTAAGTAAAATATTACCTTAAATGTTATATAACAATATATAGAAAAGAAAAATTTAAAAGATTATTATGTTGTTTTATGTATTTGGCACAAATCATATCAATCTGTGTTTTCATACTTTGCAAATCACCAATAATATATAATATTGTTTGGTGTCTTTAAAGTACACATAAAAGTATCATAGTTATTTATCATTTATCATTCTTCAGCTTGATTTTTAAGGTCAACATTGTGTTTTTGAAGATCTCATCGTGTCAGGACATACTGATCAAATTCATTCATTCTGATTGCTGTAGAGTGTCTCATCCATGAGTAAGAGTTTGCCCTTCATTCATATGCTTCCTAATATTTGTTGTTATCAGATTTTTTAAGTGATGAATATAATTTATAGGATTCTATATATATCCTAGATTTGTATGTATTATTTGCCTGTTATATATACTGCAAATATGTTTCCAAGTCTATTACTTGTCTTTTTAAGCCCCTTTATTTATATGTACCCACATAATTGCCCATCTCTTGTCTTTTCATTTGTTTCTGCATGTCAGATCTTCCTTCTGGGATTATTTTCTTCTACCTAAATCATATTCTTTAGAATTTCCTTTATTAGAGAAGGAAATTCTCTTAGTTTTTATTACTCTGCAAATATATTTATTTCATCATTGTTGTTGAAAAATAGTTTGCTGGGTACACAATTCTAGGTTGACTGTTATTTTCTCAGCACATCAAAGCTACCATTGCACTATCTGTCAGCTTCCATTTTGTGGTAAAGAAAGCCAGCTGTTAGACTACTCATCTGTCTTTTGAAAGTCTTTTATCTCTGGCTACCTTTAAGATCTTCTTTTATCCTTTGGTGTTCCATAGTTTTACTTTGATGTATATAGATGTATGTTGCTTTTTATTTGTTCCATTAGGAATCCACAGGGCTATTTTGATTTGTGGATTGGTGTCTCTCTGTAAAAAATTCTTAGCCATCATTCTCCAAATATTGCCTCTGTCCTGTTCCCTCTCCTTCCTTTCTGAAATACTGAAATAATATATATTAGTCCTTTTCTATCTTTCATGTCTTTTAATACTTTTAATAACCTTGTTTCTCTGTGCTATAATCTGGATACTTTGTTCAAATCTGTCTTTAAAATTTTACCAGTTTTTAAATCTACTATTTTTTGTAAAGCTTTATTAAAGTATAATTAAATTTTAATAAATTGCACATATTTAAAACATACAATTAAATAAATTTTGACATATATATATACCTGTGAAACAATATAACCAGGATCATGAACATATCTGTCAAGCCCAAAAGTTTCCTCCTATCCTTTTGTAATTCCTCCCTTCTGCCCGTCCTGAAGTCCTTCCATCCCCAGGTAACCGCTGATGTGCTTTCTGTCACATAGGATAGTTTGCCTTTTCTAGAATTTTATAGAAACAGAATCATACAATATATGCTCTCTTTTTTTTGCCTGGCTTTATTCACTCAGTATTACTATTTTGAGGTTCATCCATGTTGTGTTTATCAAGAACACATTCCTTCTTATTGCTAACTAGTATGCCATTGAGTGAGTATGTCACAATTTGTATACATGTTCACTTGTTGATAGACATTTGGTTTGTTTCAGTTTGGGGCTATTACAAATAAAATGACTATAAATATTCATATGCAAACCTTTGTATGGACATATGCTTTAAATTATCTTGGGAAAATACCTAGAGGTGAAAAGCCTGGATCATATGGTAGATGTATTATTAACTTTTAAAGAAGCTGCCAAATTGTTTTCCAAAGTGGTTGTATTATTTTACATCTCCACTATCAGAGTATGAGAGTTCCATTTCTCTACATTATTGCCAACACTTGGTATGGTAATTTTTTTTAGTTTTAGTCATTTGAATAGTTATGTAGTGGTATCTCTTTATAGCTTGAATTTGCATTTCCCTAACAAGTGATGATATTCAGCATCTTTTTTTGTGTGCTTATTTAGCATTTGTATATCTTCTCTGGCGAAGTGTCTCTTCAAATCTTTTGCGCATCAAAAATGGGTTGTTTTCTTATTGAGTTTTGAGAATTTTTTTAATATACTCTGATTATAAGTTCCTTATCGGAGATGTGATTTGTAACTATTTTCTTTCAATCTATGGCTTATCTTTCTATTCTTTTAGTAGCATCTTTTAAAAAGCAACTGTCTTTCACTTTGATGATATTTAATTTACCTTTTTTTGTTATGTTTTTAGTGTCATAGTTTAAAAAAGTGTGTCTAAACAGAGCTTCAAAGCTTTTCTTCTAAATTTTTCTCTAAAGTTTTATACTTTTAAGTTTTATATTTAGGTCTATAATTCATTTTCACTTAGTGTTTACATATGGTGTGATGTATGGATCGAAGTTCTTATTTTTGTGTGTGGATATCTTATCTAGTTGTTCCAGCATCATTTGTTGATCTATTTGTCTATTTCAATGCAAATACCACACTGACTTGATTACGCCGCTTGACTCTGAGACTTATTATAAAGCTAAAGTATTCCAAAGAGTGTGGTTTTTGCATCAAAATGGATACAAAGATCAATGGAGCAAAATAGAGAATACAGAAATAGACCATGCTGTGGTCAATTGATTTTTCATACAGGCTCAAAGGAAATTCAGCGGAAAAAGTATAGTCTTTTCAACAAATGGTTCCAGACCTGGAAAATTTCTCCATCAATAAGTTGAGGTGTCATCAGGCTTACCTCATCTGTTTCTCTTCTTTCATGGATCACTGCCTTTATTGCTCAATGTCCAATGCCCTGAACACTATTGTTTTGTATCTTTATTCAGTTTTTTACTTGGGATGGTAAATCTGGTTACTTTTGCAAAGTCTTGGTCAGAAGTCCCTGGCCTATTGCAGTGCCTCCTAGTTGATCTCCCCTACTTTTATTGGTCTGCTAAAGTTTAAGTTCAATTGTTGATGTGAATTATATTTTATTTCCAAAAAGTTTTATTTAATTATTTTTTTAATTTGCTTGATCATTTTATAGTCTCTTGCACTTGACTCTTATTTTCAACCTTTTTTTTTTTTTTTAAAAAAAAAAACACATCTAATGTTTTGCATCTGACAATGACAACCTATGAAGTCTTGGCACATCTGACTCTGTTTTATATATTTGCTCTCACATATGTTAACTTATTTCCTTGTTTGTGTTAAAATTTTTGACTGTGAGTTGATATTTTTGGAACTTTGAGATGTGGGTTGAAGGTGGATTCCTCCAATAAATATTTGTTTTGCTTCCACTGGGTGCCTGGGGGTGCTCGTTTGTTTGTTGTTATGTTCCCCGGGCAGGTGGTGGGGTAGGGAGTATTTATTTCTAATTCACCCACATACTGAGAGTATGCCTTTCAGAGGTCTCAGCTTTATGCAGGAAAGGAGGTTGGGTCTTCCATGTGCCTCTCACTGAAGAACATTCTGGGCTTTGAGTCCTGTACCCTCAGCTGCACCAGAGCATGAAAATAGGAAGGTCATCCTCATCTGGTTTGGCAGATTCCTCAAAGTGAAAGCAATCTCACTTTTCCAGGGCGCAGCTCTCACTTGGTTTTTGCCTTTGAACTATTTCTTATCTTTTAATCAGAACATACGTAAATTTAAATATAAGTTTAAAAAATGTTTACATTTTACGCTGCATTTTTAATTGTTTTCAGTATAAGGATAAATTTGGTGGTAATCAGTCAGAGTATTGAGTCCACTGTGCTGTTGGAAATGGAGTTCTTATTTTTTAACCTTGATAATGATGGTTTTTTCATTAAGAATTTGTAAATTTTGATGTAGTCAAATGGGGCTGTCTTTTCATGACTTTTTGGTATATCTAAGAAATCTTTCTTTACTCTCAATTTCCTACTTTCAAAAATATGCAGATATGTTATCTTATGTTTTCTTCTTGTATGAATTCATATATATAGAAGGATTTATTTTTATTTTTGTTTATAAAGACAACTATGGACCACGGGTTAAATATGGTTTTTAACTTATTTTAACCATGAGCAACGCATTATTTATATACATATATATTTGATCGACAGGGTCTCACTATGTTGCCCAGGCTGCAGGGCAGTGGCTATTCACAGGTGTGATCATAGCACACCACAGCCTCACACTCCTGGCCTCAGTGGTCTTCCTGCCTCAGCTTCTGGAGTAGCTGGGAGTACAGGCATGCACCACCATGCCTGGCTTGGTTTTTATATTTTTAAAAGCTTATCCATATAAAAACAGAAGAAGAATACGTGGCACAGATTGTCTGTGGCATACAAAGTCTAAAATATTTATTAGCTGGACCTTTGCATAAAAATCAAGCAGACCCCTGCATTAATCCACTTTTGCCCACTTACATGTTAAATTTTAGCTTCCCGTTTATACTTGAAGTTTTTTTCAGGGCCTTTCATTCTGCTTTCATTCATCTCTATGTTTTTTGCCAACTGCAAATACCACACTGTAATGAAAATGGTTGTTTTCATTAACAAAACTACATGAGTTAAAGAAGAGAGATTAGAAAATGCAGGATCCACTTCCAGAGTGGAAATGGAAAAACGCAGAAAATTCATACTCAGAAGCCTAATTGCCCTGACATTAACTAGAGGCATAGAGATCCGGAGCACTCACAAAATACCTCCCTGCCTTGCCCAAAGCAAGCGCGGGATCATGGAATTAGATTTTATTGATTAATTTATAACTGTGTACTGTGCTGTATGAAGCATGAAACATTCAGAGACTTGTTCCTAGGAAGCTTCCAACAAATGGAACAATGAATTGTGAAGCCCCAAGTGAATGGAAATGAGCGAGGAGAAGATTGCAGGTTGTATGGGAGAAGGGCACTCTATAAAACCCTAAAATATACATTAGTCGTTGAAGGGGAGAGTGGAGAAGAAAAAAATCCTGGGCTTTGAGAATGCAATTCTATTAGCAGATAGTGTTTTTCCTTATGGAGCGGATGTTTATCTGTCTAAGCCATGTGTCTATTCACTTTAGTCATCACACAATTTACTTATTCAATGAGATAGCACTCTCAGTAATGAGAGCACAATCTCTGCAGTGAGGTAAAGACAAAGACCTACAGATGTGGCCCTGAGTCCACGTGGCCTCTGCTGCATGTGACCCCCACCACATGTGGCTGAGACTCTTTGTCACGTTGGCCACAGCCCCAGAGCTTTGACAGCAGTCCCAGGTCCTGCTTAGCAGGATACAGAGGCTCTGCCATCCACACCTCCACTGCTCTTCTCTTTGCTTTGTTCTTCTCTGTGGGGTCAAGAGAGGAAAGTGAGGGAAATAGCACGTCAGATCTCATAGTTTCGCCCCAGAAAGGAATGTGTGTGGAGTGGGCTGTGTACACCTGCAAGAGCCACTCCTTGGGTCTACTGTCCTTCCCTGAGAGAGCCTGACAAAGGTGGCAAGGGGGTGACGAGTGTATCACCCTCACAGCCGGGTGCGGAGGTGCAGCCTGACGAAAGTGTCCTGGATGGGGCCCCAACAGCACTGGCCACACCTTGAGGGGACTTGCATGGCTGGTGATGGAGATGAGCTTGCAAAACCTTCCTAAGCCAGGATGCTGCTTCTCCAGGAGGGGCTGCACACAGAACGTTTTGGGAGAACCAGGAGAGAGAGAAACGTACCCTGCCCATGACTAAACTAAACAGTCCTTTGAAGACATTGCCAAGGTCCACTTGGGCTGTTCTCGAAGGCAAAAAGTTTGAAATTCCACCTTGATGAAGTGCGAATTCAGAGGCGGGGCCTTTCCTAGCTCTCTCCTTGTTATTTTGCGTGAGGAGAAAGACCCCCGCTTGCTAATTTTCTGAAAGTAAAACCTCCCTGCAGTTCAAACTGTGCCGTTCTTAACACCTGCAAGTGTGTGGCAGCCACCCACTGACTTGCGCAAAGGTGACCCAGCAGCAGGTGGAAGAAGAATTCTCTCCATGTGCCACCCCTTCCTTCCTCCCTTTGTCTCTGCACTTTGAAATCTCTCTCCACCCAGGCCCTGCAGGATTTGGTTCAGGGGTTTGTCGCTCCCCACCCTGGCTCAGATAGCTCTTTCAGGAACCTGTGTTCTTGACAACTGCTTCAAAGAACAAACCAGCCACCACTGCCTCCCCCACCAAACTAACCTCCCCTCCCCCCAGCCGGGGAATGACAGCTCCTGCCCCAGACAGGGGAGGCAATCATGCCCAGTTGAGGGGAGCTTCTCCCAAACACAGAGGCCGGAAAAGATGAACAAAATGTCACTTTCTCATTGTTGCTGCCAGGAAAAACCAGTGCCCAAGAGGATACTGCATTCTGTAGATCTTATTTAAAATTTTGTGAGCGGCCCTGGTGATTAGGGGACTGCGGCTGGATCTTGGCGGTGGCTCAGATAAATGAGAAAGGAAAATAGCCGGTTCTGAGGAGCACTGTGGAGTAGAAATATTGTAAACTGAGGCTTGTAAAGGGAAGGGATTACTTGTGGCTTGACCAGGCAGTTAGAAGCAGTGCAAAGATCTTCTAAAAGAGCTTAAGGCATATTGCAGGCCTGGCTCTTCGTCTCATTCTTTTGCCTATATAATGGGGGTGCTATACTAGGTTGATGGCCTGTTTGTGGTTGCACATTCCTATTAGTAAAATAATTTGTAGCCTGCACCTATTAAATGTGTATTTGTTCATTTACAAATTATACATATATTCTGCTCTATGACATGAAACAATAGAAACAAGAAAGGACATGAAACAATAGAAATAAGAAAGACTAGATGAAAATAAATGTAAATAGAAGCTCTAGTGTTTTTCTTTCTCTACTGTCATCATGCCTTCCCTCTGAGATGTAAATACTTCGTGTTGAAGACAAATAAATCAGATGATCTGGTAGGGCTCCTCCAGATGGAAGGTCTATGAAGAATGTTGTCCAATATGGTGGTCACAAATAAGAAAGACTAGATGAAAATAAATATAAATAGAAGCTCTAGTGTTTTTCTTTCTCTACCCTCATCACATCCCTCTGAGATGTGAATACTTTGTTTTGAAGACAAATACATCTTATTTGAAGAAAATTTATTTGAAGACAAATAAATCAGATGATCCAGTAGGGCTCCTCCAGATGGAAGGTCTATGAAGAATGCTGTCCAGTACAGTGGTCACTAGCCACACGTGGCTATTTAAATTCATTAAAGTGAAATACAATTTAAGACTCAGTTTCTCAGACACACTAACTACATTTCAAATGCACAATAGCTACATGGGCCTAATGGCTGCTGTATTTGTCAATGCAGATTACAGAACATTTCCATCATTGAAGAATAAACTGTTGGACAGTCTGTGAAGCAAGTAGTCAAGACCACGTAGCTTAAAACCTAATTGCAGCAACTATCCTTGACTAAGCCCTTGCTATGACTAAGCATCCTGGGAAGCATTTTGTGACCACCTCATTTAGTTCCTACAACAACCTCTGAAGCTAGGCGCATTATCCTGGGGAGGTGGGGGATGAGGTATGGAGGGATCAGGAGTTGCTCAGAGCTGACCAGCTAGTTAGAGGTTGAGCCCCGTGTTCTCCTGGGCACCCCACAGTGACTTTCCAGATTTTTCCAGGCATGTGCTCTCCAGGCTGGTTACTGCAAGCATGCTTCTCTCTTCTACAGGTACAAAGGGAATTTCTTGCAGAGCTGTGTTCAGCTGAGAGCCAGTAGACTTCGCACACCAACCTGGGTGCGAAGAAGAAGCCGCCACCCTCCCGCACTTGAGGGACTGAAGCCATGCAGGACCCCTGGGCAGACCTCTTCAGAAATAGCAGGTAATGCTCTCTTTGGAGGTGCATCCAGACTGGGCACTCGAAGGCACCCGCCCAAGGCATAGACACTGGGGATTTGGGATGGGCAGGAGTCAGCCCCAAGTGCCACAGGGGTCAGGCCCAAAAGGGAGAGTAACAGAGGCATGACGTCTATGAGACAATCAAAGTGACCCTAAACTAGTGGGGAGGGCATGTGGTAGAAGACGGAGAATTCAATATTGAGAAGTCACCAATATCCTTGAGTACTGGCCACCTGTGCCAAGCTCTGAACCAGGTGCAGGTTCCCTCCAGGACCCAGGAGAACATGAATCACAGCTCTTGGTGCCTCTAGTTTCACTATTTCTAAAAAGAAAGCTCACTCAGTTCTCTCTGCAGGGTCATTGTAAAGCTAAAGTGGGTCTGTGGATGGGCTTAAGAGCCCATGTGAAATAGAAAGATGAGTAGTTATGTGAGGCTGCAGGGTACATTGCTTACATGTGAAGTGGTAAGAGGCACACTCTTCACCATGCTTGGAAATAAATAAAAGGCGAACTAAGTGGGGCTGCTTCCTGGAAAAATGGCTATTTTAAGCTGCAATCACTGGGCAACCGGGGCAAATGGCTCAACTTCTCTGGATCTCAATTTCCTCTTCCTTTCTCCCCTCTCCCCAGCATTAAGGAGCTCAGCCTTAGCCTTGCTTGATTGTTGATTGGGAAAAATGAATACCCTGTGGGAAATGCTGCAGGGTCCCATCTGGCCAGCAGTGCCTGAATTACCATCCTTCTGTGGTTCATTGTTGTCTGTTTGGCTCAAGAGCTAACCCTTGGCTCTGTCTCATGCCTGAGGTCTTTGGCCCTGGGGGATCCTTTGCTGGGGCAACTCTGCCTCCACCTTTGTGTAGCTCCAGTGCCCCCTACAGGCAGATGGCACTTGAGTGCTCTCCCCACACCTCTGCTCCCCAACCCCCAGAGCCTTCCAGGGTAGGCAAGGACATGGAGTAGTCTTGTTTCCCAGAGAGAATTTAAATCCAGGCAAGAATTCATCTTACAGTTGGGGCCAGTTGTTGAAGAAGAAAGGTTGTTTTTGTTAAGGAAGGTCAAGGGTCAAGCCCCATGTGGGAGAGGCTGGGATGCAGGGGGTTGGGTAGGTGGAAATTCCATCAAGAAGCTGGCTCTGAGCTCTCTTCCTCATCTGTGGCTCTCAACCTCACCTCCATCTCCCTCCTCTGTATCCAGCGAAATTGCCCATTGGGCTGTGCTTGATACTGCCACGCCCCATGGAGGGCATCTCAGGGCTAAATGCTGGTCTGTACCACCAGGACAAGAGGATGTCTCCCCCATGCAAAGGCCAGGGGACCATGCAACTCTCTGCTTTCTCGTTGGGCCGTCCTGTGACAGGCACAGGTGCCATCGATATCACCTCTGTGCTCTCCAGGTGCCCTGTGGATGCCCCTCGTCTCTCCTTAAGAGTTTTCCAATGTATAACCCACAGCTGGGAATCCAGGTCCAGCCCAGCACCCTCTGAAGTGCCAACTCAGGGTACCTGGGAATTGTGCACAGAATTGTGTGTGTGTGGGTGACTTCCAGAGGCATGGGAACTCCAAGTACGAAGTGAGCCTCGGGGGTCATGGTACTTGCTGGCTGACTCCTCGTTCCCTGTTCCCATGGACTCTTCCCTCACTTTTGCCCCCATCAGCTCCAGTTCTTGAATTTTCCTTTATGGGGTAGAGCTTGGATGGAACCCCTGCTGAGACGCTGGCAGAGAGCTGGTAGCCCCCGCTACCTGGGAGGTTCTGATGGTCACTGGTGGAATCCAACAGAATCAGCCAGAGCTCTGCCAGTTGCCCCCATGGAGGAGCTTACCACCAGCTCTCTTCCCAGCACCTTAAGGACAGCCAAATGGAGCTGCTCCTGGAACTCCCCGTCAGCCTCCCTGCTTAGCTCCCCAGGCACTGGACTCGGCACTGTGACAGGGAGGGGAACTAAGGTGACCCCTGGTCTCGATAAATGTGGTACAGGACAAAGACAGACAGACTGACCCACTGTCCACCCCTTAGCTCAGATGCCACCGGGAACGACATTGGCAGATCTGTTTGCTTCCCCGGGACATCTCGTGTCTGTCTGTCTAGGATGTCGACGGTCTGTCAGTGTGAGATTCAAGGTGCAGCAATGCCTTGCAGACTCCAGCATGGATGACCAAGTATCATCATATGCTCAGCATTATAAACACATGTGCATGACAGTTAGCACATACTGAGTGCCCATGAGTGTGCATGTGGGTAATGAGTGTTTTCTTGTTGTTCAGCAGAGGACGAGGTCATCTCATTAGTGTTGGGGGAGGAAGACAAAAAGGAGGCTCTTTCTGGAAAGATGGGGGTTCTTTTGGAAATCTGGATGTAGGGAGAACAGACAGAGACTTTCTGGACTGGGGATTGAGTGGATAAAGTCTCAGGGTCAAGAAGAGGGAACATGGGGAGTTCAGATAGAGTGTAGGTGGGCTGGGCACATGCTGGGCCCCCAGAAGATGTGGGACAGCCATTGATGACAGTGTCTCCACTTGGGTGTCACCTGTATCAGTTTCCTAGGGTTGTTGTAAGAAATTGCCACAAAGGTGGTGGCTTTGAACAGTAAAACTGGATTCTCTCCCAGTTTTGGAGGCCAAGAGAGGCTGATGCTCCCTCTGGACTTTCTAGGGGTGATCCTTCCTGGCCTCTTTTGGCTTCTGGGGCCTCCAGCTATTTCCTGCTATTTCCTTGGTTTGTTGCCTCATCTACGTCTTGTGGCCTCTGCCTACATCTTCATGTGGACTTCTCCCTGTGTCACTGTGGGTCATATCTTCTTCTGTCTTTCTCTTATAAAGACACTTGTCTTTGGATTTAGGAGCCTCACTAAACGTGGGCTTATCTCATTTCAAGATCCTTAATTTGATTACTGCTTCTGAGACCCTTTTTCTAACTCAGGTCATACCCATCCACAGGTTCCATGGACTAGGACCTCAGGGCCACTATTCAACCATCCTTACAGGTTTTATCCTATCTGTGAACCAACAGAAGTGGCCTTAAAATGTGTTTGTAAACAAAAAAGGCAGGGACACACACGGACACTCAGTGCACAATAATGCACATCATCTGGGCTCTCATTGTTTGTAAATCATTTTTGCAGGAAAGTTCTATTATAAACCTAATACAATTAAAACAGAATTGCCCCGGCCACTGCCAGCAGGACATGCTCCACACTTGGGGGAACAGTTGTCCAAGTGACCACGGGTAGCCTCGATGCTGATAGCTATGGGGCCCACTGGCTTCCCTTCAGGAAGAAAGCCCAGTGGCCGGCGGGATGGGGCTCCGCGGAGCCGCCATATGTGAGGATTGTGTTTGTTGGAGCTGAAATCCGTCTGTGGCCTGACTTGTCTGGCTCACACGCTGGCCCTGAGCATGAGGCTGTGTCAGCTGCAGCAGGGACACCTGCTCCTCTCTCCCCCTCCACAGGGGACACAGTTCCCAACGTGTTCCATGGAAGTTGGCACCCCTGCCTCATCTGCAGCTTATCCTGCATGCTCATGGTGACCCTGGGGGCCTCAGTGAGCAGAGAGCCCAGAATGAAAAGCCCTTTCACCCCTTCTTCCCTTCAGCCTCAGGGAAGGGTCCTGCACGCTCACCCCATGGACTAATGGAGGAGTCCCAGAGATCCTGAGCTCCCTCCATGTGGGGGAAATCCCACTTCCATAAACATCCTGTTTCAACATCAGCATTTCATTGCTTTCTTCACACCTAAATCCCAAGAGCAAACTGGGGGCACCAATGAATGGTGAATAAAACCAAATCCCCCCGTCTCTACTAAAAATACAAAAAATTAGCCGGGCGCGGTGGCGGGCGCCTGTAGTCCCAGCTACTCGGGAGGCTGAGGCAGGAGAATGGCGTGAACCCGGGAGGCGGAGCTTGCAGTGAGCCGAGATTGCGCCACTGCAGTCCGCAGTCCGGCCTGGGCGACAGAGCGAGACTCCGTCTCAAAAAAAAAGAAAAAAAAAAAAAAAACAAATCCAAGGAGAAAAAAAAATTCAGAAACAAAACCTGAATATAGATCTAAGAAACAAGTGGCTTTCCATAGCTCAGATTCCTGCTGGGAACACAGCTCCACCACCCCATCCCCTTACATAGGTAATAAGGCCCCAGCAACAGCCTGGAATGGTGACAAATATCTATGCTTTCATGTTTGTTATTTGAGCATCCAGTTGAACCAGGGGCCTAGGTCCCTGGCTCCCATTTTCAAAGGCCCTCCTCTCCAGCAATTAGGAAGGACATGGAGAATGTCCACTGCAGGGCAGCTGTGAGCTGCAGGATGTGGTAGAAGCCCTAGCCCAGAGAATATCAATCACTGCCTGCTCCTTATTGAAGTGTCAGAGAGGGAACCGGGAAGGCTAGTAGGGCAAACCAGCAAGCTGGGGTTGACAGATCATGATGGACACCATGGAGTTGGAGGGTGGAAGAATGCTTTAAAATAAATACCACTGGAAATCAAAGGGGCACAGGGGTTTTATTACCAGCACTTGCCAATACCAATATTTCACAGTAGAGTGACAGGCACTCTGAGGGCACTGGGTGTTTGAAGACAAAGCACTGTCACTTCAAAGGAACCCAGAGTTGAGCCTGGCGGTCCACCACTTATAAACAACTTTCTCGGGTCTCCTTTGACCTGGCGCGTCCTGGATGGAGAGATCAGAGCTGCGTCCTCGGTGAGGGAGCTGACCTTGTGTGTGTGTGTGTGTGTGTGTGTGTGTTTGCTCGTGAGTGTGCCTGTGTTTTTTTCTTTCTGAGGAGAGATGACCTGTTTTCCATGGCAGGACAATGATGGGGTAATCTGTTTTGGGTGACCCAAAGGGCTGTAACTTGGGGAAACTTGGTAGAATCCAACAAAGAAATTGAGAATGACCTTTGTGTAGGTGGAGGTGGGTGGGATTTCTCAATTTAAAGGCAGAGAAAAACTTTAGATACTAATCCTTTTAGGCCAGCTAGAATCAGCAAAACATTCAGAAATAAGAAGTCATGAATACTTGTGTCCAGGGACTGAAATAAGATGTGATAACTGATAATTTTGTCTTCTTTATTTTTTGGAGACACTTCCTGTCAATAACTTGGGAGGATGATGGAGAGAGAGTTTTTTAAAAAAATATTTTTAAAAAAGATGTTTAATTTCCCTCTCTCCTAAACTATTCCAAAAGCATGGTTCTAATCATTTGAATTAACAGATGGCTTGGCAGTGAAGTCATCTGTAAGCAGAAGGCCAGAGGAGTTATGAAGGATAAAGACCTACCGTGTAAGATTGTACATCGATTGGAGTCTGTGAGACTGCCCGGACAACTGAGTCTTTTTTCCCTAATCCTAAATCCGGTAGTCCATTCCATCCAAGTTTCCAGCTAGTGGGTGCAGGAAACTTGAAATTTCTTTTTAAATATCAACTAAGGTGTATTTCCCAGGCACCCCAGGCTGAGTGTGACTAAGAATGGACAGAAGTTTTGCCGTTTTAAAGAACATCCTTCCTCATTGCATTTGCTTTAGGATCAGGGCTGAGGGGTGCACTTAATCTCATAGACTGGGGCTGTCTCATTGAAGGGATTGGTAAGAAAGTTCTTAGATATCAAGTCATTGATGTACCAGGGAAAACAGGCATCTACCTTATAATCCAGATGTTCTTTATGGAGCACTCCAGTCATAAGGTTGGCTGGTTAGGTGGGAACATGAGAACTTTCCCTAATAGACTGACTGCTGGTAAATTTAGACCCCATTCAATTCTCTCTCTCCTTGCCTACCATCACATCCATCCATGCCCTTCAGATTAATTTTCGCAATATCATGGAAATTGATTGCTAAGTGAAATTGCAAATTGTGCTCAAGATGTTGCATTTTGTGAAACTGATAGAAAAGACCATTGGCAGCCTGCTGATTCACACCCATTGGCAGAATCAGACTAGGTGACAAATGAACAAGAGAAAAGTGACAAAGATGATAACTCTAGGAGAGTGACTTGAATATCAGAGGCTTAAGAGAAGTCTTTGGAAAGATTGATAAAGCTCTATAATATTTTTTTGGGGGTGGGAGTCCTTCTTGATGACCTAGCAATTAAAGTAAATGCGAGGTAAATAGTCCATTGGTCTACCCTACAATTTTATGTAAAAATGTATGTCCTCATCAATACTTGACTACGTTTTGTTGATTTTTAACAATTAGCTCATAGTTTGCCATTATAACCTCCAAAATGGAGGTTTATTTTTATTTTATCGTTGTGGGCATATTAGCTTATTTTCACAACTTTTGGTTTTGTCGTTTTTCCAGATAAATTCTCAAAGTCCTTAATACTATTCACTGTGAAATTGTGGTATTGCGAATTAATTGTGAATGAATTCATTTTAGGTGGCCTTTCCCCTGTAGCAATGATCTCAACTAAAGAAGACCTTGTTTACCAAGCTGCTAGGTCATCTCCTCCATGTTTGCATCCAGGGGCCTAGCAATGTAGCCGGTCCTCAATAAAGTTTGTTGAATGAACAATTTAACAAACATAAGTTTCTTTACCTTGAGGTTCCTGAAGCTTAGTTTCAGGTGAAAGCACCAGCAAAGACCAGCCCCCAAATCTTTGAGCATGAACAAGAGCGAGCATGCCACTTGGAGTCTTGGTTTCTGATTGTGCGTTGTGTCAAAAATGGAAAAATCCAGTGGGTTACCAGTGGGATGGCAGTGGAGTAACCGCAAAATTCAACTCTATGGAATCACCATTTTCAACCTTAGGGGTCATCTTATGTCACCTCCGTTTTATGGATGGAAGCTCTGGGGAGGTAAAAGTAGTAACCGAACTGCGAATGTCCTTTCCATGCCTTTTAACCTGACGTCCTCTCTCTCCCACACTACAGTGGGGCCATGTTGTAAAGGCTGGTGAGGTTTGTTTCCAAAGCTGGCCCCCAAGGCACAATCCCTATTGTCAAAATTATCTTTGAGAATCCTGCAAATCTATCATAAGGGTACGATTTGTTTATACAACTCTGAACAGAAATTCTCGTGCACAATATGCGTGAGGACTGCTGAGATGAAAGAAGGAAAGAAAAAAGGCCATCCATCCATGCAGGCAGCTTTGAAGATAAACAGCAAATCCTCCCACTGAAGAGAGGTTAGAAAAATTCCCACGTGTCCCTGCTTCACTGCATGGTGTGTGCCATTTGGTTTTAGCATTAAGCCTCTAAAACTGCTGTGACATCTTAATGGATTGAGTTGTTATGGTGAGGATTAAGCAAGATAGTGGAGTTGTGTCTTCTTGGGTCAGGGAAGGGTGAGCTTCAACAGTCAGGGTGTAGGTTAAATGCATGTGTGATGGGACTGTGCTGCCGTTTCATTTCTCACTTGGAATGCCTTTCTTACTCTAGCATAGGAACTGGGGGGCAGTTTTCCACTGGACAGCTACTCCATGTCATCTTGAGTCAGCTGGTGCCACTCAGTCAAAGACCGTCCCTTCTAGCCCAAGGAGAAATTCACAGCAAATCATGTCTTGAAAATGCTCTTCCCACTATTTTCCCAGTTAGAGTCTCACTTAGGAAGACAAGCTTCGCATGTATGTGTGTGTGTCTGCACATGTGCTCACATGCTCTTGTGTCAGTTTTCCATTAGAAAAAGCAATTGAAAATTACACATCCATATGAAGGGTGATGCCACCTAAGCAAAAGCTGCCGAAGATTCTCTGTTGTGGTTACACAATTTCTGATGAGGTCACTGATCTGAAATGATTATTATTCAGAATGTAGGGAGGTAGGGGGATGAAGGCAACGTCATTGATTTTGTTTGTATTTCAACTGGGACATCCTGTTCTCTGTGATCCTAATGCCCATCAACATACAGCCTTATTATCATTCTCCTAATATGACAGTTATTGACCCTTGGGCTGCAAAAAATAATCTCATAAATAGATTTTCCCTGTTTTTATATTTATCTGCACATCTCTTTCTAGCCGATGACATATCAGCTTTGTAAAAAATTATTATTATTGAAAACCTCTGTGCTAAAAGTTCCATTAACTGAGACCTGTTCTATTTACTCGAATGCTTGGGTACATTAAAACATTCCGTGGTATAAAGAGTGCTCTTATATATTTCCTTAGAAACACATTTTGCGGAACTGAATGGAGAACATTGATGTGGTTGAGGTTAATTATTTGGGCTTTTGCTGGGCACATTGGAAGTCGTGCCGCTTCTCCTGGTACACAGACTAAAATTGGAACAGTGAAGAGGAGCTGAGCATGGCCCTGTGCCCAGATGACACATCTGAAGTCTTATTGATTGAGGGAGATGTTTTATTGAACGATAAGAACTACATTGAGTTTATGGTTTTGCAATTTCCTGCAGCTGGCATGGTTTATAACAGTAAACACAGCAAGGTTCAGGGCTATATTTCCAATGGAGATTTTAGAAAACTCTCTCAATAACTAAACTCAGGAGGCACTTTCGATTTAGGAAGCTCATATGCATTTATTCCCTTGGACACACTTGTGATGAGTGACTTTTATCCTCTTTTGGCAGATGGAGAAACTGAGGCTTAGAGAGTTGTCCAGTGACTTGCCCAGAGGCACCCAGATGATTGATCTGGGGATCAGCACTGAGGCCTAAATTGAAATCATCTAGGTGCCACCTTCAGAACTTTTGTTGCATCTACATGTCACCTATGTGATTCTTTACTTATTTTTTCTCCTAGGTGCACTTACAAAAAAACTTAAGTCCAATTATTTCAAGAGAAGCTGTTTATCGATACTGAAAATGAAAAGTTAATATTATGTGCCATTAAGGGAACATGGCAAAAATATAAACCCTACAATGTTTTTGGTAAATAAGTTCTAGCCAGAATCTGTTGTGAGCTGAAGTCCATGAGCCCTAGGAATACCCCTTCTGCTAAAAAGAGATTTGGAAGTGTTAGGGAAGCATTCAAGATGCATTAGCACCTAGTCGAGACTTTCTTCTCTCCTTAATCAGAAGATTAAAAGAGAATAGAAGAGAGAACAGCTTCATCATTGTGCAATTCAGTTTTATTTAACTTTTTGCTTATCAATCACCTAAAATAACCACCAACCCCCACACCCTTCCCTGGGCCCCTCTCTTGGAGAGCCATACCCCCTTTTTTTCTGTCAGTAGGATCCTCATTGGCTTGCATTGTCTCATCTAGAATTTTCTCAATTTTTGTAAGGCTTTGACCTGTATGGATTTAAACCACTGAACCAATTCAGCAGAATTGACTGCAGAGGCCATGGGCAACATTCTGCAAAGACCCTCCTGGAAGAGCCTTCCCTTCTCTGCTTCACTGGGCTAGGGTGAGAGGCACTTGCCAAGAGTTTCGGAGGCAGCCTGAATCCCTGCATTTCTTATTGATTGATTGACTGAGATGGAGTTTCACTCTGTCGCCCAGGCTGGAGTGCAGTGGCGTGATCTCGGCTCACTGCAACCTCTGGCTCCCGGAAACCCTGCATTTCTAAGATTCTGGGACACTGATTGGGAGCCCATGGTGGGCATGCTGCCTGTGCCAGGAGGAAGTGGTACACACATGATAGAGAGATGGCCAGTGTGCCAGGGTGAGTGGGGGACAGGCACATGTGCAGTGGGGGCTCACAGGATGGAATGCGTGATAGACAGATGGCTAGTGTGCCAGGTGCATGGGGGACGGGCGCAGGTACAGTGGAGGCTCACAGGACAGGGCATCACCTGCAGGACTTCTCAGGCCTCAGTCGGGGCCTGAAATTTTTTTCCTGAGAACAACAGGATTATGCAGATAATCCCATTTAGGTTTTCTAAAGATCACTCTAGACACAGAGTGGAGCAAGAATTGGGGTAAATAGAGTGGGTATGAGGTGACTGATTAGAAGACCACTGACAGGTGGGGCACTTTTGTTCTTAAAAAAAAAAAACTTGGCAAAAGTGATGCTCCACCTAGAGGGGCAAAAAAGTTAATTATTAGTTTTTAATTACACGTGTAATCATGAATAATACTTAACACATAAAAATGCAATAGATAAGGCTGATGTTCAGTTTCACCACTACCCCATCCCAATACCATCCTCAGGTAAAATGACAGTTTGGAGTCTGGAGTACATCTGACAGATCTTCATCTCTGTGTGTGTGTGTGTGTGTGTGTGTGTGTGTGTAACACAGCAGCAGCACACTGCACATCTCATTGCACAACTTGCTCTTTTTACTCAAAAATGTTTTGTGGTTCCACACTGTGAAAACATGTAGCTCTGTCTCAACTTCCTGAGCAGGGACAGAGTCCCTCTGGGTGGGAATACTCTTATTTATGAAGCCATTCTCCTATTAACGAAGAGTTTGGTCATCACCAGTGTTTCACACTTGCATCATGCTCCTTGGACACACTGTTTATATCTCCTTAGCCCAGGCAGGGTTTGCTCTAGGGAATAACCAAGAAGAGAAATTGCTGGGTCTTTGAGTGTTGTGTTGCACATTTTTAATAGCCATTTTCAAATTGCTTCCCAGTTTATACCCCTACCAGTAGCATATTAAATACCTCTCTTTTCCTCCAGTTTATAAAACTTTTTCTTCTTTTCCCCTTGGATGAGTAAAAGATGCTACCTTCTATGCCTGTGGATGGGAGGGCCTTTCCAGCCCTCCTTGATTCTCACTAGGGGTCTGTTATCCATTCTGTCCGTGGAAGGCTGGCATTCTCTAGTAGAAAAAAAGAACATGGAGGGACGATAAGACTCGTTTATTTATTTATTTATTTTTTTAAATCACAGAGAAGTAAGTTTCTCTTGACCAGATGTTATGTCCACTGGGCACAATTTGATATTCTCACCAAATATTAATAGATGTGTTCCTCAGCAGAGGCACGATGGATCAGCCTGCTCTGGGGGGACTCTGTCACTGCAAAGGACATCAAGGCCTTCCTCTGTGCCCAGCCAATTCATTAGACCCAGTTAGCAATTTGCAAAAGAGATGAGTTGATCTGCAGGCTGCCAAGCCCCAGTGTTACTCAGCTACCTCCCAGAAAGCTCAGAGAAGCCCTGGCCTCCCAGGAGCCTGAGAGAGCAAATAGTAATATGTGAGGCTTTAGGCAGAGGCTGAGCAGAGTCATCATTCCTCATTATAAACAGAAGCCAGAGAGATGAATTTCTCAGCCCTTCCTGGGTTAGGGTGGGATTTGGGGCCATAGTCCAGACTCCCGGGATAAAATGAGAAGGCTCACAAAGCTGGGGCTCCCAATATGAGAGCAGTGTTTCTTTTTTCAAGCTTTTATTATTCCCAAACAGATTCCCTGGTTATCTTATTTTGAAATGTTGCTACTGGAGGCAGAACTTTAAACTCTGCATGCCTGTATTAGGAGGGACTCTTTGAGGTGTGAGGAAAAGAGGCTTGATTCAAATTGGCTTAGACAAACAAACAGAACCCAATTCATTATCTCACAGAACAGAGAGAATTGCTTCAAGCTCAGCTGGGTTCAGAGGCTCTGCAGGTGGGTGTGTTCGTCTCTCTCCATCTCTGGGCAGCTCTGGTCCTGCCCAGCTGTTCCATGCTTGTGTTAGCGTGACTGTTTTTTTTTTTTATATATATAACTGAGTCCCTAAACTCAATCTAACTGGCCTGGTTTGGTCATGTGGCTGTCCTTGACCCTGTCACTGGGGATGTTGAGCGGCCAGGTATGGGTCCTGCACCTGTCCATGTACTGAGGGTTGGGTTGGGGCCATCTTTTTGCTACAGCCATTAAGAGGAGGCCAAGGAGGGCAGATCACCTGTGGTCACGAGTTCAAGACCAGCCTGGGCAACATGGTGAAACCCCCTCTCTACTAAAAATATAAAAATTAGCCGGGTGTAGTGGCATGCACCTGTAGTCCCAGCTACTTGGGAGGCTGAGGTAAGAAAATTGCTTGAACCCAGGAGGTGGAGGTTGCAGTGAGCCAAGATCGCGCTACTACACTCCAGCCTAGGTGACAGAGTGAGACTCTGTCTCAAAATAAAAAATACAAAATAAAAAGAGTAAATGAGAGATGGTTCCCCCTAAAGAAGTGGGGGTCAGGCAAGTAATCACAGCAGATGTCCCCTCTTCCTCCATGCAGACATGGGGAAACCATCTTACTCATGGCTTAATGCAATTAGGTATGCATTTGTGAGCCACTGAGTGTCTTTTGAAGCCCCATGAGAGGAGAGGAACAGAAGATGGCTTGAGCCCTCACCTCAAGGAGGTTAGGAACCGGTTGGTGGACCAAGACACCTTTGTGAGACAGATGAGAGTCACGTGGCCTGAGGGTCCCAGGTAATTACTGGGGCCTGTTCTGTGCCAGGCAATGTGTGGGAGCAGGAAGAGAGGCAAACAAGAACATGACATGGCCCTTGTCCTTAGGGAGAGCCCAGTGTGGCAAGGGGAGCCGGCACAGACTGGTAAACAAGTCATTACAAATGCAGTGCGGTGAGCTCGCTGATATGATTAAGCTTCCAAATGAGGGATCCTGACAAGGCCTGCTGGAGCGGAGAGGGGAGAGTGTGCTAGCATAAACAGGAGCATAGCAGGGGGTGGGGCATGCTTCCGACGCTCACCCCAAAGGCTTCTCCATTCGGCCCCCCACTGCAGAAAGGAATGTCAGCAGGGCATGTGGGAGAACCGAAGGCCGTCACTCTTTATCATGCCTTCTTTCATCCCTCGATCATAAAGAATTTTTGCCATATACTCTAAACTGCTGGGAATGGAGCACTTAACTACTATGTACTTATTTATCTAAAATGCTAAGTGTTTCCCTTAGCAATCACTAATAGATTCCTGTAGAAACGGAGTGCCATGATTAGAATTCTGATGTCTGTGCCGACAGAAGGTGGGAAGGCAACAATAGGTAGTGCACTAATGATGGGTTCAGTGGGCAGGTGGGTGGGTAGGACGATATAGTCATTGAAGGAGAAGGTTGAAATATGGGCATTTTAAAGATAAATATGTGTTTATGTTAAAAGTTGAGAGAGAGAAAAGAGGAGAGGGAGGGAGAGAAACTCTCATACCTTCAATCCCACACCTGAAATGGGGACGGTTCTGCTTTTGAAAGACTTTCTGAAAACCGTTCTCATATTTGAGTTGGAAGACCCCCTTCTCAGCAGAGGGCCACAAATGAATCCTGAGTTTTGTTCTGGAATTTTCCTATGCAACGTGCTGGAACCAGTAGCCAAATAGAATCAGTGGATGAGGCAGGAAGAAAAATGAGGATCTCAGGGATGGAACTCAACAGGCTACAAATGGGACACAAAAGGCAAGACTCACTCTCAACAAAATCACGGAGGCACCAGGTGCGCCTTGCGGGGTCTGTTTCCCCGACACCCACCTGCTGCCTGGTCTTCACAAGGGGCCAGGCCCTTTTGGTTTGGAGGCAGATGAGCCTGTAGGATTAATTCTAACTAAGGTGTGAGTGGAACCTAGGGGAGAAGTAACTTTAGGGGCTACAGAGAGAAACCTTCAGTGACACTGACTCATAATGGGAAGGTGATTCTCCTCTCAACTCCCTCTCCAGCCTCTTGATCATGCCATGGAGAAAGTCTTGTTTTGATTCCATCTTTAACACTTGCCTAAACCCCTTCCTAACCTCCCTTTTAATCAGAGAGAAAGAGGTTAGGTCTCAACATCTAGCTAGAATTTGAGAACACAATTCTGTTTTTATTGTTTTTTTTAAAGAAGAATCTGCTCCTTCTGATGCCAGACACTCCAAAGTCTCCTCAACCACCTTACTCCATTAACCTTGGAAAGCCTAACGTTTCCCTTTCTCTCTCAGCCTCCTTTGAGGCCAAGGCTGGTACAGGATAAATAATTTTGCTTTCTGGATTTAGAGGAATTGGTTTGAGTCTTGACTTTTACTAGTTCTTTGGGCAAAATTTGTTCCTTCTCATTGTCTCAGGTCCTCATCTGTAGAATGGGGCTGGAGTTTCTGAGTCCATAATTCATTTAATCTGGTGCCCAAGAACCCCATGAAGCCTGTCCAGGAATACCTGACTCATTTGCCCTTGAGATTGAGGAGAGGCTCAAGTTACATGAGACAGTGACTGTGAAAGTGCTGTGTGAACTACAAAGGACTTTACAGTGTGTGGTTATCATGGCTGGGAGGTGGCAGGGGTGAGCATACACTGAATTTTCCCCCCAGGTCTGGACAAGACGTCTTCAAGCCAAAGGAGGGAGGCAGTGAATGGTGCAGGTCCATACTTTCCCCAGCAGGGAGCTCGTAGGGATTCGGGAGTACATTCTGGGCCCTTGAGTTTGTGCTACATGCATGCCTATGGTGCTCTTCCTGCCGGGGTGAGACTTGCCCTCCAGGTTGAGAAAATGACGAAACTGGAATAATCCTCCAAGCTCCAACTCGTCCCAGAGGCCTCCCTGGCAATACTGTGCTCTTGTAGGGACCCCATCGTCCTCTAGGTAAATAGTTCACACTGGCCCTCACCCCACTGCTGGCTGCTGGCAGGGAGCATGGGGAATCTGCTCCAAAAACAACCATTGCTTCCTGCAGTAGCATTTTGAGAGTTTCCTCCAAATGTTTTTCCTCATCTAATTTTCAGTATGGCCCCGTGGGGTCAGGAGGTGATGTGTGGCCAGCCCTGTCCTAATTAGGAGTCTTGCCCAAGTTCATACGTTGAGGAAAAGAAATGCAAGCTCAGTTCCAAGGTTTTTCCCTTGCTAAAACTCTTAAAATTTTGGCTTGCTTATTTCCTTAACTTCCAAAGGACATGAACAAGTGATTTTTGTACCACCCTCCACATAGACATTAGCGATCATTTTCAGTCATTTTCAGCTTTCCGGTTTTGCTAGGAGGCACCTGGCGTGCCGGGAACGGACAAAAGCCATTTTTCTAAGTACTAGCGTTTGAAATTATTAAGTGTTCGTTAAGCACCCCCGGGTGCAAAGCACTCTCAGAGATGTTTATTTCTCAATTTTCCATAATTTCCTTATTTTTTTTCCCCTACCTAAAGGCAGATTGAAAAATGAACTCAGTGCATTGGAGTCTGAATCATAGTTAATGTGCGACGCCCCCTCCCTTAACTGCGCTGTTTTCTTTCTGCCTCCTCCTGTCTCCCAGCTTATCAATCTGATAAAGTTCTTTTTAACCCCTACTCAGGGGCTGTAACTTTTGCTTTATTCCCACGGGCATGGCAGGAAGCGATCAACGCAGAGCCCCGAACCCCACTCGCCCCACGGGCTGGGCTGAGCTGGGCTGGGGGTCGAGCTCAGCGAAGCCTCGGGAAGGCTGCAGGGTGCCCGGGCGGGCGGCGGGGTGGGTGCGGACCCCTGGCTGGGCGCTCCCGAGACCCCCCTACCCTGGTGGGTGGGCGCCCGGGGGCCTGGAGAGCCGCCTAGCCACGTGGATGCTTCTGGAAGAACACAAAGCCCGGGCCCCCTCCGCCCCCGCCGGCGCCAAGCCTCAATCTTGCAGGAGCAGAGAAGAAAGGCTCTGTTTTTCTCTCTCTCTTTTTTTTTTTTTGTGTGACAACAACCTCACATAACCTCAAAAGTTACCCATGAATTTACCAAAACTTTTTATGAAACTATTTTAACCTCTGGTGGGGGTTAAAAAACAAGCCTTGTGAATTTATTACCCGGAAGAAAGCGCAGAGGGCTGGGATTTACAGCAAAGCCGCCTTCCAAGCTCCGCGGGGGCCCCCTAGCGCCCATCGCGGGCACCGCCGAAGCCCGGCTCCCTCCTCGCTCCGCGGCGCAGCACGGCCTGGAGTCCGGTCTGGGAGGGAGGCGGGCGGACCCCAGACTCGTGCAATCAGGGGCACCTGCTCTGAACACCAGGGACCTGGCGGTACAAATTTATTTTATGTTCGTAGGGGTTTCCGTGGTAGAACCAAGGGAGCAGGCTGAAGCCGAAGGAAGGGAGAGCAGGGTTTTGATCCTAGTTCCTTGGCTTCTGCAAATCGGCTGGGACCCCCCGCTGAGCAAGCGACTGTCGTCACGGCCCCCGCACCAGACGACCCCAGCCTGTGGATGATGTTTCACTGCCCTCACATAAACGCCACCCAGAAATGCAAGAGTAAGAATGTTCACGAAGAGGGGAGGCAGGAGCCCCAGCTGATAACAGGAGGAGGCAGGAAGGGGGCCTTGGAGGAGGTCAGAGGGGGGACATTATTTCAGTTTCCCAGGACCAGGGTGAGAGATGGGGGTGAAAGAAGAAAAAGGACAAAACGAGGTGCCGAAGGCTCTATTGGGTGCTCTCTGTCCGCAGGGATGTAAAGCAGAATCCAGGATTCTGCCGCAAAATGCAGGCTCCCAATCGCTGCACGGTGACCAGGACTCCCGGACCCTTCGCTTGCCAAGTGTGTGCGATGGTTCCTTCCTCTCCAGCTTGCAGACACACTGGTTCTCTTTCAGAACTAGCCATGTTTTTTAAAAGCACATGGAAAAATGTTAATAAGCAAACGTTTTAACAGAGAGATGCAGGAGGAACGAGCCGGCAGCAGCCTCCCAGCAGAGGCAGCGGTGCTCCAGCGGCTACGGGAACGGGCCTCGGAGGAAAGCACTCGGGCTCGCTGCCGAGTTTCACCACCTGTAGTCATGTCATCCTAGGGACGTGTCTCAGCTCTTCTGTGCCTCGGTTTCCCCATCTGTAAAATGGGGGTGATAGTAACACTACACAAAATATATCTAGAATTTGAAAGAGTGCTTTGAATCATATAACCTTGGCTGTTGTGTGGTGAGGCCAGCTGGCTGGTATTCATCTAGCTCTACGGGGAAGGCAGAACCCAGATTTCACGTTAAATAAAATCTCTCAATTTTTACAGGGTGCTAATTTAAACACACATACACGCACGGACGTGCACTTGCACACATACCCCATCTGGGCCCAAATACAGTCAGCTAGTTTGAGACCTTTACTTCAAAGGCTGCCAGGAGGCCACGGGACAGGAGGGAGGAAGGAAGGAGTCATCTCTCCCTGTCATCCACCACCCCCACATCCAGGCCACTGGAGCCAAACACTGAAACCGGTGTGGCCAGCGCTCTTTTGGGGGTGGATGGATTACGGGGAAACACGTCCTTCTTTTCCGTTCCCCCTGGGAGAATATAGCAGGGCACCCACTTTGAGTACCCTCGCACCAGGAGGCCTTCAGAAGCCACCTTGGAAATGTGATGGTGCGTGGCGGGTGGGGGGACTTCCTCTTGTTCCTGGAGACCTGCTTCCCCTCCCAACAAGTGCGTGCTCTGCACGCCCGGCTTCTCACCAGCCCAGGTACCTCGCCGCCTGGGTGCTTTGAGGTGCCCATGGGCTTCTCATCCGTGGTTTGGTAGCATCCTCTTCCAAGCTGACTTCTCATGTATTCCAGGAGGCCAACACTCTCCTGCACCCTAGGGCAGAAGAGCACTGGGTGGGGGGGCGCCTCTTCTGCCTCGTCCCATCCCAGCCTTCTTTTGTTCCCTCCTGATGGCTTACCCTGATGCCCTGATCATCTGATATACTCTAATTGCCCCATTGCCTTGACGAATCCGACTGTTCTTTGCACTTCATCCAGCCCTGCTAGCTTCACTCCTTCAAGCATCCATGCATTCAGTAGCTGTTTGCTGGGCAACTGCTAGGCATTAGACATTGTTTCTTGAGAGGCAAATCAGGCACATTCCTCTGACTTTCGATTGTTTCTTAAAATGTTGAGGTTTTACAGTTGAACAGAGAAGGTTTAATAGTCGTTCAATCTAATCGAGAAAGCAACAACAGGAATTACTTGCTACAGTGATTCCAAAAGGGCAGCCCAGAGAGAATACTGAGAACCAAAGACATGTATTCTCATTCATCTTTGTCCAAACAAATTAAATATGTTATTGATTTTTAAAAGTCCCTGCATGAATGGTTGAAAAGTAATTGGTTTTGTATGTTTTAATATGAAAACAATATTTTTAAAAATTGCTTCCTGGATTTGTAGGGTTTTTAAATTTTGTGATTTTTTTTTTTCCTTTTTCATTCTGTAGAGTAGAATACTGCATGCTTTTAACTGGTGGGGGAAAAGCTCTTTATTAGTCTTTTCATTAGTCTATATCTGTTGTGTTCCATTGTGTTTAATTTCAATTAATCTGGATTCATTTAAGTAATATTCCATTATAGGTTCAATGCATGTATATTTTTTTTAACTTAAGAAATGGGGAACATTTTTTGGTCAATTTTAAGTAACTCTGCATTAAAGCTAAGAAAACCCACTTAACGTGGTTTACTCTGGAAGTCTCCTTGAAGAAGAAGTTGTTCTTTTTTATTTTGTTAGGTTTTGTGTTTACCTTTCCCAATCTCGCCTTGGATTTTCCACGGCTGGTTTAGCAAGACTTGCTTTGGTCCTGACAGCTCAAGTCTTTCAGTGCTTCTGAGGACGCAGGGCATATTTCTTCTTTGCTTCCAGTTTCACTACTCAATAAATTTGTGGAGTCACCAAGCAGTCATCTGTGTAGTTTGATAAGGCAGAAAATGATGATTTCTCTATTATTTTGCTTAGAAGGATGAGAAACTAGATTAATCAACGTCTGTTGGAAATGCCTCTTTATAGAAAAGACTGGCTTCTTTCATCAGAGTCATGATCTGTGGCTCATATGCAGACACATTAGATGGTTTTCCAGGGGACAGGAGCAGACGATCAAACTCTGAATTTTAAGTCTGTCATTAGATGACGTGAGGTAAACTTTAGTCAACCTTTATTATGGTTAGGAGGGTGGTGGGGGCCAGCAGGCCTCCATGGAGTTCACCCATCTCATTCTCTGGGGCATCAGGGAAATCGTGCAATGTCTGTAAGAGTTAGGAGAATGGTGTGGGTTACCATTCTTGGTAGAAAGAGACTAAAACCCAGCTCAAAAAGGTTTAAGCACAAAAGGGAATTTGTTTGCTCATGTGATGAAAGAGCCCAGGGTAGCTCCAGCTGGATCCAGGGATGTAAACAATGTGACCAGGTCTCTGTTGATCCCTCTTCAAATCAGAGTAGACGTTCCTTTGGGTTGCCTTCATCCCTAGGCACATGGTGGCCTCATGGCCCTGGCTTATATTATACCTACTTTCTGTTCAAAATCCCATCATCAGTGTGGGTCTTATGCCTGGCCCCGAACCTTCTACTTGGCCAGGTGGGTGGAATATGCTCACTCCAAGAGATGAAAAGGAGTGGTCATAAGTCACCCAGCTTATATTGAGGAGGGATGTTCTCTAAAGGAGAACTGAGGTGGGGCATGGCTGCTGAACACACAGCACAGATGTCGATCACAACCTGACCTGCTTCCTAATGGGTAGAGGTGCTCAGTGAGTTGCTTGGCCAGCAAGCTGCCTTCTCCATGTTTTGTGCTACAAGTGATGTTGGTAGTGGATGCTGTTGGTGTCCTGTCTAGAACCCCTCTCCACCAGGCCAGGCCTCCACCCATTCCCATCTTTTTCTTACCCCTCCCTGCTTCCCTTATTCCCTCCACATTTTTCTTGAGAGTACCCCTTTAATAAAGCACTTTCACAAGAGCCCAAGTTATATGTAAATCATGAAATGCAGCTCTTTCTCGTTCATGCCCGATATAAGGCTATCACCTATTTTCTCAACACAAAGACTGAAAATTTTGGGGCCAACCCGAAATATATAAAGATGTAGAAGAAAAAGGCAAATTTCTACTGTAGTTTATTAATCTAGTTGCCTCTGTCCCTTTAAATCATGTGTTACATAAAATCTTAGTTTGGGGACATTATGTTTTCTGCTCACATTTTGCAAAGCAATTCTAGCTGAACTTGTAGCATGCATCTTTGATAATGTCTTTGTCATCATCACCAGAGCCACTTGTTTGAGTCATCTAATGGAGTTTTCAGAGCGTAGCATTTCACTTTCATCCCAGCTCTTTGAGATTTAGTCCTTTTAGAATCCAAGTACAATGTCATAATAGAAATCTATCCATAGCCATAAGCACCCATTCACCTGACATTAGGACAGTCACTTTCATTTCTCCCGTAGGTGCCTATTTGCAATTTCCAGCAAATAAACATGTTCTCTTTTACTTTTTAAATCAGTCTTTAAGAGACTTGTTTACAATAGCATCCAGTGCTCGCTTATAATTGTATCCCAAATGCTCAAGAATAATGACTAAATTTGTGTTAAAGGTTCCCCTTCCGTCACCTTTTTCTAAACCAATTTTCTCAGATGATGTCTATAAGTGACCCAGACCAGCACTGAATGGCGTCATTTCAGGCTAATGTATCTTCCCAAACAGTATTATGTAATTCAAAATGAAGTAATTGAGAGAGTTCTCTGTAAAATGGGAGCCTTTGTATGAATTTGATTTTTAAGGGAACTATTTTCTGAGATAAATTTTGGAGGAAAAATCTCTTACACTGAGACATATCTGCTCCTTAGTGTCATAGGTGCTCTGAGATCTCATTAGAGGGATTGAAATGGGACCAACTCCACTTGCTTGACTCAGATGTAACATTTGGAAAGTAAAATAACATTTGGCTGGATATGGAGAAATGCCTTCTTTATTTTAATACAAACAGAAGTAGAAAAAGACCTAGTATCTAATTGGAGGATCCAGTCATACAGGGATATTTGGGAGCAACTCTATCTTCTCATGCATTATTTTAAACAAGCATTTGTTTTAACTTTCATTGTTTTGAATACCCTCAAACTTCAGTTATATTGATTCCTCATCCATATTATAATTGGTTTCCATTGTCTTATATTATGTAATAAGAATAGTAGTAGGAATAGTCTTAGCTAACACCATCATAAACACCTCAGTGGGGTTTATGTTTCTGATGGATCAGTCACTATTATGGGCCCATTTTTTTTCTCTTTTTGAAAAAAATACAAGCGCCATAATGATAGTCACTTTAAAGATGAAAAAACATGCATAGAGAAGTTAAGTGACTTTACTGGAGGTTACAGGAAAAGCAAGAGCTATGAATCTAGGAAGTTTGACTCCAGACCCTTGTTAGGAAACACTGGGCTTTCCATTTCAACCACATAGGTTATAGTGATAATTGCAAATAAATATTCAGAAAAAATTTTCATAAAAATATGCATATTAATCATCATAAATATATAACATATGCATGTTATATATCAAAGGGACCATAGGCATATTTGTAACACAGCAGTATCTGCTTTCTATCAAATGTATGTTTACCTGTGATGTAAGTTAGATATTGTTGTGTAGCAAACCACGCTAAAACTCAGTGTCTCGTGGCAACATGTGTTTATTACTGCTCATGGATCTCTGAGTCACCTAGGTATTGGCTGGTTTGAGCCAGGCTCAGCTGATCTTGCTGGGTTTGCTCATTCATCTGTGGAGCCAGCTGGGGGAAATGCTGGCAGGTTGATGGGAAATTGGCTGGTCTAGGATGGCCTCACTCACAGACATGGAAGTTAGTTGGCTGCTGACAGCCAACTAACTTCCATGCTGCCAACCAACTTCCATGCTGCCAACCAACTTCCATGCTGCCAACCAACTTCCATACTTGTGAGTGATGCCATTCTAGACCAGCCAGTGGGTGTAGAAGACCAGCCAATGGGAACATCCTAGGCCTAGTGAGGCCATCCTAGACCAGCCAACGGGGGTGAAAGAACTTTATGTCTTCCATCCTCCCACGAAGGCTGGGCATGGTGACAGAGAGAGGAGAGAGAGAGGGCAAGCGAGTGAGCACAGCAGCACAAAGGGCTCTTTAAAAAGTGATATATATTAGTTGCACATTTTTTGCAGTCCATGTGATATTTTGATACCTGCATACAATGTGTAATGACCAAGTCAGGGAAATTGGGATTTCCATCACCTCAAATGTTTATCTTTTCTTTGTGTTGGGAACATTATAAATCTTCTAGCTATTTTGAAATATACAGTAAATTGTCATGTAATTTGAATTTCATTACTGTACTATCAAATACTAGATTTTATTCTTTCTGACTATATTTTTTGTACGCCTTCACAAGTTTTTCTTTATCTGCCCCTCTCCTTCCCTTCCCAGCCTCTGTTAACCACCATTCTACTCTCTACCTCTGTGAGATCTACTTCTTTAGTCTCACGTGAGTGAGAACATGTGATGTTTTTCTTTCTGTGCCTGACTTATTTCACTTAACATAATGACCTCCAGTTCTATCCATGTGGCTGCAAATGATAGAATTGTATTCCTTTTTAATGGCTGAATAATATTCCATTGTGTATACATACCACATTTTCTTTATCCATTCATCCAGGTATGGGCTCTTAGGTTGATTCCACATCTTGGCTGTTGTGAATAGCGTGGCAGTAAACATGGGAGTGCAACTATCTCTTTGGTATAATGATTTCCCTTCTTTTGGCTAAACACCTAGCAGTGCAAGGCCCTTGAGACCTAGATTGGGAACTGGCATGGCATCACCTCTGTTGCATTCTGCTGGCCAAGGAGAGTCACAAGACCAGCTGAGATCTGAGGCATGGGAAAATCAGCCCCACCTCCTGATGGTCCTGATGGGAGACCCTGAAAATCACATTGCATAGGGCATGAATACGGGGAGTGGTGAAGAATGGAAGCTCTTTTTCCCCAAGCAGTCAACCATACCTTCTACTTTAGGCATGTGTAGCAATTTAGAACACATTTGCTAGAAACTTTTAATAAACAAGTGATTTATTTTTCCATATAACAAGGCGTCTGGGTATAGGTGGTCTGGTTACTATAGCTGGTCCAGGATATTACCATTGACCTAGGACCTTTCTCTGTTCCTGCCCCACCCACCCCTACTCTTTTCATTTAATTTTTTGGGTGGCATGATCGCAGCAGCAGGGTGAGGCACCATGCTTGTGTTTCAGGCAGGGGGGAAGGAAAGAACCTGAAGCCCTAAGGGGTATGCCTTTCAAAAGCTCTCTGGAGGGCTTCCAGCAATTCCTCTGTACAGCTCATTGTCTAGAACTGGGTCACAAGACTAGCCTGGCTTTGGGGAATGCTGGAGAAAGAATATTCTAGAGGGGCACTAAACATCACTGGAGTCTTACTGGTGAGAAAGAAAGGGGAGAATGAGGGTAGGTTGACATCTCACAGTGTCTTCCCCCAGCATGTAATACTAGTTTTCCATCTGAGACAATAATATAAAATTAATTTTTAAAATAATCTTATTTAAGTGAAAAAAGGAATTCATTAAACACTTGAATGTAATTACTAGTCTAAATCATACGTTGGCAAACTTTTGCTGTAAAAGACCAGATAATTAAATTTTTTTTGTCTCTGCTAGCCATGCTGTCCTGTCGCAACTATTCAATACCATTGTGGGGAGAAAACAGCTACAGACAAAAATGTAAACAAATGGAACCCCACCTCTACTAAAAATACAAAAATTAGCTGGGCATGGTGGCGGGTGCCTGTAATCCCAGCCACTTAGTAGGCTGAGGTAGGAGGATCGCTTGAACCCAGGAGATGGAGGTTGCAGTGAGCTGATATCAAGCCAGTACACTCCAGCCTGGATGACAGAACAACAGAGTGAGACTCTGTCTCACAAAAATAAATAAATAAATAAATAAATAGAAATAAACAAATGGACATGGCTGTGTTTCAATAAAACTTTATTTAAAGATAAATGGACATGGCTGCATTTCAATAAAACTTTATTTACATAAACAGAATGCAAAAGAGATTTGGCCTGTAGGCTATAGTTTGCTGATGCCTGGTCCAGATAATTTGCAGATATAACAAAACAATGAAGGCTTAATATTTGGTGGTTGACAGACATAGCAAATTTACCAAGGAGATATGGGGATAGCCAAAGTTTAGGAACTAGGCTAAAGTTTAGAGCTCACACTGTAACCTTTCACATTACCATGGTATTAAGTACAATACAGTTTTGGCACTCTCATGAAGACTGAAAATGCCAATGAGTTTAAATAGATACATAAAGTTTGTTTCTCTCACAAATAACCACCGGGTGAGAGCAGTCTGGGTCTATTATGGAAGCTCCATTGTGTGCTGGAGGCCAGGTTTCTTCTGTCCTGTTCCTCTGCTCTCTTCACCATAGGTTTTCCCCTTATTTTTTTGTGGTCAAGGATGGCTGCTCCAGCTCCTGCCATTAGATCGGCATTCCAGCTGAAAGAAAGAAGAAAAGAGGAAGGAGAGAGTACCTACTTCCCTGTAAGGACATGCGGTGGATATTGCATGTATCACTGCCTCTCATATCGCTTTAGCCAGAAATGAGTTACCCGGTCATACTTAGCTGTAAGGAAACCTGGGAAATGTAGTTTTCAGCAGAACAACAATGTACTGTAGCTGGAAAATAGGTTCTTATTACTGAGGAAAAGGATCAGAAATAGGCAACTTGCATGCTCTGCCACATGAGCTAGAGATCTAGATAAGGTGAAAGTCCACATGTGTTTTTCCTTAGAAAGACTAATTTCAGTTTGTCTTCATGCCAGAATGACATTTTCCAGGCACCACTTTCAGGCTAAGATTTCCCTTATGCTTCAACCATTAGTCTCTCGAGGCAGTAGTAAAATCTTATTCATTATTGTGCTCCCCAGCACGGTGTAAAAAGTCAAGTTAAAAAAAAATGACAGACTTTTAAATTCTAGTTAGAGAAGAACGTCTTTTTGCTTGTTTGTCTGAAGAAAGTAAGTGATACTGTTTCAAGAGTCTTATGCCTAAGCACCCATGTTCCATGTTCATGTTTATGAGCCTGGAGATGCACACTGCTCTCAATTTCTTCCGCTTTCAAACATTTCTGTTTGAAACCTCTCTGCACTTTCTCCCCACTGTCCGCCCCTTGCCGTTTGTAAAAGAAGGAGCAAGGTCTCCCCTTTGTCAAGGCAGCTATGGGTGCTGCACCTGGGGAGGTTAGTTTTCTTCCTTGTCACTTCCAGTCAGTTATGGCTGCTTTTCCACTATTGCCCACTGAAGAATTCTCAAATTATATGGTGAGCTACGGTAATAACAGAAGTAAAAACACCTTGCTGTGATTTACACAGAACAAGGCGTGAGAGATTGTCACCACTGCATGAAGTGTCCCATTATTTGTATATATTTTGCTGTTCCTTCCCAGTGGACCCCACTGATCACTGAGGGAGATCTTATGGATAGACCCGTACACCCTTCCAGAAAGTTAATAGTGTATGTAACGAGAGAAGAGAAACTCTGGCACAAGGAATACACAAACCTGGGTTGGCTCTCACTTTCCGTTACAGCAACACTCCCTGCTGAAACAGGGCTGAAATGTATGGACACCTTTAATCCATTTCTTCTTGGAAATACCTTCAAAATTCATATTTAGCTTTTAAAGGGAACTACCTTTTTAAAGAAGAAAAAAACCGCTTGATAAGTGCAAACTGACATTAAATGGAGTTTAAAAAATGATCAGGGTTTTAAAATATGATTATAATCAGTGAGAATAGTGGAGCAGAGTCAAATCATTATTGATCTCGCTCATGGGGGTAGGAGGAAAGAACTGCTGTGAATTAATCAGAAAAGGAGATTTTCCGTAAAGCCTGTCCATCTGTGAATTCTCCCCAGAGTCCGCCTCAGCCCTGGGACCCCCGAGACACTGGGCACTTAGTTAACCCTTTGATAGACCTTCCAACAGGATCTACAATCATATTAAAGGAGAAAACATCTCTGTGCAGGGATTGTATTTGAGATTTTGAAGTGGAAAAATAGTCAATGGTATAAGTTTTGGAGTCAGACTAGTTTTCATTCATTAATTTCAGTAGCTATCTCATGAGCATCTATTTTGTACCCCACACAGTGTTTTAGGTGTTGGAAAAACTGATGATCATGGCAGATGACTCTTGGAGCTGATATCCCAGCTAGTGGGAGATGAGCCACGGACCACAGATGAGTGAATCAGATAACAACATACAATGATGTCATAAAGACAGCACTAACAGGAATAACAGCCCCACATTTTTGGAGCACTACGTTTCAGATCCTAAACTCGGTGCTTGTAGTATCAACTCATTTAACTTTCTCCATCTTTGTTGCAGGAAGTTCTGGGATTCCTCTCATTTTATAGGTGAGGACCCTGAGGCACACACACACACACACACACACACACACACACACACACACACACACACATAGAGAGAGAGAGACAGACAGAGACAGAGACAGACAGACAGACTTGCCCCAGGTTACATGGCTTGGTGTTGGCAGAGGCAGGATTTAAACCCAGCAACTGGCTCTGAGGTCCAGGTTCTTAGCGGTTGCATTGTTACCTGCCTCTGCATGAAGTTGAGAGTCATCATTGTTTTTACAACCCAGAGGCTCAGGAGCTGTTGTCTCTTCCCTTCCCATTCAGTACTGGGCACAGGACAGTGGCTGGCGCAGTGAGCTCACCCAAATCATGGCCAAGGTGCACCATTTTGGCCTAGGTTCTTCTCCCAACATTTGCCTTTGGGTCCCTCCTGGTGTGGTGGGGGAAAAAATCTGAGTAGCAAGAACACAGGTGGCCTGAGAATGAAGGGGAACTCAATAGGGTCTGTTTCCCCACTGGACAATAGTAAAGCCAAAACGCAAAGCAAATGACAGACCAACAAACACACACAAGAAAAAACCTCAGTCTTATCAGGAAACAGCAAAGAATTGAGATTCTGTGAAAGCCAAAGCCTCCATAAATGATTATTTCAGTGGAAGGAGAGTAAACAAGTGGCCATCCAACCTCTTCTCCATCCAAAATACCTTGCATTCAATAAATATGGAAGTATCATGTCCCCTTTAGGGGACTGTGGCCATTTGAAAGTTTTATTTTTCAGACCTACATCACTCCTCTGCTTTATCCCAAACACATGACAGGAATCAGGACAAGAACCTTAAAGAATTTTCTCAAGCCCTCTCTAATTTTCTTGGGGATCAGAGCTAACAACTCTGATCTGACAATTGCATGCCTGCTGTTGAGGAGTTGATCCTAGGGTGGGTCACGCATGCATGTGCACACAGGCATGCAGCCACCCTCATCCCCACCTACTCGAAAGGAATAGAAGAGAAAACAACCCCGATGGGCCATCCTCTCCTGTCTGCTTCTTCTACTTCTGATGATGAGCAGCTTTTTCTACTATGGGCTTTTAGGTTCCTTTCTAAGAAGAGAAGTCAGCCAGGGCTCATGGTGGGCCACCTTGGGGTAGCCACAGAACGTAGAGGGGTGCAGTGCTGTTGGCAGGTGGGGCTTGTCTTTAAGGAACAGCCTCACCTTGCTGCACATGCTTTCATGAGAGTTTCATTCCTTGGTTCTTCCTGTCTTTGCAGAGTTGTTGGATTGGTTGTCATGGTTGGTATTAAGAACTGCTTCATAATAAGCAATAAACATCTTCCAAACTAGAGTTTAGAACAATATCCAGGGCCATCTTGATGGGTGTGTGACCAAGGTCCCATGCTCAGTTTGATGCTCCCCTGTGTGGGCCTGAAATTCTTAATAATGTTGAGTAAAGGCCCTCCATTTTCATTTGCATTGGGCTCTGCCCGTTAGATAGTTTGTCCTGACAGTACAATACCCCAAATACTGTTAAAGAAAGTGGCTTGAAATGAGAGAACTGAAAAAATAATGTGTTGATTTCACGGCCTATCAGGGAAGGAATGATACCCTGACGGTAACATCCTAGAGGAAGAGCTGTATTGTCCAAGTCCCAGAGAATAAGGGAGACAGTGTAGACTTCCAGAAGGGTTTTAGAGACAGTCTAGGTTTTGAGACACTCAACGCGACAGAAGTGAAAGATCCCCCCTGCAAACACAAATCCCTTCCCCAAGAGAAAGGAGTTTTCATGATCCTTTGAAGAGCACCTAAGGAATTGGGCAGTTGTTGTTTTTAATAAACTTTTAATTTTATAACAGTTTTAAATGTACAGAAAAGTTGTAAAGATACTACAGGGAAGTCCCATAAACTCTGCACCTAGTTTCCCCTATTATTAACATCTTATATTCGTATGGCACATTTTTTACAATTAATGACCCATTAACTATTGACCCATTATTGTTACCTAAATTCACCGTTTGTTGAGATTCCCCTGGTTTTTCCCTAATGCCCTCTTCTTGCCATTCAGGGTCCCGCATGACATTTTGTCATCGTGGCTCCTAAGGCTCCTCTCAGCCCCGGCTCTCAGTCACTGTCCTTATTTTTATGGCACTTTGGAGGACTGGTCAGGTGCCTTGTAGGATGTCCCTCTACTGGGATAGGTCTGATATTTTCCTCATGATGAGTCTGGGGCTGTGGGTGTTGAGGAGGAAGACCACAGGGATGAAGTGCCATTTTCATCGTGCCACAGCCAGGGTCCCCGCTGCCAACATGATGTTTCCCTGTTGTGATGCTGACCTCGAGCACCCGGCCACAGTCATTTTCTGCTTCTCTTGGGAGACTTTTGACCCACAGGGGTTCTGCTTTTCTCTGCCAAAAGTATCTGGTACCTGCCTCATCTCTCTGCTGCTGCATGCGTTTCCTTTCGTTGTAACCTCTGCCCCCTGCCCCCAGGAGTTTCCCCACTCACCCCACTTATGTTTCCTGTGATGCAGGGTGCAATTAGTGTTTCCAGAGCAGAGTTAACCTAGGCCCTTATCAGAGCTGCTGTGTGAGACTAAGTTCATTATAGTCTTTACCCAAACCAGAACTTTATTGGAGACATAAATTACTTTTATTTTCATTGAAAATATTTGAGATGAACTATATTAGAATCCTCGCTGAGAAAATATACCCTGGACCTATAATCAGTGGAGAGGTGCTACCTATAAAAAAAAGAAAAAAGAACCGTAGGGTAGACTTTTGCACTGACACCTATTTTATATTTTATTATTTGCCCTGTACTATTTCGTCAACTTCCATCCCCTCTCCTGGTATTTATTAGCAGATGGGCATAGCTTTCTCCCCCTCAGAGAACCTTCAAAAGAGTGAAGCACATGGCAGATTCTCTCCCAGTGAGCAAAAGGCCAGCTGATGCTCAGTGCTGAAAGACAGACAGCCTTGGGTCCTCACATGTAGGGGAGAAATATTTCCAAGGTAAATAGACTAATAATTTTTAAGATAGAATTTTTGAAGGTTGCTTTTGCATAGTGAGGTTAAAAATGTCTCAGACAGGAAGGATAGAGGATACCAATTTTTCACCCTGGACCTCTGTCAGTCCCTTGCCTTCTGTTGATGTACTGTGGCCTCCCAAGTGTGTCTGACATCCTCGTAAATTCATTCTTCCTTCCTGTTCTGTTCGAGATCCCTCCAAAGTCAGGAGACACTGGTGATGTGGCTGCATCTTTCTCTGCCTCTGTGCAGCCAGGTGAGGAACAAAAAGCACAGGATGTCTGTCCATCCCTGCCTAGCCAACGAGTCTCTTGGGCCAAACATGCCCTTTTGTCCTCTTATATTTCATCTCTCTCCTCTCCCAGGTACAGAGGACAAATGAATATAGAAGGGTCTTCCTGGCTTGCTTGATTTCTCCCTTTGAAGAGCTTTCACCTTAAGGGCCGATTCCTCTCCTCTGCATGAGGGGCCATTTTCTTTTATCCTTTTTTTGTTTTTGTTTTTTGTTTTTTTGAGACAGAGTCTCACTGTGTTGCCCACTCTGGAGTGCAGTGGTGCAGTCTATAGGCATGCACCACCACGCTTGGCTAGTTTTTTGCTTTTTTTTTTTTTTTTTCAGAGGTGGGGTTGCACCATGTTGTCCAGTCTGGTCTCTAACTCTTGGGCTCAAGTGATCCCCCTTCCCAAAGTGCTGGGATTGCAGGCATGAACCACCCACCATGCCTGGCTTAGGGCCATTTTCTTATGAGCCCTTTGCCTTCAAGTGGATGACAAAGATGTTTTTTGTGGAAAAAAGTCAACTCCTGCCCTTCTCTGAAGTCCATGCTATTGACAACTTTAATAATAAAAGCCAAAGTTTATGCTCTTTTTCTCCCCCATCCCAGCTTAAGACAAGAAGAAAAAGATTTTCCCCCCGTTTTTTTCTTCCTTTTAAAATTGAGGGAGAAGTTATGAGCATAACAAAACTCTCATCTAGAAAATGTTCCCGAACCTGCAATTACTGGAGTGTGGCCACCTCATCCGGAACTCCAGGACGCATTTCCACATAATGTCCCTTTTAAAGGTTATTATCTACATCATGCCATTTCTGTTGCCCTCATCTTTTCCCAGTCTCATTTCTTAGAGGCTACCTAAGGTTTCTCACCCAGAAAGAACCTTCATAATAATGAACTATACCTAATAAGCCTTTCCTAGTTAGGGGGCCATTTGGGGAAGAAAATGGATAGAGTGGGAGAAGTACTTTTGAGATGAGATGGACTAATGATTTTTCAAAGTAGATTTTTAGAAGGTTATTTTTCATGGTGGTAATAAAAACTTCCTAAGAGGATAGCAGGGCTGTGGGATGCTGGTTTTCTCCACAGACCTATCCCTGTCTTACCTTTTGCTTGTGAGCTTTTTATTTTGAGACAGGGTCTCGCTCTGTCACCCAGGCTGGAGTGCAGTGGCGCGATCTCAGCTCACTACAACCTCTGCCTCCCAGGTTCAAGCGATTCTCCTGCCTCAGCCTCCCAAGTAGCTGGAATTACAGGTGCCCTCCACCACACCCGGCTAATTTTTCTATTTTTAGTAGAGACGCGGTTTCACCATGTTGGCCAGGCTGGTCTCGAGCTCTTGACCTCAGGTGATGCATCCCAGGTGTTGGGATTATGGGCGTGAGCCACTGTGAGCTTTGTCTGCTGAGTTTCGGGAGCTCATGGAAGTTATTCTCCTTTGAGGGCTGTCAGGACCATTTCCATGCTTGGGATATTTGTGAGGTGCTCCCCCCATGAAGATGTCTTTATTGATGATAATTACTCATCCCAAAACATAGCCCGCAGCCATCCTTGGATGTACAGCTTGTAGTGCTGTAGTGCCTGGAGCTGGGAGGAGGTGCTGACTGCCAGGACTGACGTCTTCAGACTGATTCGTCTAAGCTCGGCCAGCCCCTGCCCTGCTTCCTCTTCCACCTCCCTAAAGTTGGATGGCCAGATTTTGCAAATAAAAATACAGAACTCCCAGAATACGTAATTTTTTTTTAGCATAAGTATGTCCTGAACATTGCATAAGACATATTTATGCTAAAAATGATTTGTTGTTCACCTGAAACTCATATGGAACCAGTCATCCATATTTTATCTGCCAACCCTTCCCTAAGGCAAAGCGGTAGAGACCTCGGACCCTCGTCCTTTCTGGCATATTCCTCTCTGGGGGACTTCATCTGCTTGAAAATTTCCCAAATCTGATTTTTTCTTCTTAATCCTGATCAGTTTGGGCATTCCTGTTCATCCCTGCTCAGTCGGCCTGGGGCCTTTCTCACAGCTGGGTTGATTTCTGGGCCTTCTGTTTTTCAAACACTAAACTGGTTACCTCTGAAGAGCTGGGAAGCTGGTTCCCATCCACCAAGTGTCCTGACCCCCCAGTTTCCTCTGGAATCAGTGCATCTCGATTTCTCTCTCTCTTCCTCTCTACTTCTCATGTGGTCTCTGCCCACCCCTCTGCCTGGGGTTGCTTGGCTTAGGTAAGGCCTGGCCTTTTCAAGACCTGGGGCACTTTAGCCAAACACCCTGACCAGAGGAGAGGAGCAGCCAGTCGCCTAGATTGTCCAACCTTGACTTTGCCACAAAGGAAAGGCCACATTTGCTTTCTTTGTTTTCAAAGCTAATACATGGAAGAAGAAGGCTTAACTTTCTTTTCTCTTTGAGATTCGTGAGGGAGACAGCATCAAAGCTGCACCCTTCTGGCTTAGAAAATACACCCAGAAGCTATAATGAGCACCAAGATGAGATCTTATATACAGGGTACATTTCTATGCTAAAACTATTTTAAATTTTATTATCCACCTCATGCTATTTCATCTCCTCTCGTCCTCTCCCCCTT
The DNA here is from genome assembly GCF_000001405.40 of Homo sapiens. Taxonomy (NCBI): domain Eukaryota; kingdom Metazoa; phylum Chordata; class Mammalia; order Primates; family Hominidae; genus Homo; species Homo sapiens. The sequence goes on from NC_000020.11 coordinate 59,238,818, forward strand.
GTATCTATTAGAGCCTGGGTATGGATTTCTTTCCCTGAGATAAGTTTCATAATCACGAAGCATACTTGACAGTCACACACAGCAGACGCAGGGCCGGAAGAGGTTCAGCAAGGAAAATGGTAGCTGTGTTTTCCTCTCTATGAGAGAAATATTGGAATATTGGAGGTAAAATGGATGAATACATTCCCCCAAATAGAAGTTTTGAAGGTTGCTTTTGCATAGAGAAGTTGAAGACTCCATGAAGTGATAGAAAGCATGTAGATATGACAATTATTTTTCTTTTGTTCCCCTCACCCAGCATCCTTTGGGGTACAGGCCCACTTCCCATTTTTCTTCCCCTTTCTCCACATTGACTTTTTTTTTCTTTAATAAATTTTTATGATGGCCTGAGTGAGAAAACCAAACCAAACCCATTCCCAGCGCTTCCAGCCCTCAGGTTTTGTTGGATGTTCATGCAATTTTCTCATTATTTTTCTGTCAGTGTTCATAGAAACAGTGTAAACTACTTGATTTCAAAACCATTATGTTAGTTTACTGCATTATCATTTAAGCTGTGTATTCTTTTGTGATTTGAATTTAGTCATAACATATTTTAAAAGATAAGCCAAGAAGATTTCTCGAATACATTTTTGATGACAACTGCTTACGGTTCAAGTTTCCCCCCTTCTTTCATCTTTTATGTGACTTTCATTTTACATCCTTGATTTAGTTATTCTTTCTTTCTGTAAACACTTTTTTTTTTTTTTTTTTGAGATAGAGTCTCGCTCTGTCGCCCAGGCTGGAGTATAGTGACCTTGGCTCACTGCAACCTCTTCCTCCTGGGTTCAAGCGATTCTCCTGCCTCAGCCTCCCGAGTAGCTGGGATTACAGGCGCGCGCCACCACGCCTGGCTAGTTTTTGTATTTTTCGTAGAGACAGCGTTTCACCATGTTGGCCAGGCTGGTCTTGAACTCCTGACCTCAGGCGATCCGCCCACCTTGGCCTCCCAGAGTGCTGGGATTACAGGCGTGAGCCACCGCACCCGGCCATCTGTAAGCATTTTAAGCAGACCTTGTGACTTCTATTGAGAGAAGATTCTGGGGCAGCACAGTCTTACTTCTCCAGTTTTGTCTCACTCAAGAAAATACCCAGGTAGACAGCCCTGTGCTATGGTGAACTGGTTCCTCCAGCCCCCACCCCTGCCTAAGACCACCCCCAGGGGAGGATTCAGGGAAGTGGAAGCGTGGAAGACTCTAAAGATTACCTTCTCTCCCCTTGGGGAAGGTTTGTGTATTTTTTATTCTGTTCTTCTCACCCCCACCCCCACCTACCCCCACAGTCCCCCAGCTGCTGTCTATCCTCTGTGCGGAATTGTGTGCCTGCCACAAGATTCCCCTCCTGCGGCATTCTCCACCCCTTCTGCAGTTGGAATTTTCTGGATGCTTGACATTGTTTACACTCTTCTTCGGACAAGGGTTAAAGGCTACCTCCCATTTTCTGTCAGATCATAGATGTCCTTTCCTCTATTGCTTTAGAATTGCCAAAGAGACTCCTTTTGTGAGTGGTAGAATAGAATCCTTCAGGAAAGATGTAAAGGCTTTTTCTACACCTCAAAAATGGACTTTCTAGGCAGTTCTAATAATACATCAATTGCTGCTCTTTTAAAAACATCTAGAAATGAGATTTACTGATTGATTTGGTTGGTTTGAAAATTATTTCTAGGGGCCGGGCGCGGTGGCTCACTCCTGTAATCCCAGCACTTTGGGAGGCTGAGGCGGGCGGATCACGAGGTCAGGAGATGGAGACCATCCTGGCTAACACGGTGAAACCCCGTCTCTACTAAAAATACAAAAAAATTAGCCGGGCGTGGTGGCGGGCGCCTGTAGTCCCAGCTACTCCGGAGGCTGAGGCAGGAGAATGGCGTGAACCCGGGAGGCGGAGCTTGCAGTGAGCCAAGATGGCGCCACTGCACTCCAGCCTGGGCGACAGAGCGAGCCTCCGTCTCAAAAAATAAATAAATAAATAAATAAATAAAAATATTTCTAGGGAAATACTCTTCCTTTTTATTCCCTCTCTTTCCTAAATGTTGCTTTTGTCGTCCTACCTGTATTTTCAGGTAAGCTTTTGGGTTTGTGTGTAACTGAGCTTGTAAATTTTTAATGCATTTTAACCAGACTGAAGAAATTTACAGGAAGATAGAGATGCTACTGTGCGTCTAGGAGATAGTTTCTGAGGTAAAAAAGAAAAAAAAGTCCTATAATTAAAGTTTTATATTGTAAAATAATTTCTACAGCTGGTGTGAGGACAAAGGAGAGACTTCTTAGAATTCTGTAAGAATTTGGCCCCTCTCTTCCTATTATTCCTCCATTCCTCTTTGCTACCCCACGTCTCAGCTTCCAAGTTACATGCGACCTTGAGGTTCAAGTCTCCATGATCTCTTCATAGCAGAGCAGAGCTAAGTCTTGATATTTTATTCCTTGCTTTGGTCTAAAAGAACTCATAACCGGCCCCCTCTATTTTTTTTTAATCAGAACCCACAGAAACCATTGAGAGGCTTTTGCTGAAAAAAAAAAATGCCACTTGAGCTGCATTGCTAAGGGTTGCAGTTCCCGAAGTACTCTCTCTTTTGAGGTGGAAATCTTGAGAAAAGAAGCCAAGTTGAAAGTATTTCGGTGACCCCACAGTCCACCCGGTTGAGCTGCTTTTATTACAAACTTTTATACGTTTATAAGAAACATATATAAGAAAACTTTTGTAAGAAACGTTTATAAGAAAATGACACTTGTAAAATAAGCCAGAAAGCGTAGATTCTTGAGTAAATTTCTGTATGTGAAAGTTTTTAAAGAGTATTTTGGGCAATGTTTATTTCTTTCCTCTTTATCTCAGTCCTCTTGTCTTAAACAGTATTGAAGAAATGCTGTTGAATTTGGTACCTGAATAGGATTTTATATTACTGAAATATTCAAATTGACTGTTCCTTTAGTATTGTTTAGAAGAAATATCTGGGTGAAAGGAAGTTTTCTGCTTTCCAAATGCTTCACTTTCCTCTACGCCACAAAAAATAAGAGAACTGAAAGAGAAGAAAGAAAAGTACAATCGCCTAAGTACTCCACGAGATGGAATATCTAAACACGTTATGAAAACAGAACAATATTCCCCCATCGTCTTTTGCTGGTTTTCTTGTCGAATTAAGTTTTACTCGTCTGAAGTCTTGGTTTGAGCGAAGCCCTAAATGCTCCTTCAATATTTGTTGCTTCACAAAGGCTGGACTTAGAATGTTTTCTTTCCTAAGGTGATTAGAAAACCAAAATTGATGACGCCAACTCTAATATTTTCTTTCTTGTTTCTGTTTCTAGTTTGACAAGAGCCCATTTTTCCCCCCTCAGGATTAATGAAGGAGAGAAGGGGAGATCTTTCTTCCCAGCTATTATTATTGAAATGGATCAATTTCTCCTTTTTAAGGATGCAAATCTTGAGGAAAAATGAGCTCTCTCCAATACCTTAATTATATTTCAAGAAATGGGCTGTTGTTTATGAACTCATCCAGTATTGAGAAACATTGAAAATAATCATTCAAACAGTAGATACTCTTGATTTCAATTTTGGCATCATATATTTCAGAAGGTATTTTCACTAATTATATTTTTTCTCCTCATATATCCTTTTGCTGTCTAAATTTTAGATACACACTTGTGGTCTAGGCACAAATATTAACGATTGATTTTAAATATGACTTTCCGCTAAATATTGTTTGGAAAAAGAAAAACAAATCTCTAAATGGGAAATCTTAAATTGATTACCTTTTATCAAAGAAATAAGAGAAATGAGTACCACTAAGAAAAGTAATTTCTGAAATAAAATGTATGATTACTTTAGAAGAGACAAACTTTCAAAAAATTGCACTAGGAAAGAGAAGTACCCTGGTATGGGTTGCTAGATTTTGATAAATGTATTTTTCTGCTCTTTCGATGAGTCCTTCAGCCACATCTCTCTGAGGAACCAGGGCTGAGGCTTCATCACCAAGTCAACCCTCCTTAGATGGTTTTGTGAGGTGGCATTTTAGCGATTCCTCAGGCTGGTCACCTCAGACTCTCAAAGCAGATGAAGCGCCCTGGTGGTGTGGAGATGGGATGATTCATAACCCATCTCCTCTGTGGCATTTACCACAATACCAATCATTGTGTAATTCTGTCCTATTTTGTTTTATCTTCAGCTACGTGTATACTACAACAAGTACATAGAATAGAGCTTCTTAATTATTAGCAATAAACCTGTATTTAACTCCAGGGCAAGGCAGGGCAGGGGATGAGGGAGACCTCTATTCTTTCCCGTTGTCTTATTTACTTTCCCTCTTAATGGAATCTTTTCTTTTGAATTCAGCACATACCTAAGGTTTTAAGTGATTGAAATATTTTAACTGGATTTTTTTCCCCCACTAACATAGTTTAGGAAAATTCCTCTGAGGCTGAAGTTATCAACGCAGCTGCCTTTCATTGAAAAAATAGAAAAGCAAAGAAAACTGCTCAGACAGGTACTTTTAGAGGTAAAAGGTTTACCTAATCACGTTGAAGAGGTCGAATAGCTAAGTATTATGTGAGGATGGTGACGTAATTCTCTGAAATCAAGTAGATGAGAGTTATTTCTTCTTTTTATCCTTTGCACTTGTGTTACTCTGCCATAAGTAGACAGAGGGAGGTGGGAGGAGACACCCTTGGTGTTTGTTGTGCCCCATCTCTCTGTCACAAATCGCCTCAAAATGTTTTCCCAAGGAGAAACAAAATGGCAGCCTGAACCCTAGGACTCCCTCATCCACTCACTCCCTCCTTGTTTCTCTGACTAGAACTAATGGCTCTGTACCATTATTTTTCCTGTAAGAATTAATAGGGAGATATTCTTTTCCTAAAGCCATTAGTTAAGTAATATTGCTTACAGAATTGCTGAAACAGGATAACATCTCCTTCCCCAGAGTGTAAATCTTAAGAAATGATGAGGCAATTGCTTAAACACATCAATTATATCCCAAAACCTGAACTTTTCTCTCTACAATTTTCATTTAGAGTTAAGAAAGTTTGAAATTAATGATCCATAAAGTAGATTCTCCTGATTCAATTTTGGCACTGAAGAATGCAAATAATATTAACAATTTTTTTTTCCCTTCATTTAGTTTTCTTTCTTCCTCACAATTTATCCTCTCTTTATTTTAGCGCATTCTCTTCTTGTCTGGGCATGATTAAAGTTTTGACTTACCAAAAGATTTTAAGCATACTTTCCCCACTAAAAATGTTTTTTTGGAGAAAATGGTAAGTGAAGTGTTCTTCAACTGATTGCCTTTCATCAAAGAAAGAGAAGACGAATGAGAACCATAGAGAAAAGTGGTTTCTGGGAAAAAAAACAGATTTAAAACTATTACTGAGAGAGGCAAAGTTTCAAAAAAAATAGGATAGTACAGAAATACTCTAGATTTGGCTAGAGGTGGAAAAAATATATTTTTCTCTTCCTTTCATGAATCTCTCAGTTTTTCTGTGCCTGAAAAACTAAATTTTAGTTACTGGTGTGTGAGGATTTATCTCTGTCTTTCAGCAACCTGTTCTGATCTTCTGGTAAGAGGACTGATTTGACTTTTAGTTTTGCCTGAGCATATTCAGGTATAATACACTTTGGGGGTTTTCCTCATTATTTTGAGTTTGAATTTTAGAACCAATATGATTATGTGTCTCTTATTTTTCTTTCCAACTGATAACGCAATATCATGTTTGTTGCAAAAAAGAAAGTAGCATTGACTTATCCAAGGAAAGCCTGACAACTTCCAGCCACACTGCCCCTGAGGCCATCAGAGTTAGGTTGGCACACATCCTTCTACATCTTTCTCCACTCATAAACAAATACAGACAGACACCTTTTGTTGTTGTTTTTTACACAAAGGCTCATACCAGATGTAGTAATCGCCAATTCTTTTCTTCTTAATATGTTTTGTATATAACTCTAGGCCGATACGTATATAGATTGTTTTAATAGTGGCATACAATCCCCTAGTTTGGATGTACTACTATTTATCTGTTCATCCCTTCCTTTATTGATGGATGTTTATGTTGATGCCTATTGTTTTTCCTACCACAACTATTGCTGCAGTACACATTCTTGCCTGATTTCCCAAAGAGCAATTGCTGGATCAATGGTTTTATACTTACTTATTTCACCTTATAAGATACCACCAAATTACTTTTCAAAAACGGACTTACTCTCCCATCAATATTTTTAACAGTATTTTTAAAAAGAAACTTTGCTTCAGCAAGAGAGCAAACAAAGCCACGGTGAAGCTTTGCTATCAGAGTGGGCGGCGCATGTGAGTTTCTTAAATAACAAGAGGTCACCACCAAGCGGCCTCTCATTCAAATTCAGGCCACAGATGTGTTGGGTAGCACAATGCTACTGTCGTTTTGAAAACTAATTAGTTATGAATGTTTGAAAGCATGTGAAATACAGATTTTGATTTTTCTCCTGAAAAACAAACAGATCTGGTGAGCTGGACCCTCCGGCCTTCATTGTCTCAGTTGGCTGGAGCTAGGGGTCAGCCGCCCCTGGGGCCTGGGCTTGCTGTTTGGCCATCCCCAGGCAGGCACCCGAATTAGCAATTTGTCTGGCTCCTGTAGCATTTGAGTTTGTGATCTTTGGTTTAAACTAGGGTTTCTCAACCTGGGCACTGCTGACATTTGGCGACACTCCATTATTTGTTGCAGTGTGGGATGTGTAGCAGGGTTGCTGGTCTCCACCCACAACATGCCAGGAGCATCCCCTCCACTCCGAGTCAGGACCACCCAAAATTTCTCCAGACATCACCCTTGCTTCGGAACCACTGGTTTTTAACAAACCCACAAAATGCATTTTCCTCAGTCAATTTTGAAATAAACTTTTCAAAGACTGTTCCTGGGCAGTTTTCATTATTTCATTTGATGAAGGAACACTGTTGAATTCTGTACACGACCAAGCTTTAAAGTCACTGAAATGTTTCAAATCAGCCCCATTCACTGAATTTGGAGAAAGTATCTGAGAGGAAAAAGTGATCAAAACACGTTCATCTCAGGAACAGAAATGGAGAGACAACGGTGATTACATATGGTTTCTGAAGTAAAACCTTTACCTAATTACACACACATAAAAGATACAATTTCTAAATACTGTATGAAGAGGGTTGAATACATCTCTGGCACAAAGGTAGACATTGGCTTTGTTCACTTTGGTTTTCTTCGGTGGTTTCTTTTGTTTGTTCATCACGGGCCTGGGCCAGCTCACCTCTCCCTCCGCAGTCTGTCTCCTTGCGCTCACATAATCCTCCTCTGAAGGGATTTCTGAGGTATTTGGAGCCAGCAAGAGGCCAGGGATGGGTCTGGGGGTCTCTCCAGAGCCCTCTTCTCTCTCTGTGCCTTCACTCTCCTTCTCTGACAGGACTTCCGACATCTTTTCTCATTAGAATTAATGGAGAACTATCCCCAAAGCTATGAAGTCATAGTGCTCTGAAATTGCTGAAACAGAATAATTTCTCCTTCATTCTAGGGTGTAAATCTTGAGGAAAGATGAGAAGCTGTTTCAGGTATATCGATAATGTCCCAGGGAAGAGACCCACATAGACAATTTTCATTTAGCAACAAGAAACTTTTAAAAGAATGTTACACAAAGTATATCAGCCAGTTTCTGTTTTGGCTTTCAATCTTTCAAATGGCATTTTCTTTTTTATTGTCTTTTTTCCTTCTCTAATTTCATAATCCTATTTTCACTCTGTATTTTAAGGGCACACACTTGATGTCTGGACATGACAGAATTTTTAAAGCAAAATTTTAAACACCGCTTTGCACTGAATTCAGGATTTCTGTGAGGGGAGGGTGGTTATCTTGATTGCCTTTCATCAGAGAAATAGAAAAGAGATGAAAATTACTAAGAAAAATGGTTGTTGAAGTAAAAGATTAGTTTATGATTACTTAGAGGCAAACTTTCAAAAGATTGCATTAGGATAGTGCAGAAATACCCGAGGCTGTACTTGATAAATCCATCTTTCTGGTCCTCTCCCCCAACCCTCCCTGCCTGTGCAGCTGAAGTCGGAGCTGCTTCTCACTGCTCACCGCCCACTGACTTCTGATTATTTTTTGATTGGCATTGACATCCAACGTCTCCCATTCTCTCTGCCTGAGAGGAATAAAACCTCTTTCTTCCATCATTTTTAGCCATTTTTTTCGTAAAGAGGCTTCATAAACAAAAAATGTAATAGGATTGCAGAAACAAATGAATTTACTGTCAAAGAAACTTTAGCATAACGTCAGGTATGCAACAGAGACTTAAAGAAAATTGGTTGAATAATTACATGTATAGATGATTCAGACTTAGAAAGCCATCCAGGACAGGGGTGATGTCAGATGATTTACTGTGTGCATAGTTTTGCTCTTTTCCATAGATACAGGTTGGGTTGGGGTCCTATTTCATGGCCACCCAGCACCTTCGTGCTTTTTCTTTCATGCTATTTACTATATTTGCTTGGTGAATTTTTTATATAATTATTTGCTTACTGAATTTCTCCCCCGTTGAACTATAATTATCATGTGGGTGTGTCTGCCTCGTTTTCCACAGAACAAATGCCCTGTGTTTAGCACAGTTCTTGGCACGGTTGTTGGTTGTGCTTGGTGCTCAGTAAATATTTAGGCTCAATAACATAGGCTCGAAAACAGGCTTAAAAATATTTGAATAAATAACTGTCCACAAAGTTATTACTTTTAGAGATCTGCCCAGCTTTCTATAAGTAATTGCTAGCACATTGTGGATCTGTTAATTCCCGGGATGCTTCTAAACAATTTAATCACAGATTAATTAATAGTCTAGGAAATTACTCCTATATTCTTGTTTATATTTGCAGCTTGCTTAGAAGGTTGATTTTATAGACTCATTTTTAACCCTTTTTTTAAATAATAATTCAGTCTTTGGAATCCACATTCATGGAGTTTTGGTGTATTGGGACAAACCAAAAGAAATATATCAAATTACTTACATTTTTAGTTAATGATATTTGAGCAGTGCGTTTATAGCATTTTAATAAGGCCTAGACATTAGGCAGCTGGAAGAAGATTTGGCATTAAAGATGTCTACAGTTATGTTGTAAGTTTCATCATGTTGTTTATTTATTTCATTTTCTTTCTAAGTATTTTACAGTTTCCTGTAGCCTTTTCAAGATGGCCACATTTAAAATTGCTGTAACACTTTAAGTGGCCTCTTCCTCTAAATGCAGTCTGGCAATTATTTCTGAGGGAAGTTATTAAAAACACAGCCTTTAATCAGGGAAAGAACAGCACGGCACAGAGAGCTGTGATGAGAGATGGTCTCTCTAATAAGAGTCCCATAATTGTGTAAGAGCGATCGAATTTCTGAAGATGGCATTAAGACAGTGGAGTTTGTAATTTCTGAGGATGTAGGAAGTGATTCATACAGTGTGATGCTGAAGCCTCAATGGAATCACATTCTGTGATTTAAAATTTGGCCAGGGAACTACTTCCTTTTTGAAAAGGGCCATTCATTTAAAAGCAAGTTAGTGTCCTTCCTCAATAATCCAAATCAGTTTAACACACTTCAGTGACATTATTTGAGCATTTTTCACAATTATTAAAGATAATTCACTTTTCTCTGTAGACTGCAGGGTCAAAAACAAATTAGATCAGTGGATTTTCTTCCTTTACTTTCATAGATGAGTCAGAAGTTATTGGTCAAATGTGCACATGACCTTTCTACTTAAGCTTAAAAACCAAAACAACCTGTTGGGAAGACATTTGGCCAATCTGATTATTTTCTCTACACTAATTGGTTTTACTTCTTCATTGAATTGAATGAATTGCATGGTTGTTTTGTCACTGTGGGGACAGAGCTTAATTCACTTAGAGTGAGCACTTGTGCTTGGTGAACGATGAGGCTAAGGAAATGCATATCATCACCATTAATTTTTGATAATTTTTCATGGGTGAGAATGAAAACATATCTTGAATCCACCCCTTTTTTCCCTTTCTATTTCTGGTGCCCTAGTCAAGCCATCTCATCTGGCCCCTGGATTATCCTAGTAAGCTTGTAACTGTTTTTCCCACCTCTCCTCACCTCTCTCCCGAGTTTGGCTTCAAAATTTAAACTTCTTACCACAGTCACTTGTACCCCACAAGATCTGAGTCCTTGTTGACTTCCCCACCATCATCTTGCCCCTGCCCCTGCATTCACGACTGTCCTTCCACATTGGCCCCCCATGGGTCTCTTGCTCCCGCAAGCTGCTTTCCCCTTTAAGGTCTCTGTATTGTTCCTTCTTTTGTCTAGAATATCCTTTGTGGACTTGTTCTTTCTCACTCTGAAGGTCTCATTTCTGATGTCGCCTTTCTGAGAAGTCTTCCTTGACTATATAAAACAGTCCTCCCTGGCTACTCTTTGGATTAAGCCCCCTCATTACTCTCTTTACTACCCCCTGCTTATCATGAGTCTGTAGTATGCTCCCCTCCATTTCTCATTAGTGTCTGGAATAGCCTCCTGTTAATTGTTACTGCCTGTAATACTCTCATTTTCACTCTCGGTAATATCCCCGTCCTCGATTTATTTCCTTTGCGACCCCATCACAATAGGCGTCTGCTTCCTTGTCTTTGCTTCTCTTTCCCCATTACAGTAGAAGCTCTTGAGGGCCAGCGTCACCTTTGTTTTGTTCTTCTCAGACTCTTCAAGGTGGAGCATGGTGCCTGGGTCATTGAAGGGGCCCAGGATGTGGTTGTTGAACAGGTGAATGGAGTACCAAAAGCCTGGTTCTGTGCCATTAGATTACCTGAGTACACGGGAGGGTCAAGAAAGATTGTGTGGAAGAAAAAAGCATTGCTATCTTTCCCAAACTGTGCACTTCTCTACGGATTTTCAAAGTTGATTTGCTCAGGATTAGCACACTTGGTAATCTAGTAACTTACCCCTTGAGATATAAGAAGTGGAACTGTTCTTTTGGTTTAAGATGGAGGATGGAACACATTTATTTACCTCAGCTTTTCTCTAACAACCAACAAGAGGTTAGTAATTAAAGGTGTTTTTAATATATAAGCTCACAAGGAGAAACGACTTGGAGAAGAAATGATGCCACCAGTTTGAAAACTGGAGTGCAGAGTCTGAATGGGAACTGATGTAGCTGACCCCAAGGAATGGAATCCTGATTTAACAGTGAGAAGACTCCCCACAACTCAGACATTCATGGTACCAGGTGTGGCTGAAAACAAGATTGATTGAAAGACTAAGAAGCAATCAGACTTCATTCCCACTCCGTTTCTACTTCTCAGAGCTTGGTAACTTCCCTCACCCTTGGAGAAGACTAGGGGCTTAGTCTCTGGACAGCATACAAAATGCTGGGGGACACTTGGCATAATTAGTTCAGCAGGGGAGTGAGGGGACTAGATTGAAAATGGGGTTTGAGCAAATGTGAATACTGCATATGAGCCCCCAGAATCTCTTCTCTAATTTTGACTCCAGAATGCCGGCAGCCTGGCTTCTATTTTCCAGTCAGGAGACCCGAGGACTCTTCTTGTAGAAGCTGACCAGTACACGTGGAGACCTGCAGATAACTACTTCAGGGTTCCCACTGAAACAGGGCAACCACATAACCTAACAGTAGGGCCCATGGTTGACAGATTGCACTTGTAAAGAACACCAAGTCAGCTTTTTTGTGCCCATTTCCTAAACATAAGCAGCGAAGATTGCTGTATTTCTCAGGAAAGCCACCAACCTAAAGAGAGAAATAAAAACAAACCAATGGAAACAAAGGAACTTGGAAGAGGGACTATGTAGGGGGAGGCAAACTTCAACAACGACAACAACAACAACCCATTATTAACATTGCCGGGGGTAAAAGAGAGGATGTTAGAGCTATGAAGTAAGAACAGGATGCTATAAAAAAAGAACATGGGAAAGAACTCTTAGAAATTAAAAGCATAATAGCAGAAATAGAAACTCATTGGAATATAAAGTTGAGGAAATTCCCCCAAAAGTGAAGCAAAAAGACCAAGAAACAGAACATCACAGCGAAAAGATAAGAAAAATAGAAGATTATACTAGGAGATCCAATAACCCAATAAGGGCAATTCTAGAAAGAGAGAGAAGACAAAACAGAAGGGAAAAAAAATCAGAAATAACAGGTAAGTTCAAGAGTTATATTGTACAACATGGTAACTATAGTTAATGACAATGTTTTGTATTCTTAAAAATTGCTGAGAGTATAAGTGTTCTTGCCAAAAAAAGATAAGCCTATGGGCTAATACATATGTTATTAATAATCTAATTTAGCCAACCTACAATGTGTGTATATTTCAAAACAATGCATTGTACATGAGGAAGGAAAAGGAAAAAAGAAAAACAGAACCACATTTTTCTAAAACCTGAGGACATGATTCAGATTGAAAGAATTGATTGAGTGCCCAGCCAATGAATGAAGATCGACCCAGGCTGTGGTGACACCAGAAATAAAGAAGAGCCTCGGGGATTCCAGAGAACGACATACAAAAAGATTTCATCCAAAGGACCATGAATCATAAATCATATTGTCTCCAGACTTTTCAACAACTGGAACGCAATAGAGCCGTGTCTGCAACCCCAAAGGGAAATGATTTCCGATTTTGAATGTCATACCCAGCCAAGCTGCCAATGACATCTAAAGAGTTATACTTCATGTACCCTTTCTCATGAAACTACTAGAAGTTTTGTGTTAGGAAAGCAGGAGTGTAAACCAAGAAAAAAGAAGTTGTAGAGGTTCAGGAACCAGGAAAGAGGCGAAGAGAATCAGCACAGCGGGGATGAAGGGAGACCCCAGGGGCACAGCCATGCTGCAGAGAAACATGGTCCACTTGGAGCAAATCAGAAAGTTTCAAGGAAACATTTCTCACAGAATGAAATGAAACCTCAGACAATTGGAGAGGTGGTTGGAAAATGATTTTAGAAATGAGTCCATAGAAAACTCAGCAAAATTTTTAAAAAGCAAAATCGTCATTAATCCCAGGGAAAGCAGTTTTCACAAGAAAGGCAACGTAATCGTAGTATACTACAAGATTCAGTGCTGACAGGTATTCTCCTAAACATACTAATATAAACATGGAATATTCGCCTAAATGAAAACAGGCCATAGGGGTTAGAGAACTGTTGAGAAGATAGAGAGGTGGAATGTGTGCTTGTGTGGGGGGTCATGAAGTTTGAAGAGGAGGAGAGCTGGAAGAAGAGGGAAACCCTCCTCTCTCCCCATGAGAAGTCACAGCTACTACTTCCACAAAATGTAGTTCTATAACAATGTTATCAGACATGAAGGAGCTAAAAGTCAAAAGACTCCCGAATGGGAAAAGATGGATGGGTTGGCAGGGGTTGCAGTTTTTCTTAATACACAGTTAGGCTTGACTTTTCAGACTGCACATGTGTACCTTTCATCAAAATAAAAGCAAATTTAAAAGTGGGTCTAGTGCTTCTTCTCTAGTGACACAGTCGTTTTAAGATATTTCTCTGATCTCATATCATGATGGAACCTGCCCTCTCTGAAATTTTGTGATCCTTTTGACTGGTATGCCAGGTCATCAGTGCGGGTGAAGGATGAAGGAAAGACAGGTATGAGAAGTGCTGTTTTGTGGATATTGTCAGGGCCCTTCTTTCCTTCCACAATCACAACAATAACCACCACAACAAAACAACAGCATCACAAAAGCCAACCTCATCCCTTGCTGCCCAGCACTCTAGTGGGAATTAAGACCTGGTTTATATTTCTGGGTTCCCACCATGCATCGAGTGAAACGTCTATTCTGACTACTTGGTAGTATGTCAGAGAATTCAAGCTGATCTAAAATTTACCTAAACAGACATGACCAGGAATACAACTCTGATGAGAAGAAGCAACATGAAATATAGATATATTTTATGATATGTATCATTCAGGGGTTTTTCTACTTTGAGAATTGGTTTTGCCATTTCCTTCCTTCATAGAGTGGATATATTTTATTTGACCAAATGTGAATTGGTTGGAGATAAATTGAGTTCTTGCACACACCCTGTGAGATGAGGGTTAATGAGCTCAGAGGCGATCAAGAAGTCATGGACAACCTCCCAGGAAATTACTCTTTGCTAATTTTATAATTCCAGTCATATGTAAATGTGCCTCTCCCCTTGCAGGTCTGAATCTGCAAGAGGAGCCATCTTGTGCCACCTCAGAATCACCTCCTTGTTGTGGGAAGGAAGAGAAGAAGGAAGGTGACTGCAGACAAACCTTAGGAACCCTCTCTCTTGGTACAAGTTCAAGAATTGTCAGGGAAATGGACAAACGAACTGTGAAGGTGGGCATGATGATTTTGAGCTGCCTCTACCTATTCCTGGTCTAGATGTATAGCCCTGCTTGTTCTTGCTGCTCTTGTTCAGTGTGGCAGAACTTGCTCGGATCACCTTATGAAGATTCGTGGCACAGAAAGCCCATTAAGACAAACAAATAACTCAAAACATTCTGTATCGAATGAGTAGCTTTGGTAGTGCAAACATTGGGATGATTTCTGATGGTTTCTTTAAAAAAAACCCCAAGTATGTTATTACTGCACACCTGAATAGAGAGATGGCTGACAGATGCCACTGCAACATGAAGCCCCCCCAGACAGACTGTGGGGCTGCGTGTTGAAAACCACTAAAATATGTATCCAGACCACATTTGGAAAAACACTCATCCGGAAAAAACCAAAAAACCAAAAAACCCTTCAATACACAGTCCTATAAAATAGTACATCCGCTTCATGAGCGGTAGTGACTTAAAAAAGGAAGCTGAGAACTGGTAAGATAATTGAGTGGTTTTGTTTTTCACAAAGCCAGATAAAAGCACAGGACGTCAGCAACCTATTTTGTATCAATCAGGAGCTTTATTCGAGTTAATGCACCAATTAGTTATTAATGGAAACTTATTGAGGGCGTCATATTGAAGTTCACCCTTGGTAAAGAATCATTAAGACCTCAAGACCTGTTTTCATTGAGGACCACGTTTCTGACCACATTTTTCTTTGTACCAATTAACCTCCCCCCCCACTTTTTTTTTCCTTTGCACTTTGTTGCAGGATATTTCTCCATCTGCTGGTGAGCATGGTGACTGTACTACTCACAGCACTGCTGCCACATCAGGATTATCTCTGCAATCTGACACCTGCCTGGCAGTGGTTAATGACGTGCCTCTACCCCCTGGCAAAGGTCTTGACCTTGGGTTGCTGGAGACTCAGCTGCTGGCCTCCCAGGATTCAGTCTCAACAGATCCCAAACCATACATCTTCTCAGATGCTCAAAGGCCTTCTTCCTTTGGGTCCAAAGGAACTTTTCCCCACCATGACATTGCTACCTCTGTGGCTGCCGTTTGTATTTCTCTGCCAGTGAGAACAGATCACATAGCCCAGGAAATTCACAGTGCTGAATCACGAGACCACAGCCAGACTGCAGGGAGGACTCTGACATCAAGCTCCCCAGACAGCAAAGTCACAGAAGAGGGCAGAGCACAGACCCTCTTGCCAGGGAGACCTTCATCTGGACAAAGAATTTCAGATTCGGTTCCACTGGAGTCAACTGAAAAAACTCATCTTGAAATACCAGCTTCAGGACCAAGTTCAGCTAGTTCACACCACAAGGAAGGGAGACACAAGACGTTTTTTCCTTCCAGAGGCCAGTATGGGTGTGGGGAAATGACTGTCCCCTGCCCCTCTTTAGGAAGTGACGGTAGGAAACGTCAGGTATCTGGATTAATCACTCGGAAAGATTCTGTGGTTCCTTCTAAGCCAGAGCAGCCCATAGAAATTCCTGAAGCCCCTTCTAAATCCCTCAAGAAGAGGAGTCTGGAAGGAATGAGAAAGCAAACTCGAGTAGAGTTCAGTGACACCAGCAGCGACGATGAAGACCGATTAGTTATAGAAATATGAAGCTTCCAGAGAAACATGGTGTCTGGTCAAAAAGACTGTTGACGCTTCACAAGTAAATGTTGTCAGGCTGGCGGAAGAACTAAACTCTATCTGTGAAACACCTACAGATTAGGAAAGCCATTTTGAGTTATTTACAAGCCAACTCCAACCAACTTCTGACCCCCAACTCAGCCGCAGCGTTCCCCAGCTCCCCTTGGGAGTGCTCTGCTCATCTTCAAATGGTGCCAGGCAGGGCAGACATGGCAAGGAAGCAAACTCTGCAAATGGTCAACGTGCACAGTGACTGGGCCTTGACTCCCAGCCTCGTCTTCTGCACCTGTCCCCCACTGCCTCTCTGCAATCAAATGGCACTAACCAAGAAAGCCACCATCAACACATTTCTCCACAAGTGGACCCCACACAGTCGAGGCAACTGGCTTTCTCCATTAGTAAACTGAGGATTTGCTTCCAAGGTGGAGAGCACACTTGGGATAATTGGAGTAGCTTGACAAAGAGACGGGGGTGTGAACTGGGCACAAAGATACTTCTGTTCATTTTGGAGACAAAATTCAGATACATTAAAAAACTGAAGCTTGTTCAGAGTAATTCACGTCCTTGGTGGAGTTGTAAATACACTTCAAAATGCCTATGATCCGGTGACATGCTGATTACTTTTAAATGTTGCACAAATGGTCAATGCTTATTTATGGTCAGATGATGCAAGCACATGCTCTTGTGCCTGGTGCGTTTGCTGTGGAGATCTCTGAGACTGTCGGTTTTTCTAGTTCTTGCAAAGGAACGGTGTTAAAAGTTAATAGAACTGTCTCTCTGTAATGAGTCATTTTTTGAGAGGGAAAAATTCACTTATTTTCCTCTGATTCTTCTTGTCATATTGTGCTCTGAGCAATTTCAATTAGAGGGTTACATTTTAGTAATCTGTACAGCTTCAACTGATGCCTGCTCGTCGTGACGGGAGCCTTTTAGATTTCCTTCAGAAGCTTCAAGGATACAAAACTAATTGGAGTTTTGACGCTGTTTTACATCTCGGTAATTTTATTTTCGGGGCTTAGTGTTACTTTGCTGTCAAATTAAATCAGCCTCTGTATTGTGCACGTCAGAACTGCACAGAGAAAATTCCCCAGTATTCCAAGCCGGTGCGCCCCTGTGCAGAAGAAAACAGATCTACGTCAGCCAGCCCGGGGGGCAAAGCCTCAGTTCCACTGCCTTCCTCTCCCTCTCCTTCCACGGGAGAGGAGAAACTTAAAGAGGTTTACATTGCTGCATTTCAATAAAATTTTATACTTGCTTTTGGTATGATTTTGTACAATTTGAAATTTGTAGCTGAGCTCTTTTGGTGTAACTTTGATGTAATGATGTTCATATGACATCTTGTACTTCAGAGACACAGCAGCAATGCAGAGCATCTCACACATGTGAATACACTTCAGTCAGTCTGTGCCTGTGACTAAGTATGGTCAAATTTCAAGTATCTTCATGTGAATTTTCCAATTTTGGTGTTTTTCATAGAAAACTTCAATGCCAGACCAGCTTCCCTGGTTACTTAGCATATATTTGTGACCATTTCATATGCACTCATAAATATCCAAGGATTTCAGGCCCAGCCAAGAAAAACATAAGAAGGGAGGTAAAAAGGATGTTGGACATTGACTTAGTGTACTTTTTAAACCCAACAAAAGCGATGTGGTGATTATCTCCCTTTTCGAAGGATTCATGCCACTGTAATGAGAGAGGCAGTGTAGGCAAATGGTCTGAGCCTTGGATGGAGATTGAAGTCCTGACTTTAGCTGGGAAATCTTGGTTAAGAGTCTTTCTGTACCTTAGTTTCCCTAAGTGAGAATAAGAGAGTTGGACAAGACGAATGTATCTCCAGGTTCCAATTTTTCTGAGAATGGTTGATAGAGAAGCTGCTCTCTCCTTAAAATGCATGGACTCAATGGCTTGAAGATATTCCCCATGGGGAACCATTGCCACGGAGGCCTTGCATGCAAGAAGTTTGGGTGGGGACAGTGAGGAACTGAAACACAAGCACCTTCCACCAATTATTGCTGTGAAGAACCTGAGCCTGAAGAAGCTCCATCTAATTTTTTCCCCAGAGTTCCAGATTTTAGGGTGCAATCATCCAGCCTATACATGTGGCTCATAGTTCAAAAAATTAAAAGCAAAACCAGAACTCTCCAGTAGGAATGGAGAAAACCTATCTGTAGGCTGAACTGGCTCCTTTGTCTTAGGAGGCACTGGTCAGGGGAAAAAAGCTGTCTTCCAGACCCCTCCTTTCTGGGTGGCTACTGTGGAATCAACGGGGTCACTGGCTGTAAATCAGTAAGTCATAGCTCCAAACAGCACCAACTTCAGGATGATGGTGGAAGCTCTGTCCCTATAGGAGCCACCGTTGCCAGCTGTCACATCCCAACCTAGGTCAAATATGGCGGAATATTGATTTCGTCTCTAACTCCCTGTATCTCTTACAAAGGTAAAGCAGGTAGCGAAGCCACCTTGCTTCCCTGGTCTTTGCCTAGTGGCTGGCAATGTTTACAAGTGTACCTTACTTTATATCAACATGAATTTGTGAAAAAGCTGTATGTCAATGGATTTTTTAAAAATTAAAAATGTATTTTGAATGACCCTAAGGGAGCTGGCTCTTTAAAAGCATCCTAAGGTAAAGATTTTTTTTAAATGAAGAATCTTTTTATAAAGCAATGAACAATCTCTGATTTTATAAATCTTAATTTTCCTATGGGTTTTCTTAAAGTGAAATACAATTATAAGAATACATTTTAAGGGTAACATTAACAACCTAGAACCCAGTTTGGGTTACTAAAAATAAAATGTCAGTATTATCAATTGATAACTACCACAGTTTTATACTCTGCAAGTGTGTACTGCATGATGGTTAAGGAAAAACAAATTTATTTTAGAACAAAGCAAACCAGAGTTTAAAGATCAGGGATTTCCTTCTTTCCCCAGTGCTAATTTTCCCAGTGTTAATTTTATTATATCTTTAGGTAAGGGTCTTAACCAACTGATGCCTCAGTTTCTTCCACAGAGAATAGTTAGAGGGATGCTGTCATGAACTAAGGGAAGGGCACTGAATTTTTTTTTGCCAATATCAAAAGTGACATTTCCCCATGATGTTCAAGACTCACCAGGTTTCTCTCTCCACCTGTACCTACACCCAGCTAGATCTTGTCGTTAAAGATGTATGGAGGGAAGAGGTTTCAATCCTTCCCTCCTTGGCAACCTACATTGTTAAGTGACTCAAAGTCATGTGATTTTTGGTGGACAACTGGAATCCTCCTTCTTGTAAAACACATTGAAAAACAGCTCATCTCTCCTGTTAGGCTTAACCCTTGAGATTTGAGACAAAGCTAATAATCCCCTTTGGTTCACATCTCACAGTAACCAGGAGAACCTATGGTTCATTTGCCAAGTGATTAAAAAAAAAGATGGAGGAGGGTGTCTCTGAATTTTAATGGAAACACTGCCAATAGCATGGTGGGTAACCTAGGGCAAGACAGACTTTTTCTTCCTGAAATCACTCTTCTAAAGCTGAGACCGGAAGAGGAACCTTGCAGAAGTGCACTGTGACCACAGTTCTTGGCATGAAAGATAAACAATTTGCAGTCTCATGCCAAAAAGTATTTCCTTGCATTTACATTCATTACTTAGAATGATCACATTATTCATTTTTTTCCCCAGCACAGAAATTTGCATTTTGCACAGAATTTGCCTGGTGCAGCAGATCTTTATAGTTATGGAAACTGTCATCATTATCGGAATGTGCTGCTGCTCAACTCCCCAGACATAATTTAATATGGTGAGGAGAATATGACCTGCCTGGCTCTATGGGTGATCATATTTCTACTGCTGCAGCAAGCTGGGCTTGTGTATTTTTCCTCACTTCAGTTGTTCTTCCCATAGTTCATGTAGGGAGGCACTTTGGCTTTTGAAACACTACATTTCTCAATATTTAAGCACAATTTATTGTCCTTATTTTTCAGAACCCATTAAATATAAGGGTCAGAACCTAGAAAATCTTATGTGCTGGATTTCTACCCTGTATGATTCTTTTCATCCATGCTTTGCACTTACGTAGGAATATACATAATTTGGTCTGAAGAAGTATAGGAACAGTTGAGCACATTACTTCACCACTGGAAGAATAGGAACCAGGGAAAAACATCAGCCTCTGCCACTTGGAGCACTAGAGGATGACGGAATGTCTTGTATATGCGGTCAACTGTTCAGGATTTACTACTCAATTGGTTGTTCACAATCAGGGAAATGATTGGCTTCTTGGTTGTTTGTTGAACTTTCTTTCTTTATATGGTTAAATTATTTTGTTTTGATAAAAATAAAACTTAAAATGCAAATGTCTCACGTGATTTGTTAACATTTTAACCAAAACCCCTGCAAATCATATGCTTTATGAATTGGACATCTGATTATTCCTAATCATTGACCCAATGCCTCGTTGGCCGTATTGGTATCCCATTCCACTCAACAAAGGGATTAGGTCATGTCAAATGATCTCACTTTCTTGTGGTGCTTCCTTTTCACACATAGCTCGTTTGTCATTATCTGCCATATTTTATAGTCTGTAACTTAGGAATCTGGTTTTAGATTCTTAAATGTAGCGAAACTCTGAAGCCACAGGAGGGCACGAACCACAGTGCAATAATCCAGAATCTTTTCCCCTTGGATTTGATGTTTTCTGGACATTTAGCATTATTCATTAACAGAGAAAACATCCTTAAATCAAAATCATAGCTTCTTATGAAGGTGATTTATGTACTCCTTGCAAGAATAAGTAGACTTACTTTTACAGCCCAACACAATGTTATTAGTCTATTTACATACCTCTTGAAGACACTTGAAGTCAGTGGGGCACAATTCATTGGAGGGAAAAGTGGGATCGAGGATATGGAAGGAACAGGTATACTAATTGATGGCAGTTAATAGCTTTTTTCCCCAAACTCATCAAACTGTAATCGCCGTTATTATAATTAATCTATTTGTTCCAAACTTCAGTCATTTGAGAACCATCTTAATGCTTTTTGCCATATGTATCAAGATGCCACATGTGGGTATATTTTTTACTTAATACTTTTATTTAAATTATCTCTGTGTTAAAGAAGCAATTATTGCCCTAAGCAATAATGTCTATGAAAACTTGTTGAATTTTCGAGTTAAGTATATTTTCAAATATGCATTAAATGTAGTAAAACTATTAAAAATTGTTCATGTGCCAGTTAAATACCATCTTCATATTACCAGTGGTCTACCCAGTGCACTTGGGGAAACATCGAGCTAACCTAAACAGTATGTTTGCTGTTAGGTTTTCTAGTTATTCTGGCTTCTATGAAGCAGAGCTCTGTCTCCATTTTTTCTCCAAGACAATAGAACTGGTGACCACAAACAGAATTGTGGGATTATTGGGTAAGTTTCTTTGGTCAAACTGTAGAGTTAAATAACTGACATTTCAAATCAAAGGATTTTGGTCTCAAAGGAATAATCACATAATGTTTTGTTGCATAAATATGTTTTTTGTTTGTTTGTTTGTTTTGGTGTTTTGAGTGTTGGCTGATTAGTCGGTGAGTACAGAATGATGTATAGGAATGCATAGTTAGGAATTCATGCCCAACCAGAAGCACCGACATAAGTTCTGCTGAAATAACTGCTTCCATACTTCTAAATGTGAGGGAAATGGATTTGGCTGTACTAAGAACCACAGAGAGCAACTTTTTAAGTCTCCTTAGTGTCAGCTTGTTGATCTTTGGGCTGTGTATGCAGAAAGAATTGCTCAGTGGCATCTGTGACCTTTGTTTCCAGCGGTGACAGACACAGTCTGCCTTCAGTTTCCTTCAGTTTCTGCCAGAGGCAAATTCAACAGCCTCTACCATTGAGCATCTTGGGATTAGTCCATGGCCATTTCAGCCCAGAAATAGGTGAATTATTTTTCCGTGTGAGGTATGAGTGAATGGATATCTCATTCCTATTGGGAATGAGAGGTTTGTACCTGCAGCACCTGGGAAAGAGTGGCCCAGTTCTGTCTGTGGCCACAGAGATCTGGTTGCCTTCTGTGTGTATATTGTGTGCAATGGGGTATTAATGCAGCATGATTGAGGCTTCTTGGCTCCATCATACATGAAAGGCCAGATATCTAGCCTTGCTTTTTCTACATGATGTGTAAACCACAAATGCGAATACTCTAGTTGGACATATTTGCCTGAAGGAACCCTCCTTACATACATACACACACACACACACACACACACACACACACACACACACACACTGAACATATTGAAAACTTCCTCAAAAGTCCTCCCCTTGTTAAAATAACTGGGTGGACTAGGGCCGATGAGTTAGGAAATGAGATGACTATGTATATGGCCCAAAAGGGAGCTCCCTGGAGGCAGAGCCCATGGTGTCTTTATCTTGGTTTTCTTAGCTGCTGGAAGAGTGCCTGGCTCATAGCAGGCATTAGTGCACTTTTGCTGAGTAAACAAATGAAAATGGCTCACCGAGAGTAAATAGGGAAGAAAGAAAGAGTCTAAGATAAATAATATAGCCCAACCCCTTCCTTCTTTTTTTTTTTTTTTTTTTTTTGAGATGGAGTCTCACTCTGTTGCCCCAGACTGGAGTGCAGTGGTGTGATCTTGGCTCACTGCAACCTCCACCTCCCTGGTTCAAGCAATTCTTCTGCCTCAACCTCCCAAGTAGCTGAGATTACAGGTGCACGCCACCACACCGGGCTAATTTTTGTATTTTCAGTAGAGACGGGGTTTCACCATGTCCTTAAACCAAAATCATAGCTTCTTATGAAGGTGATTTATGTACTCCTTGCAGGAATAGGTAGACTTACAGCCCAACACAATATTATTAGTCTATTTACATACCTCTTGAAGACACTTGAAGTCAGTGGGGCACAATTCGTTGGAGGGAAAAGTGGGATTGAGGATACGGAAGGAACAGATTTACTAATTGATGGCTCTTAATAGCTTTTTTTCCAAACTCATCAAACTGTAATCGCCATTATTATAATTAATCTATTTGTTCCAAACTTCAGTCATTTGAGAACCATCTTAATGCTTTTTGCCCTATGCATCAAGATGCCACATGTGGGTATGTTATTTACTTAATACTTTTATTTAAGTTATCTCTGTTAAAGAAGCAATTATTGCTCTAAGCAATAATGTCTATGAAAACTTGCTGAATTTTCGAGTTATTTTCAAATATGCATTAAAATGTAGTAAAACTATCAAAAATTGTTCATGTGCCAGTTAAATATCATCTTCAAATTACCAGTGGTCTACCCAGTGCACTCGGGGAACCATCAAGCTAACCTAAACGGTGTATTTGCTGTTAGGTTCCCTAGTTATTCTAGCTCCTGTTAAGCAGAGCTCTGTCTCCATTTTTTCTCCAAGACAATAGAACTAATGACCACAGATGGAATTGTGGGTTTCTTGGATAAGTTTCTTTGGTCAAACTGTACAGTTAAATAATTGACATTTCAAATCAAAGGATTTTGGTCTCAAAGGAATAATCACATAATGTTTCGGCCAGGTTGGTCTTGAACTCCTGACCTGAAGTGATGCATCCACCTCGGCCTCCCAAGGTGCTGGGATTACAGGCGTGAGCCACCACACCTGGCCGCAACCCCTTTCTTTATGAAGATCCATCTCATTATCAGAGATGAACAATGGCATTATTGATCCATTTCAGAATTTAGCAACTATTTCCCATTACTTACTCCATCTTGTTAATTCAGCCAATAGTTGTTGAGTGCTTAAGTCTGTAGTAGGCACATGAGGACACAGGAGTGAAAAAGACATACAGGATCCATGGAGCTTTTATCTGGGGGCCGGGGAGGAAGTGTCATTTCAGGAGTCAGGCAGACACGTATGTAAACTACATAATATCAGATGGTGCTAAGGGTGAAGAACGTGAAGGGAATGTTAGAAAGTGTATCTTTACCCTAATTCAAAACAATGCAAATAAAATGTTTAAAAATTGTCCTCAGTAGAGAAGAAGAAATCATTCTGTGCCTTAAGATGTGGCTCCTCCTCTGTTTCATGCCAGCAGCCTCATTTCTCCTTACGTGGAGCACAGAAGCTTGAAAGATGCTTCCCATTAGTCTTGTGCTTATAGTTTTTATTATCCTCCTGGTAGCTTCAATCCATGTCAGTGTCTTCTCTACCTGAGCATCGTAACTTGGGACTACTTTTGCTAAAAGGTAATTTCCAGGCACCTCAGCACAAAGGAAATGAAGGCATCTTTGATCCCACATAGCAAAGAAACCCAGGTCGACACTATTTCAGACCTAACTTCCTTGGGAGGAAACATCAAATATTTGATGACTGATGTTGTCATTCCCAAATTCTTTTTCTCAAGAAAGATTAAGATATCATGCTTTAAGGCAGTGGTTCTCAGAGGGGGCAATTTTATTTCCCAGGCATCTGTATGCAGAGGGCAGGGATTCTGCTCAACGTCCTGCAGTGCGTAACACAAGGCAGTTCCCATAACAAAGATGTATCCAGTCTATAGTGCCAGAGGTGCTGAGGTTGAGAAGCTCTGGTCTCAGGAGTTAGGGTGACAGTGTAGTGCTGGCCCCAGAAACAGCTCAGCCCTCATGCTGACGATGAGACTGGAGTGGAGAGAAAGACGTACCCTGGCAGGACCAGAGGCAGAGTCCAGGGCCCACAGTCCGGTATTTCTTCACAGCTGCATTAGGACATGTTTCTAGAGCCTACACACAGCAGGACATTAACTGATGAAAATTTAAACCCCAAAATCATCCCCCTGCCCTGCTCCATTCCACCTCGAGGAGAAAGAGCCAGGAGAAAGGATGACACGTCTATGGGAATAGATGCTGTTTATTGCTTTACCATCCCCAAGCACACTTGAACACTGAGTAGACACTAAGGAAATATTTACATAGGGAAGGATAGGATTTTGCTGTGAAAGTAGATGCAACCCAAACGCTCTACAAACTTCTATAGCCAACTGGAATGAAAAAGAATGAACACCAATGCTGGGCATCAAGTTGAGAAAATCGAGAGTATCGGTTTGCTCCTTCTTCCTTTTAGGGGAAATCAAGGACCAGAGGGTTTTGCCCAAGCTTGAGTGAGAGGCAAAGTGGTGACTGACACCAGGACTTCACCCCTAAACTCCAACATTTTTGCCATGACACCACCACCTTCTGCTTCCAAAATTTTCCATTATGCTCTACTGTCTTTCCTAGAAGTGGAAAGAAGGACATTTTTGTCAAGATTTTCTGCATCAGGGTTTGAAAATTTTGATGACTTTTTGGTTAACTGAAAATTACCCAGAAAATCAAATTATCTAGACTGCTCATCCCCCAAATGTTCTAGTTAATCAAGGTTTGATTGTGTTTGTTTTGCAAAAAGAAAACTTCTCTCCTAAGACATTTAGACTCAAATAGATGTGCCCGGTGCTTATGTGGTCTCATAATTTATGCACTTGAGTTGCTGTTCCGTGGGCAATTTGGCAGGGATCACAGGCATAGACAAAGAAGATGTTAACAGCAAAAAAGACATCACCAGAAAGCCTTTGGAAGACAAACACTTCACATCTTCAATTACAAGACAACCTGATGCAGAAAGAGACTAAATTAATTTAAAAACCTCCTGCACAAAGAAAATAATGGAAAAATACATCACAAGTAGTTATCCCTTTTGTGCTAAAAACAAGTGATTCGGAGAAAATAACTGCATGGGGCTGAATGTGTTAGTCTTATAATCTTCTAGTTTTAAATTCTTAGGGGAGAAACAGAGAATAAGAAAAAAGAAGCTTTCATTGTTGCAACAAACATTTATTGGATATTTAGTGTATTGCCAGGCACCAGGCTACACTTTCTGTGACTTTTTCTACTCTTAAAATTTCTTTCAATCATGTGAAAGAAACTTCTAGATGTCTCATTACTGATTCCAACAGTGGCTCTAGAAAGGCCATTTTTTTCTGAGGTTTTTGCAAAAACTGTTTTGGCTCAACTTAGAAGTGCAGCTGGGAATATCACTTGGTGTTATTCCCCCTGGGAGCCTGAGTTCTCTGCGACTGGTTTATCCTAAGGTTTGGGGGCCACCCATTTGCAAGGAGAGGGCCTTAGATTACTAGAGATTATGAATATTTCAGGTTGAGTTCTCTGGGAAGTAGGCTCTGAAATGGAGCTCGGTGTGCCAGGGGTTTATTAGGGAGTTACCATGGACAACCACATCTGTGTAGAGGAGGAGGAAATGGATACAGGCAACAGCAGCCTTGGCCAACCCATGGGATGCTCTGCAGCTAGAATGGGCCTTTAAAGTTGGCTAGACCAGGACTTTAGACTCCTGCATTCATCAGTCACTGGATGTGGGCTGCCTGGGGCTACCTGAGAAAGTTGTGACCTTGAGGGAGGCAGCTCTTTGCAACTGAAGCAATCTCTGAAGGGACAGATTGCTGAAGGCTGCTTGCTGACAATCTTTCACTAAAGGGGCTCTGGGTGGCATATCATAGCATTCACTACTGTGAGGCTCCATTGAGAACTGACCTGCCTTCCTTCCCTCCTTCCTTCCTTCTTTCCTTCTTTCCTTCCTTCCTTCCTTCCTTCCTTCCTTTCCTCCTTCCTTTCTTCCTCCCTCCCTCCCTCTTTTCCTTGCTTCTTTTCTTACTTTCTTTCCTCCATTCTTCCTTTCTTCCTTCCTCCCTTCATTCCTTCCCTCCTTCTTTCCTTCCTTCCATTCTCCCTCCCTCCTTTTCTTCCTTATTTTCTTCCTTTCTTTCCTCCACTCTTCCTTTCTTCCTTCCTTCCTCCCTTCATTCCTTCTCT
Source organism: Homo sapiens (assembly GCF_000001405.40). Classification (NCBI taxonomy): domain Eukaryota; kingdom Metazoa; phylum Chordata; class Mammalia; order Primates; family Hominidae; genus Homo; species Homo sapiens. The sequence goes on from NC_000020.11 coordinate 59,265,572, forward strand.
CCTTCTTTCCTTCCTTCCCTTCTCCTTTCTTCCTTCCTTCCTTCCTTCCTCCCTCCCTTCCCTCCTTCTTTCTTCCTTCCTTCCTTCTTTCTTTTGTTCCATCCATGCATCCAACATGTATTTATTTTGTGTCTGCCATCTGCCAGGCACAACCTGATGGAGAAGATGTCATTAAACAAAATATTATACATTATTTATTTACAACTTGATGCATACTAGAAAGAGACCACACCAAGTGAGATGAGAGAAGATAATTGGGGGAACCAGGAACCAACAGAATCAGGGAATGTTTAGGCTGAACTCTGAGGAATGAATTAGGATGAAAAAGAAATGGGTTTTCCAGGTGGAGGGAGCTTTGAGTTGGAGGAATTGGCAGCACAATGGGGGTGGCCCAGGGATAGTGGGGAGGGGAGAGAAGGAAGAGATGAGACAAGATCTGGGGATTGCACAGGCAGAGCTCAGGAGTTTCATCCTAAACACTGGGACCAAAAAATCTATACTGTGTCTGGAGATCTAGGAATGAGGTTCTGCTGGGACCAGAAAGCTAGAAGTTAGTTTAAAATTGAAATGCACGCTCCTACCTACAAGGTTTATATTATTCTTGAAAATGGGAGCTAACTAAAATTAAAATAGCTTCATTCAGTGTGAGCTGCACAATATTCCACACAGACTCATTGGGTTTTTGTCTCAGTATCCCATTTTCCTGAGCTTTGTAATTCTCAAACCTCATCTCCATGGAATAATCCAAACTGTGAAATGAAACACTTACAGGGCCAGTCAACCACAAGATTTGAGAACTGCAGTCCATTAACCCTTGGATGAAGGAGTAGATGACTTGAATCATCTTGTAATTTTTGCCTTCCTGTAGGTGAAAAGATAAAAAAAGTCTCAAGACCACATCCAGATGAGTCCAAATACCTGCTGAAAACTGTTGGGTCTATGGAATTTACAGAGAAAGAAGTTTCTCTTCTGACTTACTTAGAAACAGAATTTTATTTTTTCTTATTTTTTTCAAATAGATAAGATGGTAAATTTTATGTTATATGAATATATGTGAATGTATATGAACATATATATAATATATATTTTACCATTTTATCCACTCTTAAGCATATAGTTCAGTGATATTAAGTATATTCATATCATTGCAAAACCATCCATCTCCAGAACTCTTTTCATCCTGCAAAACTGAAGCTTTGTAATCATTTAAACAACTCCCCAATCCGTCCTTTCAGGAAGAGTTGACCTCCCTCTCCTTTCAGGAAGGAGGGGTTGGGGAGTTGTTTAAATTATTTCCCTGGAAACCCCTATTCTACTTTCTGTCACTAAGAATTTGACAACTCTACTCCCTCATGTAAATGGCATCATATAGAATTTGTCTTTTTGTGACTGGATTATTTCACTTAACATAATGTTCTCAAGGTTCATCCATGTTGTAGCATATGTCAGAACTTCCTCTCTTTTAAAAATTGAATAATATACCATTGTGTGTATATACTGCATTTTACCATTCATCTGTTGATGGACAATTGGGTTGATCTTCATTTTCATGATTGTGAGTAATGCTGTGAACATGGATGTACAAATATCTTTTCACTTTCAATCTATTTGTGTCTTTGGATCTAAAGTGAGTCTTTTGTAGGCAACATGTAGATAGATCATGTTTTTAATGCACTTTGTCAATCTCTTTGATTGGAATGTTTATCCATTTACATTTAAAGTAATTACCAATAAAATCTACCATTTTGTGATTTGTTTTCTATATGCCTTATAGCTTTTTTTGTCCCTGATTTCCTGCATTACTATCTCTTTTGTGTTGAGGTATATATATATATATATATATATATATATGTATATATATTTTATACAGAGGGTCTCCCTCTGTTACCCGGGCTAGAATGCAGTGGTGCAATCATAACTCATTACAGCCTCAATCTCCTGGGCTCAAGCTATCTTCTCACCTCAGCCTCCTGAGTAGCTGGTACCCCAGGCATGTACCACCACACCCACCTATTTTTTTATTTAATTTTTTTTTTTGTACTGGAAGTGTCTCCCTGTGTTGCCCAGGCTGGTCTCGAGCTCCTCTTGCCTTGGCCTCAAAGTGCTGGGATTACAGGCTGGAGCCACTGCACCCCACCTGTGTTGGTTTTTTGCAGTGAAATGTTTTAATTCCCTTCTTATTTTCTATTTTTTTTTTTTAAATTTCTGTTTCCAACTTTTACTTCAGATTCAGGCGATACATGTGCAGGTTTGTTACATGAGTAAATTGTGTGTCATGGGGGTTTGGTGTACAGATTATTTTGTCACCCAGGTAATGAGCAGAGTACTTGATAGGTAGTTTTTTGATTTGCACCCTCCTTCCACTCTCCACTCTCAAGTAAACCCTGGTGTCTATTGTTCCTTTTTTTGTGTCCGTGTGGACTCAGTGTTTAGCTCCCACTTATAAGTGAGAGCATGTAGTATTTGGTTTTCTGTTTCTGTGTTAATTTGCTTAGGGTAATGGCCTCCAGCTCCACCTGTATTGCCGCAAAGGACATGATTTCACTCTTTTCTACAGCTGTGTAGTATTTCATGGTGTATATGTACCACATATTTTTTATCCAGTCTACTGTTGATGGGCATCTAGGTTGATTCCATGTCTTTGCTACTGTGATTCATGCTGTGATGAACATATGCATGCATGTGTCTTTATGGTGGAATGATTTATATTCCTTTGGGTATACACCCAGTAGTGGGATTGCTGGGTCAAGTGGTAGTTTTGTTTTAAGTTCTTTGAGAAATTTCCAGACTGTTTGAGGAAGAGAATTTAAAGGACTTGGGATCTGATACAATTTTAGAAACTTTGATTCATATTTGGTGTTTCTCCCTGCCACTCTCTACTCCCATCTTGTTGTCTCTCACTCGCTGTTCATTCCGAGAGAACAGTGGAGGAACATTTGAAAAACACACCTCTTCCGTCTTGAGGAAGAACAGGCTGTAACGACTTTGCAACCTTGCTTGGGCTTCACTCGGAACTCCTCACCTGCTTGGGCTGCTTTATTTTGTTCATCAGTTGCGGTCCTTATTTAACATAAAGTTTGAAAAGCTTAAACTTTTCAATTAGTAGCTGAGCTCTCCCCCATAGAGATCATCCAGTTAAAAACCCAATTCCTGGGTTGGTGTCTACGAGTTGTCTTTTATTTGGTTCTTATGAAAAAGGTCCATATCCAAGAAGGAGCACATCAGGGAAAAGCACCTCAAAATGTCCTGTCCTGAAAGTGTCTTCAGAAGATAACATTTCAGGCTTGGAGCCTGGGAACAGAAGGTGCCTATTGGTCTTTAATTAAGGAAACTGTTGCAAATGAAGGGCATTTAACATCTTAAACCACCAGTGGCTCAAAGGCAGCATGAAGCCCGTGGGTAACAAAGATGCATTTGTTGTCCCAGCTGTCCTGGTACCTGCATTGGCCTATACAGCTGACCTACAGCTAAATGCTTCCCAGCAGGGCAGATTATAAGTGATCTTGGACTCCCTGGGCTGTGACAACTCAATTTTCACAAGTGGCAAAGAAAGTCAAGCCACCGTCCCCTCCCGTGCAACACATCTGCCACAATAACAGAGCTGGAGAGGAAGCAGTCCTCTGTCAAGAGAGACCCCTAGACATGGGGACATGCAAGGAATGCTGAAGAATCAGAATGGCATTGTGCAGATTTCATTACTATTTTATCTGGGGGAGAAAGAGCCTATAAGGAGCAGGAAAGAAAACCCCTACAGATTGTGCTCTGATTTTATAACCAGATTGTTGGAAATTACTGACAGATTGAATAAAATAATATGCTTTGGAGCAGGAGGGAACATAAAGGTGGAAATTTAATTGACTTCTATCCTAAACCTAGGAGCTAGGGGGTAGGGGAAGGTATATTATTAATCACCACTGTGGTCACGCCTGGTGGTTTCATGTGCAGTGAGAGGAAATGTAGCTTTCAATTACATACATATGAATTTCAAATGACTACCTGGTGCACCAGAGAGGAGAAAGCGTGCAGACCAGGAGCTGTACCCCATGTGTGTATGCACTTGAGCAGAACCACACTACCCTGTAAAAAATGCAATTAGAGAACGGGGGGGTGAGTGCCATGGGTGGGGGGTAAAGCCGTAATCTGTGAGGGCCCCACCTTATCTGTTCTCTTTGAAGCACATGTTCTTTTTCTTCCTGCAAAGTGCTTGCAATAGCCCTGGCCTGAATGGATTTCAGATCTGCCTTGAATATGAAATACCTCTGGATGCATTCAACCATTTTCTACCCTGAAAGTCAGAGGGACAAAAGGTGGATTGTGTGTGGCCTTAAATGATATTTCAGGAGTTCACTAAATGTCAAGATAAGATTAGGGGTAGCCTAGGAAGGGAATTCTCCTAATTAATGGGAATTCTTTAGCATACAGTGTTGCAAGATCCTCCTTTGTTAAGCTTCCAGAGTTTTTTCCTCTAGTGTTCAAACAAAAGACAAGATTTTTGTGTTGGGGTTGTTGTAAGAATTATTGAGGTTTTTCTTTAACAAGAAATACTTTTACTTTCACGGAGAAGAGACCCCCCCCCCCAAAATTAAAAAAAAAAAAACTTTGTCTTGCTTGTTTGCGTATTGAATAGCTACTGTGAGTCCAGCCTGTGCTGGACATCGGAGTCCTAGAGGTCAATAAAGACATGTCCCCGGTCTCAGAAAGTGTATTTCAGTCCCAGTGTAGGCACAAAATAAGGTCTGCTGAATTATATTGCCTAAGCTGGAACTCTAGCACGTTCATTGATTCATTCAACAAACCTTTCAAAGGCCTCATATAGGCAGACTAATAGTCAACTAGCCACCAGATTAAAAAAAAAAAGGATTGAATTAGAATCAATTCTATCACCGGATTAAAAAAAAGGATTGAATTAGAATCAATTCTATCTGTGACTAAACACGCAGGCTTTTTACTCAGACAGACCTGGACTTGAGTTTGGCTCTGCTGTGAATCTGTTTGGCTTTGCAATTTCTCCATGCCTCAGTTTTTCCTTCTATACAATGGGGACAGGAAGAACCATCTCCCAGGTTTATTGCATTAAATGAAATACTAATGCCTACTGTTTAGTACTGTTCTGAGTGCTTTGCATCTACTGTTAAATATGAATGACTTATTTCCTCAGCTGCTTCTGATTGAACCTGGAGTGTTTATTCATGATTTGGGGGCATACGGCTCTCGGATACCTTAAAAGTGATTGAGAACCTCAAAGAGTTCCTGTTACACAGTCTCTATTACAAAATAGCTACCCATATTTATTGTATTATAAATTAAAATGGAAAGCAGTTGAAACCACTTGTTAATTCATTAAAATATAACAATAATAAACCCATTACATGTTTTAAAATAAAAAACATTTTTCAGAACAAGGATTTAGTAAAAACAGGGCATTGTTTTCCACGTTCTGCATATCTTCTTTCATGTCTGTTGTAAATCACATTTCATGTAGTCTCTCAAAAACTCCGCGGTGAGCTTCTAAGAGAATCTGAGTATAAAGGGCCAATATCTTAGCATTATTGTGACGATCATGAGCCAAACTCCCCGACAGGGTCTGGGGGACCTCAGGTCACACCTTGAGCAGCCCTGTATTAAGTCACTTGCTCCTCAACACAACCTTCCAGGGTAAGTGCTATTTTCATTCCCATTTCATAGATGAGGAAATAAAGGCACAAACGTTTAAGGAGCTTGCCCAAGGCTACGTCACTAAGAGTAGCAGAGCTGGCGTTGAGACCCAGCTGCTTGTCCTCAGGGTCTGTGTCCCCACCACCACACCATGGTTCACGCAGAGAACCCAGAACAGTGCTGGCCGCAGGAGGCTCTAGGCCAACGTGAGCAGCTGGACGTCCTTCTGTGATGAAGGTGATATCACCCCATTCTCCGATGGTCAGTTCACTTCCTACCGAAAGCACTGGCATAGCTCTTTGAAATCCATGTACAGGGCTTTGGAAATAGCCACTCATAATCTGAACATTTCTTCGATTGCCTGAGTGTTCGTTCTAAAGCATCTACAGGGCCTGCAGCCACTCACAGAGGAAGACTATGTCTGTCTGATCACCTAGAAACCATTAGAATCCCCCGGCTATCAGGGCAGCTCTCCTCACCTTGTGGTGAGGCCAAACCATCATGCACGTTTGCAGACAACAAAGAAAGCGGGTACATTGAAGGGAGAATGTGGAAAATATAACTTCAGCGTAGACCTCTCCTGCTTTATCTCATGTGACCAAAAAGGTTGGGAGTTGATTGAAATGACTTGCATCTGGGACTACACCAGGAGGCCGAGCAGACACAGGAGTGTTTCTCACTCTTAAAAAAAAAGTCCATATACCATTTACTCTTTTCAGCTCAAAATACTCCACAGACTTTGCAACTTACCTCTTCCCATTTGCCCTTTAAAAAGGGAGTGGGGGGAGAGAAAAGGGAGAAGTGGGGGAAAGCCACATTAGAATTCATGGGAAGAAATGAGATTGTTTTTAAGACACAGGCACCTGGATTTCTTTGTTTAATTAGCATCAGTGAATTATTAATTCAGCGCAAAAAAGCATAGCTCTTTGTCATATAAAAAATCATCAATACCACAAGAGACCCTCACAAACCAGGATGATGATAACTTACTTATATTTGCACAGTGCTTTGCAATTTACAAGGCCCTGTTCTGTACTTCACGGATTTAACTCTGTTAACTGTGTGGAATGGAGTTTTTGCCCGGGCTGGAGCCAGCAGGACAGTACAGAGATTTTACTTCCTCACCATCACGCCCCAAATTATGGAGAAACACTCCAGATTTAATCAGAAGTGCCTGGGACAAGAAGTCATTAATATTCAACAATTTTTAAAATTGCATTCCCAAACTATGTCAAACTTTTTGAGAATTCACCTTGAAGAATCAAGAGGTGCAGGCCCAGCTCTGGGGAGTGATCCAAGCAGGGTCTTCTGTGAGCTTCGTTCTTTTCCTTAATTGGATGGAGCTATTCACTACGGTGAGGTGACCCATCTGTTCTGATTTGCTTAGGACTTCCCCACTTTTAGCACTGAAAGTCCAGTGTCCTGGGATCCCCCACTTCCAAGTCCCAGGCAAACCAGGATGATTGGTCATCCTACGTGCGACAAATGCCTGAAAGCATCGCATACTCCGAGTCTACACCCCTCTTTTCTTCATCTCCGTGGTTTTTCTCCTGGCAGAGTTGCTTGGAGCTTCACATTTGACAAGTGCATTTGGTTTTGCTGGCCAGGGCTGGCCTTACAGCCTAACCCAGGACCCGTGCACCTCCAGTCTTCATTTCCCAGCTCTGTCAGAGCAGTGGGGCACACTCATCCTCTTTGGGGGATATCCCCTTAGTGTGTCAGTCCCTACCAGAGCCAAGGGGCAGTAGAGGCTCTTGTTCCTCCTCTGCCTCCCTGTGGCAATGGCTCAACCGCCTGTCTTTGCTTGGCCAATCTTATACTGTCAGTGAGGACTTGGAATCTTGGGAGTGACAGGTAAAGACTTTGGGACCACTGGAGCCTGCTCGTGACATGAAGGTGGAGTTCTGAGTGTACAGCAGAAGAGCCGGCTGCGGGGCCCAGATTCGTGGTCTCTGTGGCGACTCAGCTTCCCTGGAACTGGCTTGCTTTCTGAGTCCAATGCACGAACATTTTTGTCAGTTCTGTGAGCTCATTGATGTCCTGCTGATCCATTCCTTCAATGCTTAAGCAAGTCGGAGTCAGTTCTGATGGCTGCAACTTAGAACCCTGCCAGCTATGCTGGGTCAAGAATGGTAATATTATCCGTCTCCACCAACTAGTTTTATCTATCAATTTATCTATCCACCCATCTATCCATCCAACCAGTCATCCATCCTTCTATCCCTATTAATATCCTACTCCAGTCCCTTTTCCCTCTGCCCCACTGACCACCATACAGATGCGTTAATCATTTGTTTTCATTTTTGCAAAATGTGTATTATTGCTTTGTATGCATATACACATAGATATACAAATATTAAGTGTATCTCTTGATGGACCTCACATATGTCTATACTCACAGCCACCAACAAGATCAGGATACAGAAGACATCCAGTACCCAGAAAGGTCTCTCATGCCCCATCAGTACATTACTATCTCCCCCATCCAGAAGTAACCACTTTCTGACGTCTATCACCATAAATAAATTATGGGCATGTATTTTTTATGTACATACATGGTCTTGTTATATATCTTGCCTGTTTCTTCATATTTTTCAAGCCTTATGTTGTTAAAACCCGATGTGTTGCTAGGTTTTCACCTTGGCAACTCCTGACTTCTAACTCATGTGTACTACTCAGCAGGCAAGCTTCACCTGCTTAGCCTCGTCCATCCCCCAAGCTGCCTCCACGGCTGGTCATGGCGTTGTGGTCATCTCCGGAGTCCTCATGCGTGGGAGTCTGCTGGATTTCTCAGTTTGCCGACACTCCAGAAGGTCAAGTTTTAAACCTGGGAGATGTGGGGGAGGGAGATTAATGGGTGAGCCTTTTTTTTGTATTACGTCCTTGATGTGTTTGCTGAATCTTCAGTACCTCCCAGACAAGGGTGGTGTGGCCACATTCTGGATATAGAATGCTCCTCCCAGCCTTCTATCTGATGCATGGCGCCTGCCACTTCCTCTTAGGCGTGCTGCAGGATGACACTAGTGAGCCACAAGAAGGTCAAGTGTGTTCACTGGTCCTTCCTGTGAGGGGCTGCTCATCCTTCCTGACACAAAGCAGCTTAGAAATCCTAAGAAAAGTAAAGAAAGCCGCAGAGAGGAAACAAAAGTGAGGGAGAGTAAAGCCAAGTTTGCGTGTAAAATCTTTCATGTTTTCTCATTATGTGTCTTCTGGCTGGGAACATGGTTCTCACAGCCCAGGAGGGCACAACTTGCTTTTATTTGGCTTCAGAGGCATCCAGTTTGTGAAAGTTTATGGGAGCATTGCAGAAATGTGTTTTCTCTGTGGAGCCAAAAGTTTGTGGACAAAATAGACCAAAAGACAAAGACCGTGGAAGTGTCTGACCCACCCCAATGGAGCCGACTTGCTTAGGAAACAGAAAATCCTTCTCATCCTGTGCAATTTTAGGAAGATCAGGAAGGCTGTACTGAGGAGGATTTCAGAGCTGAAGCTGATACAAAAAGAAAATAAATGAATGAAAGAAAATAATCACTGTCATCTGAGTACAGCATGAAAAATATCAACATGACCCTGATTTCATAACTCAAACCAGATGAAAAAAAAACTTCACACCCAACCCCATACCAATTCCTCTGATTTCTTTCTTTTTTTTTGGTTTCTTGAGACAGAGTCTCACTCTGTCTCCCAGGCTGGAGTGCAGTGGTGTGTCTCGGCTCACTGCAACCTCCGCTTCCCGAGTTCAAGAATTCTCCTGCTTCAGCCTCCCAAGTAGCTGGGATTACAGGCACCTGCCACCATGCCCAGCTAATTTTTGTATGTTTAGTAGAGACAGGGTTTCGCCATGTTGGCCAGGCTGGTCTCTAGCTCCTGACCTCAAGTGATCCACCCATGTCAGCCTCCCAAAGTGCTGGGATTACAGGTGCGAGCCACCGCGCCTGGCCAATTCCTCTGATTTCTAATCAATTTCTGTGGAGGTGGCATTTACAGAGTTCATGGGGATGGAGGGGACTGTGACAGTGCAACCAGCTCCAAGGCACACAGCTGCCAGGAGGGACAGTGGGGGTGATGGGCCCGGGCTCCAGAGTTAGGCAGGAAGGGAGCCGAGTCTGTATTTTTCCATGTATCATCTACGTGATTTTGGGAAAATTACCTACCTTCCCAGACCTTCAATTCTACATCTGTAAAATGGGGTTATAATTGCAGGTCCTTCACAGAGTTAAACACTCATGAAATTCTAGAAGCAAAGAGGCATCAGAGAGCCTGACACGCTGAGGTGCCCACTGAATGTGAGCTCTGTGTTCACAGGACAAGCTACAAAGTCCCAGTGCGGAGTGACCACGGAAACCCTGGGTCAAGGTGAGTGATGCTGGAGCCACTTGAGGTCTGTCCCCAGGGAGGTACTGCACATTTTCCCTTTCAGGTAATATGGCCATCCACTTCTAGACACTTGTCCTACAGAAACAAGCACGCGGAGACTTTTGTAGGAGGATGCAGCACTGTTTGTAACAGTGACTGAGTGGGAATAACCTAAACGTCCATCCAAAAGTCAGTGTTAGATAAGCCATTGTGTGTTCATTCAATGGATACTCTGCAGTGTCCAAAAGAACAAGTAAACCCATAAGTATGGCACGGAAGGGTGACTGGGTCCAAAAATAAAAGTGTATACAAGTATTAATGAGATGTCTGCATTTTTTTTTTTGAGACAAAGTCTTGCTCTATTGCCCAGAGGCTGGAGTGCAGTGGCGCCATCACAGCTCACTGCAGCCTCGACCTCCTAGGCTCAAGTGATCCTCCCACCTCAGCCTCCTGAGTGGCTGGGACCACAGGTGTGCACCACCATGCCCAGCTAATTAAAAAAATTTTTTTTTTGTAGGGATGGAGTCTTGCTATGTTGCCCAGGCTGGTCTCAAACTCCTAGGCTCAAGTGATCCTTCCACCTCATCCTCCCAAATTGTTGGGATTACAGGTGTGAGCCACTGTGCCCGGCCCAGATATTTGCATTTTTGTAGAAATAAGGAAGAAACAATACTGTGTTTAAGTTGAGTATAGAAGAACATAGTGAGAAGAATGTTTATCAAGCAGCTGGTGGTGATTTTCTGGGAAGAAGGTGGTATCCTAAGTAACATGGTCATGTAATTGGTCCACATGGGGTACTTTGGGAAATGAAAGAGGCAGGCACTTCGCTAAAGCTGTGCGATGGGTACTGACCTGCAGCCACGCAGGCAATCTGGGAGACATCATGGAGGACTTACCCTTTGTTCGCAGAGCACTCAGGACTCTTGTTTGTTAGTGGCAAATCCAAGTCAAATATGCTTGGTTCATATTCCCTTTCCCTGAGTCCAGCATTCACTGGGACTGTGAATAAGCTGGGACTGGACAGGGGAGGTGGGACCTTTTTTATGAGAACCTCAGAGATGAGAGCCAGCTCATGGGGGATGCAGTGTTGACCAAGTTGCTGTGGGAGGCAGGGAGAACAGATGTTGGGAAGGTCAAACACAGAGACGTCTGCCTTGCAGTCCACTGTGTATCTGGATAGCATGCGAATGTATAAGGCTGAATGTTATGGGGAAATCTAGCTGGTAGAGGTGAGCACTGGGACAAAGGGGACCTTTCGTGAAGTCCCTGTGTGTGATGCCGGAGGCATCTGAGGACTTGGGGAACCCTCCCCCCCGCCCACTATGAGAAATGCAACAGCATTATCAAAGAGAGGAGAAGAAAGGGAGGAAGATGGGCCAGGGATCTTGAAAGGATGTGGTTTTTTCCCTGCACTGGGTGTGCGAAGGAACTGTGCTTGAAGGGCCAGCAGTGGGAATGTGTGAGCATGTGGTGCCCTGGATAGTTTGCTTTCCTTGATTGGAAGCAGCTGTGGGCCTTTGACTTTTGAGAGGGACAGAAAGTTTGGTGTCTTTATGGTGTTAGAGGTTATGCCCGAAGATTTCCTGCCTTCTGGGCCCCACTGAATTGGAACCATTTTTCATCCCACTCAGACATCCAAGACTTACAGGGTTCTAAAGAAGTCCCCGAATGCCCCTCTAAATCAATCTCCAGACGTTTTCTCCCTGGGAGTGTTCAAACGATTCAATTATGGTGTGAAACTTTCATAGCCAGACCTCACAAGCTCCTTCCCTCTCTCCCCTCCCAGCGATTTGGGTCACTCATGATTCTGAGCAGAGAAACTATCCCTTGGAAATCTTTCATGATCTAATTCTCAGGGGCCCTGGTGTAAACAGGAGCCTTAAAGCAGGGTCCCAGAAGATACTAGAATGATCATCAGCTTAGGAGACAATGATTCTGAACTCACCTGGACCGTTTCCTTACCTGTCAATTGGGAAAAACAATAGTAGCTGCCTTAGAAGGTTATTTTTTCTTTTTTTTAACAAATGTTTTTACTTAAATACATTTTTAATTTTAAAGTCACTTTAGAGTTACAGAAAAGTTGCAAAGAAAGTACAGGGAGTTCCTGTAAGCCTCTCACACAGGTTCTTCTCTTGTTGTATATATGTCATCTTACATTTCTGTAGTGCGTCTGCCACAGCTGCAAAGCTAACATCGGCACATTACTATTAACTGAACTCCATGGCTAATTCAAACTGCACTCATTTTTTCCTAATGTCCCTCTCTGGTCCAGGGTCCCATCCAGGACACCACCTTACATTTAGTTTTCTTCTTAGGCCTTTTTGATCTGTGACAATTTTCTCAGACTTGTCTTGGTCTTGATGACGTTGACAGTTGTTTGTTTGTTTGTTTGTTTGTTTGTTTGTTTTTGAGGTGGAGTGTTGCTCTGTTGCCTGGGCTGGAGTGCAGTGGTGTGATCTTGGCTCACTGCAACTTCTGCCTCCCGGGCTCAAGCTATTCTCCTGGCTCAGCCTCCCGAGTAACTGGCATTACGGACACCTGCCACCACGCCTGGCTAATTTTTGTATTTTTAGTAGAGACAGGGTTTCTCCATGGTGGCCAGGCTGGTCTCAAACTCCTGACCTCAAGTCATCTACCTGCCTTGGCCTCCCAAAGTGCTGGGATTCAGATGTGAGCCACTGTGCCCGGCCTACATTGACAGTTTTAAAAGGTATAGTCAGGTGTTTTGTGGAATGTCCCTCAATTTGGGTTTTTGCAAGATGTTTTCCTCGTATTAGACTGAGCTTATTGATTTTGGGGAGGAAGATGTCAGAAGGGAAGTGTGCTTCTCATTAGCCTATCAGAGGTCCAGGCTGTCAATGGTAATGTTGGCCTTGATCATATAGGATTATATTGAGAATTCAGTGACATCACCCAAGTAAGGTGCTTAGGGCACACAGCAAACCCATGGTTAGACAAATGGGTTGAGTGAGTGGTTATTGAGGATTTTGACTTTGTCAGGTAATGTGTCGATTTCAGACAAAGAAGAATCAGACCTGATTCCTGTCTTCAAGGACCCTTCGGCCTGAGGTGTCGATGCATCCTTCATCTCCCATCCAGTGACCTTGATCACCTTTGCTTTGTTCAGCTGCTTTCCAGCGGTCACTTCCTGCTTGGAGTTAGGGCTATAGCTGTTGGCAACTGGGGTGTGTAGAAAACCAGAAAGCGAAGAACTGTGGCAATTTCTGGCTGGGGATGAAAAGCCCAGTAAACAAAGGGACAGAGTCTTTCAGAGAGTGATGGCTCAGCACGCAGCGGGGAAAGTGAACCACAAGAAGGGAGGAGATTCTCAGGGGAGCAATGTGGCCCAAACAGACATCTGCTGTGGATCTTTTAAGACCTTCCTATGTAATGTGGCAGGATCCCACCAAACGCCAATTCTTGGTTTTCTTGTATGGACAATGAGGACAGTGACATTTGACTGGCTTTTCTCAGAAAGTTCTACTCAACCTAAGTTGATGTCCAAGACCTTTGGGTACACACAGGTGCAAAGCCAAAGCCCCAGCCCTCAAGAAGCTCACAGTCTCAGAATGTTGCAAGGCTCCAAAGGCCCAACGTATGGCCATGGAAGTCCCGCGGCCACTGAGTGGCTGGCTGTGCAGAACGAGGAAAAACCTCCTTCATTTTTTACAAGAAATAGGTGCTTTTTAAAGGACAAGCCTCCAACCAAGCCAACAACATGGTCAGCGTGTCTCCTCAGAACTCCTATGAATCATGTCCTCATGCTTTTCCATTGAAATCTCTTAGGAAACAGCTCAGCAATTTGCTTCAATTCTGCAAATTTCATACTTTCAAAGAAGGCATCTAAAGAATTCCTGATGCTTGTTTTGTTGGGTTCTTTTGCTCCAATGAACTTCTGGTTGAAGTCCAATGGTTTCTGTGGCTGAGGAAGAAGCAGTGATGTGTATGTGTGCACATTGCCTTTTGCTCTTTTCAATGATTGGAACATATTTAGTCACACCCTTCTAATCAGTAAAGAGCCCACAGCACATTTAGGGCTGTAGGTGAACCACGGAGACAGGGAAAACCAGTTTTGTTTTTTTTACTTTTGAGGAAAAGTGGAAGATGCTAGCTTAGCACTACGCTTGGCCTGATCTCTTAGGACTTATAGATGCTCCAAATCTTACCAAAGAGCCTCTCAGCACTGTGCTGCCCAGCAGGGCTGTATGCAACATCTCCAAGTGGCACCATATTGCACAGTGCATGTGCTCAAGCTCCAGAAGTTTTAAATTTATGCTGTTTACAAATTGCATTTATGTTAGCCACTGTTTTCCATGGAAAAGTTCAAACCCCAGAGGAACATTAAACAGTCTTACAGCAAATCTACAAGATAATAGAAAATCAGAGGGCTCTACGCTCTTTTTTCCTCCTCCTCCATTGATGAGAAACACAAGTTCTGCTTGGAGAAGGCAGATGGCCTCAAAAGGATAACACACATGAAAAGGTGCAAACCTGAGCTTTCATTTGTAGACATGTTGGTGCATCTGAACAGAATCCATGTGTGGAACCAGGTATACTTAACTCATTAAAGGTTCCTGCCATGCGTATTAGTTACTAGGGCCAATGGATTCCCCGTTCTGTCTGAGCTTATGAGTTGGGTTTTGTCCTTTGTAAGCCACGGTCTCCTCTGAGTATTATACACAGTGCTTGGCGTAGAAAGGGTTGCTCAGGAAGGTTTGTTGTCTGGCCCGCTGAATGCTCTAAAATGCACAGTCCACTGGACAAGGGTTTTCCAACCTTGGCATATTGACATCAGGGCCAGATCTTTCTTTATAGGGGCTGTCCTGTGTGTTGCAGGATGGTGAGCCGGGTCCCTGGGCTCTACCCTTTAGATCGCAGCAGCCAGCAACACTCCCTCCATATTAGTTGTGACCATCAAAAATGTTTGCAGACATTGGTAAGCGTTCCCTGGGGGTCAAATCATCCCCAGCTGAGTACCACTGATGTACATAAATCTACAATTCTAATTTTGAATGATTTATTGACCATCTTCTATAAAAAAGATTGGATTGGATGAGAACACCAAAACATGAAATAAGATGAAATGAAAGTCAAGATTTTGCTGCCCGAACTACTTATGATTTAGAAGAGATTTGCCATCCTCAAATGCTGAAGTGGAGCCAAGCCATGTGCATTCCAGGGGCTTCTGGGAGATAAATTGGTTTCACTCATCCAAAGCCATCAGTCACCATTCACCCACTTTTCTGTTTGGAGTTATTTAATTTCTTCTTGAATGCTTCCCATCTTGCTCAAATTTGCACCCTGTCTCTGTCCTTCTCTCTCTTCAAAATGAAGGAGGTTGAAGTAGGTAGAAGTTTGCTCATCACCCTAATCGCACTTATTTATTTAGAACAGCAAAATCCTCTCGAGATGACGAATTTGCTTTCTGCCAAAGTTATGCAGCTGACTGTTTATAACAGATCCTGTAATTAATTGGATTTTGTCACTAGAATGCATGCTTTTTTCCCTTTGCTTTGCAGGTGTGAAAATCTCAGAAATGGCCTTGCAAGGTTGTAGCTTCCAGCCACGTTAGCCAGAGGGGACCAGACCTTCATCACCTTCATTTTTTAATTGGCTTTTGATGTTGGACATAATTTCTTAATGACACAGCCATCTCCTCTGTTGAATCTGCACAGCTTTGAATGTTCATTACGCTACAAAGTTGGTCTCAGCTTATTTTGGAATTATTGTTTCTCCAAGCTTACTTAGACAACCTCTGGCCTCCTTTTTGGGTTATGTAATTATTTCCTCATGCAGCCCATAGCTTGCTTCCCCACATGTCTAAGGCTACTGCTAACCATGAGATCTTATTCATAACTCTATTGTGAGACAGAACAAAGGCACCCAGTCTACATAACCTCACCAGAGGTAAAAAGCAACTCTATCCTTACCCAGCCTTTCCCACAAGGCTTTTCTGTTTGCCAGAAGTGTCGGCATTCTTGACTCCATTGGGGAAATGTACCTATAGCAAAAAACAAATCTAAAAATCGCATAACTGACTGCACTCGTTCTATTTTGTCTTAAATTTTATTAACCCTGCTTTGCCCAGAATTTTTTTAATCTCTTGAGGTAAGTTTCCAATCATCTCTCCTCCCTCCTTCCTACCCCGAACACACAAACTTTGGGGATAAGGGAAGGAGGGCTGTATCAAGAGAAAATGTCAGGCAACAAGAGGAGGTGATCATCTATCCCTCAGTGCCACATACAAAGACTGATTTTAAATTAATTAGCCAATGCAGGAAAACAGCAACAACAACAAAATCCCCAGCAAGATCAATTGCTCAATATGCCCTGTTTTTAAACTGATTTGATCAAATCAGTGGTTGATCTGAGGTCCTGCTTAGACGAACCCATGTAAACATACATTACAAAACAGATTTTTCAAGGAAATCTAAGGGGCTGATACACAATAAATATTTAAGTTAAACCCCAAACTGTGTAAATAGTAAATAATTTTGTTTCCTGTCACTCACAGCTCTCTGGAACAGTTTACTATTTAATGTATCTGAACATCAAAAGAATCCCTTAACTTGAAATATTTTCCAAAAAGTCATTAAATAACATATTTCTTCCAAACAAAACCCAAGCTGGAATGGAAACCCTCACACATATACCTATTGGTTAATTAAGGTTAGGATTCCCTCAAGAGAAAAGAGCTGGTCAAAAGAGGTTGGTTCTGTCCAAAGACAAGTTTAAACATTATAATTCAGGTGACCCCAAAGGAAAGGAGAGGACCTGCTAGAGGACTCTCAGTCAGAAGTTGGCACAGATGTTTTTTCTTCTGCTGCAGGTGTGAAACGGAATGGTAGTATCTGCTTACCTTTGTGCAGAGACCATTCCTCCCAGGACATCAGCCTCTATGCATCTATTGAACCAACACGACCCAAGTTTGCGATGTTCCTCCCAGAGAAAGAAAGAGTTCAGTCTGTAACAAAGTGGCGTAGTTTGATCCTTGGGGTCATAGCCCCACTGCGGCACCTCGGCTTCGCATTTGCGCAGAGAGGATGCTGGCAATCTGATACAGGACTTAAATGCAAAATGAATGCCACCTTGGGGTTTGTGCCCTTCCATTTCATAATCATGTGACCTTTATTTCCTTTCTTTTCTGTTGACAATTTTTTCTAAGAGATTTGGAGCATCTCTTTCGCTTGAAATTTTTATGACCTTTAAAACTCCTGCCTCCATTCTCCCTAAGACTGCCTTCAGAAAAGCTGCAGCTGATCCCAGCACATGACTCACACAGCATCTACCTGTCACATTCCAAGTGCCTCGCTGTGTCGTGGGCATCAAGTGGCAAAATGAACAAAGATCGAATGTCAGGAGGCCCTATCCAGGGTCACATGCTTGGCCGCACTTCCCCTTTCAAGAGCTGGTGGGAGAAAGATTTTGAGCAGGGTCACCGAAGACAGGTATGCTCTGTAGGAGAGCAAAGAGAAGGAAGAAATGCTTTGCCTTAATGACTTTTTCAAAGACTCAGGATTTCCCTGGATGCCTTTCTGGCTTTGAACTAAAGTGCTCTGAAAGATCAACTTGCTTGGCTATATTGCCCTTGGTAACTTTTCTTGGGGAAGACAGGAAGCTTCCCCACTACCCTTTTTTTAAAGAAAAGTATTTTTTAAATTGTGGAAGCCAGGCGGGAAGCCAGCCTCCTGAGTAGCTGGGATTACAGGGACGCACCACCACACTCAGCTATTTTTTTATATTTTTAGTAAAGACAGGGTTTCACTATGTTGGCCAGACTGATCTGAACTCCTGACCTCGTGATCTGCCCGTCTTGGCCTCCCAAAGTGCTGGGATTACAGGCATGAGCCACCCTGCCCGGCTGTCATTATTCTATTTTTAGTCTTCTGAGGAGCTGCCATACTGTTTTTCACAGCAGCTGTACCATTTGCATTTTCACCAGTGGTGCTCAAGTGTACCGATTTCTCCATATCCTCACCAACACTGGTTACTTTCTGTTATTTTGATAATAGCCATCCTAATGGGTGTGAAGTGGTATCTCATTGTGGTTTTGATCTGTTTTTCCCTAATAAGGAGTGATGTTGAGCGTCTGGTCCTGTGCTTATTGGCCATTAGTACATACTCTTTGGAGAAAAGTCTTCAAATCCTTTGCCATATTTTAATTGAGTTTGCTTTTTTGTTGTTGCATTTTGGTTTTTTACATATTCTGGATGTTAATCCCTTAAGAGATAAGCAATTTGCAAATACTTTCTTCCAGTCTGTGGGCTGCCTTATTACTCTGTTGATGGGTCCTCTGATGCACAAGTTTTTAATTTTGATGAAGTCCAATTTGCCTATTTTTTCTTTTGTTGTCTGTGCCTTTGGTGTCAATAAATCATTGCTAAATCCTTTGTCATGGATTTAGCATGGAAAAAGCTTTCTCCATATGTTGTCTTCTAAGAGTTTCAGAATTGTAGCTCCTACATTTAGGTCTTTGGTCAATTTTGAGCTAATTTTTGTATGTGGTGTTAGCTAAGGGTCCACTTTTATTCTTTTGAATGTGGATATCCTGTTTTTCCAGGACCATTTGTTGAAAAGATTGTCTTTTCCTCTATTGAATGGGTTGGCATCCTTGTTGAAAATCAATTTCACATATATTTGATGGTTTATTCTTGGGCATGCCCTCAGGAACTTTTACTGTATTCATGCATTCTTTCTTTGAATTTGCCATATTTTTGTGTTATCCATGTTCTCTGTGCCTGTCTCACTGTTCCACCAGATTACAAACTTCTTGAGAATGGTTTCTAGATTGTTTTCACTAGTTTGTGTGTTGCCATTGCCTAGTGGCTTTATTTATTTACTGGGGCTAATCTGATCAATGTAGTCAGGCTGGCTATATTAGCATAAATGACCTGGCAAGTGGGTTTGCATTGATCCCCATTTGAAGCTTGCCCATCCTGAGCACGTTGTAGGACGATTATGAGTATTCTAATGATTTTGCTCTACCAGCCTCCTTCTCTAGCCAGTGAGCATCTTGGCAGTGCCTGGCCCATTGCTCACTTCTTAATAAGTGTTTTGAGCAAACAGATAAGCCCGTGGATAAATAGCTGTTGAGAATGTGGAGTAGCCACTGGAGTCTGCTACACTCATCGGGGGAGCGTGGCCCAGAGGGGTTGAATCACAGGTGGATTCTCCTTTTCAGTCCCCTTTTCTGGATCTTCTTTCTCTTTCTGGATCTAAACTTTGGATCACCTCAGGTCTCAGCCTCAGATCTCTTCTCCATCCACATTTATTTCCAGGCTAAGCTTATCCTGAAGCTTTAAATGCAATCCATTTGCTGACAACTGCTGAGTCCAAATCTCCAGACCCACCCTCTCTCGTAAGACTAGTGAAGCCACTGAGCCCTTCTGAGCCAGTGTCCTCATCTGCAAACAAGGGATACTATGATCTTCCTTGCTGCTGTGTATTATAGATACTGTGTGCCAATGCCGGGCACCTAGAAGTGGTCAGCATTATTTCAGTTTATCTTATTAAGAGTCAGCTGTAGGAAGCCCCTAAAGACTACTTATATTATCAGATATTCCACAATAAAGAACATTTGGAAAAAATTAAAACAAGAGTTAAAATGTGGAAATCTGCATGCATGGCAGGCAGCTGAAAGCCACCCTAGACTCCTCAAAGTGTGGAGGGTGTATACTGTTTGTACTTTTCCATGTTAATCTGTTTTCCCAAAGGGTTTGTTTTGTTTTGTTTTGAGGCAGAGTTTCACTCTTGTTGCCCAGGCTGGAGTGCAATGGCACGATCTTGGCTCACCACAACCTCCACCTCCCGGGTTCAAGTGATTCTCCTGCCTCAGCCTCCCGAGTACCTGGGATTACAGGCATGCACCACCATGCATGGCTAATTTTTGTATTTTTAGTAGATATGGGGTTTCTCCATGTGGGTCAGGCTGGTCTTGAACTCCTGACCTCAGGTGATCCGCCTGCCTCAGCCTCCCAAACTGCCGGGACTACAGGTGTCAGCCACTGTGCCCGGTCCTCCCAAAGGGTTTTAGTTTGTCGATTCCTTTTGTCTTCAACCAGTTGAGAGCAGCCATATCAACAGAGGCCAGAGTGATTTCAAACTGAAAATGACTGTGGTGTTGAGCTATAGGCCTGGTGATGCTGCAGAGCAGGAGAGCCCCAAAATTGGGGCTTAGCCCTGGAGGGTTCTTGGCTTAGCCCAGGAAAGACTTTAAGGGTGAGCCAGTGGTGTTCAACAACAGCTTTGATTGAAGGGGCCGTGCACAGCAGTGGCAGAGGGACTGCACCTTGTAGAGCAGGGCTCCCCCATAGGCAGTGAGCTTAGAGCAACAGCTCAGAGTTCTGTGGTCATAGTTATACTCACTTTTAATTATATGCAAATTAAGGGGTAGATTATGTAGAAATTTCTAGGAAAGGGTGGCAACTTCTAGATCACTGGGTTGCTGTCACGGAAAGGGCGATAACTTTCAGGTGCTGCCAAGGCAATGGTAAACTGACATGGCACATTGCTGGGCATGTCTTACGGAAAGCAGCTTCTACCCTGTCCCTGTTTTAGTTAGTTCTCAATTTGGTCTGGTGTCCAAGCCCCACCTCCACAGTGGAGTCCCATCTCCTACCTCAGTGAAAAATGAGTGGGTTATGTAACCAACGCCCGGAGTCCATTTGCTGGGCTGGTGGTAGTGGGTTGGGGTGGTCCAGCCAAGAAAAGTGTGTCTAAAGAATGAAGGTGGGATGGGGCAGAGGGCCCAGCAGCTGGGGGAAGGCCCTCTCAGCATGCTGGGTTATGGGGAAGGCCTCCAAGAATAACTCTTTTCCTCTTTTTATCCCCAGAACTCTTCTATGGGAAATGGCGCTTTGAGTTTGAAGTAGAGATGAAGGTTGGAATAGAAACTAGTTGAGCACTAAAGGAAAGGCTTTTGAGATATGACCTTATCTTGCATGTAGGGGCTGCCTACTCTCTAGCTGCAAGGACTATGGGGTATGAAGAATTCCCTTCACTCACACAGAACTTCCTACATTTTAAAGAACTTCCACATCTTTCCCTCTTACCAAGTTGCCCACCAAAATCCTAGAAGGCATTTTGATTCCTTTTCATCAGTATTCTCCTGCCTCTAAACTTCAATTTGTGCAAAATCCAGTTGGTTCTGCCCCCAAAATATTTTCTGAATCTCAGCTGACCACAATGCTTTTTTCCCTATCACTATAACCCCAGGTTAAGCCATCTCCTATTGGCCTACACAAGCATCCCACCCAGTTTCCTGGCTTTTATCCTAGATCAGTACAACCCATTCTCTATATGCAGCTAGAGGGCCCAGAGGGCAGAGCTGAGAGTCACAGCAGGTGGGGCCTGGGCCTGGAGGATGGAGCTAAGAACCAAAGAGGCAGAACCTAGCCTAGACAAGGGAGTGGAAAACCACAGAGTGCTGTTCCCAAGTCCTTGCAACTTCTTGAAATTTGTCCTGCTGCATCTCTAATTTGGTTGGGGTAAGTGACCCCTTTACTTAGTACAATTTCTCCCTTGTGGATTGGAAATGTCTACCCTATCCTATCATTGTATTTTGCCTGTCCTGCCACAGTATTTTGGAAGCAGGTAGCTTGCTTTCTAGGTTCACAGAGGCACAGATGAAGAGGAATTTTGTCTGAGGATGGACCGTACAAAATGTCTCACCCATACTGATTTAGATGAAGACATTTGGCACTTTTGACCTGATGATATTTAGATGAGATTTTGGACATAGAGTTGATGCTGTAATGAGTTGAGCTGGTGGGGATGGGATGTTTTGCACATGGGACAAATATGCATTTTTGGGAGCCAGAGAGCAGACTCTAGTGGACTGAAGTGTGGTCTCCCACAAGATATCCACAGGTTCCACCTGGAATCTGTGAATGTGAGCTTATTTGAAAGAAAGGATCTTTGTGGATGTAATTACACTAAGCAATGAGATCATTCTGGATAGGAGTGGGACCTAAATCCAATGAAAAATGTTCTTAGAAGAAAAGAGAAAGAGAAAGGATGGGGAGGAGCAGGCCACGTGAGGATGGTGGCAGAAATTAGAGTTATGCTGCCCTCAACCTGGAACCACTAGAACCTGAAAGAGGCCAGGAAGGCTTCTCCCCTGGAGTCTCTAGAGCAAGTGCAGCCCTGCCGACACCCTGATTTCATATTGACTGTGAGAGAATACATTTCTGTTTAAATGCAGCAATTTTGTGACAGTATGTTATAGCAGCCATGCTAACACACTCCCTGTCAGCCTAGGAAGGGTTGTCAAATGTCAAGCTTGATTCCAGCCCTGCCTGGGGCTTCGCACTTGCAGTCTCCTTTGCCTGGAATACCTTTTCCTCAGGGATGTAAATGCCTGGCTCCCTCCCATCCTTGGGACCTGCTCAAACCTCAACCACCTTTGAGGCCTTCACAGACCACCCATTGTAAACGGCCCCCCCTAGTTACTCGATGTGGCCTCACCCTGTCCAATCCCTTTATGGAAACTTTCAGAGTCTGTAGTTTTGTTCTACCATGTTATTTACCTGTTTATTGCCTCTATTCCCCAACCAGAACCATAAGCATCACAAGGGCTGGGATCTTGTTCCCTGGTGCCAAAAACAGTACCTGGCTCACAGATGGTCTTTAGTAAATTTGCTGATGGAATGAAAGCAGGGAAGACCTCCTTCTTTGCAGAGCGCATCTTGCCTTACCTTTGTGTACAGAGGAAGAAATGGGCTGAAAACCATCAGCAAGACTGGGACAAAGCTCACACTCTCCCCTCCACCACCCTGGGGGCCCCTGGGTTCTTGCAGGGCCTCTGCTCCGTCACTGGGCTCTATTCTTTCCTTTTCCGGCTGTGGACTTTTTTCTAGGGACCCAGGGTCCCATCTTGCTTTGTCCCTGGCTCTCCTGTGCCCCTGTCACCCACCACTGCCCTGGACTCTTGACTGTAGGGTCCAATGAGGTCCTGCAGGTGTTATTTGCCCCTCCCCCAATTCTGGCCTCAGTCTTGTTCTTCCTTCTTTCCTCCTCTCCAGGGGCAGGCTCCCTCAGGGTCCAGATCACCTTTGTCAGCTTCACAAAGTCATGGTATCAAGGGCCTGTGTTCTCTCCAGGTCTGTGTAGCTCTGTGTTGGGTGGGCCATTGCCAGGCCCCTGTGTGGAACCCACAGGTAAATGAATGAATGAGTCAACAGGACCAAACCTGCAAATAGCTCAGCTATTCACAAAGCATGTGTGATGCTTGGAAGTCATGTAAAGTTATGACCCATTGACCTTCCACCTCCTGGGGAATCCCCAAGTCTAGCCAGGAGGTTGGGGAGCCCTCAGGCCTCTACAGAAACCAGAGACATTTCGGCTGGCCCCAGTAGCTCCACGGGCTTGTAGCTGCCTTACAGGTGGTGTGCCTTGCTTCTGAACAAAGACCCAGAGGCAATGGAGGGGAGGGGTGGCCGGAGAAAGCCTCATAACATGAGGCAGCATTGCCATAGGGTCCTTTGATCCCACCTGCATGCTCCCAGCCTCTGCTCCCAAGGTGGTGCCCTTGTTAAGTTGGCTTCAGGTGGTGACAGGCACACAGATCCCCAAGGCAGGGGATTCCTGCTTTCTCCTCTAGAGAAGGGGCTGGGTTCATTTCTATTTGAAAGAAACCCCATCTGTTAGAGGACATCTTGACACCAACCACTCCTTGTTCACATGCTTGCAGATGTTTGCTCAGTTCAGCAAACTCATTTGATGAGCTTCAGTTGGGTGCCAACACCTGCCAGATACTGCAAGAAGCTGAGGACATGAAGGTGTTGATGGCATGTACCTGAAATCGAGGGGCTCCCCTGTCGTCAGCGGGATGTGCCAGGGCAAGGACATGCTACCACAGAGAAGGGAGTGCAAGACAGCGATGAAATGCCTGGCATTGGCATCAGATAGACCTCAATTATGGCCCTCACACCCCCATTTACGTAGCTTTATGACCCGAGTCCAGGTACTTAATTTGTCCAGACCTCAGTTCCCCAGATGGCGACAAGGGATTGTAAGAGTACCTATCCAATGGTTGACATGAAGATAAAATGAGATCAGATATGGAAGAGCTTAGTGTGGTGCCTGGCACATAGTGGAGACTCAAGAAATTGTGGCTTTTAAACACAATAATGGGTTATGGTTCATCTACAGATTTGCAGAAACCCACCTCCGGTGTTTTCTATCTGGCCATGTGGAAGGTAAACTGCATCCTGCCTGTGCTTGCGTCACACTCAGGAATCACTGCGTGGAAAGCTCCTCCTAAGATGTCCTTCAAGAGCCAAAGTAGAATTCTCAGCTGAGAGACGGACTGTTGCTAGAGCTGCCTCCAGACTGTCTCTCGGTCTCCTTGCAGCAGACATGATACAAAGTTTTTCACTTTACAAATAATTCCTCTACTTTGCAAAAGGAGTGATTTTTTGCAAACTAGGGTTGCTTTAGAGTCAACCTCTAGTAGTGCCTGACAGCTTCTGTTGCTCTGTAGTGAACAAGGAGCTCTTGTTGGGGGAAGGAGGCTTCGTTGGGCGATGGGAACAGAGGGGTGGTGGCAGCGCTTCACCACTTCACTGGGGCAGCAGCCAGGCAGCACTCAGGTAGCCCTTTGGAACGTGGGCCACACCCTCAACTGTGATCACCCAGGTCCTGGTGAGACCTGCCTGGCCTTTGCCAGAGTGGAGGGACACTGGCTGGAAATCCTCAGGCCTGAAGCTGAGTCCTGCCTCAGAAGCAGCCCCACCAGCCAGCCAGATGCTGGCAGCTGCTCTCCCACTGGCTGCCCAGACCTGCCCTCCTATGTAACGGGATGTTCCCTCTTACCTGTTCTCTTCTTCACCTCTCAGCACTGGAGCACTTCCTCAGGGACCAAGGTTGCATTGCCCTGTTCTAACACCTTGGACTTGTCCTTCCAGCCACTGTCACATTTGTCATTTTACTTTGGCCAGACAAATGTTGCCTCCCTGCTAAAATATAAACTCCTAGAGGGTAGGGGCAAGGCCTGTCAGCATTGTGCCTGATACCGAGGAGGTATTCAAGTGTTTGCTGGATGCATAAACATGGAACAGAACTAGGGCCAGCCACTCAACCAGTCAGGTGGAGCGGGGTTGGGGAGGGTGGGTCCCCAAATATTTTTATCACTGTGGTCATTGTAACAAAAATAATAACAGCTTATTTTTGTACAGTTATTAGGATGTGCATATTATCATACACATGTATCTCACTTAAGGTCCTCCCAATCAGGATCTTAGCGAGCTAGCTAGTATCATTATGGTGATTATTTTTCCAAGGAGGAAACTAAGCAATATGCTCACAGCGAATACTTTGAGTGGCATCTGAACCCAAGCTGTGATGCACAGGCCCTTGCCACCAGCTACCCTGCAGGCAAGCTCAAGAGTGGAGCCTGAGATAATGTTATAAGGTGCATGGACATGACACTGATACTAAATCGCATAATGACAAGGCTGCTGCCTCCTTCTGTTCCAATCCCGACTGCCCCAGGACAGCCTCCCTTTGATGAAAGCATATTTTTAACACCTCCCCAACACAGAAAGAGAAGGCCAGCCAGGAACTCCACAGCCCACAGTCATATCTTGTTAGAATGTTAATGATGGAGTTCTGTGCTTTCATTATATGTATTTTTATTTTTGTGAGACAGGTTCTCACTCTATTGCTCAGGCTGGAGCGGCAGTCACTCATCTTTTGTGGGCTTAACTGCCATCATATGCCTGACTTTAGCGTCTGGCATGAATTAATCCCTTATTCATGCTATTGAGGAAAAGGCAGATATGGGCTTAGAATTTTCCTATTATGAGCCTCACCAGGCATCTCATTCCTTCTGGGCTGATTTGGTCCTGATGGCCACAGCAGGGAGTGGGGACAGCTGGTCTAGCAGGGTAGCTAAGCTACATATGGAGAAGACTGGAGAACTAGGGCAGAAGAGGAAACCAAGGGTAACCTCTCTAGAACACTTGATATATAACCAGCTCTGGTAACATATATGCAGTACGGCCATATTTTAACCTACTTTATGTGTTTAATTTCCATAAAAACAACCACCCCAGTGGTGATGACAATAACCAACACTAACATGTTTTATCAATTAGAAAGTATTGTTGTTCCAAGTGAAAGATAGATGGAAATGGGCTTAGAACATAGGGATTGGGGTGCCCGGATGCATGTCTCGTTCAGGTGAGGCGTGATGCAGTGCCTCCGACGATGCCACTGCAGGCCTGATCCCCTCCAGGCTCTGGTCCGTCTTCCACGGCTTCGCCTTCAACCCGAGGCTCTCCAGTGGGGCAGATGGCATCTCTTTCCTGGAAGCTCCAACCAACGTTGCTGATGAGTCACTGGCTCTGACTGGGTGACATGCACATGCCTGTTTAAACACCTGTCCAGAGGGTGAGGCATGCTGTTCGGACTTTGGAGTCAAAAAGACCTGGGTTAAAATCGTGATTCCCACCATTCTCCCCACCCCTTGCCTACCTGCCTGGCTCTGGCAAGCCACCTCCCCTTCTGAGTCTCGGTTTCTGCATTCGGAAAGTGGGGATAACGGCAGCACTCACACAGTGGAGCTGTGAAGATGAAACAAGAGAATGCGGGGAGGGCAGCGAGCACCTCTGTGGAGCATCTACCACCTGTCAGGCCCCAGCCTAGGTACTGGGACCACAGCGGTGGACAAGGAGATGGTGACCTGCAGCTTCTAGCAATGTCGCAGGGGTGACAGACACTCTCCACATCAGCCCAGAAACAGGATCAGAGAAAGTGGTATCTTCAGAAATGCTGAAGTATGCTCTAAGGAGAAGTCCTGGGTCTTCTCCGGAGCATCAGCAATGGGTGACTCAACCTAGCCTGAGAGGTCAGAGTTTTCCCCAAGAAGCTGTCCTTGACCTGTAATCTGAAAAGAGAGTTGATGGTGCAGCGGAGCATCCCTCATAGGGTCGCCGTATTGCTCCTCCCAGAACCCAGGAAGTCCATTCCTACCGTGTACTTCCACCTGTGTGGAACACTTCCCATGACTGCGTGGGTTCGCCTCTTTGAGTCTCTGCTCAAATTTCCTCTTCACTCCAGTCAAAATGGTGCCAGTTTCTTCACGCTACACATCTTTCTCTGCCCTTCCCATTACTGTCTCTTTCATCAAGCCCAATGTCATATTAGTTAATTCTTTGTTTTGTCTTAGTTCTTGGAGGCATCTCATGGAGGCACCATCTTGTTCCCAGGGGTAATCTTAGTACTTAGAAAAAGTGTCTGACTCCCAGTAGGTGCTTAATAAGTAGTTGAATGAATAAAGGGACAAACACAGAACCCTTTTACATGACTTTCATAGTGATGTGAGTTGCGACATCTCAGTAACTAAGAGTTTAATTCTAAGGTTTTTTTTTTCTTTTTTTTTTTTTTTAAAGCCAAATGATTCCCATTTCCTCCCCAATCCATCAGCACGTTCCGGCAGGAGATTTTGCTCTCTCGGAGTCCTACGTCTCTGAGAAGGTACCAGGTCAAATCCTGCCCCCCCTGCATTTCTGAATCTGAATTATGACTTCCGGGCTTGATTGTGTTACTCTTTTGTTTAACTGTGTCCTGCTAAAGTGGTTTGAGCTCATTAAAAACACAATTGTGAAATTTCTTTCAGAAGAAAATGCGTCTGTGCCCTAGCTTGAGAAGTTCTGTGAAGTCCATTCCTTATTTTAGGTTTTGAAAGTTCCAGAATCCGGCAGCCAGCTTAGATTTCTGTTCTTCCTTCCCCCACCCGCAGTGGCTTCTCCTCCGTCCCATTGGTTTTTGCTGCCCTCTCACCGTTCATTTCCTTACTTCTCTTTCAAGTTTGAACTGTTCCCAGGTGTGAGGGAGGAGGAAAAGTAGGTGACATACTAGGAATGCAGAACCTTCAATATCTTTTTTTTCTCTAGCGCTGGGGACAGAAGTTTAAATAGTTTCATGTAAGGAAAAAAAGCTAGCTGTTTTTTTTTGTGGGGGGGTGGACCCACAAGCCTCAACAACAATGAATCACCTGCACTCTATAAATTCCTCTATTTTTAACCACTGCTTTTGATGTTTAAGAGTGGCAACTTAGGTTTGGAGCCCAACTTCATGTTCAGCTCAGCCAGCATCTACAAATGGATTTCTCAGGACCACGACAGCACTTTAGGCTGTTGTAGGACTTCATTTCCTGCTTGTGGTAGATTGCAAATAGCCCCAATTCTTCACACCTCTCTTACTACACCCTTTGCCATGGTGTGCCCTCCTGAGTCACAACAGCTTGGCCATGGGACTTGGTTTGGCCATTGGGATGTTCATGGAGCCAACAGAGGCTTGCATGGGGCCCGTGTGTTAAGCTTTCATCTCTGGAGCCCCTTCTCCTGCTATGAGAAGGACATACCTGGCTGGCCTGCTGGAGGAAAAGAGACTTGGGGAGTAGAGGTGAGTAATTCTCATTGTCTCAGTCAAGGTCAACCCGGATCCTCCAGCAGCTATCCCCAGACAAACGACTGAGTCCAGCAGGGGGTCTAGGCAGTCCACAGAGCTGCCTAGCCACTGGATGCTTTGCTGACCATCATTGCAGTTTGAGGAACACTTGTAATGCACATTACGTGGCAATGGATAACTCATACACCATCCTCAAAGGACTTCCAATCTGGTGAGAGGCAAAAGTTTGCACATAACCATAATTACTAAAACTACTATCACTGCTGGGTAACATTTATCCAATGCTTATTTATTTTGCTCCAGGTCCTATATTCAATGCTTCACTGTCATTTAATCTGTGCGACAACGCTTATCCTCAGTTCACAGATGAGGAAATTGAGTCTCAAAGAGGTGCAGTGACTTGCCCAAGGTCACACAGCTAGGCAAGGGGGATGTCAGTATTTTGATCCAGGTCTGTTTGACTTCAAAGCCCATGAGTGAGGCCATTATGCTTTCCTGCAAGTCTAAATGTTTGAGCAGCTACAGGAGGATCTCAACATATTATTTTTTTAAACAGGCAAATCAGGTTGCTAGAAGGGGCAGCATTTGATCTGGGACTTAAAGTGGCTTTGGTCAGGATTTCATGCAATGAGGTGAGAATGAAGGAGTGCTTATGTGAATATTTTTATTCTGCAAACAGATCAAGGTATTTGGCAGCTGCTGGAAAGTTTTCCACATCCAGTGATTGGCTGCATTTGGTGGACACAGGGACTCATCACTATATGAACTTTAAAGGGATACAGCTTGTGAAAAATTCCTCTGATAAAAGTCAAGGCTACTTCAAGGTAATTAAAACACACAGGTGTGTTTGTGGCATGTTGACTTAACTTATTCAAAAGCATCTCTCCCATGTATCTGCTGAGATGCTTGAAATTCCCAACTTTGGCTGAGGCATTGAAGGCTCCAGTTAAAGTACACACATGTTGTTTGAGATAAGTTGAGACTGTGTGTGTGTGTGTGTGTGTGTGTGTGTGTGTGCGTGCATGCGGTCTGGGTCAGGGCTCCTGGGAGGGATGGGAAAGGTATGAGTTAGAGGCATTGCTGAAATAAAACAAATACCAAAATGCAAGAGATTCCAAAAACAAATCGACTTCCTTTACCTTTTTCCCCCAAGGGCTGGGTGCTGTTGAGAGATGGAATCTGTGCCCTTCCATCAGGAAGTGGTCTGTCTATGGGTATGAGGCTCCAGGTTAGCATTGCATTGGATGGTTGTATAATGTGCTGCTTCGGGGTCCAAATGGCCACTCTTTCTCTCTTCCCTGCATGGTTTCTACTCCCACCAGAGATGGTTTTGAACGAGCACTTATGTCTTGCCTGCTAGAACTGTGAAATTTCAGACTTTCTAGAAAAAAACTAAGCATTTATTTCAGTAGCTCTTCTCATTCCCTGACCAATGAACCAACATAGCCATTCTGCTGCTGGTTCTGGAGACAATTACCATGAGCAGCATCCATGTTCTTTACAGCCTACTCCACTCTCACAGTAAGTTGAGACAAAACACATCGGGATGCTTTTGACTGCGAGTGGAAGAAACCTAACTTGAACTGGTGTCAGCAAAGATGGAGATGTCTTGGCTGATGTAGGTGAAAGGTCCAAGGAGCCATGTTGGGTCCAGGGCTTATGACTTAGCCTTGATTCCCTACTTCTACTTTCTACTTTCTACCGATTACTCTGTGTTGGCACCATTCCCGGAGAGACTTTTCACCTCATGATGACAAGTACTGCTGGCACCAGCAAGCTTTCATCTGATTTTCTCAGCGGCTCCCCAGAAAAACAGAAGAGCCTCTTTTCAAAGTCCCAGAACTGAATCTCCTGGGTCCTGAGCAGCCAGGCTTGGCTCATGGGCCTATCTCTGGACAAATCACTATATTTAAAGTTGTATTAATTTCTTATTGCTGCTGCAACAAATCATCATGAACTTAATGGTTTAAAACAATACCAATTGATTATCTTATAGTTCTGGAGGTCAGCAGTCTAAAAATAGGTTGGAAGGGCTATGTGCCTTCTGGAGGCTGAAGGAAAGAATTCATTCCCTTGCCTTTTCCATTTTCTAGACATTGCCTGTGTTCCTCTGCTCATAGCCTTGTACCAGCCCAACTTCTGTTTCCATTGTCACAGCTTCTCTGACGCTGACCCTCCCCCTCCCTCTTAAAAGAACATTTTTAAAAATTACATTGCCCACCGCCCCCCACCCCCGATAATCCAGGGTCATCTCCCATCTCAATGTCTTTAATCACACCCTTAAAATCCCTTTTGCCATGTTAGTTGACATATTCACAGGTTCTGAGGATTAGGACATGGACATCTTTGGGGATACCATTATTCTTCCTATCTCAAAGATGATGTATGGTCTGATTAGTTAATCCATAGTCACAAGCCTGGCCCTGGAGCGTCCCCTGAAACCACTTGGACAGAGAAGGGGAGGGGTGGTTCCCCAGGGGAAGATGTGGTCCATTACCAGACCTGGAGGGATGGGGATGCTGGCAGGGCAACAACAGCAAATGTCCACAGCAGAAAACACAGGAAAAAACTTCAGGACTCTTTTGAACAAGTTTTGTTGCTTTTGGGATCACCCGATTTCTCTTAGGCTTTGAACACATTTTATTGATAGCACTAAAGTTCAGAATGCATTGTGATCATTTTATTTCACGGAGAATATTATACACAGTGTACCTCATTTGTAAAGCAAGGGATTTGGAGCCTGGCACTTCCTCCAGTGCATCTTAGAATGAACCACGTGCCAGTGAGGGAAGACACAGCTAAGAGTTGGACAACATGGAAAAGCACTTAATTACTTGGTTTTTGAGTAAGTCCAGAGTTCCTGCTGCTGTGGGTGGGTGGGGAGAAGAAATTCCAGCATGATGGAAAACTACATAATGTATTATGTTACTCTCCCTTAAATCCCTTAAATTAAAGGAAAAACAATCTTCAAAGAATCATAAAGCACATAAAGAGACAACTTGAGGGGATGCTTATCTGAGATAAATTGCAACATTCTTAATGGCTGGGTTTTGAATCAAAATGTAAGTGGTAAGGACTCAAAGTATCAGTCGCACATCTGCTGACTTGGAAAAAGTTGAGGAAAAATAAACACAATGACCAAGCCGTGCACTTGGCCGAGCCCCAGCAGTGTCCTGATACATGACTTCTCCTAGGGGCACATTGGATGCTGAGGCAGTGAAGGAGGATCAAGGAATATTGGCAGACGTCTGCGGAGAAGAATGCCTATTCATTCGTGTCCTCTGTAGAGGTCATCATTCCTTTACATGACCTTCCATCAGAGATTATGGAATGGAAACTAGACAGATGGAGAGGCAGTGAGTTGTCAATGATACACAGAAGAAAATGGGAACCATTAAAACCTTGGGTATGAGTTCCAGAGGCAGCGCTGCTTAAGCATTATGAACTCTGTCCCTGGAATCATGTGGAGTCAAATTTGAATCCTGATAGACTGCCACTTAATAGATGCATGGTTGTAGGCTGGTTACTTTGACCTTTTCGAGCCTTAGTTTTTTAATCTGTGAGATGGGGATAATGTTAGCATAAATTTTGTTGAGTTGTCACAAGGGCAAAACAATGATGGAAACCACCAGCTTGCCATTGAGTTACATGAATTGTATATTTCCTTTGCACATTTCTTAGCCTGGAACCCAGAAGGCTTTGTGATCTTGCCAAGTCTCCAAGCCGGCTTTACAATGAATTACTTCATATTGTAATTGAGGTTACCTTTACTTGACTTAAGTGTATTAATTTAGAAAGGAATTTTATGTCAATCACTACCATGCACAGTAAGCCCGATTCCACAGCCTGACAAAGGCTCCAAGCCTATGGCCTGCTATCCCTTTGTACAAGCCTATGGCCTGCTACATTCCTTTTGTATCCCTTTGTTCAAAAATCCCTTTGTACAGCTCTCTCTCTGTTCGAGAGCTGTTAAAGACACATCGAGTCATTGCCCTGGCCATCGTCAGAAGCCAGAAGAACAGTAGGAAAGGGAGCTCTTTCGCTTGAGAGCTGGTGTTGGCGAGTGTCACTGCAGGCTGCTGCCTCAAATCATGGCGCCCGGCTTGCTTTAGGGACCAAGGACAATGCTGCCTCCTCTGATCATCCAGCTGAACACACTGTCTTCTTCTCTTAGCTCTGTGCGGCGTTTTATGTTCTCAGCATCCTGGATCCTTGGCGATCTATTTCTGAACTTCCTTACCTCAACTAGAGTAGAAGACCCAGAGGGCAGGGCCAGCTCCATCCTGGTATTTGGCTAGCACCTCCTGGTGCCTGAGAGGCTCATCCAGGGTTTGTTGATTTTTAGTCCCAGTGAAGACAAGTGGTGGTCGGCTTCAAGCTACTGAAGGCCATAGACCCAGAGAGTGGTCTAAGCAGCCATGATACCTCCTGTGTCTGAACATGGTACCCGGAAACCTCCTCCTACTCCTTTTCTCCTTTTAGCTGATTAGTATATTTTCTATTCCTCCAGCCATCCCCCAATCCAAGAACTTTTTATTTTGTTGAAGATGGAAATTTTAATTCCAAAGAGATAGTAATTATTATGGTCTGAATATTTGTCCTCTCCAGATTTATCTGTTGAAATCCTATCCATGAAGGTGATGATGTCAGGAGGTGGGGCCCTTGAGGGGTGATTAAGTCATGAGGGTTGCAGCCCTCATGAATGGGGTTGGTGTCCTTAGAAAAGAGACCCCCAGAGAGCTGCCTTGACCCTTCCACAACTGAGGATGCAGTGAGAAGTCACCATCCATGATCAGAAATCGAGCCCTTATTAAACACCGAATCTACCAGCACCTTGATCTTGGTTTTCCAGACCCCAAAAATGTGAAAAATAAAACTCTGCGGTTTATCAGCCACCCAGCTTATGGCGTTTTGTTATAGTAGCCCCAACAAACAAAGATAATACTAAAATGATCCAAATTCTAGCCCAGCAGGAACAGAAGATATTGTGAGTCTTGGGTTTTTCTTATTTTCAAAGCATCAAGTGCAAAAACAAACAAATAAACACTTGGATTCAAGGGCTAGGCAGGATGGGATGGGAGTGGGGGGATGGAGAACTTCAGCATCAGCTTCAGTGCTGGAAGCTTGAGTGCTACTCTAGTTACTGCAGCTCTGTACCAATTTACCCAGAGTTTAGTGCTGTAAAACAACCATTTATTATGCTCATGGATTGTGTGGGTGGGAAGTTCGGACAGGGTACAGCGGGACAGCTATTCCTCAGTTGGAAGTCTTGAGGGCTGGGAGCTCAAATCATCGGAAGGCACATTCACTCAGGTCAGTGGCTGACACTGGTGGTCGGCTGGGAGGCCTCGGTTTCTCTCCACGTAGGTTTCTCCAGGTGATCTCTCCAGGTGGGCTTGTTAGGGCTTCCTCCTGGTACAGCAGCTGTGTTCAGAGGACAGGTGTCCTGAGCTATCAAGCCAGGGGGATGTTGTAGCACTCTTTTGGACTGTCCTCAGAAACTGCTCTGGTCACTTCAGCTGCTTTCTAGTTTTCAGAAGCTGGTCGTTAAGGCTAGTAGAGGGCAGGACCCAATTCAACCCCATTTTTTAGAGATGAGGTCTCGCTATGTTGCCCAGGCTGGTCTTGAACTCCCAGGCTCAAGCAATCCATCCACCTTGGCCTCTCAAAGAGCTGGAATTACAGATGTGAAGCACTGCCCCTCCCCCAACCCCATCTGTTATGAAAGGAGGGTCCTTTGACCACAAGTGCCCTGAGAAGTCAGGAGGACTTCCCAGTCTCAGACATTTTTATCTGAGCTGGAGATGGGGACAGCCTCCCACACACAGGACTTGGAAGGCTATGAAGGAAGTAGGGGGCTCTCTTGGGAGGTCATTTCCCTTGGTAGGGACGGTTGTGTGAATGAACTTGGCCTTTAGGGAGAGGAGCCCGACTCTCACCTGAAGCCACCCAACCTGTGCAGATGGCTGAGGAAGCCCTGGACACCACAGGACCGCTAACCCAGGATCTTTGTTGACTTTGCTCCCAGGCCACTGCCCCACACGCAGGCTCTGAACTCCTGGGAGAGGTAGGGAGCCAGCCCGAGGCGTGAGTCAAGAGTGTAAAGTACACCGAGTTCCTTGGCAAGCAGGCTCTTCAAGGGGAAGGTGTCACTCGGGGAACAATGAGAAATGTGTCTTTCCCTCAGCCCCTGATAGAAAAGATAACACCCCTTGAGCACAGCCTTTTCTCATCTGTTCTTGCTCTTGGATGGGGGGCTGCTACTCCGGAGCGGCGAACTGGCGGGCGGGGGTGCGCCTGTGAGTGTGAGCGCGCGTGTGCGTGTGTGCGCGCGCTCTCGTGGCCTTCCGGCAGCTGGCAGCTGTCCCGGCCCCCACCCCACCCTACCCCACCCCACCCAGCCGCGCCACGCCACGCCGCCCCCGCCCCTCGCTGTCCTGGGTGCGCCTCGGGCCGCTGCGCTCCTGGCCAGCTCCCCCCAGCGCCTGGGAGGCGACCCCCAGTGCGCCCGGGTTCAAAGGCCCGGCGAGGCAGTTCCAGCCCCTCTGGGGGGCGGGGAGGCGACGGGGGTGGTGCAGAAGCCAGAAAAGCCCGAGCCACAGCCGGCCAGCTCCGCGCAGGGATGGGCAGCGCGCTCTGAAAGTTTATGACCGCCGCAGCCAACTCCTGGCCGGAGCTGGAGACGCAGCGAGCGATCGGCCGGCCTCGAACCCCCACAGCTGGAGGGCGAGGCCAGCTGTACCCGGCCCCAGTGCCCTTTCGCGGCCACAAGCGGCCGTCCTCCTGGTCCGGTGCTCCGGCGCCTGATCTAGGTTCATGGAGCCGGGGCTGTGGCTCCTTTTCGGGCTCACAGTGACCTCCGCCGCAGGTAAGCGCACGGGGCGGCGCGCCTCTCCTGGCGCGAGCGCACACAAAAGGACCCAGGGCGGGGGACCCGAGGCGCGGAGAAGATGTGCGTCGCGGGGAGCAAACTCTTGCCTGGGCTCTGCACTCGTGAAGACGCCTGGGGGAGGGCTGGGGAGCAGAAGCGGCGCGCAACGACTACCCGCACGGGCTCCGGGAGTTGCAGCCCGCGCACTGGCTGGAGACCTGCTGCCTGGGCCGACTTGGTCAATTTTTCATGAAACTGGGGACTTTTCAGAAAGTTTGCGAACTATTCAGAGGCTGTGCCAAACCCTGGCAAAGTTTGCAGAAAGTATGCAAAATGCATGCAAGTTTTCAACGGGTGCAGATAGCTTGCAAGCTTTTCACAGAGTGTGCAGATAGCTTGGAAACTTTTCAGAAACTGCGCAGAGCTTTGGAAACTTTGCAGACATTTTGCTTGCTCCACCCCCCTCCTCAGGTGTTTGGGGGTGGCGGGTGTTGAGGGGTCTGCACACTCAGCTTAGGAGCCCCTCAATCTGCCTTCTGCAGGATTCGTGCCTTGCTCCCAGTCTGGGGATGCTGGCAGGCGCGGCGTGTCCCAGGCCCCCACTGCAGCCAGATCTGAGGGGGACTGTGAAGAGACTGTGGCTGGCCCTGGCGAGGAGACTGTGGCTGGCCCTGGCGAGGGGACTGTGGCCCCGACAGCACTGCAGGGTCCAAGCCCTGGAAGCCCTGGGCAGGAGCAGGCGGCCGAGGGGGCCCCTGAGCACCACCGATCCAGGCGCTGCACGTGCTTCACCTACAAGGACAAGGAGTGTGTCTACTATTGCCACCTGGACATCATTTGGATCAACACTCCCGAGTAAGTCAGCCTTTTGTGGTGAGGAACGTGGCTCCCGGACCAGGCCCACATCTGCTCATTCCCAGGAGGACCTCACTCCACCCCAGCCCCGCTCAGTTAGCCCAGAGCCTGCCCTGGCACAGCCTTTAGCTCTTGCTGGGGCCTCTTGCCAGCCCAGGTCTCTTCTGCAGGTCAGGGGTGTGACCCACATCCCCCCTGAGGGCCTGGCCCAAGAGAAACTCAATCCTGAGTTTGATCCTGTGGAAGGAGGAGCCCTCCCTCTGAATGAAGTGAACTGACCAGGGGGATTAGATACCTGAGATGTCTCTCTGAGCCTCTTTTCTGAGATAGAGAAAGCCCCGAAAGTTTATCTCATTCCCCAGGGGCCAAGGGGGCTCATACTCACTGTTGACCCCACCAGGATCCAAGGGGTTTAAAATTCCTTGAAAGCATCCTGGTCTCCAGGGAGTCTAAGGGTGGGTTTAGCTGAGCCTGACAGAACCTGCACAGTCCACTCGGGGTAGAATTCCCCTGGGATGGGCTCCCTTCCTTCCTGTGGGCCCCCCTGGATGCCAAGGCAGGGTGAATTCACATCAGCTCGTCCTTGGGCCTTCCACAGGCTGGCTCCAGTCACCCACTGCCATGGTCACAGAGGGCCTTCCCTTCTCTCCTGCAGTCCTTAGAAACTCTCTTACCCTAGGGCCTAGACAGCACCATCCTGAATTTGTCTTGGGGTTCGTCCAGTGGGGAAGTCAGCCTTCTCCTGGGGCCATGTGGAGAGAGTGTGGCTCTGACAGGGGGAGGCTTTGATGACTCCCAGTGTTCAGGGAACCCCTCCTGCAGGCACATCATCTTGCAGGCCATACAGAGGGCTTGACCTTGCCTGGGTCACCAACTCTCTGGCATTGGCTTCCCCATCTCTAAGATCTGGGACTTGGATCAGACACCTCTAAGTTCTGTTCCCTGGGTGTTCATGGGATCTCTTGGGACTCTTGCTTGTACCCTATTAGGGATTCTTAGCTGAGAACTCAGAGATGGTTGTGAATGCAAGCCCCTGGAAGCCTGGAAAGGCACCTTTGCCACCGTGTCCCGGAGCCGTCTTGATTCAGGTTCCTCACGGTCACCTTTATCCCCAAGCCCCATAACCTCTGAGCCCTTGGTAGCAGCTTTCATGGGGCTCACTTACCTACCTTGTGTCATCGGCACCTCAAAAATGAAGTGCAGACGAGGGTAGTAAACCTGAGGGGTGGAATGTCTTTCAGACCAGGGGACAAGACCTCTAATCACATCCATGATAGATCTGGAACATCACCCCACCATGCTTGAAGGGCAGGCAGGGGCTTCACATTGAGCCAGCAGGACACGTGCACAAAGTCCTGCACTCAGAAAGACTCTGGCTCGGCTTAAAGTCCTGCTGTCACTGTCTTGAAATCCTTAATACTTTCTGAACAAAGAGCTGCACATTTGCATTTTCTCCTGGGTCCCATAAATTCTGTAGCTGGTCGTGATACCCTGATTTGCTGGCTGGGCTGTGTCCACCTAGAGGATGGGAGGTGCCTCCCTGTTTCTTTCCCTTTGTGGGGAAGATAGAAGCTGTGAGTGTTGGGCCATCATCAATTGCCTCTTATCCTCAGATAGCGAGGGGAGTCACCTTTCCTTGTAGCCCCTGCACCTTGGCACTGCCCTTTCTGATTCTTATCCTGCATCATTGTGCTCTGATCAAATTCACTTCATAGAATGGAGGGCACTGGGCAGTCACCAGGAACCGAGTTCTTGTCTTGGCCAGAATCCCCAGCTGTGAATCTAGAAGGAGAAAGAAGAAAGCTAATGGAATTACAGACAGGAACCTGGGGTGGTGGGCAGGTGGGAGAGGATTTGGAAACCATCTCTTTCATTCGTTGCCTGTTTACCAAACCCCGGAGCACTGGCTGGGGAGGAAGTGATGACTTGAGACATGTCTGAGAGTCTCAACCAACACCCTGTGATCTGTTTAAAATTCTGTCTCATGCATCCTGCGATCTGTTTGAAGTCCTGTCTCATGATTTCGAGTTTGTCCTGAAATGAAGCTGTGGCTCTCTGACTTTTTCCAGGACAGCCAACTTGATAACTTTCCCCCTGAAGTGTGATTTACCTCTTCCCTTCCTTCCCGACACTGGTTCAATTTAAACATGATGAAAGAAGGATTAAATCTGGTGTTTGGGCATCCCCTGAGCTACTTGGGAAACAAAAACGACAATAGCCAGACTTGAGCATTTTGAAATTAGACAGGTAAAATAATTTTTATGAGGCAGAACTTCCCAAATGGCCTCCTTCCCTCCCTTCCTGCCTCCCTCCTTTCTTTCTTACCCTCCAAACTTCCTCCTGCCCTCCCTCCCTCTCCCCCTCCCTTCTTTCCCTCTTTCCTTTCCCTTCTTTTCCCTCCCTCCTTCCCTTCCTTCCTGAAACTCTGTAGATGTGTAGATAGGTCTGTTGTCATCTTTAAAATATCTCAGGCAAGACTGCAATTTGAGAAAATGGGCTGTGGTGACAGGGAACAGGAGTGATGGGGAGGAATCTAAAAAATCACTGAATTGAGCAAAAGAGGCACTGGAAGTGAGGGACACAGTCTTTTCTAGTGGTTCTGTCTCCCCATTAGATCACAACCCCACCTGTCACATGTTCCCCTCTCCTGCTGTCACGCCCTCTTCATTCATGGACTGGTCTCCCTCTCCAAACTTCTCCACCAGGTGTGATTTCTCCCTGTCCCAGCGGCAGCTGTTCTGGGCACGAGAAGGAGCCTTGATTCTTGTGCCTCAGTCAGGGGTCTTGAACTTTGGGTGCTTTTCACCTTTCAGAGCCTTTCCTCCCATGGCGCATCCAGCTGCGTGAAGACAGAATCAACACTCCTAGTTGATCTTTGATGGAAATTGCTCTGAGTACGGTCATTTTTGCTCCCTTCGAGGATCTGAGATGCTGCAGGAGTCATATTGGGAGTTACTACCGAGACCCGCTTTGCATCTCCTCAAGGGAAGTTAACTGTCTAGTTCAGGCTCAAGAGACTAGTTGGTCTCTTAAGTCTCTTTTGGAAAGAAGGTCTGAGATTCCTCGGCTGTCCCTTTAGCCCTCCTGCTTTTTTCCCCTCCTTAGTCCTTCCAGACCCGAGCTTGGTCGGCCCTTTCTGTTAGCACCCAGCATGGCATGGATGCTCAGGAAATGCTGGTTGACTTTTGGCTAAGTCCTGCCACCTGGGTACTCTGGCTCATCTTTGCTGTTGCTGAGCCCCTAAATCTCCAGTGCCTTCTCCCACACAGGAGGCCTCTTTCTCCAGGTGCCTGGCTGCTCTTCAGGGGCCTGCACATCCCTGTAGACAGGGGTGGGCAAGAGAGTTTTTCTTGGGGATGTTGCCCATAACTTCTGTGATATCTTCCCAAAAGTCCATCGCCCCAAAGAGGAACCAAATTTATACTTACCCTGTCAAGGCTGCTGGGATCACAGTTCATCAATGGGATAGCATGATTTCCATTAGCCTTTCCTTGGCTGTCCCCCACAGTCCCCAAGCCATCCCACCACTGCCAACAAAATCAAAGTCCCAAATCAGAGAAAAACATATCCCATCCTATTGTCATGGATAAGTTGCCAAGAATAAGATAGTAAGGGGACAGGTGGTGAACAAGGGGTCCGTGTGCTGATGTCCTTGTACACTGCGGCTGTCCTCTATGAGCAGACTGAAGAAACAGATACCAGGTAGCTGGGGCCTGTAGGAGTCAGGGTTCTCTAGAGAGACAGAACCAACAGGGTGTGTGCATGTCTGCAGATTATGCATATATCAGAAGTGCGGTTGCCAAAGGAAATATTTGGTTGCTCTTGGGGGCCATGGACTTTTATGGAGGATAAACAGAAGTTATGGGCAATGTCCCTCCAGAGATATATATATGGAGAGAGACAAAGAGCAATTTTCAGAATTTGGCTTACATGATTGTGGGGGCTGGCAGGCCAGAAATCTGCATGCCACCAGGCTGAAAATTCCCGAGGGAGTTGATGTCAAGGAGGTCTGGAAGCAGAATTCTTTTCTGTTCGGGAACCTGTCTTTTCTGTGAAGGCCCTCAACAGATTGGATGAGGCCCACTACATTTTGGAGGGTCAGCTGCTTTGCTCAAAGTCTACTGATTTAAATGTTAATCACATATCAAAAATACCTTCAGGGCAACATCTAGGCTGCTGTTTGACTAAACAACTGGGCACAGTATCCTAGCCAAGTTGACACCTAAAGTGACCCATAACGGGGATGTCAGCTCGAACCACATTTCATGGCGGACCAGCCCCTCAGAGCCTGGCTGAAGACTGAAAACCTGTTTATCCAATGGCTGACTGAGCTGTGAAGCACCCAGCAAAGAGCCCC
This sequence comes from Homo sapiens, assembly GCF_000001405.40. NCBI lineage: Eukaryota > Metazoa > Chordata > Mammalia > Primates > Hominidae > Homo > Homo sapiens. Next base: position 59,306,080 of record NC_000020.11, read on the forward strand.
ACTGTGCTCCTCCCCGCCCCATGAGCTGAGGGATCCTGCCATCTGTTCATCCCTCTAAGGACATCTGAGGGAGGCATTGTGATGCTGGATGGTGACTGTGTTTTCCAAACCAAAATCTGACACACATGGGCTGGCAGATAGGAATGTAGTTATGAAAAGAACAGGGCAGGATGTTGGGAATCATGATCATGGTGGAAAATTTGGGATTTGCAGTCCCGACTTGTGGAGAAGACTCCAGAACCCAGAAGTGCTGCCCTTGAGTCCTGGCCATGACTATCTGTGTGGCCTTGAGCCAGGAGGTGCTGTTGCCTCTCTGTGACCCTCTGGAAGGTGCAGACATCAGCCGCTCCAGGACAGTGAGCTGCCAAGTCTCTCCTAATCCCAACAGTCTGATCAGCTCCTATCAAGATGCCCAGGCCGGCTTCCCAGGCTGCCCTGGATCAAGCCACACTAAACTTAATCCAGCAGGAATGCCATTTCTTTTGAGTTTTTTTCTCCCCTAAATGCATAAAGAGTAAAAAAAAAAAAAAAAAAAAAAAAGCATTAACAAAACATTTAAACTTGTATTTTAATGTATTCTACCACAAAAGGGCAGCATCACAGATTCTGGCTTTGCCTTCTGTGTTCTTCAAGAAAGGCATCTTGGCATGGTCTCAAGAAGAGATATTCCAAATTTTAGAACATCCCAATAGAACGGTTGGATCTGGAACCCCAACTTCCTGCACATGAGGAGCCAGCTGAGCACCAGAATGTGATTTTGGGATCCCGATAAAAGTCACCCTGGGCCAGGCGCGGTGGCTCACACCTATAAACCCAACACTTTGGGAGGCTGAGGTGGGCAGATCACTTGAAGTCAGGAGTTTGAGATGAGCCTGGCCAACATGGTGAAACCCCGTCTGTACTAAAAATACAAAAAATAGCCAGGCATGGTGGCATGTGCCTGTAGTCCCAGCTACTGGAGAGGCTGAAGCAGGAGAATCACTTGAACCCAGGAGGTGGAGGTTGCAGTGAGCAGAGATCACGCCACTGCACTCCAGCCTGGGTGACAGACCAAGATTCCATCTCAAAAAAACAAAAGTCACCCTGACCTGTGAGCCACACCTGGCAGTATCATTGTTGGACATGTGGCCATATGAGGCAGAGGGCCAGTCTTTCTGCCATCATGGTTTTGGAAAGGGGTCATGAATAGTCTGCTACTAATCATGGATGGTGAGGATGGCTGACCATGACTGTGACCTCATGTCATCTCATGGGATCAGCTTGACAGCCCCATTAGTTGGATGCTATTGTCCCTGTAGTTTACAGGAAGAAGCTGAGCCCAGGAGGCGGAGTCAGTTGGCCAAGGTTGCAGAGCTTGTGAGTAGGGACTGGGCTGCCAGCCCAGAAGTTTGGCCCTGAAGCCTGCCCTGTAAGCCTCCTCCTGTGTGCATGTTCCCAACATGGGCTTCTTAGGTGACTAATATGCCATCTTAGATGACTCCTGCTTTCGTTCATTTAATATGTTTTCCCAGAGTGCCTCACCTGGGTCAGTATTGAATGGGGCTCTGGGACCCAAGAATGAATAAAAGACATGGTTCCCCATCCGTGACTGATTAAGGGTGGTTTTGTTCTTTTTGAGACAGTGTCTCATTCTGTCGCCCAGGCTGAAGTGCAGTGATGCAATCATAGGTCACTGCAACTTTGAACTCCTGGGCTCAATCGAATCTCCCACCTCAGCCTCCCGAGTAGCTGGAACCACAGGTGCGTGTCACCATGCCTAGCTAATTTAGTAATTTTTTTTTTTTTTTGTAGAGATCGGGTCTTGTTACATTGTTAGGGCTGGGGTTTTGTTCTTTTTGATAGTGATGATTCATATATATAATTCTATGTAATCATATATTTACCCTTTTGCAAGATTATTTTTATTAACATATGTTAACACATGGGCAAAACCCAAATCCTTGGTCCATCACAAGTCCTAAATTTTATTCTGGAAATGTAGCCTTGGCTTGCATAGAAGCATGTGATTTTCCTTTAGCCTACCAGAGCCCTTGGTGGTTTCTCTGTGGGTAAGAGGGGCTGGTTGAGTGTGCACTCCAAGCAAACCAGAAGGTTTGTCCTGATGTCAGAGATGCTGGGACAGAGGGGGCTGAGTCTAGGCGAGAGGGCGAGGGACCCCCAGGCCATGAGTCTCATTCCTGGTGCAGGATTTTTCTTTTCTTGGCTGCTGCTCTGTGCCTTGTTCTGTCTTCTTGCTTCTTGGTGTGGTTACGGGAGCAGGGCAGACATAGGAGGTGGGACTGCTCAAATCCATCTCTTCTTGCAGATCCAGCTTCACACTTTGGTTTAGAGACTCCTGGGGTTTAGAGAGGAATGGGGCCTGGGGCCCACTCATCCAAATTGTCACGTGGAGGAGGAACAGATCCCTTTGTAGGGGTTAAGAGCTCAAACTGTGGGCTCGAATGCCTGGGCTGAAATCTGGATCTGCCACTTAGGAGATGTCACCTCTGAGACCTTCAGTGTCCCCATCTAGAGAGTGGGGGAATAGATAGCACTCTATGAGGAAAGATGTTTTCAGGATGACACAAGAAAGTACACAGGGCGTGGTTAGCACAGCGCCTACAATCTAGTAAACACTCAACGTCTTGAAGATGGTGGCCACAATGATAACAACACAACCTCCAGCCCTGCAGAAGCCCTTCCTGGGCCAAAACCAGTCCTCCTGCCATATCCAATCCTGTGATTGGAGGATGCTGGCTGGTGAGTAGAAAGTCCTTGCTCAAGTTCTGCTGGGGTCCACCTCTTTGGACCTTCTGACTCTGATCTTAGCTCCTGGAGTGCCCCGGAGCAAACCTGTCCACCCTGTCCCCTGCAGGACGGTCTGTTAGCCTCAATTAGCAGAAAGCTTACAGACTCTGGGAAAAGGTGTGCCTGGCTGTCTGCTGTTGCTGATAAGCAGCCTGATAAAGACTCTGTGGTCAAAGGTTGCTGGGCTGGGCTGAGATTCAGTCCCGCCCTTCCAGCCCCTCCTTTCTGCTTTCTATTGCTTCCCTCTCCCCTTGGTAAATCACTGAAAGTTTTCAGTAATGGGGCATGGCGCTCTTTGCGGGCACCCGTCTGGGGCTGTGTCTGTGAAATAGGAGGTAGGGGTGGTGATTGGGGTGATTAGGGTCTCAGTTCAGGAGAACAGGAATGATCTGTTTACCTCTTTGTTAAACACCTATGCTGAGAGCTCTGTGAGGCATCTGTGGCTCTCATGTCCTTGGTACGTCCAGCAGAGTAGATATAATGCCTTGTAATTTGCAGCTGAGGACCCCATGGGGCACCAGTAGCCTCACTTCTGACTTCACCCAGCATTGCCCAGGACCTGAAGTGGGTGTCACCAACTGGGAGTCACCAGGAAGCAATCGAGGAAATCCCACAGACATCTATTTAGAAAACATCATTTCATGATGTGCTTTTGAGACGGGCATGTGAAAGAAGAGGGTGTTGGCCAGATTAAAAGGGACCCTGAGCTTGAGGTTCTGACTGATCATGGTTTCAGGAGGTTTTTCCCCTCACATAACCATTTCTATCTCTTCCTTAGAAATTAGCACACTTTTGGGTACCAGTTTTGAGTTGGAGTGGCATATTTCTTAGAACACTGGACGGCAAGATACTTCTTTAAAATTGGGGAGACTTAGGGCTAAGTTTCGCAGTTTGTTGGAAAGGTCAGTCCTACGAGGACTTTTCTGTTGGGGATGCACAGGTAGAAAGCCCGTTTTCTGCCCCAGAGTCAGCAGGAAGTGTGAGTGGTCCAGGAACAAAAACAGACTTGGTGGAATGCAACTAATCTCCACTTGGGAGACAGAGGGACTTGAGGCTGGAAGGCAGTTTGATTTGTAGCAAGAAAACTTGGTACAAAGAGGTTGTGACCCTGTGTGACCCCGAGGGAGAATTTGGATTTGTGCTAGATGAAAGGGCCATTACAGTGAGGAACTTGGCCTTCAATCTGAAGGCACATGAAAGGCTCTGATGTGTCTGGTCATGTTTGTTCCTGCAAGAATTTAAAACAAAGGAAGCTGGGAGGCAAACAATGCTTCTGCTTTATAATTCCAGTTCCAAACCTCAGAGGGGGAGCTGTAAAGGGTGACCCTGTCTACGGCACCACCCCGCGTTCCAGTGTATTGGAAGTGGATGGTCTCTGTTTTGCATGAGAAAGTGACCTGGTCTCCTTCCTTGTCATGTTTCAGTTGAAACAGAGTTCCTCAAAATTGGAAATGCACACACACATACACACAGACTTTTGCCCACTTTGGAATAGAAATTAATTGCACTCGGAAAATAAATTGCAGAGCATGGCTGAGTACAGACAGCCACATGTGAATGAATTGTTTGTCCGCATAGTTTTGGGGGCTTCGGAATCCTGGCTCACCCACCAAACCTCCCAAGAATAGACAGACAGGATGAGGCATCAGCTCTCTTTCTCATCTGCCCCACCTCAGAGTCTTAGGAGGGCCAAGAGCTTTGGGAGACCTTGGGGACATTCACAGGCTTGGAAGCACTGGCCTCTTCTTCTTTTGTGGCCTCCTCAGGGCAGACTTGGTGGGAGCTCTTAATAAACAGTAACTCAGGAACAGAACAGTCAGGGAGGCCTGGTCCCTGGCCCAGTAATTGAAAAACCAGAAACAGCTTCATTTCATATGCATTGATGACAAAAGTACCGACAGACGCAACCAAAAACATGACTGGCCCGCTGGTGGACAGTTTCGCCCCACAACTTGGGGAGCGCAAATTGCTTTGCCGAGAGTCAGAAGCAACTACATGAGACAGCAGAGGTCCATGTAACTTTTCTGGATTTTTAGGAATCTGATTTCCATGGGTCTCTTGCAGGGCTGAGAATAGACTGGGGTGAGTGAGGCACTCCCTCATGTACAAACTTTCAGGAGGCACCAGAAAGTAGGAAAAAACAAGTAAAATGTAATGCACTATTTTCAGAAAGCCAAAATGAGTGCAAAAAAAAATTCATAATCGACCAAATATTGTTTTTAGTAAAGGCAGGATCCAGCCCTGAGCTTGCTCCACTTACCTCACCTGCCTCACCCTAATCCCAGCCCTGGCATCTTGCTTGAGGATAAAGCCTGTGTCTCTAATAGAGACTCAGTAGTTTGAGGTAAGTGATAAATCTATTGGAGCTATTACTGGAAAGGGGTCCCGATCCAGACCCCAAGAGAGGGTTCTTGCACCTCGAGCAAGAAAGAATTCAAGGCAAGTCCATAGAGTAAAGCGAAAGCAAATGTATTAGAGAAGTAAAGAAACAAAAGAATGGCTGCTCCATAGAGCAGTGGTATGGGCTGCTTGATTGAGTATACTTACAGTTATTTTTCGATCCTATGCTAAACAAGGGGTGGGTTATTCATGAATTCCTGGAACTGAGGTTCCCCCTTCCTAGACCATATAGGGTGACTTCCTGATGTTGCCATGGCATTTGTAAACTGTCATGGCGCTGGTGGGAGTGTCTTTTAGTGGCTAATGCATTATAATTAGCATATAATGAGCAGTGAGGACAACAGAAGGTCACTTGGGTTGCCATCTTGGTTTTGGTGGATTTTGGCCATGTTTTTTTTTTTTTTCCACGTCCTGTTTTATTAGTGGGAGTCTTTGTGAGCAATGTCTTGTGTGGACCTCCCGTCTCATCCAATGAGTAAGAATGCCTCACCTTCTGGCAATGCAGCCTCATTCTACCCAGCCCCTATTCAAGATAGAGTTGCTCTGGTTCGAACACCTCTGACAGAGCTACCAAAAGGGCATTACACAAGGACACAGACAATTAGGTTAGGTGGAAGATGAGCGTATCTTTACGGTCATTGTGATGGTAAGCATAAGTCTTGCTCATGAAGATCTTTTCCATCCTTAACCTGGTATCTCCTGAAAATTAGCAAGAGTGTCTTCTCTTGCTTTCTTTAAATTATTCAAAGCATGTATCATGGTGTCGGCATTTTTTTTAATCCCTTTGCACATAACCCCATCCTTATGAAAATACTTGCTCCCTGTTTTCCCTCTTCTCTTTCCACTGCTGGGAACTATTTTGAGCCCTGTCTGTCTGCAGCTTTGCATAAAGTTATAATGAGGCTGGGCCAGGCAGCCATGGATTTCTCATGCCTACATTCGGCCTGGAATTCAGAAGGGTCACTGGGGGCTGGGGAGAGAAACTCTAGCCTAACTCGTTTGATGCATTTTGGTTGTACCAGATGGAGGGAAACTGCTAATCTGTAGGATTCCATAGACGGCTTAATTCCCCAAGTTTTGGAGGAGTTTGTTTCTCTAATTTTTTTTTTAGCCATAAGTCTTGAAAATCCTGCACCACATAACAAAAACCAGAGGTATTTTTCTGTTGTTCTCCTTTCCTTTGACCCCCTGGTGCTTCCTCCAAGTATCCTTAAGTGTGCAGGTGCCTGTGTTAGGGGAGGAATAGGTCTATGGTCCAATGAGCTGATGAGATGATAAATGCTGCGACTTTGAGATTCTTTTTAATCTCAGCCTTATGGTAATAGGCCATGGAAGAGTGTAAACAGTTTGGGCTAAGGCTTTCTAAATACAGTTGATGAGATCCTGGGAACCACTTATCTTGGGTGGAGTGGAGCACCTCACTTTGAGTTTGGTGTTAGCGCTGGGGCAAAGGTCTAAGGCCTTCTCCAGTGATTGTGCTATTTAAGGATGTTCAAGGGATGGTGAGGGCCTTTGGAAACATCTGAGTGGAGTTTGGAGCCAGAGGGACCCTGGAGAGACCCAGCCAGCCCTTTTGTTTCTCAGGGCCAGAAGGAAGGTGCCCACCTTTCCTGTGAATGAGTCATCCTTGGGACTAGAAGCCTGGGTCTTCCAGCTTAGTAAAGCCTCTGTTTTGCTCTGGTACCTTACCCATCTACGCAGCCTAGTTTGTCCACCAAGGTGCTGATGTGGCCTGCAGGAGTTATTGCCAAGACATAATTCTTCCACTTCAAGTAATCTAGAGGCCACAAGTAATCTAGAAGGTTTTCTAGGAAAACCCCTCAAAGACCAGCTGATGAAGGACAAAATAAGTAGAGATCCATTGAGTCAGCCAAGAATGTCATATGTTTGGGACACTGGGTAGGGCTGTGCAGTGATGGCTCATTTGGACCCTATTCATTCATTCGTTTAACAGGTATTTATTATTGAGATATTGGGACTTGATTTTGAGCCAGACATGGTGTCAGCTGCCCTGGATGGAGAGGTGAATGGGGCAGACACAACCAGTGGCTCCGGCTGGACAAGGTCCTGCTGTTGCTGAGCCAGGGGGTTGTGCCTGGGCCAGACACCATCTCTTAAATGAAACGAAGGAACTGGCCCTCATTCTTAGATCTGATTGGTAGGGGATAATGCTCAGTATTCTTTTTGAAAATGTATGTGATACTGTTAAAATTCTCAAACAGCCAAGTCCTGGGTAAATCCAAAGGTTTTTTGAGGGGGAAAGGAGGGGGATAGAGTAATTTTTTAAAAAGGCAACAATTAACCCACAGCACATTGCTCACTGCTTTTGGTATTTCCAAATATTCTAGAATCATGGGCTCTTTCTGAGGGCTGCGGGAGATGGACTTCCCACCTTGTGGGGTGGTGGGATGAACGGTCTGCCTTGGGTCCTCCCAACTTTAAGCCGTGAGAATTTTCTGCAGCAGAAGGAAAGCTATGAATTGCCGGTTCACTGTTCTGATGTTTAGGAAGCATAAGCTTTGTATAATATTCTTTAGAACCAGAAAGCGCCTGTGTGTGTTCTCTGCTTATATAATGAGGTCACTGAGGAGCTATGTTTCCTGGCCTATTTTCTTTCCTGGAAGTTGGAAGGGCACCCCATGGGCTGTCTGGCATAAGGCCTGGCCCACAGCAGACTTTCATAAGCATTTGATGAGCGGGCAAGGAATAAGTTCAGTAGAGGACGAAACTTCTGAGGTGGTCAAATGAGCGTCCGGGGGTGGGCTCTGAGCCTCCTGGGAAGGAAGGGATGGCATGCCTGCCTCCACCTGCTGAAGGACAGACAGTGGGCAGCGGGCACACCTGGGGGAAAGGAGGGGCATAGCCTGCTTCCACCTGTGGAGGACAGACATTTCACAGTGCACACACTTGGGGGAAAGGACTCCAGCCAGCTTACTGTGCTGGGTTTGTCCTGATTCTGAACATGCTTTTCTGTGTGTTGTCGCAGTGAAGAAAATTTTTCCTTGTCCTCAACAGCTGGGGAGACTACAAGCCTTCCTCTTATACCCAAGAGTCTGTGGTTGCCATCTCATGAAAGTGAGGTCCAGGATCAGCCAGAGTTCACTGGTCACAAGCAACAGAAACCTAGTCTAGCTGGCAAAGCACAGGAGGAGTTTATTGGAAGGACACGGGAAAGCTCACAGACTGGAGGCAAGAAGAAGCCCTAGGCTCTGAAAGGAGAGGTGTTAGGACAGGATTGGGGGTCTAGGGGTGCACCAAATGGACAAGGAGGGGCGGGGCTGCTTGGCAAATTGTAGCTCCAGAGTGTTTTCTGATCTCGAGTTGCCCCTCTTAGGAGTCTTGGGAGAGAGTGGGTCCTATTGGCCCAGTTTAGGTCTCCTGACCAGTCCTCAGGCAGTGGTAGGTGAGGCCCATCAATTGACTGCCCCCCAGAGACCTCACACAATGGAAGGCGGATAATTCTCCAAAGAGAAGGTGGCAGACTGGATCCTAGGAGACAAAAATAACCAATGCTGGCCTCGGGCTCCAGAGAATTCCCTGCTTCTCAGTCCTTGGAGTGCAGGTGCTCCTGTTCCTGGTCCTATCCCTCCCCTTTGTCTCCATGTGTTGTGCGTAGCAGTGTCTGCTGGATGTTTGCTGAAGCAAAGGGTCACTTTCATGGGCCTTTGAATAGTCAGCCACTTCCACACCAGAGATTGCATATGTAGGTGTGCTGGAGGGCATTTTGTTTTTTCTAAGGGTATTTGGATTAATCTTTCTATTTCACCCTGTCTTAGTCATTAGAGCCACGTTCTGACTGGTTCAGATTACAGATGGTAAATAAAGGTGATTGACATTTTCCTCCCTGCCCAGGCAGACATTTCTAAGCTTGGGAGAGTTGATGAGTGGTGCCTTCTAGGGAATGTAATAAAGTCTGAAATTGAGCTGTAGTTAGAAAGCATGCGAGGGTCTAGAAGTTGTTTCTCCAGGGAATGGCAGGAGGTAGTATCCAATGACTGCTGGTGCCTGGCAGCTGGGGGCTGCCTCCTGACTGTCTGCCAGTGGGAAACAGTTGTTTCTCCTCCTCTTGGCCACAGGACAAGTCACAGAGCCATGCTTTCTGTACAATATGTCCCCTGGGCCAAAAGGCAATATTGCCTCTGCTTTCCCAGTTCAGAAGGAAAAATGTGAACCGAGGAAGCAGATCATCAACTTGACATGTATCCTAAGTGTGACATGAACATGTTCTATTTGTTGGGGAGACACTCAAGTCACCAGCTGGGCTTTTTAAATGAAAACAACACCTCTATTTAAATGAAACAACGCCTCTATCTGTAAAGAGGAAAATAGTATCAGGTACTCATTTTGTTCATGTGTCATCTGACCTATCTGCCTTCGCTTTATGGAATAAACCACTAGACTAGGAGTTGTAAACTCAGATGCTCCTGAGGGCCAGACACATAAAAAAGATGAGCGAAGGGGGCCAGGTATAAAACTACTGAAAATGGTGGGGACTGGGGCAGAATGGAGGGTTTACGCCCAGTCTCTGAGATCATTACCCGGCTGCCATGCTGGAATATGAGGTTGGTATTAGCACAACTTCCAATTCTTCAAGAAAAGCTGGAAATCGGGATGTTTATGTGAAATTTCCGGATTTAACAAAAAACACTATGGTTCACGCCTGTAATCCCAGCACTTTGGGAGGGTGAGGGGGTGGATCACGAGGTCAAACGACTGAGACCATTCTGGCCAACATGGTGAAACCCTGTCTCTACTAAAAATACAAAAAAATTAGCTGGGTGTGGTGGTGTGTGCCTGTAGTCCCAGCTGCTTGGGAGGGTGAGGCACGAGAATCGCTCAAACCCAGGAGGCGGAGGTTGCAGTGAGCCAAGATTGCGCCACTGCACTCCAGCCTGGCGACAGAGTGAGACTCTGTCTCAAAACGAAAACAAAAACAAAACACTGTTGACTGAAAAAAGCTGACAAAAATGCCAATTTGCTGACCTCAGTACTGGATTAAAAGTGTATGTGTGCAGGGCAGGGCCCCGCCCCTTGTCTGTCTTTACATAAGTTTTACCCGGAGTCTAGTCCAGCGCCTGCATGTTGAAAAGCAGTTGGCAAATATTTGTTGAATGCTATTCAGTTGTGGGGGGTGGAATAAAAACTGGGTTTTCAATAGGGAATGACAGTTTGATAAGCTTTCCTAAGAATTTAGAATCTGGTCAGTGGGAATATCTGTGTCTCTTCTTTAAACTTCAGATATACAGGCCAGTCTCCTGATCAGAAAGATGGAGAGTGTTAATTCATTCATGAAAAGGCAACACGGAACTTAAAAACAGAATCTTTAAAACAAAAGTCAGCTTTCCTTATTTAAAAACTTCTTGTAGAGAGAAATAAAGCGTTTTCAGTGTGGTGTTGCAGATGAAGAATGAATATGAGAGATTGGGGAATTTAATATTTAATAACACTTATACATGATGTTTGGGAAAACGTGACAAATAAGAAACATTTGATAAAAAAGACTCTGTTGTCACCACACCAATCAAATAATGAATGTTCTGAATACATAAGTTGAGTGATAATTTATTGGATGAACACACACAACACCAGAGATTGCGTATGTAAGTGTGCTGGAGGGCATTTTGTTTTTTCTAAGGATATTTGGATTAATCTTCTCACCTGCTTTTCTTTTGCATGGAGCTTTGTTTTATAACTGAGACATGAACAGATGGAAGAGCTGCCTACTTGTATAAAGGATTGTATTCTGAAAACCCCGTTGTATTATAGAGCGGTAGGCCCCAGCCACTGGGCAGGGCATGCTGGTCAAAGGTTCTCCGCCAATTTCACTTCACGTTCATGGTCCACCGTTAGGTCTTTCCTGTTCACTACTCAGTAAACAGCCAGCGATGAAGCAGGCCACAAATGAAATATGAATGCTCATGAGATATGAGTACGTTATCACTACTGAAATAGAAGTGCTCATGAGCTGGTAATCTGGCGTCAGAGCTCGGTGAGAAGGTGGTGTCGAATGAGGTGACCTGTGGCCTTGGGCTCCTTATTACCCTTCTTTATTGCTAAGTCAAACATCTCAAATGCCAAGCTTAGTAGGTGGGACTTTTCTGATACAACTCACTTGACCTCCCAGACCAGATAAATAACAATAGTAGCTACTGTTTGCTTATGGCACTTTGCTAAGTATTTTCCATGCAGTATCTCCTTTGCTTTGTCCAGCCACACTTTTGTCGACCAGGAAGTTGTTGAGAGGGTGAAGTGATCATCATGTAACATAAGAGCAGTATTACCAGGTCATGTGTCTCTGTGTGTACCTTGCACATACCTGTACCTACTGGCCTTTTTTCCTTTACCTGTTTTCGTAGTCCAACAGCATATAACTCCTGAAGGCATGGACACATAGGGATGTGCCTTTCTGTGTCCCTGTGACACTTACATTGATACCACGTATATAGTGGATGCTGAAGAATGTTGGAGATTCTTTCAGTGATTTTTGTGGTTATTGAACTCTTTAGGGTGAAAAGAATCCTGTCTCGCCAGACTAGAATGATCTCACCATGAATTACCAGTTGCTCAATCAATAATCTGTTCGCCTGGCCTTGTGTGAGGCCCATGGTGGGTAAAAAAGAAGTAAAAGACCTGCCCTCTCTTTTGAGGATCCAGTAATCTGCCTTTAGACTTGGGTAAGAAACACTGCAACTCTGGGCCCTGTGGGTTAGAGGACTGCCTCTGACGCCACTCTGGCCATGCCTCCCACCCCACTGTAAGAGTCTGGGACTCAAAGCCATATGCTCCCTCTTCAAGACCATGTTCCAGGTATTCAGGGGCTGGAATTCCCTACTCACGCATCCCCAAGACCACTTCCAGGGCCTGACACTTGGGGATGAGCAGGGCTCCAGGTACATATCTCCAGGCCTGCAGGGTGACAGCTGCTTACAGGATGTAGGGTGGAAGGAGCTTGGAGGAAGCAGCCTGGGGCATGCACGGGGAGTGCTTGAAGCCAGCGCTGGTGTGGGATGGCGCAGGATAGCAGAGAAGGTACTGGGCCTCCACCACATGTCGATACGGAGTGGCCAGGAGCCCAGGATTCTAAATTAAAAGCTGGACCTGCAAGGCAGCATTTGGAAGCCACATTTGTCCAGATACAGGAGATAACACTTTTTCGTTTCAGGGCTTATCAGATCGATTGAAACCTTTAAATGATTAGCCCTGTGGGAGGTGGGCCTCCATCGCGAACTCTCATTCCAGACTCTACAATGTCAGCGGCAGGCTCTGCTGGGCCGTCAGCTTCCCTCACCTCCGCACGGGTCGGTCAGCAGACTGCACACCCGGAAGGCCCAGGCCTTGGTGGAGGGGTTTCTGTGCCTCAAGGCTGTAGGGCAGGGGAGGGGGCCGTGCCTCTCTAAACTGCCAGAGCCTGTTTGCACACCAGCACTTTACCGCGCTTGGCGGCCGGGGAAGTGCTAAGCCTGTCTTCATTAACAAATACCATGTTGCCTTGTTTCCTTACTTAAAACACTTTGGAGTGTTTTGGCTCAAGTTGAGGGGCTCTACATGTGCAAATGCATAATCAGCTGACAGCAGTTTCAAAATTGCAGGTCTCACTATTGATGGAGAAATGGGAGCGTTGTTATTCCTTGTGTGTAATTTTCTCCAAGAAATGGGGGGATTGATTTAATGTCAACACTCAGAGATTTAATGTGGCCCTGTTACTGGAAAAATACACCTTTGCCAAACTCTGCCTCAAAACAATGTCTACATTGTCTTGCTGCACTCCCTACCCCCATTTCCCATTCCTGAGAAAAAACGGGCTTGAAGGAGGGTTCAGCTCAATACAGGGCTGGATCCTGCCCTCTGTCTCCGTTTCCTGAGCACAGATGGCTCATCAGCGGGGCCTGTCTCTGCCTGGAGGGATCCCACCACCTCTGTTTCTGAGGAACTTGGGTGGGAGGGAGTTAGTGGGGAGAACAAGAGTCAACGAACAGGGTGGGGTCAGTTTTAGGCTCTTGTGTTCAACCCAGCAGGGAGGCGGGGGCGGGGGACTCCCTCCAAGCCTTAGGTCACTATGGGGCTTCCTGGCCCAATTTGCCCTCACTGTCGCAAAAAGGCTTTATGGTGTGTGTTTCAAATGAAAAGAAATTCAATTTGATTTTATTTTGAAAATGCAGCGAGGGGCTGGGCATGGTGGCTCACACCTGTAATCCAGCACTTTGGGAGGCCGAGGCAGGCGGATCACAAGGTCAAGAGATGGAGACCATCCTGGCTAACACAGTGAAACCCTGTCTCTACTAAAAATACAAATAATAACAATAATAATAATTAGCCGGGCGTGGTGGCACATGCCTGTAGTCCCAGCTACTTGGGAGGCTAAGGCAGGAGAATTGCTTGAATCGGGGAGGCAGAGGTTGCAGTGAGCCGAGATCGTGCCATTGCACTCCAGCCTGGGCGACAAGAGCGAGACTCTGTCTCAAAAAAAAAAAAAAAAGAAAAAAAAGAAAAAAAGAAAAGAAAAGAAAAAAGAAAATGCAGAGGGGATGTCAGGACTCCCTTTGAAGTGGATAATTGGTACTACTCAGTGGGGTTCATGGAAACCAAGGTGGTTCATCTCTGGGGACTAGCAAGAAAACCAATGTTTATTGGAAAAGTGGCTTTGGCCACATGTTTCTTCTAGCTATTAGTAATTTGTTCCTCAAATCAAGCTAGTAAGTTAAGGATCTGCTTTCAACTTCTTCCCGCTGAACTGCCTGGCAGGCACCCCCTTTTTCTCTGGCAAGTGATGATTTGGATGTGCACACTCACTAGAACCAGCTTCCACGGGTTTTGCTCTGAACCACACCATCACACTCCTCCTGCCAACGCCAACCATAAACGAAATTGGTCAATGGTTTCAAGCCTTCTTCATCACGCGGCTCTTCTGAGGCTGGTTCCACTTTCAGCTGCATGGCCAGGCCCTCACCCGCCTCTCAGAGGTCACGGAGTGTTCCTTCTGATGTTTGTCTCTTTGAGGAAGCAACTTTCAAAGGCCGGGATGCATCTCTAATGACTGTAATTGCATTTCCCATCTTCTCATTAGCACAAACTGCTGTGCACATGGAAGAAATTCAGTCAGAAACCTCAGGTCTGGCCTCAGGCTGCGGGGTAGGCAGGTGATCTGATCAGGGCGAAGACCCAGACCAGCACGTAGGTTGCCCCACATGCCCTTGGCACAGGAAGAAAAGCCTCTGGAACAGGTGCTATGGTTGTCTTTAATTCTTTCTCGGCTTTCCATGGAATGAGGAGGAGGCCCAGATGGTACTTCCAGAGCCGAGGAGCAGAACCCGGCCCGGAGGAGCTAGGCCGGCCGTGGTTTGGTCTTGAAGAGAATGAAAGCCCACCCATGTTCACAGATCGCAGAGCCCCAGGGCGTTCAGGCCACACCTGCAGCTGGTGCCTTGGGTGAGGCTAAGGGGCTCACAAGTGCAGGCACACATGCCCAGACGCCTGCTGGGCTCCAAGAGTGCTGGCTGCTGCCCAGCTACCCAGACCCTCCATGTCCTTCCATGCCCTCAGCCCCAACTCTCTTCCTGGGGGTTGTGGAGGGCAGGGGGTGCACAGTTCACTCCAGAACCTTCCTAAGACCCAGAGCTGTAGTGGGGAGGGTTGTGAACACCAGTTTCTGAGACCTTTTCAGCCAGGCGGTGGTTCTCGCTCCACACCCTTGGGGGCCCCTGAGCAGGGAGGCCTGGGTGTGCTCACCTAACATTACCCTGTGCTTTGCAGACAGACGGTGCCCTATGGACTGTCCAACTACAGAGGAAGCTTCCGGGGCAAGAGGTCTGCGGGGCCACTTCCAGGGAATCTGCAGCTCTCACATCGGCCACACTTGCGCTGCGCTTGTGTGGGGAGATATGACAAGGCCTGCCTGCACTTTTGCACCCAAACTCTGGACGTCAGCAGGTATGACACCTCCTCCAGTTTCACTCATTTGCAGATATGCATCAACCCTCGGCAAGGCCAGGCCAGGGGCTTCTCAAAGGAGGGTGTAGGATAGTTCAGTCACATCCTGACCTACTGTCGTCCTGTGGGCCAGAGAAAGGAGGTGCTGAGCCCAGAAAAGACCCAGGTCCTCAGCATCAGGAGGGCAGGAGATGCAGCGTCCCCACCCCCTTGCTGCCTTTTGGAACAGAAGCTTCACAGTGGCCGTGGCTACATCTGGTTTCCAGACATATGTTTTTCTGGCCTGCACAGCACTTTGTGAAAATCTGAATAAGTTGCCAACACTTAAAAGATTGAAGAATTAACCCCTGCCAAATGCGTATTTTTAGCCTTCTCGAAAATAGCCCATGATAAGAGTGCAAAAGGCTTATTGGGAGGGGGGGGAACCCAGCACGTAGGACCATCTGGTCTCAGAGCCCCCCTTCTCTTTGGCCACCCTCAGCTGGAACTGAGTGGGGGCATCTCACGTTTGAGTAGGATGTGCAATATCCATTTACCTGTTACCAATTTATCTTACTTTGTAGCCCCTGGAGGCCCCCAAGTTTGAGACCCTGTGGTCTGTCCTGGCTGCCTTAGGGAAGCTTGCAAATCACGTTGAATGGAACCAACAGGCAGACTCCATGTTTGACCCAGGGGCTTTGAGCTGGTATTCACATAACAGGTATTCCTGTTAATGCTCCTTACTCCATCTTTTTCTTAACTTCGGGCCAAGATTCATGAACCCAGTGAGGCAGATTGGCCCTTTCAAAACCCTTCCTGGAGCAGGCGTAGGTGAGCTGCCCTGATGCACACAAAAGACACATAGGCAGGGGTGAGCTCCCAACACCCCAACAAGGCAGACGGTAGCGCTCAGGACCCCAGGATCTGCCGTCTGTGAAACCCAGTGTGAACTGCATGGTTTTTCCCCCCTTCTGGGCTTTTAAACATCCGATGAATAAGTGAGTGGTGAGTATATTCTGTACTTTGGTAGAAATCCACCCACCGAGTGCTCAGCCTTCAGAAACTGTGCCTGAGACGCAGTCCTTGGGGAACGCACTAATGTGCTCATTGGTGGGGAAGAGGAAGTCATAATTTGACACCGAAAAACCAGCCACAGGGAAAGGCAGGTTGATTGATTAAAACCAGCTCTCTCCCCACAGTAATTCAAGGACGGCAGAAAAAACAGACAAAGAAGAGGAAGGGAAGGTGAGAGGTGCCAACAGAGGCCTGTGTCAAAGGAGGTGAAGATGTGACGTGTCATTCCTTCGGGGGTGGGTGGAGGGTGTTTTGAGGGGATGGCATCTGGTCTGGTCCAGTGGGAACCCCAGATCTCATGGGATGCTGCACCCACAAGCAATGGTGCCTTTGGTGGACCGTTTCTGGGGGCAGAGCGGGCTGAAGCTGTGGACAGCTGCTGTCACTTGTCGGTCCCTGGCCACCCTGCTCTGTGTCCTGGGAGCCAGCCCTTGCATCCCTTGTAGCTCTGGGCAGTGATGTCCTGCCTGGATTTCACCTGGCCTGGACAAAGCTAGTCAACCACCGCTCTCAGAGGCCCTGTAGGCTGCTCTGCCCAGACCCACACTTCGCCTCTGCTTCCTTAGCAACATGTGGTCTTTCTCGTCAAAAAAATCATTTATTCTTTTCAGCAGCTGATTCTGGGCAGAGGTGAATTACAGCAGCTTGACAGCAGGGTCCCTTGGTTCTCCAGTTCATTGTATTATTTTTTTTAACCCACTTGTCTTTTTTGTATGAGAGATCCTGAGGGTTTCCTGCAGTCAAACTGGGTTTATTTGTCATTCTATCAATCAGAAGTCATTATTAATGACTCCGCAGCTCATCTGCAATGGGATGGTAATTTATGTTCATAATAATAGCCTGGAGGTGGCTTGGGTTTCTACAGAGACTGATCGAGGGAAGATGAAACCATGCTCAGTATACAGGAGCTTTCCAAATTGGTGGCAGATCGCTTCTAGTCTAGTCCAGAGAGGGATCTGTCAGCAACCATAATAAAAATGGAGCGGGAGGAGGAGGGCCGAGGCGGAAGAGACAGAGCCCGGGAGAGCATGAGTCAGACCCAGATGGTCCCACTTTGCCTCTTCATTCTTTTTCCTCTTTTTCTCTTCCTCACCCCAAACCAAAGCTCCTCTCAGCGAGGGCGGGATGTAATTAAACCCATCCATCCATTGCATCATTTATTCATTCGCTTATGCATTCGTTCAGCAAAGACTTGTTGGGCACCTGCTACGGGCTGGGCACCATTCTCGATGCTGGGGACATAGCAGGAACAAGGCATAGGATCTCTTTTATAGAGCTTAACTAGTGGGGATGCAGACAGCAAACATGTACAATTTAAAGTGAGATTGCAAAGAATAACAGAAAGACACGGCAAGGGTAGGAAGCGTGGGGTGGTTGCAGTTTGAGATGGGGTTGACGTGGCCTCATCTTTCTCACCAGGTGACCTGAAGGAAGGCTGGGAGGAGCCATAGGGATGAGTGAGGGAAAGGGATTTCAGGTAGGGGAACCGGTGAGTGCAAACGCCCTAGAGTGTGCTCAGGGAACGGCCAGAAGGGAGCCCTATATAGGAGAAGCACACCGGTCCTTTTGCTGTTGTGGTGATTATTACTGTTCTATGTCACATGTTCAAAAGATGCAATTGGTGGTGCAGATGTCCCAGCAGGGCCTGGAAAAGTGGTTCTTCCAGGTCTCTATGAGTCATGTAAAGCTCTAGTAAGAAGCTTTACTTGGGAAGAAAAAGTCTCTTATTAAGCCAATGTTCTTGCTTTCTTGCAAGATTCAAGTTAGTAATTCCCAGATTCACATTCTCAGAGTGGAAGCTGTCACCATCCTTAGCTTGTGGTAATCAAAGATGGGGCCAGGCTGCGGGAGGGCCCCTAGCAGCCTTGTCTGCTGGTGTTATTCTTTTCACACTTTTCCAGTCTGGTGGTAGGCTCGGAAATTGCTGAGAAGCACTGGGAAGAGGGTACATACAGTTCCAATCAGGGAACAGGCTGGAGAGGCAGTGGGAAGACGTTCCCTTTTTCAGCTTCACAGAACTACAGAGCTACACTTTCATAACATACCTTTCTTTTTTTTTCTTTTGCCCCCTTTCCCCAAGACAGGTTGAAGTCAAGGACCAACAAAGCAAGCAGGCTTTAGACCTCCACCATCCAAAGCTCATGCCCGGCAGTGGACTCGCCCTCGCTCCATCTACCTGCCCCCGCTGCCTCTTTCAGGAAGGAGCCCCTTAGGAGGACAGGCCTGCAGCATCCTGGTCTCGGGAGGCTTCTGTCATTGCTCACACACAGTTCAGATTTCCACCTCTTTATAGACAAGAAGTGAATTTGCCTGGGGCAGAACACCCACCCAAAGAGTCCCCACTTAACAATACCCCCCCCCCACGGCAAGAATGCCCAAATCCGAATGACCCCAGTTTTCCTAATGAGTAAAATGATCCCAGATGTGCCCCAGAGCATGACGCCTGCAGCTCCGGTTTCATGCAGGAAATTGGTTTTGGAGAGTTTTGGCAAGTTGGAAAGCCACTTACTGGCTTTTGACATGACTTCTCTTGGAGAATAAGTGGACTCCAAGCTAACTCTTTGCAAATGTAAACACATGTCCATCTTGTAATAAATGCAAAATGCCCGTGCAGCAGAAGCATGCGACTTTCATATCCTTGCCTAGAATAGGCTGCATGGTGTATGTCAGTGAGGGCCACGAGGCGTCGGCTTTAGACACAGATCATAGCTCTACAGGAGTTTATGAATTTGAAGCTTATGGGATTTTGGCAGAGAAATTTTCAGCTGTGCTTGATACCCACCAAAAGAATGTATCTCGAAAGAATGAAGGAAGAAGAAAAAAGGATCCTTGATGTTTGTGACAAGAAAATGAGAAAGTTAGTATCTGCAATACAGAGCTTGTTCCTGTTCAGTGACTGACCCTCTGTATTCTGTATAGACACCAGGCCGATACACAGTGGAGTTCCCAGGCCTTGTTTGCAGGAAGCCGACTGTAAAGACAGCCCCAGCTCAAGGCTATTAGGTTGAATATTTGCTTTCATGAGTAAATGTGGATCTTTGGGGAATGGCTTCAAAATAAGTCACGAACACAAATTCTTTGTAAATTATGTAAATTCCTGTTTATATAAATTGGCAACAACTTATACCGTCTGACAGTTCAAAATCTCTTTCAGCTGCGCTCTTCCCACCGAGCCGAGCTTACTGTGAGTGTGGAGATGTTATCCCACCATGTAAAGTCGCCTGCGCAGGGGAGGGCTGCCCATCTCCCCAACCCAGTCACAGAGAGATAGGAAACGGCATTTGAGTGGGTGTCCAGGGCCCCGTAGAGAGACATTTAAGATGGTGTATGACAGAGCATTGGCCTTGACCAAATGTTAAATCCTCTGTGTGTATTTCATAAGTTATTACAGGTATAAAAGTGATGACCTATCATGAGGAAATGAAAGTGGCTGATTTGCTGGTAGGATTTTGTACAGTTTAGAGAAGCGATTATTTATTGTGAAACTGTTCTCCACTCCAACTCCTTTATGTGGATCTGTTCAAAGTAGTCACTGTATATACGTATAGAGAGGTAGATAGGTAGGTAGATTTTAAATTGCATTCTGAATACAAACTCATACTCCTTAGAGCTTGAATTACATTTTTAAAATGCATATGTGCTGTTTGGCACCGTGGCAAGATGGTATCAGAGAGAAACCCATCAATTGCTCAAATACTCAGAAAGTACTGTCAAAAGCCTAATAAAAAACCTAAAGTTTGCTCTGATTTGTGGGTTTTTTTCCTCACTGTCTTTATGTGCGGGGTTGCGCATCAACTTTTCATGGACCTCTGGAGAGGACGGGAAGAAGTTGTGGTTTGGGAAGTGGAATCCATCTAAAGTCAGTTATGGAGCTAGATGAGGGGCTGCCTGAATATTAAGGAAGAAGTGGGGTTTGGGGACCGTTCCAAGAAGATAAAACATTCACAGCAGTCAGGAAGAGAGAAACCTGGGGAGAGAGCTGGTTCTTCCCCTAGGCCATTGTGCCTTCCTAGCAATAGGGAGGCTTCCTTGTGGCCCTGCCAAAGATGCCTGTGCAGCCCAGGATTCTAGGGAGAGGGCACTGCTGGGGGGCTCAGGATTCTATGGAGAGCACTGCTGGAGGGCTCAGGATTCCAGGGAGAGGGCACTGCTGGGGGGCTCAGGATTCTACGGAGAGCACTGCTGGAGGGCTGAGGATTCTAGGGAGAGCACTGCTGGGGGGCTCAGGATTCTAGAGAGAGGGCACTGCTGGGGGGCTCAGGATTCTAGGGAGAGCACTGCTGGGGGGCTCAGGATTCTAGGGAGAGGGCACTGATGGGTGGCTCAGGATTTTACGGGGAGAGCACTGCTGGGGCGCTCAGGATTCTAGGGGGAGAGCACTGCTGGGGGGCTCAGGAGTCTATGGAAAGCACTGCTGGGGGGCTCAGGATTCTAGGGAGAGCACTGCTGGGGGGCTGAGGATTCTAGGGAGAGGGCACTGCTGGGGGGCTCAGGATTCTAGAGAGAGGGCACTGCTGGGGGCTCAGGATTCTAGGGAGAGCACTGCTGGGGGGCTCAGGATTCTAGGGAGAGGGCACTGATGGGTGGCTCAGGATTTTAGGGGGAGAGCACTGCTGGGGCGCTCAGGATTCTAGGGGGAGAGCACTGCTGGGGGCTCAGGATTCTATGGAAAGCACTGCTGGGGGGCTCAGGATTCTAGGGAGAGGGCACTGCGAGGGAGCTCGATTCTAGGAGAGGGCACTGCTGGGGGGGCTAAGGATTCTAGAGACAGGGCACTGCTGGGGGCTCAGGATTCTAGTGAGAGGGCACTGCTGGGGGCTCAGGATTCTAGGGAAAGGGTGTGGCTGCTGAGTTCTTGATAACCAGAAGACAGCAATGATCACACCTGCAAGTCTTTAAAGCTTATAAGACGTCTTGGGGGATTGGGGATGTTCGGAAAGAGTGGGGTTTCCTTCATTTTCTTTCTTACTTCCTTTCCTACCTTCTCCACCTGCCTTTTGAATAAAGAATCAGAGACCGTGGGAGGCAGGGAATTGGACAAAGACAGGCCCAGCCAAAGAGCAAAGAGAAATCCAAGAAGAGGAGTAGGTTTGAGTTTGATGGCTACCTGATCTGAGAAAACCCAGGAGCCTCTTGTTTTAATTAAAGTCATCTTAGAGAGTTTTGACTTTGATGGACTGAGAGCGTTGGGTTTTTTCTGCAGGATGTGGGGCAGCACACAGCAGGAGCTGCAGCGTTCACTCGAGGCACTAACAGGTCCTGGAGTCCAGGAGCTGCCCAGGTGCCACGGAGGCCCCAGGCAGAGGAGGACAGCCAAGGACTTCCAGGAGTCATGGGCAGTCCGAGGCCCAGACGTGGCAGGCTTTTCTGGCATCTGGGTGGAGGAATGAAGGAGCAGTCTATGGATTTATGAGCAGGATTGGCTATGGAAACTGTAGGGCCCCTGGCTTAGAAGGAGTAAGAACTTCAGATCGTGCATTAAACCACGGGCGTCCAGCCCTTCTGAGCCCGGGATCCTGTTCACCTGTGAAGGTTGCCTCAGCTGAAGCCCAGCAAAAAAAGGCTGTGGAGTCTGGAGACCTGGATTTGACACCATGTCCTTTAGGGAAACCAGCTTTAAACTCTCCCAGCCTCAGTTTCTTTCTTTTACCTTTTCTTCTTTTTTCTATGTGTTTGTCTATCTGCGAATATCTTTATTTTGAAATTTATAAATGATAGTTTTTCTGGGGAGAGAATTTTAAGTTGACAGTAGTAGCCCCTTAGATGGAGGATGTTATTTCATTGTCTTTTGAGGTCAGTTATTGCTGGTTAGAAATTTTCTCTGAGACAAATCATAGGTTAATTTCTGGTGGCTTTAATGTTTTTCTCTTTATCCTAGACATTCTGCAGTTTCAGTATAAGGTGTCCAGGCAGAGATTTCCATTCAATTTATACCAGATAGAATTGGTTTGACTTTTCAGTTGAAGGGCCTCTTTCCTCCACTTGTTTCTGGAAGACTTAGTGTCCTCCTCCAACGTTGCCACTCCACTGTTCTCTGGCATCTCTGGAGTGCCTGTTTAAACTACTTGAAGTGCCTATTTTCTCCATTTCTCCTTTGCCTGAATATTTTGATATTTTCTTTTTTCCCCTATTTTTGAGTCTGAGTTTAGTATTGAAAACCCGGGACTGTCATTAGAGACAGTTGTGGGTTATCGAGGGGTTACATTTCTCCGGGAAGCTTGTTCCTGTCAGTCAATCCACGGTGTTTCCTAGGATCTCTCCTTGCACAAGGTGTGTGTGAGGAGCCCAGGACACACAAGAATAAGTCTCCAATTTGTTCGAAGTATATGCAATTGTTTTAAGCCCTCAACGTAATTCCATGATGTCTGTATTATTTGTGTCCTCATTTTATGGATTATGAGGAAAACCGGGGCACAGAGGGGTTACCAGCCTATGGCCACATAGCTAGAAATTGGTCCTCACCTGAACACATTGTGCCTACCTGTACTACTGTATAATTAGTTAATGGCAGCTGAGGGTGAGGAATGAAGGCTCAGAATAATTTTATGGAGAAGGTATTTTTAATTAAAACATTGAGCAAGTAAAACTCTTTGATTGAAAAATTGAAACTATTAAAACATTCTACGTAGGGACTTCTTGCCCCCTCCCTGTCCTGTCCTCCCTGCCTCACCTCCACCCCCAGAAAACCACTGTCATGACTGTCTGGAGTACCTTTTCATCTGCATTGTGTGAGTAGGAGCAAACAGGAACATGTAGTCTTGCTTCTCACTACTTTTCCACACAAGTTAGCATATAACACTTCTCACTACTTTCTCACACAAGTTGGCCTATAACACTGTCTTCCTCTGACACCACCTTTGCCACCGAGGGTGTGGGTTTTTTTCCTGACACCAAATACATGTTGTTTTCCCACACCAGTTATCCAATTCTACAACACCAACCGAGTGTCCAACAACTGAACCCAATTCTGACTTTATCTATGTGGAGTTAGCATCAGAGCCAGCAAGCTAAGGTCTCAATCCTGCAAGATTGCCCCTACTTCAGACACCAGCCACACAAGTGGGGTTTCCAGCAGATCCACATTTCTTCCCAGCCTACTACAAATTTGGGGGTTCCATAATCTAAGCTATACCCCCATGTTTGAGAACTCATCAGAACAATTCCCAGAACTCAGGGAAGTACTGTGCATACAACTTCAGCTTTCCTATAAAGGGTGTGACCCAGGAACAGCCCCATGGAAAACAGGCAAAGAATGAAGCCCTGGGAGAGGAGGTTTCCACGCTCCAGTACATCCATGGGTTGGCCATCGTCGAAGCTCCCTGAACTTACTTAAGGCTTCTTATGGCGGTTTCATTACCTAGGCCTGATTGATTAAATCATTGGCCATTGGTGACTGAACTCAAGCCAGAGGTCAGGGTATGGAACAGAAAGTCCAAGGGCAGGGGGAGAGCTTTGTCCCCAGTTACTCCTGTGTAAGTGCTGGCTCCATTGTGATTGGGCCAGCGTGGGTACTGTGTCCATCCTGAGCTAATCAATGGGCTTGAAGGTTACCATGTAAGGAGTGGCCTAGGCTCTCATACTCAGCTTTTGGACCCAAAGGAAGTTTGGATGCTTTTTCCAGAGGAAGGGAAAATGGATAATGAGCAGCAAAACCCATCAAGGGCCATTGGGAGGTACCTGGTAACCCAAGAGCCTTGACTAGGACAGTGTGCCTGTCTAGAATTAACGCAGATTAAATGCTTCTTCCAAGAGAAGCCATGGATGGTTTCCATCAGTATCCAGCCTCCAATATGAAATGCATCTCAACAGGCTTATCAGATACTTCTTTCCAACCATATGTGTTGTCCATGTTTCTCACTAGAGAAGACCTGGTGACATCTTCCTTTATTTCTCTCTGTAACCTGTGGTCCAGCAGACAGCCTAATGTTATAAGTAGGGGAAAGAGATGATTTTTTTTTTTTTTTGAGATGGAGTCTCGCTCTGTCACCCAGGCTGGAGTGCAGTGGCGCTATCTCAGCTCACTGCAAGCTCTGCCTCCCAGGTTCACGCCGTTCTCCTGCCTCAGCCTCCTGAGTAGCTGGGACTACAGGTGCCCGCCACCTCGCCCGGCGAATTTTTTGTATTTTTAGTAGAGACGGGGTTTCACCGTGTTAGCCAGGATGGTCTCAATCTCCCGACCTCATGATCTGCCCGCCTCAGCCTCCCAAAGTGCTGGGATTACAGGCATGAGTCCCCACACCTGGCCGAAAGAGATGATTTAATGGGAAAATTGCATTCTGTTTTTGAAAGTGTCAGAGGAGACTTGCTCCCAAATCACAATGCAATGACAAGCCAGCGGCCAGTGAGCGAGTGACATCATGACAGGGATGCCCAAGGAATTATTATCACAACCATATCCCAGTCATACCTGAGGTCAGAGTATCTGGAGTTCAAAAATTCAACCTTAAATATCTTAAATGTGCATTCACTTGGTTGCTAGGATCAAAAACCAGGGGACCCTTCTTCCTGGTAATTAATTGATTAACCTTGGGACCTGGAATCAGGGATCCCTACTTATAGGTATAGGTTTCAGATAAGGAAACATCAGTCTGCATTGGAATTGCTATTGGACATTCTCCAAAGTGATTTAATAACAGAGGCACTTCCTAGTGGCTCAGGCAGCTTCAGATATGACTTGAGTTTAGAACTGTGGTGGATGAGCCTTTTCTCTTGGCAAATACTAAGTCAGCATTAAAAAAAAAGAAAAAGAAAAAAGCCAGTTCTTAAGAATCTCCTATTTCCCAAGCACTTAAGTCAAAGTGAGGGTAACTCCTTCACAGGGCTATGAGGCCTTCCGTGATCTGGCCCTTGTTCATCTCTGCAGGCTCATGGCACCCGAGTGCTCCTGAAACTCCAGCCACAAGAGGCTCCTTGCAGCTGCCGGAATTCCTGTCCACCTTGTGACCTTCAGTTAGATTGTTTTTCTGCCTAGAACGCTCTTCTTTCTTCTCCTCCTACCTCCACATCCCCTGGCTAGCATAGATTCCATCCCCTCCTGGTCTGGGTCCAGCCCCTCCATGGCTCTGTGTTTGATAGCACTTATCACAGGATAGCATGGCAGGCCATCGCCCACTGTCCAGTCTCAAAGCCGAGCCACACAGAAGCACAGTCCAGGCACCAAAAGGTGACGTGAGGGCTCTACTTAATCTCCCACATGCTGCAAAGAGAGAGATGAAGATGATCCATGCTTGGTAAAATTTTCCCGTTTTCTCTCTTGCTTGCTTCCTTCACCCCTGCAGCTGCTCCCCCCTCTCTCTCGACACCTCTTTAACCATGTCTTGCAGAATCCTACCGGAGAGCCTCTTGTCCTCAGCTCTTTTCCCCAGTTCTACCTCCCAGAGGGTCTGGAGAGCTGGCCCAGTGTGTAGAGATCCTCTGGGGTGGTGGGGAGGGTGAGGCAGTAGAAAACAAAGCCAAAGGGAGAGGAAGGCCCAAGGCTGGAGACCTCGTGGTTAATTTGTAAATAGTTTATCTTCTGCATACTTATTTTGTCACTTTAAAACATAACTTATCCCCTCTGTTCGTCTCCCCTGGGAGGGTAGAGTTGATGTCTGTTGTGTTTGCTGCTGTAATCTTAGTACTTAGACAAGTACTTAGCACTTGATTGCACTCCGTAAACATTTGTTGAGTGAAGGAAGACACAAAGATAAGCACCACATGGTCTGTGCCTTGAGGGACTCACAGTCTAGTGAAAAGGCAAGCAAACAAACAGACCGATGTCGGCCCAGGAGCTCAGGGACTGACAGAGTGCAACGGAACCCAAGGGGAAGCAGGTCCCTGCTGGATCGGCGCAGTGTAGACACCTGCTACCTGACAAGGCTCTCCTGTCTGGGGACGTAGGCTCTAGGAGCCACCACATGTGTTCATCAAAAGGCATGCTGGTGTTTCTTGATTCAGATCAGTACTAATTGTCTCCTCAGGGGAACTCGCAGTTCTCATTTTCTCAGCAATCGGGTGCAATGAGCCTGCAGAAGAAGCTTTTCCAGAGCTGTTGTAAGACTTCTGCAGGCCCTGGGCGCAGTCATTTTCAGAGGTTTCAGGCCACGGCACGGCGATGCCATGAAAACGCGGATGCATCCCATGCTAGGTAATTATCGGAGGACTGTAAGATTTTCCAAAATGTTTACCATATTTCCTGGGAAAATTATGTGGAATTGGGCTCAGTAAAAGTGACAAAGAAAAAAATATATATATATATAGGCTGAATCTTGCTCTGTTGCCAAGGTTGGAATACAGTGGTGTGATTTCAGCTCACTGCAACCTCCACCTCCCAGGTTCAAGTGATTCTCCTGCCTCAGCCCCCACGAGTAGCTGGGATTACAGGTGTGCGCCATCACGCCAGGCCAATTTCTGTAATTTTAGTAGAGACGGAGTTTCACCATGTTGGCCAGGCTGGTCTCAAACTCCTGACCTGAAGTGATCCGCCCACCTCGGCCTCCTAAAGTGCTGGGATTACCGGTGTGAGCCACCACGTCCGGCTGACAAAGATAATAATAATTTGAATTTTCTTATGATTTTTAAATTTTTTGATTTCATTAAAAAGAAGTTATTTATTTTGCTTGTGAGCACAAAATTATACGTAATTCATATGGTTACATATTAATAGAGTCACAGTTGACTAGTTGACATAATGTTTTGTTTTGAAGGCATGTAATGAGGCAGTTATCAGTTTTATTTTGCAAGGTTGTTTTTGTTTTCACCTTGCTTTGCTTTGTTTTGTATTTTGGAGCCAATGGATTCTATTTGTTTCGGCCCTCAGATACAGGCCCTTGGAAGGCTCCTAAGCCATAGCTTTGTTACTGTTAGGAATTGTCTGAGGCTAAAGCAGCTCTGGGCTGCCGTATGGTTCTTTTCTGTGTGGGTCCAAGTGTTGCCTAAATTCAAATGATCAATCAAGAGAGAAAGCAAAATGCTTGATGTTTTGTTAGCTTTGTGTCAGTGAGCTATTGCTTTACAGCAGATCACCCCAAAATTTAGTGGCTTAAAAAATAATCTCCCTCCCACCACTCCCCCATAAATGAGTGTTTCTGCTCATCTGGGCTGAGCTGGGCTGATCTTGACTGGGCTAGCTGGTGCATCTGCCGTCAGCTGGTAGCTTGACCTGGGACTGGCTGGTCTGGTGTGGCCCTGGCTGGGGTGACTTGGCTCTGCTCCACATAGTCACTCATCTGCAGGGTAGCCTGGTTTGTCCTCATGGGTAGCCTGGCTTGCCCCCACAGTGGGGGTGAGGGGCCCAGCGGGGGAGAAAAGTGTTACGTTCAGAGACTTGGGTCTCCAAGGCCTGGCTCCTTTATGTTCTATTATTTGAAGCAAGTCAAAAAGCAGCCCAGATTCAAGCTGCATGGGAATAAACTCTACCTCTTGATAGCAGGGGCCATAAAATCACATTACAAAGGGTGTGGATGTAGAACGAGGGGGAGAATTGGAGTTATATCTTCGTCACAGCTGACTAGCAAATCTATGATTTATTTGTGTTTCAATATTACAAGGAAATGTTTAGCCCTCACAGAAAATATTCCTTTGCTATATTCAAATCCTGTCTGTTCTATACAACGTAATCGATGTTACCTTGATCTATGTCAAATGGCAATGATGCAAAATGCACATTTGCTAAAATGCTCTTTTACCACATGGAGCGGCGTGGCATCAATGTGCGCACCCTGGCCCTCGTGTTTTATCAGAAGCCTCGAAGGCTGGCGAGTGAGAGCTCGGGCTCCAGGCTCTGTAACTCTGGTTTTCCCCAGTTGTTTTCTAGGTGTTGTTTGAGTAACTAAGTTAGCCTCTCTGAGCTCTAATACTTTTGTGACCTGGAGAGAGCAAGGTTACCTTCCTCACGGAGTCGTCGTGCGCATTGAATGCACATCAAGCGCTTGGCACAGGGCCAGACAGGTTGATAAATGTTTGCTCTTATTGAGCTCAGAATCAAGTCTGTGTTCAGGGAAAGTTTGTTGAATGAATCAATTAATGATGCAAGCCCAGCTTTTCCAAGGGCAGAGAATCTGTGAGGAAAAGAAAGCATAGAAATGTATGCACCCTTTTGGGGTCTCTTTCAGAAGAAAACTGCTTCCTCATCTCCTGTCTTATGTTGAGTGCCTGTGTTGTTATATAGCTAACAGGTGAATAACCAAGACAATTGAAGGATGGGAAGAGGGCTTTTTCTCAGATCTCTAAAATGCTTTTCTTCCCCTGTTAGAATACTAAAGCCATGATGACAGCAAAGGGTGACAGAATATGATTGGAGGAGTCCCAAGCTCTTTTTGATCCAGGCTTGGATGGGGCTGGGGGAAAGCTCCTCTTCTGATGGACAGTCATTGCTGGAAGACAGATGGGACATAATTGTGGGGGCCCCTGTGGGAGAGGTTTGAAATGTCTCAGGGAAAGACGGGACTGTGAAGGGATCCCCTGAGGACACTGGTAACATTTGCAGTGGGACACTTTGGCTCACAAGGAAGCTTCTGGGCATGGGAATTTCAGAGCCCAGATGGTGGGAAAATCCTCAAAAAACCTTGGGATTTGGGTCTCTGCAGCTGGGCAGCAGCTGTGGGCCTGGAATTAGCGCCAACCACAGGTGGTACCACCTGTTCCAGTGACCACATGTTTCCCACCCTCGTCACGGAGGCCCAGCCATTTCTCCCTCAGAGTTTTGGGAAATGTGGAAGAAGAATGGGAGGAGACCATTTGTTGAAAGGATTAGGGAGATGGGTGTTCAGCCTGGAAGCCTCCCAGAGGCTCAGGGTTAGTTACCAAAAAAGCCCAGAACAGCAGAATTTGTGCTGTTTTCCCTGATGCCTCAATTAAATCATCCTCTGACGTCACATTTTCTGCACCTGCAGGGTTTGCGGTCAACACATGGTAATGTGGGCTCCATAAATTTAGAGTGTATAATTGTTCTGACACGGCATGGATTGGAGCTTCTTTCTGAATTATCTATGAAAAAGCAAATTAAGAGCATAATCCTGACTGCATGGGATGTGCCCAGCCTTCTAACAGGAACAAACTCTTTCCTGGCCTTTTCAAAGTATCTGTTACTATGTAATAAATTAATAGGGTAATTACAAATGGTTCTTTTCCAGGTCTACCAGATTTCTGATGGACCATATTCTCTTAGTTCTTATTGTACTTGAAGTAATACTTAAGGTCACACACGGTAGCACTTTAAAGTAGCTAATTACAACTGTTTCCTTTATGATGCACATGGAAAAACTTCTTCACCTGCGATGAAACTGAATAGCTGTTAAGGCTCGTGTCTAGATTCAGGCAGCTTTGTTTTCTACCCCAGCTGGCCTGGTTGGTTCCTTAATTTCTCTGAGCCTCACTTTTTCTGCCTGTAAAACGGGAATGATCATATACCCAAGGCCTCCTGCCAACAGTCAGCACCAATGTGCCAGGTGGACCACTGGAGGACTGCAGCCTCATGAAAGATCCCAAGCTAGAGCCACCCAGCTAAGCCTCTCTAGATTTCTTGGCCTGCAGAAACTTTTAAGATAATACATGCTTTTGTATTCTAAGTAAATTAATACTACTTATAATGGTACTGACATATAGGATTACCGAGGAAGACATTCATCAGCGAAGAGCAAGTACTGAGTACGGTCTTAGCATAAGTATGCGTACATGGTAAAGGTAGGAAGTTTTACACTAATGTTTGAAAGGAAAATGTAGATAAAATGTACATGCTCACAAATGGGAATTGAGGTAGGGTTGCCAAATTTCACAAATAGAAATCCAGGAAACCCAGTTACATTTACATTTCAGTTGAACAATACATAAAATGTTAGTAGAAGTATGTTCCGTGTAATAATGGGATAGTCACTGAAAAATTATCACGACTTACCCAAAGTTCAAATTTAACTGTGTTCTGTATTTTATCTAGTAATCTAGATCGAGGCGACTTACTTCCTCATGATCCAATGGGCATCTGTCTCTGATGTGGTTCATCTCTTTATTCCCTAATTGAAAAAATATAAATTTTTTAATACTAACATGAATTTTGGCATTTTTTAAAAACCTGGCAATAATACAGAGGAATTGACATTCTCACAGCATACCAGTAGAAGTGTAAGTTGGAATTGGTTATTATATAAACAGTTTGTCAAAATGATTGAAGAACTTGAAAATGTTCATACCCCAAGTTTTGATTACAAAGATATTTACCATAATGTTACTTAAAAATCACAAAATACCCGGAAAAAACCCATTGCTTAAATGATAGTAATAATCTGACATATTTCTCTACATTTGCCAGCAAAAATCAAGACATCCTCTGAAGACTGTCCATGAAGATTTTGTTGGAGTGAGAAAAAATAAGCAATAAAAATGTAGTCTTCTTGTTTGGCTATAGTCTGGCCTGGAATGGATATTTTGGAAGTGACTCCTCACGTGCAGGAAGGACTCTTAGGCCGTATGTGTGGGCCTCTCCGAAGTTCAAAGCTGATTTATAGAGCATCAGCGCTGACTCCTTGACAGAGAGTCTGCGGGTCAGAGGAACTTGAAGTCAGAATGTGAGACTGAAGTCTCAGGAACACACAGAATTCATATCAAGTTCCTTTTACACATAACTTGTTAAGAAGAGCATGTTTGCCTAAAGTGGGGTGCTCCTCACAGATTCTGGGAGTACAGAAGAGCTCAGGAAATGCTGGGGACAGAGTGGAGGCTGCGCTGGGAGGACCCTGGTGTGGTTTCAATATCAGCTTGGTGCCAGGTTCTCTGTAGCACCTTCTTTCTCTGTGAAAGTGGCCAACTGTTGCTGAATCCTGGAATGTTGGATGGGCGAACGGGAGCCTGACCAAGCCCAGGCTGGAATTCACAGCCTGATTCTGGGAACTGATGGGTTATTGATTCCCTGTGGCATTGACTTACATGAGCTGATACCCCTTGGCCATTGGTTGGGGGCTCAAAGAGTTTAGGGCGAGGGTACCTAAGAGGACAGAGAAGATGGAGGAGTACAGCATGCAGTTCATCCCTTCCCTGTCCACCGCTGTGGTGTGATTTCAGCCACTGAGGTTGATTGAGGTGGACTGTGAGCTCCTCCCTCCAGCTAGGCAGACATGGGGCCTACAGGAGGCAGACAGGTGTCAGGCTTAGGAGAGGGCTCTGTGGTTCCTTCTGCTGCAAACCCTGGCGCAGCTTCAGGGCCAACTTACCCGCTTGGCACAGTGAGCACAGGGCCTAGGGCCCATGAAACTTTTAGGGTCCTATGAAAATGTTTTAATTTCTTTTTTTTTTTGAGACGGAGTCTCGCTCTGTCGCCCAGGCCGGACTGCGGACTGCAGTGGCGCAATCTCGGCTCACTGCAAGCTCCGCTTCCCGGGTTCACGCCATTCTCCTGCCTCAGCCTCCCGAGTAGCTGGGACTACAGGCGCCCGCCACCGCGCCCGGCTAATTTTTTTCTGTATTTTTAGTAGAGACGGGGTTTAATTTCTTTTTTTTTCCTTCTTTCTTTCTTTCTTTTTCTTTCTTTCTTTCTTTTTTTGAGACAGAGTATTGCTCTGTTACCCAGGCTGGAGTGCAGTGGTGCCATCTCGGCTCACTGCAACCTCTGCCTCCTGGGTTCAAGTGATCTCCTGCCTCAGCCTCCCGAGTAGCTGGGATTACAGGCATGTGCCACCATGCCCAGCTAATTTTTGTATTTTTAGTAGAGACAGGGTTTCTCCATGTTGGCCAGGCTGGTCTTGAATTCTTAACCTCAGGAGATCCGCCCACCTCAGCCTCCCAAAGTACCGGGATTACAGGCATGAGCCACTGCGCCTGGCCGAAAATGTTTTAATTTCTTTTAAAATCAGATGAAAAAGTGAACATTGTAATAATACTGAATATGGATCTCCTCCATAATGTGATGGGCTATGTGACCTTGGGCAACTTACTTTGCCTCTCTGGGCCCCTGTTTGGCTGTCTGTAGTTAAACGGACCACCTCATCTCTGGGACTTCAAAAGAGGAGAGGACGGTCAGCAGGGGTGGCCTGCTCAGAAGGGCCATACTTTGTCCCCAACATCCCTCAACAACCCCAAGGGCAATGCCACCCCAGACCTCACTGCCAGGCCTTCCAGAGTCCAATAAACTCATGTCCCATGACCACAGCTTGTTCCCTTGATCTATGTGCACCTGGGGATGCTGGTGGCTGGGAGGTGAGTTCATGAGGCCTCAGATCCGCCCTTGAAGTCAGTACTGACATTCACCCATTCTTCAGACGAGGACATAGAGGCCTGGGAAGAGTCAGCAAGGACAGAAGCTGGGTTCACAGCCCCCCAGGCCAGCTCCAGAGGCCTCAATCTTCACCAGCAATGTGCCTCTGGGCTTGAGAAGATTGGACAGGAAGAACACAGGAAGCTCCAAGAAAAAAGAACTGAAACTGCACCAAGAGTCAATGATCTGCTGCCTCCTCAGACGTGCAGCAATCTGACAACATCCATCAAAATTAAAAGCGCGTGCACCCTTGACTTCACAATGGCCTTCTAGGAATTTACCCTCCCAACGCACTAGTGCACGTGTCTAAGATACAAGGTTCTGCCGTAGCAGAACTGCTTACGGCAATGAGTTTATGGCTGCCCACACCCCCAGCCTCAAGTGAGGAGGCTCCAACTCCACAGCAGGTTGGCAGGGGCTGAGCTGTGCCCCTCCACTCAATGGAAATATTTCCTGGACCAAAACGGAACTGCACCAGGGACCAAGACAGACAGGACCTCCTCCACCCCGTGGAAGGTAACATGGAGAGAGGTCCCAGTGGATCCACCAAAGAAAAGGAATGTCCATCTTATCTTTCACCTAGAGTGGGATCCAGTGCAAACCAGCACACACAGGAGGATCCACTGTAGTTGCTGGAATGTAAGATGGACATACCGTGTGTGTATGTATGGGAAACTTCTGGAAAATGCAATGTTGGGGTGAAGGAGGTAGGAGGCTTTTTCTTCCTATTCTTATGTCCTTCAGTCATGGTTCATTTGGTTTTGCACTCTCATGAGCATATATTATTTTATACTTAAAAAAAAGGGATTGCATTTCAAAACTTCCATGACCAGCTCCGAAGTCAGTGGGTCAGAGGGAATTCCCTGCTCACTCCTGGAACAGACCCATCCAGCCCCCTGCCACCTTCCTGGGCTCTGCAGGAACCACATTCACGCCAAGTTTGGAAGCAGCTGGGTTATGTGCTCTTTACACCAGTGCTGCTGGACATAGACTTGGGAATCCTTTTTATGGAGGAGAGGGACAAGGAAGGCAGAAGCGCCTGGGGCCCAAGCATGTTACCTTCTCAGCAACCGCTGTACTCTGCACATTTGTTTTCTTGTGGAAGTTCTGGAAGAAGGTGGAGGAGGCTTGTCCTGAAAAGGCTGGTGGGGCCAGAGGATGGCCAGTGGACCTGCTATCTGCACTCCTCGAGATGGCCATGGGGAGCCCCAGAGATTCTACCCATGTGGGTGGGGGTAGGAGCAGCAAGTTAGGTCTGGTAAATGTTAACCCTCCTTTAGTTGCACATGCAGGCTGGGATCATTCAGAAGAGACTTTAGTATTTGGAAGCAGTGTTAATCCACCACTAGCAAGAGCCAGCCCTCACCCCACACATGCATGGCACCATCTTTGCCGGCACTGCCTGCAGAGGCCTAAGTGCTCTGGGCTGGAAACTTGGCCCCACTCCTCTGAATGACCAAGGCAAGTTCTTTGATCACTGCCTCAGTATCCCCATTTGCACTGTAGGGATAGTGATAACACTTTCTCATGGGATGGTTGTGAGAACTAAATGAGATAATGCATTATATGTTCTTAGAATAATGTGTGCTAGGCACATGTTATCAATAAAAATAATGAGAAGGAGACAAAAAGAAGGGGATCTGCCTTGCAATCTTTTCATGTGTCTGCTATGAAACAATGTCACATCCATCATGATGGGCAGCCCCATTGTGTGGAGCATAAGTCACTTTGGGGCCTTTCCAAATCTCAACGGGGATGCAAGCTGGCTGGAGAAGGACTCTCTGGGTTACTGAGACATGCCCTGTGTCAGACTGGGTGGCCCAGAGATGTCATCTTTGCAAAGAATGGTGTGTTGCAAGAGAAGAGATGGGACGCTGATGAGCAGGGAGGGTGTCAGGGTTCAGCTATGTGGGGACAAGCTCACTGTGTAGCAAAACAACATCTGCACCCAGCATGGGGAGACTGAGGGTGTTTGCTAGGGAGCAGCTGGGGAGATGGATCCTGATGAAAAGGAAGTCTTCCAGCCAGTCCTTCAGACAGCTCCGAAGGACACCGGAGCCAAGAGGGCCTTGTGGTAACAATTTTGCAGAGCCAATGGAGCACGGCCCTGGTGCTCTGGGGTTGATCCTCGCTTTCTAGAAGCTGATCCTACGGGTAGCGGCATCCAGGAAGCCTTCTGCAGCGTGGTCAAAGCACTAAGAGATGAGAAGCTATTGCAAGAGCCCTAGGGGGCTAATCCATTCTAGAGACCACAGCACATGTGGCGATTAAGCCTGCAGGCCTAGAGGAGGGGCGTTGGGTGCAAACCCTGGCTCCTAACCAAAAGGCTTTTTGACTTGAGGCAAGTAATTCAACCTGTCTGTGCCTTGTTTCCTTCTCTGCAGTTCTTGTGAGGGTTCGATGATATGATAAGGGTTTTAAAAGCAGGTGCAAGCTCCCTGTGATCATTCTTTTGCCTCAGTATCCCGGCAGGCATTGAGAAGGCTGCTTGGAGGAAGGAGCCTTTGAGTAGGGCCTCAAAGGATGAGGAGGTGTACCCCAAGACGGAGGGGCGTTGAGACAGAGGGAAAGCATGTATGCAGTCCCATGGCTAGGATTTGGGGGTGGAGTGTGTTTGAGAGTGTGAGTGTGTGCATCTGTGTGAGTTTGTGCGTGTGAATGTGAGTATGAGTATGTGTGTCTGTGTGTGCATGTGTGTGAGTGTGCATGCATGTGTGTGCTTGTATGAGTGTGAGAGTATATGTGTATGTGTTTGAGTCTGTGTGCTTGTGTGTGTGTGCATGTGAGTGTATGTGTGTTTGTATGTGGCCTGTGTGTATGTGTGTGTGCTTATATGAGTGTATATGAGTGTGTGCTGTGTGAGTGTGCATGTGTATGAGTGTGCGTGTGCTGTGAGTGTGCATGTGTGTGTGGGTGGGTATGCATGTGTGAGTGTATATGAGTGTGTGCTGTGTGAGTGTGCATGTGTATGAGTGTGCGTGTGCTGTGAGTGTGCATGTGTGTGTGGGTGGGTATGCATGTGTGAGTGTATATGAGTGTGTGCTGTGTGAGTGTGCATTGTGTGAGTGTGTGTGTGACTGTGTGGGTGGGTATGCATGTGTGAGTGTATAAGTGTATGTGCTTGTGTGTGCATGTGTGTATGGGGGTGTGACTGTAGGCATGTGTAGTGTGTGAGTGTGTATGTGCTTCGTGTGCTTGTGTGAGTGTATATGAGTGAGTGCATGCTTGTGTGAGTGTGCATGAGGGGGTGTGTAGGAATGTGTGAGTGTATGAGTGTGTATGTGCTTGTGTGAGTGTGTGTGCATGTGAGTGTGCATGTGTATGAATGTGTGTGCATGCATGTGTGTGTCTGTTGCTAAGGGAGAGGACTTAGCATTAGTGAGCAGCAGGAGACGAAAGGGGAAGCAAGTTTGGGGTTCATGCAGTCATGTGACAGGCTCTGGGGCTTCCTCTGCAGGCCTTAGGGAACAAGCCTGGTTTGGAAGCACTGAGGCTGAGGTGGTGGTGACAGGCCCTCACTTGGTTTCACCCTGGGGGTGTAGGTGGGCACAGGAACAATAGCTGAGCAAGCAAGAGGGGACAGAGGCTGCATGCAGGGCCTGAGCCACCTAGAAGGAGGCTGCTTTCCCAGCCCGGCCCTCCCGCAGCGCCTGTGTGCTCATAGGAAAATCCTCCTCCCGAGAGATTTATGGCTGGCGGCTGCGACAGCTCTCGTGTCCTTTGCAGGGGGAGCTTGGCTACTCCTGCCTTGGGCTTAGGCAGAGCGCAGTTCTCTCTCAGAAAGTCTAGAGCCTCGCAGCTGAGCAGAGCTTTGGGGCAGCCCCAGGTTGCTCTGTGAAACAAGGTGCCACCAGGCAGCCAAGGTGACAAGGGGCCCGCCATCTGACAGGGTGGCTTGGATTTGGAGGAGGTCACTGGACGTCCGTGCGGATGGCCCGGGGCCCTGGCGTGTGTCCTCCTCTCATCTGCACCTGGTCCTTGCCCCAGCAGCTGAGTGTGTTGTTGGGGAAGGAAATGAGAACAAGGAGTGCCCTCCTGGGGATGCCGTGAGGGTGGCGCAGCATCTGCTTTGCACTGGGCCCATGTCGCTCCTTTGCCAGGTATGTGAGCTGGCTCAGCCCTGTGGGGAGCAGACACTTGGGCATGTGCTTGGAGACATGGCTTTTGACACTCGCCGTCCTTTACTGAGCTCTGCGCACTGGCCCTGGGCTGTGCACTCAGCTCGCCTTGTCCCACTGAACCTCACCACATTCCCCTGGGGAAGGGACGGTCGCTGACTCCCTTCTGCAGATGTGGGAACTGGGGAAAGTAGTAAAATTCAGGAGGAAGTGGGCGAGGCTGACTTGGACTTTGGACCTTTGTCTTGAGAGTCCACAAGCTTGGCCTTGTCGCCATTTCTTTGGGCAAGGGTTTCTCAGCCTCAGCACTCCTGACATTTTGTGCAGATCGTCCTCTGTGGTGGGGCCATCCTGTGCATTGCGGGGTGTTCAGCAGCATCCCTGGCCTCAACCCACTACATGCCAGTAGGTCCCTCCAGGTGTGACAACCAAAGATGTCACCTTGAGGGCAGGTGTGACAACCAAAGATGTCACCTTGAGGGCAGGTGTCACAACCAAAGATGTCACCTTGAGGGCACAGTCACTTCTGGCTGAGACCCACTGCTTTAGGGAAAGGCTAAGATGACCTCGAAATGTCACCACCTTCCCCTTTTCCTCCAACCCCAGCCCTAGTGCCAACCCTCTCTGCTTTCCTAACCTGCTGACAGTGAGCTCTCAGATTCTGTCGCCTGCATGAGGGTGAGCCTCCATCAGCCTGGAGAGACAGTCCTGGAAGTGGACACTTCTGCCTGCCTTTCTGGTCACTGGTGCTGCCTTGAGCAGAGTGCCTGTGAGTTTTGGGGGATTGGAACGAGCCTTCAGCACCTCCCCGTGCCACTCTAGCAAGCCTTGGGTCACACTCAGGCTAAGTTGTCTGAGGGATTGAGAGGGTGACAAGATCCCAGGGATGTTGAAAGTTGTCTGTAGAACACTAGTGAGAGCATGGGGACGTTGGCGCCCCAACACTCTGCCGGCAGAAGTCAGAACAAAGCCTCCTGTCATTGGGAGCTGGGGCCCAGACTTGAAGCTCATGTGTTCTTTGATCCAGCTGTTCACCTCTGGGAAGAATCCCACAGAAGTGTAGGCATGTCTGCTGAAGGCTCTTCATTCCAGCCACTGTGTGACAGTGTGAGGAAGAGGAAATGAGTGCTGAACAGCAAAAATACAAAAAAGAAAAGCCAATGGCTGCTGTACAGATGACGATAGACTGGTTACCAGTCTCTATGGTTTTCCTCTCTCCCTGTAGCTGTAAAATTAGCAATGTGACTTCGTGGCATCTCCCATCGAGAAGTGCAGACCTTGAATACAGGCTGGTCTGGGGCTTGCTCTGGTCAAGGGGCAGAATGAATGACAGTCAGCCTAAAATGAATGACAGCCAGCCTAGAATGAATGACAGCCAGCCTAAAATGAATGATAGCCAGCCTAGAGTTCCACACATCGGGAGACTTGCTTGATTCTGAGCTCTCAAAACCCTGTCTAGCCACCATGAGAACAAGCCTGGACTGGGCTGCAGAGGGTGAGAAACCAGGAGGAGGAGAACCCAGCTGTCCCAGTCAAGGCCAATCTCGTCTGCTGACAGCCAGCCAAACCCCAAACACAAGAGAGAGCCCAGCCAAGTACAGCAGAGTTGTACATCTGAACTACACCTGACCACAGATGAGTAAGTCCAGAGAGTCTAGAAGAACCACCCTGCTTACCCCCAGACTCACAAACAATCATCAGTGTGTCTTGTTTCATAACATTAAGTTTGGGGCTTGTTTGTTACGCAGCAAAAGCAGACTGATAAACAGTGAATAGATCAAGGCTCAGATGGAAGAGCTGGTTTGCTTGAAGTCACATTACTAGTTGATCTTGGATCCAGAGTGTAGACCCTGGCCCTAGTGGAGTCAGTTCCCGTAATAACATAACCAGAGTCAATAAGGGGTTTAATGAAACAACCTTAAAAAACTTCCGGTAGAAATAAGCTTCACGTCATGACTGCACGTGGCCCAGAATCTCTGCAGTGGCCCTCAGCTTCTAGGCTGAGCAGCAAGAGAACATCTGGGCATGTTTATAGCTCAGACTCTATTTCTTAGCGCTTTGTGGGGGTTCCTGGCTCATGGAAATGAACATCTTGGGCTGCACTGAGGCAAGAGAAATGCAATAGAGGCAAGGATTCCAAAAACAGCTCTAATACAAGTAACAGCAAAGCTCCCTTCATGGAACACACGGCTGGGAGGACCTCGCCATTCTGGAAAGGCAAGGCTCAGTGGGGGAGATGTGAATGCTCTTCCCTGATTTGGGGGCTTGGTCCTAGGGAGCCAAGGCTGTGCATCACGAACGGAGGCCTTGGGGGAAGGTGGGCAGTGGAGTAGCAGCTTGGACTCAGTGCCATCCTGCAGAACTTCTTTGATCTCAGCTTTCCCTTGGTAACATAGGGGTAATAATTGTCCTTCCCCATTAGGCAAAGAAGCAA
The DNA here is from genome assembly GCF_000001405.40 of Homo sapiens. Classification (NCBI taxonomy): domain Eukaryota; kingdom Metazoa; phylum Chordata; class Mammalia; order Primates; family Hominidae; genus Homo; species Homo sapiens. Next base: position 59,345,021 of record NC_000020.11, read on the forward strand.
GAGAACAGTGTTCCTGAAAGAAAAAAGGCTGTGCAGAAAACTGTAGCATACTTGTCAAGTCTGTGCACTTTAGGTCAGGTATGGTTCTTGCCTCTTAAGAACCGTGTCAACCTGGATAAGTTGCTTAACTTTTGGAACCTTGTTTTTGTCATTGTAAAAGGGAGGGAGCATTTGACCATGAGAATACAAGGACAGTGATCATGGACGGAGGCCATGGTAAGCTTCTTCCCCAGATTCCCCTACCCTAGTGCTTTAGCCCGGGACCTGTCATGTTATAGGCTCTGGATAAATCATGGCTGAATTCACTGAAAAAAATAGTCACCATTCACTGAATACCTACTACATGCCATGTAGTTTATAAAGGAAAGAGGTTTAATTGACTCAGAGTTCAGCATGGCTGGAGAGGCCTCAGGAGACTTAACAATCATGGCAGAAGGGGAAGCAAATATGTTCTTCTTCACATGGCAGCAGGAAGAGAAGTGAGAGCGAAGTGAAGGGGGAAGCCCCTTGTGAAACCATCAGATCTCAATTACTTTTACCATACGGGGGAGACTACCCCCATGATTTAATTATCTCTACCTGGCCCTGCCCTTGACACATGGGGATTATTACAATTCAAGATGAGATTTGGGTGGAGACACAGCCAAACCATATCACAGACCAAGTAGGATATGCATACACATATAATGAACTGGCTCCCATGACTGTGAGAGCTGGCATGTCTGACCTCTGCAGGGCAGGCCAGTAAGCTGGAAACTGAGGTAGCAATTCTATGTCACAGTCTCAAGGCAGAATTCCTTCTTATTTAGGAAACCTCAGTTTTTGCTCTTAGCTCCTTCAACTGATTGGCTGAGGATCATCCCCATTATTGAGGGTAACCTCCTTAAAGTCAACTGATTGCAAAGGTGAGTCATTTCTACAAGTATCTTCACTGCAACATTTCAATGAGTGTTTGGCCAAACAACTGGCACCATAGCCTGGCTGCCAGATTCTGGTTTGTGCTGCTGGGTGACAGCCAAGACCACCTATACTCCTTCTCTGCATAGGTGTGCAGAGAAGGAGCAGGTTTGGGGGGCCATTATCACACACCTCATATTCTAAAGGCAGGCTGTTTCCACACCATGACACTGTTTCCACAAATGTGCTTTATAAGCAGCTTACTTTGTGGCTGGTGATTCCCTTCTGGGGGAAAATTGCCTCCTCTCCCTCATTCTTTCAAGATTGATCAAGACCAGATGTGTGTGTGTGTGTGTGTGTGTGTGTGGTGGGGGCAGTGAAGGGTGACTGGATAAAGATGTGAATTTAGACCCCAGCTCCATTCCAGAGCCAACCAAATTGTAATTCACTCTCAGCTTTTCCTAATATTAGGTTTGTGCCAAAGCAATTGCGGTTTTTGCCATTAAAGTAATGCCGGTAAAGTAATGGCAAAAATGGCAATTGCTTTTGCACCAACCTAATAGAATAGAGTCAAATGCAAAATCCCACGCCAGTAGCAAACGGTCCCTCGCTGCTCTCCCAGTCTCCCTGGGCAGCGGGACCCACAAGCACAGCCCTCTCCTCCTGTATGCCATTCTGTGGGATTCTGGAAAGTCCAAAGGGATGATCTAGGGCAAAGAATCACCCATGGCCCGGCACCACGAGGGCCGGAATAGTACATGCCTGAGGCCTGGGTCCAGGACTTGCTTCCAAAATTGCACTCAAGGCTCTCTTGCCTTTGGGATAAAAGACCAATTCTCTGATAAGGCTTGTGATATTGATTTTTAAAAAGTCAAAAGAAGAATATTTTTTTGATACAAATAATGATATGAAATTCAAATTCTGGTGTCCACAAATAAAGTTTTATTGGAACACATTCATGCCTGTTCATCTGCCAATTGTCTGTGGCTGCTTTCTTGACACAATGGCAGAGTTGAGTAGTTTTAATAACCATGTGACTCACAAAGTCTAAGATACATACTACATGGCCTTTTACGGAAAGATTTCCTGTTCCCCTACCCCCGTTTAGAATTGTGCAGCCTTCCCTGCTGGTTATTAAATAACCACCACCCTGAGCTCCCAAAAGCCCACTTCTAACCCTCCCCAGGAACCTTCGGGACCTCTCCCAATCTATGGATAAAGCTTGTCTGTCTGGAGAGCTCTGGAACCCTGTGAGAGCCTACGCACGTGTTGTTCTCATTGATGGTGCCCACTTTGTATCTGTGCATTGTAGTTTGAGTCCCATCCCTGATTTTCTCACTGCTCCTTCAAAGATGCTTCCTCCCTGCCTCAGAGTCTTAGCCCATGCTGTTACTTGTGCCTGGGATGTGCTTCCCTACATCTCCACCACCATGCACCAAGTCTGCAAATTCCTTCTCATCCTCAGATCTTGTCTGAAGTATCAAGAGGGCCTCTTGTCCTCCAACATTAGGTCTGGTCCTTCATTACACACTTTGGAGGAAGGTCACTGTGCAGCCACACTTAAGAAGTAGCCGGTCATCCTCCATCTCCCCGAGGGCACAGTATCTACATAAACTATTTGGAATTCTTCTGCCTGGGAGATTTATCTCTGTTCTCGAATTTATTTACTTAGTCAATCATTTATTTAATCAGTGTGGTCTCATGGATATTTATTTTTACTTTGGGTTACAATTCAATAACATTTTATGTATTTTATTGCACAAATTGTCCCAGCTTTGGGCACGGGGAGCTCTTTCAGCTGGCTCCTGTGTCCCTTTGACATAGTCTCATCGTTGTTAGTGGGATCTTTATTACTTGCTTTACCATTTCCTTACTTTCTGGCACTATAAGACACCCCAAGGTCATCTTGTATCAGTCCTACAAGAAGCTACTTTCCCAAGGGTCCTTTGTTCCTTTTACTGGACAATGATATTAGAAACCAAGATCTGGGTACAGGTGGGCTCATTGCTATAGGGATGCTGTTGCTTGTAGACTATCTCAGCTGACAGAGTAAGGGGATCCGATTGTGCATATTAACCCATGTATATGCACAGATCTATAAATATTTTTATTTGGAACCACCTGTATCCATGTAAAGCTCAACGTGAGTTCACACTAATGTCTCCAACTCTAATCCATCACCACATGGATCATTTGGCCTCCACCCCTTGCTTATCTCACTCCAGTGGTGAAAAGCTGGTGTTCACCATCTTCTGTCCATTTACTTCATTATTCAGTTGCCAGGGACATGGATATTAGTAACAGAATTATTCAATGGTGCCTCTCTTGACCCTGTGGGAAGCAACCTTATCAGCTCGAGTCAAGTGCTTCTGTACAGTTCCTTTTGTCTTTAGTGTTACTGACTTCACTCATTTCCAAAGTTACTAAAGTCAGTACCTTTCCTTTTCTGTGGGGTTGTCTCAAACATTTGCAATGCATTTAGATTGTTTGGTCACATTGTGCCCTTCCTTTTGGGATGAGGGATTCTTTTCATGAGTTAAGCACTGGGGCTCTGGCTTTCTAGAGAAGGGGCATGGAAAGTCTGTGTGGGGTACTTAGCAGAGGAGAGAAGGAGGATGACAGCACCCTTGATGGTGACACTACCTCACTAGCCCCCTGGCCTGGATTTAAAGTTTGGATGGTGAGAGGTTTTAAGGCCACAAACAAAGGACATTGATTTCCACAGGGATTTTGCAAGACTCTGGGCTCAAGCAGCCCCATTTTTGTGCCCAGGTGATAAATTATGACCACAAGTTGGGGAGAGGAATCCATCCTAACTCTTGGTTTTCTAGGGTTTGTGGAACTGGGGTTACTGGAAGGCAGCTCCTTTGGCAGATGCATCTATCACCCTGGCCAACATCGAGAGTCCCTTGGGCAGCTCCTGGAGAGGGAAGACACTGAGATGCACAAGAGGTGGCAGAGACAGAAGGGCCGATCAGGGAGGGTCCTTTGAGAGGACTGAAGCTGGCAGGCTCCAGGGTCATCCAGACATACTTGGGGCCTCTGTAAGGGGCTAGATTGGGTCCTGGGTAGGTACTGAGGTTCATAACCAGCATCACGTCTCAACACAAATGTTCATCTGCCCCCATGGGTGTCTACTATAGGTTGATGAGGCACAGGAGAGTGGAGGGGGTTTGGACCAGAGCTGTTCTTATTCCTGCTCTGCTGCCTGCTAGCCCTGTGGCCTTGAGCCAAGCATGTAACTCCTTCAAGCATTAATTTGCTCATCTTTAAAGTACGGAGAAATAATAATCATAGTACCTGCCTTAAAGAGTTGTGGTGAGGATCAATAAATTAATTCATTTCATTAGAACAGTGATTGGCACATAGTAAGGGCCCTGCGGAATGACAAAAATAGTGATATTGATGATGATAATGATAATAGTGATGGATGATGATTATGGTGATAATTGGTGATGATGAAGATGATATTGATGGTGATAATGATAATGATGGGTGATGATTATGGTGGTGATTGGTGATGATGATTATGACAATGATAATGGTGATGATTGATGTTGATAATGAAGATGATGATAATGGTGATTAATGATAACAGTGATGATGATGATGATAATGATGGTGAGGATGATGGTGGGGATGATAATGAGGAAATGATGGATGATGACTATGGTGATGATTGATGATGATGGTAACAATGAGGATGATTGATGCTGATAATGAAGATGATGATGGTGATGATAATGATAATTAATGATGATGGTGATGATGACCATCATCACCTCAGGCTATTGGGGCCTATGATATTGGGGTTACATTTGGAAGAAATTCATGATTTTCACCTTGGGAGTATTTATTTGACTCACATGCTATTGCTGAGTGGGCCAGGAAGCATGTGCAGAACTGGAAATTGAGAACTTGAAGTTTGGTTTTGGTCAAGTTCCCCAGAAGCAGCCCCTAAAATGAAGGTCTGTGCATAAGTGATTCATTAAAGGGGCACTCCCCCAAAAAACTGGTCAGGTAGAGATAGAAGGTACAGAGAGAAACTGGAGAGGGAAGGGGAAGAGACCAAGGAAAGGTGAGGCTTCACCTGAGTCCCAGCTTCAGCCTGAGCCTGTGGGGAGCTCTGGATCATAAATCTTATCTTGAGGTTCGTCTTGCTCAAGACAAAGGAGCTGGGCTTCTGCATTTCTGCGTCAATCTACCCTCGGCTGTGACCTGCCCTGGGGGATGAGGGTTTGAGAAACCAGACTCCCAGGCACTCCTGGCCCTCAGTCCAAGTGAGCCATTCCAGTAGCACAGGCATCATCCTCTAAAGAAGACTGACACTGTGAGCTGTTAGAAGCAAACACACAGAAGCCGGGTGGTGGCGGGTGGGGAGGGGACACACATTAGGGAGATCAGAGGCATGCGGGTGGAGCACTGATGTGTCTGTGCACCACGGAGTTCACATCTACTCTTCCAGTAATGGCATGTGATCTCGAGCAAGACGCTTCATATAGTCACTCACTCAAATGTTTTCAGGTACTGACTCCAAGCCAAGCACAGTGGATGGGACTCCTTGGAAGCTGAATGTCCAGCATGTGCATCTGACTGACTGACAGCTGTCACCTGTGTGACACTGGGGAACCGCCTGGAGCCCTGGGTCCTCCCCCTCACAAGAGAACCTGTTGGAATATTCCAGGAAGTGATTTTGTTTAGACAGGTAACCCTGAGCCTACTCTAAATTCATTTGAAAAAGTGAATCTTCACACACTTTGGTATTTCTTGAGTGACATTTTCTTGAACCTCACCACACAGTTACACCAAGTTTACCGTAGGACTCTGGTCCAGGAAGCCTTGGCTCCCCCATCTGTAAAGCTCAGGGCTTAGATGAGGAGATCATCAAAGCTGCTTCTAGCACTGACTTTCTAGGACACCAAGTTAAAACAAACATGAGTCAAGCAGTTGATTAACCCCAGGTTCTATTTTTCCATTTGAACACTGAAGGTTTTTCCTAGTGGATCTTAAAAACAAACTCCGGAAGGGCCTTTTACCTTTTCCAGGGATAATGTCGTAATCTAAACAAATATGTAAGAAGCAAAAAACAGAAATGGTGAGATGAGAATTTAATGTAGCGTGCTTGAGGCCCTGGATGATTTATCACTGTCCTCGCAGACTGCACAGCCTCACAATGGGTTCGTGAATGTGTCTCTCCTCTCCTCCCCCAAGGATCTTAGGCCAAGCAGGCCCCTTTAACGGAGAAACCATTTAACATGCCAGAAAAAGTATGGGTCTGTGGGCCACCCAGGAGGCAACCCAGCCCTTGAAGATGTCAGCGAAGACACAGAGACTCAGAGAAGGGCAACTTCAGAGTTGGCCTTTGGTTCTTTTATAGGAATTCCTCCCCGCAGGCTGCCCTTTCAGGGTGTGATAGTGTGGACAAATCCACTGGACCAGGTCACTGTTTTACAGCTATCGGGGTGACCCTGAGCCAATCAAAGCAAAGTACATAAGCATCATGGCAGTGGAGTCCAAGAACCATCTGGGTCATCCCCACACCCACCCCTGTCCCTGCCCCACCATGTTGATTCTCATCTTAAACTCATCCGTTGCATCTTGCGCTGCTTCATAACCTTACCCAGTGGCAGATCATAAACCAGTGACTCATGTGCTTGTATATTTAGTGCCCATCTCCTTCCCCATGAGACTTTAACTTCTTGGGATAGTGATTCATTCAGTACATAGAGAGATGAGGGCTCTGGGAAGGTTTCCAGGAGACAGTCTTCGTGGGACCTGGGGTCGTGTTACTTCACATCTTCTCATCTGTGAAGTGGGGCTAATAATAGTCCCCAACTCAGAGATGTTCTTACTATTTTTATTTTAGAGATGAGGAATTTGCACTCTAAAATGTGATAACCACCCATCTGAATTATTGCCAAGTCATCAAGTTATCCATTAATCATCCATCTATCCATCAATTTATCTTTTCTCCCTCCCTCCCTTCCCTCCATCCAGCCGTCAAACCATCCATCCATCCATCCATCCATCCATCCATCCATCCATCCATCCAACAATCACTAAGTATTTTATGAGGGAAGTCGGTGTATGAGGCTCTTGGGAACACAATAGTGATCGCTTCAGGAGATCCTTAGCTAATATAGTGGGAAAAGAAAATCAAATAAATACCTATATTCCAACCCAGTCGGATTAAGGGTGCTAACAGAGGATTTTGGAGCCCAGGACAGGGAGGGGCCTATTGTCCTGAGCTGGCTAAAGGGAAACAGGCAGGAGAAGCAAATTGGGTGAGTCTCATGTGCCAGATCGTGGAGTTGGACCCAACTTGTTAGCCCAAGGAAACTGTAGTGCAGGACATAGAAAGTGAAACTAAGTTTTAAGAGTGAAAAAGAAACAAAGAAACACGCCTGTAATTCCAGCACTTTGGGAGGCCAAGGCAGGAGAATTGCTTGAGCCCAGGAGTTCAAGACCAGCCTGGGCATCCTAGCAAGATCTGGTCTCAAAAAAATAAAAAAATCAACCAAGCAAAGGTGGTGCCTGCCTGTAGTCCTAGCTACTTGGAAGGCTGAGGTGGGAGGACTGTTCGAGCTCAGGATATTTGAGGCTGCAGTGAACTCTGATCAAACCACTGCACTCCAGCCTCGGCAACAGAACAAGACCCTGTTTCCCAAAAATTAAAAGATGAAAAAGTGATTTTACCTTCCTCTGAAACTGCAGCAACTCTTCATGATCCTGAGGGCTTGGGAGAGTTTAAACTTGCTTTATCTAATGGGGCATGGCTATAACAACATGGGCACGACTCTGGAAATCTTTCATCTGAAGCGATGCAGACACTGCCTCCTTCCTTTCAAGGCAGAGCTTTATGCACCTGGGTCTTGACATCGGTGTGGAATCTCAGAGGAACCTGGGGCTGATATCACTGGAATTAATCTGAGTAATTAGTAATTAGTTCCCAGGAGATGGCAGAGCTGATAACATCTTTCTTGGTGGTGGAATTTTTCCCTCTTGCCCTGTCCCAGAGCACAGTTCATCCTGCACCCCTGAATGGCTCTATTTCTTTCCAGTGATGGTTCACAGACTTTCGGGGTCTCCCGCCCTAATCATGACGTGCCCTCCTCTGCTCCCCTTGGGGTTGGCCTCCCCTGATAGTGTGACAGGTTATTTCTTTAGTCATTCAAGCTGGTTTTCCTCATATTTTTGCTTGCCCCATTTCCGGCAGCTCACTGGGCCCCTCTGTGTCCCTGCAGCTTTAGGCAGCTGTGTTACAGGCGTCCAGGTGGAAGCCACCTGCCGGAACTTCTTCCCTTCCCGAAAAACAAGCCCGTAATGAATTGGCTGTGTGCATTTCACAGTTTTCACATAAAACCCAGGATTCCTGACTTCTCCCAAGGAACTGGGCAGTCTGGTCCTGTGTCTCCACCTGGCAACAATGGGCTGGAGCTGGGGACCAACTGCCGCCTTCAGGAGGCATGTTCCTGCCTGCTTGCCACTCTCCCCACCCAGCTGTGGGCATATACAGAACTAAAGTGGGGTGTCCTGGAGGAGAGGGGGAGGGGGAAGGGGAAGGGAAGGGCAAGGAGCAATTCGGCAGAGATAGGAAAAAGATGGGGACGGTGCAAGGCCATTCATTCCTCACTCGGGGACCATGACGGGCCACATGAGAGAGGTCAGATGCTTGTAGGAGCAGTATCAGCCTGGTCTCAACAATGGGGCAACGGGCACCTCTCTGGTGAGCCGTGTGGACAGGTGGACCCAGCCATAAGGACCTCTCCTATGCTTTGGGGCTGGCTTGGACCTCAGCACAGCCCTGGGGGAGTCCCACAGTGCCATCCAGCTGGCATATGGACACGTGGAGGTGAATTTCGTCCATGGGGAGAAGTAGGAGCCTGGCTAGTTCTTGCCCCTCTTGAGATGTGGCCTGAGATTCTCCCTAGCTATGAGGAGCTTGACAGCCTGGGGAACAGGCCCTTTTCCCCTGCTCTGGATCGCCCAGGCTCTGCGCCTGGCAGCCATGGCTTCATTTATTGATCAAGGTGGCAGCAATTTTCTCATCACAGAATCTAACCCAGTGCACGCCCCTGGTGTGTGTGTGTCTTCTGCTTGCTGTCAGTGACAGGTGAGGCCTGGGGTGGTGGATGGGGCCAGAAAGGATGGAAGCCTGGGGAGGAGACGGTTCCCAACCCTCATGCGGCTTTCCTCCACTATTCCTCTGGGCCGACTGGGCTTCATGGAACTCTCGCGGCTGCCCCACTTGATGGATGAGGACACCAGGTCTGAGAACTTCCCAGGTCACAGGGCAGGGATTCAGACCCTAGGCCAGGCCTGAATCGTGCCCACTTTAGAACAGGGTGGCCTTGTTGCTGGGCATTTTCTGCAGTGCCATTGTGCCTCATTTGCCTTGTGTACACGGGGCCGACCGGTCATGCCTGCGTGCGTGCACCCAGCAGGGCCCCGCAAAGTCCTACCTGCTTTTCTGTCTGCCTGGAGTGCGCACCCTCCACTCTCAGCTTACCACTTATTGCCTCATCCTAAATACCCCCTTTAGGCTTTTTGTTTTGCTCTTTTAGATGAAGAAAACTTTGAAATTAAAATGCAAAATCGGATCTTTGCCTTTTGTGATAAAAGCCCATTTCCTCCTCAATCAAGCACAATTATACAAAGGTATTCATTGCATCACCTGGTAAAGCTGAGATCAATATGAACAGGCTGGGTTTTGGCTTCCGTAACTCCCAGCACCAAGCCTGGGGGCTGTCAGGAGCCTGAGGCTTCCTGGTTTCAGGTGCAGCCACTCTAGTGCAGGAGGCAGGCCTTCCTCGTGACTCCTCCTAGGAAGATGGGCCCCACCTGCTGTGTTTCCAGTCACGTAGTTGCTGCGGCGGGTGGGTCTCCTCCCAGTGGACAGTCACCCCAGAGAGCACAGACCCCAGCACTCCCAGGCCTGGCACCTCCAAGGGGCCAAGTGAATAAAGTAAATGAGACGGGTGAACACGGCTCCACGGGCGTTAAGGCCATGGGCTCCCACGCTGCACGACTTTAGTCCTGCCTCTCCTCGCTCTATGACCTTGGGCGGCAGCCACGGAACTCACGGAGCCTCAGCTTGCTCATCTCAAAAGTGGACGCGACCACGCAGCCTCTTCCCGTGGGGCTGAGGTGAGCACTCAGTGGAATGATCACCGTGCCTCAGGCAGGACAAGAGCCACGGGGACTGTGGCTATTTCTAATATCCTTAGTAGTAGTAGTATTAATGGTGCACAGGAGTGGGGACAGCGGGAGTTCTCAAGGGACCCTCCTTGTCACGGATGTTATCGCTGGGACTTGGGGATGGCTTCAAGAGCCACAGGAACATTCACCAAGTAACTGCTGGGATCCAGGAAAGCAAGAGGGAGATGCCGCTGGGCCTTTCCAATGACCTCTGCCTGTCTCCCCCACCACACTCAGCTACTGTGGAAGTTGGGAGTTTGAGCTGGGCCAGGCTTCCTCTTCTCTGCTTACCGTTGTCTTTGTGATGAATGCAACCCTCTCTGTCTCTCTCCCCATCTCCCCTCTCTCCCCTCTCTCCCTCTCTCTCACTCCCTCTCCCTCTCTCCCTCTCCCTCCCTCTCTCCCTCTCTGCCTCTCTCCCTCTCCCCTCTCTTCCTCTCCCCCTCCCCTCTCTTCCTCTCCCCCTCCCCTCTCTTCCTCTCCCCCTCTCCCCCTTTCCCCCTCTCCCTCTCCCCCTCTCCCCTCTCTCCCTCTGTCCCCCTCCCTCCTCTCCCTATCTCCCCCCTCCCTCCTCTCTCCCTCCCTCCTCTGTCCCTCTCCTCCTCCCTCCTCTGTCCCTCTCCCCCCTCCTCTCTCCCTCTCCCCCCCTCCTCTCTCCCTCTCCCCCCTCCTCTCTCCCTCTCCCCCCTCTTCTCTCCCTCTCCCCCCCCTCTCTTCTCCTCTCCTCTTTTCCTCTCCTCTCTCCTCCTCCCCGACTCCCCTCTCTCCTTCTCCCCTCTCTTTTCCTCCCCTCTTTTCCTCCCCTCTCATTTCCTCCCCTCTCTTCTCCTCCCCCCTTTTCCTCCACTCTCTTTTCTTCCCCTATCTTTCCCTCCCCTCTTTTTCTCTCCTCTCTCCCCCACTCCCATCTCTCCCTCTCCCCCTCTTCTTCTTCCACTCTCTTCCCTCCCTCTCCCCTCTCTCCCATCTGTCTCTCCTCTGTCCCCTCTCTATCCTCTCTCTCTCCCCTCTCTCCTCTCTCTCCCCTCTGTCCTGTCCTGTCTCTTCTCTCTCCGTTTCCTCCTGCTCATAGGAACCAGGGCTCACATTCTAAGGAACTAAAGGCCATGAAGAAATACCAGGGGGTTTCCTCCAGAGGGTGGAGGTTGGCCCCTGTGGCTGCCACGTGGTGTCCTGGGGGTGGGCTTGGAGTTGCTCTGTGAAGATCCAGGGGACCTGCATCTGGGGTTACTTATGGCACAGTGCTAGAATTCTAGAGGGGAGCCCTCTGGGCACTCCTCCAAGGCCACATCCCAGACGTGGTGGGAGCTGCAGGGTCAGGTCATCGATGGTGTATTTCACGCTAACCAGATGTGGGCGGGCATGTGCCCTCCAGCAGATCCTTCAGAAGGAAGGAAGGAAGCTGTCACTGGGCCTTCCCAAGGCAAGCCCAGGCTTTCTCACACACCATCTCAGTCAGTCCTCATCCCATCCTGGTGGAGGGATCAGGATATCGTTTCTTCATTGTGTTGTGGGGGCAAAGGCGTAGCCCATCATGCAGGTTGCTGGGGTGCCCCACAGGGGCAAGGCACAGAGAGGGCTTAGCAGACAGCCAGGCATGCAGTGACACTCAAAATGGCAGCTGTTTCCATCCCAGTATTCAAATAAGGAAGTAGAGGCCCTGAGAAGTTAAGGGCAAACAAGGTCCTGGAGAACTGGAGTCAAGGAACGTGTCCCCAAGGGAGTGCCAGTAAGCACTGGCAGTGTGGCAGTGCTGGAAACAGGACAGGAAACACCACCTGCAGTGGTGTCAGTGCAGCCCGGGATCCTATACTGCAGCCCCAGGAAGCTGCTCAACGTCTGCAGCTCCTTGGCAGCCCTCTCTTCCATCTGGCCCTGGCTGTTTGCCTGTGCTGGGCACCATTTTGCTTCTGGCACTGCAGTGGAGGTGGGGCGGGAGGCAGGGCAAGGGTGTTCACCAGGAGCTCTGGTTGCACTAGGGAAACCCTTCTCCTTCCCACTGCTCCTTCACTGAGCTGAGCCCTGTGGGGAGAGTGTGTGTGTGTGGTGTTTTTTTTCTGTTTTTTTTTTTTTGGAGACAGGCCCAGGCTGGAGTGCAGTGGTGTGATCTCGGCTCACTGCCACCTCTGCCTCCTGGGTTCAAGCGGTTCTCCTGCCTCAGCCTCCCGAGTAGCTGGGATTACAGGCATGCGCCACCACACTTGGCTAATTTTTTTATGTTTAGTGGAGACGGGGTTTCAGCATGTTGGCCAGGCTGGTCCTGAACTCTGGCTTCAAGTGATCTTCCTGCCTCGGCCTCCCAAAGTGCTGGGATTACAGGTGTGAGCCACTGCGCCCGGCCCCATCTGATGTGTTCATCACCAGATTCCCCAAATCCAGTCCAGTACCTGACACTCAGCAGGAAATTTATTAGAGTTGAGGAATGAATGACTGAATGGGCTGACATGTCAGAGTCACTCTGTCCTTCCCTCCAGGGCATGAGCTTGTAGAAGACAAAGCCATGACACAGCCTCCTGGAGACAGAATTCACTGGCTCAAGCAGAGCAACTTTGTTGAGGAGACAAAGCTTGGCATGGAATGGGCACCTGGTGGCCCAAGAAGGCTGAGTGAGGGGTGCAGTAGGCAGCCTGGATGCCGTGGCAAGCTTTGGGTGTTTTCTAAGCACAGAGGGACATTCCTACTAGAGCTGCACAAGTCTCAGCCCAAGCAGGAGTGTCCCCTGGCTGTTAGAAAGCCAGAGCTTTGGGAGAGCATGGCCTCTGAGTGTCAAGGCCCATGGGGATGTGACTCTACCAGGCTTCAAGCAGAACCCCAGGAGAGGATGGAGGCAGAAAGGCTATCTGCCTGGGAAAGTGATGGCCTCTTCATTCCCTCACCAAAGTCCCATTTTTTAAAAAAGTTAAAAATTGATGGACAAAATATTGAACATGCAGACTTGGCAGCAGAGGGATAAACACAGGTGCACTTTGTCACAGTGACAGAGTCAATGGGCATTCATTTCTAACACGGCAAGCATCATTTGAATGAAGACAGCAGCCATCAGTTAAATAAATAGTTATGCTGTCCTAAGCTTGAGTGCTAGCTAGGCTCAGAGCACGGACTTGGGGCTCACTGACTGGCATCTGTCAGCTTCTGAACTTGGTCCTGGTGTGGTTCCCTCAGAGCCCAGGGAGGTCGGGCAGGGGGTCTGTTCCAGGAGTGAGCAGGGAATTCCCTCTGATCCACTGACTTCAGAGCTGGTCATGGAAGTTTTGAAATGCAATCCCTTTTTTTTAAGTATAAAATAATATATGCTCATGAGAGTGCAAAACCAAATGAACCATGACTGAAGGACATAAGAATAGGAAGAAAAAGCCTCCTACCTCCTTCATCCCAACATTGCATTTTCCAGAAGTTTCCCATACATACACACACGGTATGTCCATCTTACATTCCAGCAACTACAGTGGATCCTCCTGTGTGTGCTGGTTTGCACTGGATCCCACTCTAGGTGAAAGATAAGATGGACATTCCTTTTCTCTGGTGGATCCACTGGGACCTCTCTCCATGTTACCTTCCACGGGGTGGAGGAGGTCCTGTCTGTCTTGGTCCCTGGTGCAGTTCCGTTTTGGTCCAGGAAATATTTCCATTGAGTGGAGGGGCACAGCTCAGCCCCTGCCAACCTGCTGTGGAGTTGGAGCCTCCTCACTTGAGGCTGGGGGTGTGGGCGGCCATAAACTCATTGCCGTAAGCAGTTCTGCTACGGCAGAACCTTGTATCTTAGACACGTGCACTAGTGCGTTGGGAGGGTAAATTCCTAGAAGGCCATTGTGAAGTCAAGGGTGCACGCGCTTTTAATTTTGATGGATGTTGTCAGATTGCTGCACGTCTGAGGAGGCAGCAGATCATTGACTCTTGGTGCAGTTTCAGTTCTTTTTTCTTGGAGCTTCCTGTGTTCTTCCTGTCCAATCTTCTCAAGCCCAGAGGCACATTGCTGGTGAAGATTGAGGCCTCTGGAGCTGGCCTGAGGGGCTGTGAACCCAGCTTCTGTCCTTGCTGACTCTTCCCAGGCCTCTGTGTCCTCGTCTGAAGAATGGGTGAATGACAGTACTGACTTCAAGGGCGGATCTGAGGCCTCATGAACTCACCTCCCAGCCACCAGCATCCCCAGGTGCACATAGATCAAGGGAACAAGCTGTGGTCATGGGACACGAGTTTGTTGGACTCTGGAAGGCCTGGCAGTGAGGTCTGGGGTGGCATTGCCCTTGGAGTTGTTGAGGGACATTGGGGATGAAGTATGGCCCTTCTGAGCAGGCCACCCCTGCTGACCGTCCTCTCCTCTTTTGAAGTCCCAGAGATGGGGGATCTGTTTATTACAGACAGGCAAACAGAGGCCTACAGAGGTGAAGCAACTTGCCCAAAGTCACACAGCTGCTTACATTACAGAAGAAATGCCACTCTGCTTTTTACTTTAAGCACAAAATTTGTTTCTCCTTGCATGTAATAACCTTGCTGTGGCTCTGATTCTTCACGGTCTGGGTTTGAATTCTCATCTGCTGATTTCTGACTGTGGGCAAATTCCTTTACCTGTCTGTGCCTGCAGATCTCTGAGATGAAAGCGGAGATGGGCGAGCTCACTCACAAGCAGGGCCGCGCTGGTGTCAGCACCTTGGGCAGCCTCAGTCCTTCCTCTTGGATCCGGCACTGGCAGGGCACCAGTGCGAAGAGGGCTGCCTGTTCAACTCCCACTGAAGCTACAGGTGAGTCCAGGCCTCGGTGCAATGCATGCTCTTGTGATGGCCCCGGAGCCAAGCAATTTTATCATCGTCTTGTAACTCATCCACTACATCTGACCTTTGGATTCACAGAATAATTAATGGGGCACTTTGGGTGGCGCTTGAAGTGTCAAGTTTTTAATTAATGTGCCGGACTGAATATACTTAGCTGGACCATTCTGCCCAGTCCATCCAATTACCCAGACTCATTATGCAACTCGATTGCGTTTTCCATTACTCAGTGGCTTTGCTAAATGGGAATCTATGCTGCAGACAGACAGCCCAGCGCTGATATTGATTAGAGAGCACAGTTTATTACCCAGTGGAGGCAATGCTTGGGGTTGTAAATCTCTTGCTGGACACAGCTTTTCTGCAGCCTCCAGGTGGGAGACGGAATTGTATTTGGATGAAGCATTTCAGCCATCGACCCTCCTTCCAAACTTCCTCTGTGTCCTGCCCTTTGTTTAATGGAATTGCCTTTCCCTCGCCAACTCCCCCCTGTAAATACACTCAGGGACTCCTCGTGCTTTAATAGCTAACATGGATGCATGGTATTTTTCACCTTTCCCCGAGCTCCAGAATGACACAAAGCATTGAGCTTGCCAGGGAGCATTATAGCAGGATCAGCCACAGGGGAGGATGCTGAGCCTTCTTTGTTCTCGCTGGATTTAGGATGGATCTTGTGCCAGACCCACCTTGTCTTGCTCTGCAGTGGCCTCCAGCCCTTGGTGAGAGAGGGAGGCAGCAGTCAGTTGGCGGTCGAAACTTGTGTTTAAGGTTGTGATTATAATTCCAAGTGGAGAAACACTCCTCTCCCCACTGTATCAAGGGTACTGTTTCATACTCGATAACCTCCTTCCACTCCTATTGCCCCTTCAGCATTGCTTCAATGTGTTTTCCTAATCTGTGGCACAGGCTGCAGCAGGGAAAAGAAAGAGAAAGAGTACAGGCTGGCGTGATGGTTGGGCCGTGTCCCTCCACTGTGTCAAAGCTGATGAACACCTATTCCATGCCGGGCACCGCACATTTGCCATCTCCAGTCCTCAGAAAGCCTAGGAAGCACGTGTTTGGGTTTGTTTTTTTTTTTAAATCTTCTAGTTTAGATTATTTCATATTCACAAAAGAGTTGCAAAAATAGTATAGAGAATTCTCATAGACCTCCACGCCCAGCTTTCCCTTGTGTTAACACTAAAGTAAGTGTTTTAATCAGCAATCTGTGGAAAAGAAAGCTGAGGCTCAGAGAGGTTAAGGAACTTCCACTAGGTCACACAGCCATGGTGGGATTGGAGCCCAGATCTGTGTTTAGCTTTGCCTGGGTCATCCTGTAAGCATGAATGACTATCTGCCAAAGGACTTAAAAAGAAGGAGCGGGTGCTTATCCGCAATCACAAAATTCAAGAACAGAGCTGTAGGTGTCCGCAAAAGGGAGATGTCTGATGCCCAAGCCCAGAAATCAAGCCAGAACCTCATTTATGTTCAAGATGGATGTTGCTTTGCAAAGGCACAGAGGAGATTTGAATTCCTAAGGGGTAAGAGGGAAAACAAGAAGAATTTGAGCACAACACTGACCAGCAGACCGCACGCTTCCTCCCTCATTTAGACTTGGGTAGTCTTGTTTCATGGACCCCAAACTGCCTGAAGGACCGGCTTCCAACCCACCTTGCCAGAGCCAATCAGCAATCAGCACGTCTAATTGGGCTGGTGTTGACACTCCTGTTGGCAATGTAATAGTGCAATTAGCAACAATTAACCTTGAGAATAAATGAACCATCACAAAAGAAAAGTTTTGCTTTTGCCAAGCTCGACAGACACCCTTTCAACAAACACCATTCTGATTCTCTGGACACTCCTAATGAGAAAAGGAGCTGCTGGGGGTTTAAACAAATAGAGTGATAGATCACAAATAAATCCTATTTATTAAGCACACATGGATGCCAGGCTTGGCGGTAAGCACTCAACATTGACTTAGCTCCCTAAATTCCCTCTAAAAACTTGTGAAATCAGTGCTGTTTTTATGCCTTTAAAAAACCCCAACATTTTAATTTTGAAATAACGACAGATACACAGGAAATTACAAACATAGTAGAGGGGTCCCATGTATCCTTTCCCCAGGTTCCCCCAGTGGTGACACCTTATGTGATTGTAGATTATCAAAAGCAAGATATTAGCATTGGTTCAAGCTACAGCTCTTTTTCCGATTTCACCGTTTTCCATGCACTATTTGTATATGTGTGTGTTGTTCTATGCAGTGTTGTCAGTATTATTATCCCCTTTTCATAAATGAGGGAACCAAATCGTAGAAAGGGGTAAGGGACTTGCCTAGGTGACCACACAGAGCTGCATGAAGGTCAAACTCCAAAGCTGCACCCCTGCCTGCCTCTCTAGGTTTTCAAACACCCCTATCCTTTGGGAATGTGATTAATATGGGAGAGACTTCACTTGTGGACGAAGTTAGCCCTTAAACTACACTTACAGCTGGTGGTAAAAATGTTGTCTTGCTAATTTATCTCTTCTAAAGATGATATACAAAGGGCAGAGTGCTCTTTCATGCTCACATTCGCTCTCCTGCTGCGTGTGTGTGTGTGTGTGTGTGTGTGTGTGTGTGTGTGTGTATCTGTATCTCACAGAGTGCCTTCCTGTGTGTGGACCCTGATGGAATGGGATGAGTGGGGAGTCACTGTGACTTCCAGTCTGGTAATGTGGGCAGAAAACACGTGGCTGCCTGACCTGGGACAGCCGGGGCAGGAGAGATCTACTGACAAATGGAAGCCCACCTCCCACCACGTACAGGGTGGGGGGCACCAGAAGGCCCCAACACACCGAAGGGAAAGCTCTGTGACTCTTTACATCCGATGGCTTCAAATTAATAACAAATTGCAAAACTAAGGCACACTGGGGATTTGGCTTTGTTCTTGGAGCTGTTAAGAATGTAAAAGGTCATCGAGCTACAATAAATAATGAAATGTGCCTGTTTTGTGCTTGGGAGACGGGATTTTTTTAGGGGGGAGGGGTTGCTTTAATGGCTCTGGGGAGGGTCCTGAAATCATCCCGCTTCCCTCTGGGTGGCAGTGGTGGTGGAAATTTACTGCAAGTTAAATTTTTAAAAAATCAATAGCATTTCAGATGATTGCGAATTAGGGGCTATTTGCTGAGGCTTAAGGGGATTAAGGTTAAAGCCTGAAGATGATCAATGGGTAATTACCACAAAGCAGTGGGGTGAGGGAATGGAGCATGTCTGTGGTCTTGGGGTCAGGGCCTACAGGAATGAAGAACGCAGCCCCAACAGGACCCCTTTTAACATCCACAGCGTGCAGTATGTCTGCACATGTCAGACCTGAATGAGCCGGGCTCAGATGCATTGGGAAAGCCATTTGCTAGGTCGTTCACCCTTGAGGGTGCCCACCCTTCGCCCTTTCTCCTCACCACCCTCGCGGATACCCCCACCCACCACGGAGGAAATGCTCTCCATTCAGACTTGGAGCACACAAAGGCCGAGGCGCGGACCTGCTGTTCCTTTCATGCCAATCAGTCCTGGGGTTGTAATGACTACAATTTTCTGATTTGAAGTCAAAACCAAATGGCCCAGAAGAGTGATTCAGACTCCACGTGGCCCTCTTCCTGAGAAGAAGAAGCACAAATGGATTTTTCTTTCTTAAGCCCAATTGTGTGCTGCTCATCGACCCCTCATCATTTCTGAGCTCTATTTTCTTCCCTCCTGCTTGAGGCACAATTAACGGAGGCCCAGAAAGTTTTTTGCTTCCTGTGTCTTGGCTTTGTGGGTATAGCTTGGCCTTGGTGCTGAGAAAATGCCGAGGAGCCCAAAGCCCTGGAGTTGCCTTGGGAGAGTCGCTCACCCTTCTGGGCCTCAGGATGGAGGGTCCAGGGGCTACAGAGCTGTCAGCCTATGCCCTGAGCTGGGACTCTGTGGAAATGTGGGTAGCCCAGTCTGCCCAGGGTGACTGACTCAGACTCTCCAGGGGTCATTGACTCTTTGGGTCAAACATCTGCTCTTCACCATGTGAATTTTAAAGTGTAAACCAGCTGGGCACAGTGGCTCACACCTGTAATCCCAGCACTTCGGAAGGCCAAGGCGAGTGGATCACTTGTCAGGCGTTTGAGACCAGCCCGGCCAACGTGGCAAAACCCTGTCTCTACTAAAAATATAAAAATTAGCCAGGCATGGTAGCATGTGCCTGTAATCCCAGCTACTCAGGAGGCTGAGGCAGGAGAAACGCTTAAACCCGGGAGGCAGAGGTTGCAGTGAGCTGAGATTGCACCGCTGTACTCCAGCCTGGGCAACAGAGCAAGACTCTGTCTCAATATAAATAGATAAACAAACAAAAACAAACAAAATAAAGTGTAAACTGGCTCAGAATTCCCCAGCAGCTCCCCCAACTCAGAGTGAAACCCAGAGTTGGGACTTTGGCCGCAGGATCCTCCTCCGTCTTCGTCCGCATGCCAGGCTAGTCTTTCCCAGACTCTGCTAAGTCACCCTGGCCTTCTTTCAGCCTGTGCTACTCTCACGGGAGTGGCTGCCCCAGGGCCTTTGCCTATCCTGTTTGTGCTGCCTGGATGCTCTCATCCGTCCATGCTCAACCCCATGGTCCTCTTCAATTCCCAGGCCTGCCATCACCTCCCCGGGCCGTCATGTGCGAGGCAGCCCCTGGTCTCCCTCCTATAGTATCACTTACTTGAGTTTCTGTGCAGCCCTTATCTCAGCCTGAAGTTTTATTCTTTTTGTTTGTTTACCTGCTTACGAACTGCCTGCTGCACCAGGATGTGCTCTTCCAGCCCTGCATCTCCACACCGAGCCCCTGGCCTGGCACGGAGTAGGTCACGTGAGTGCATGAATGCATGAGAGGCAGTGCTGTGGAGCCCGCTCAGCAGTGACACTTTGTGAGTCTGGGTTCAGCTCTCTGGAGCTGCTCATTTTACACATGAGGGAGCAGAGGTCCTGGCAGGCTGATCCTAAAGTGAGTGATCCTCCCATAGCTATTAGTGGAGTCCTCAGGCTGCCCTTGTCCACGCTGGGGGCACCTCCAGGCAGCTTTGGATTTGAAAAGAAGGTAGCTGGTGCCATGAGGCTTCTGAGTTCAGCCAAAGGGCCCTCTGGGGCAATGGGACAACCTGGCCTTGTCCAGAACTGAGGCCCCGGAAGCGAGGGGTTGAAACTGGTGCCATGAGCTCAGTTCTTTCAGCTAAAGCTGTGCATGTTCCCAAGACAGAAAAGGTCAGAGACAATGCAGTTATTCTGGGGCCATGGAACTCTGCCTGGTGCTTTCCAGGCTCTTAAACGTGTCCATTTAATCCTTCATTAAGACCTGTCCATCAGCTCATCTCTGTGCATTTAAAATATTTCACAATCACTTCCCCCCTCTGACAGGGGCCTGACTCTGGAAACTGAATTCAACCTGCCCCTACCCCGCACTCCCAGTATGGGGTCCTGGCCCAATAGAGCCAGCCAAGGCCTTGCGGTGTAAGTCTCGGCTGCTGCCTCCGTGTTGGGTGCGTCCAGTCCACTGGGATATATGGCTCCTATTGGAGGTGAGCTGTCCGGGTCTCTGTAAATCTGTTCCCTTCTCTTCCCCCACCATCAGGGACATAAGGCAGAGAAAATGCCAGACATGGACATGGGACATGGACACTTTGATCTATGTACTCATTTTCTTGTGCTCCAAACTTTTCCCTTTATTTGACTTCAGAGGTGACCACTGAGCCAGTTGCTTGCAGTCCATTCAGAAGCCCTTTCCATCAGCTTCCAGGCACAAGTGTACCCTTCACCTCCAAGAGCGGGCAGAGCCCTGTTAGAGGGTGGTCGGGGCAAAGCCAAAGGCCCAGGCACACCGCAACCCCCCCGCCGCCACAGCCGGAACTGGCACGTCGGAGGCACTGAGGCCCAGGGGCCTGTGCCCTGTGCTGCACCCCGCCTACCTGCCGCAATGCTGGGAGACAGCAAACAGGAACCACTTGAGGGGCCATCAGCCGCTGCTGATGCGAATCAAAGAGCACGCGGTCCCCAGCCCAGGGCGGAAGCACGCTGGCCACCCATTAGTTGTTATGGAAACTCATTACCCCAAGAGGTTGTTCAGCTGAAAATATAAACAATTTCCCGAAAGGTTTTAGCAAAATTCATGGGTGACAGCCGTAATGGCACTATTAAGGGAGAGGAGGATGTTCTCTCCTGCAGCTGTGGGTTGCGGCCTGCCTTGTGTCAGGGGCACCTGCTCTCCCATGTCTTTCCACTGCCACCCACCCAGTGGCATGAGGCCAGACACGCGGCAGGTCCTCCTCAAGCCTCGTGAGTCCTCCTGTCGGGGGCTACTCCACGTCACTCAGACACTGTCCTACACTGGGGAGAGAGAAATCCCAAGGCAATGTGCCTCTTCTGGGCTCCCTGAGCAAATCCCTCTTACAAAGCTGGGTGCAGAAAAATATCACCTACAATGATGGCGAGTTATGACAATTAGAATAGCTATGTACTATCAGCAATGATTATTATTACATGGTATTATTTCATTATTGTGATCAATTATATTACTTGTAATTATTAATAAAAACATCAAGTATCATTATGTTCCAGGCCACTTGTGTTTTAAGTGCTGTAATTCTGGTCACAGGCATATAAGGCAGGTAGTATTACCATCTCATTTTAGAAATGGCAAACTGTTGTTACTGAAAGAGACCCTGTGCCAAGCAGGAATTTTAAGTTTCCTGAAAGTTCTGTTCCTCTCTTCATTCTCTCCCTCTCACCCTCTCTCACTTTCATCCAGCATTCATTCCACAAATTCTTATTGATTCTACCATGTGCTACATACTGTTCTAGACACAGAGTGGCAGTACACATGCCTGTGCTTCCACTACTGTGTTTTTACTTGGCTTCTTCTACTCACCTGTCAGAACCTAGACGTCATTTCTCCCAGCTAGCCTTTTTGGGACTTGCTAGTTGGGGTTAGGGGCTTTTTGATGCTTCTACAGATTCTGAACTTCCTTCATCTCCATACTGGGAGTTCTATGACAGTTGCTTACTTGTATCTGTCTCTTCCTCTAGACTGGGAACCCTTTGCCTCCTGGGACTGTTTTTTGTCTATGTTTTCAGGGCTCAGCACAAAATAGGTACTGAATTTTTGTTGGATTTTATCACTAGGAAAATAGTTCCAAGAAGGCCAGGTCTGTCTTTTCTACCCTTATATCCACTAGAAGTGTCTAGTCTATAGTGCTTGCAAAATATATATTTGTATGATGGATAAATGGATAGATGGATGGATAGATGGATGAATGGTTGATTGGATGGGTGGTTAAGTGGATGAATGGATTAATGTCTGGATAAATAAAATGTTGGTTACTAGAAGGTTGGGTGATTGAATGGTTGGATAGATATTCGGATGTTGGACAGATGGACTGATGGATGGATGGATGGATGGATGGACATATGGGTGGATGGTCAGATATATGGTTGGATGGATAAATGGAAAGTTGTTAGGATAGAGGTTTGGATGACTGGGTAGATAATTGAATATTGAATTGATAAATGAGTAGCAGATGGTTGTTGTCTGAGGTCAGTTTCCCTGGGCAACAGATTCTGAGCTGGTGTTTTACGTGCAGAAAAATTGCTGAGATGTGCCTTCAGGATCAACACCTATGGAAGAGTGAACAAAGAATGATCAGGCAGCAAGAGGAGTCAAACTGAGACAGAGTTGCAACCTCTGCCGATCCCATGGGGAGCTCTGGAGCTGGGATAGCCATTCAAGTTGTCTTGTCTTGAGGCAAGGAGTCTGTCTTTATAGCTCTCATTATCAGTCATTGGGTGCACACTGTCCCTGGGGGAAAGGCCTGATTAGGGATGAAGCATCTTTTTCAGCCAAGGGCAATGCCTGGAGAGGGACTCAGTTGAGAGCTCTCACATTTTAACACTTGCAGCAGCTGGGAGACTGAGGGCTTCTGTCCAACAGGCCCAAAAGGCAGGCCCCAGGTCATGCACCAGAGCATCCACTACGCTTCACCCTTCTGATTCACTTACTTGGCTCCTCCAGGATTCAACCATATGCCTAACACCAGGCATTCAACAACCATATGCCTAACACCAGAACTCCTTTTCTGAAGAGTCCTTAGTATAATGTGATATATGCGGGATCCTGTACTGTCAGATCAAATACTGTGTTAGCATTCAGAGTGTAGGGCTCGCTGAGGCACAGTAAAGGCAAACCCATATCCTGAATATGTTAACCCCAATCAAGAGAAATTGCTGCCCTTTTGAAGGTGGAAAGTGTCCTGTGGAATCAACTTGCCACCAAGTAGCTGGTTGGTGGTGTTCTCAAGGGCATATTAGAAGCTAAAGGGCATATTAGAAGCTCTGTGTGTGTCTCCCCAGATGATTGAGCCACTATACTGATATGGGTAGATTTTTGTAGGATGGATATTTGGTGGTAGCAGTAGCTAGATCAACCTTGGTAAGTGGGGAGTTCATGCTGTTGGGCTCATGTGTAGCTTCTACCTGTGCTACCATAGCTATTCCATTAATGAACTCATGGTGCCATCAACAGTAGCTGATGACAAATGCTAGCTGATGTCAGCTGGCCTACTCATTGTGTCTACTTGGCTGTCTAGTGGCTTCCAAGATAGATGCTCTAGTGGCTTCCAAGATAGATGCTCTCTATCCTGAACATATAGTACAACAATCTTAGCACTGTATGACAACTTTCACGGGTCCTTCCAGAAGCCTCTTTTTCAGACCTCCTTGTCCCAAATGTTTAAGTCTTTGTTCTCAAGACCTCTGACTGACAAGTCAAGCTATTTACCTCAGCCCCTGAGTCCATGTATATTCTTACATTGAACTACTGTTTTTTTCAAACAAAAATGGATGGCCAGGTGCACTGCCCAAAGCTGTGCAGTTTTGCTGTACCTTTGGGAATATTTTCTTTCACTGCTGTCTTTCAGGGTCACTTCTGAGTGGTGATATGGTGCACCTGGTATCTGTTTTTGGTTTTCACTCACATGCGATTAACCCACTCATGAACCAAACTCAGGATTTTTTCTCATTTTTCAGCTCATCATAAAGGAACCACCCCCGTCTTCAGCTGGCAATGCTTTGAGCAAAGGGAGAGGGGCTGGTGCCACCATGGTAGATGACAAGGGAGTCTAGACTTCCTCCTGCTCCTGGGGCTTACATGTGCCCCCTGCTCCTGCTTGTGCTTGATCCTCGAAGTACCACTTCCATCTTGAATACATTGTTCCTGGATCTTCCTGACTTTATGACTTGATGGATCTAAGAGAACCCAACTTACTGTGGGTAGTTCTGCCTGAGGGTCACTTGATGATCCATAGTCAGGCTCCACATCTCCACCAGGGCTGAGGAGGTCACCAGGAGCTCTTCTTAAAATGGTCAACAATTCTCTATTGCAGTTGGCCTTGCTCCAGCACCCAAGTGGGCCTACACTGTGACTCTCTTACTAGGATTTGCCATGCCATCTTTTCCTGTTGCTGACACCTCTAGTATAATAAGTTCAGCTGGGTCATATGATCTGAGCAGCAGGGCCACTTATGCTGCAGCCTTGACCTGCTGCACAGCTTTTTTCTGCTTTGATCCCCACTGGAATGGGCAGCCTTGTGTACCACTCACTAAATTAGTTGGAGTAGTTTTCCAAAGTATGGAACATGCATCTTCAGGTCCCACAGAGGTCTTCCAGTGTTATCCTTTCATCTTTGTGGTAAAAAGTATGAGATGCAATAATTTGTTTTTTATTTGGAGAGGATGTGCTGTTATGCCCCCAGATGACTGGACCACTCTACTGGACCACTGTACTGACATGGCTGGACCTTTGTAGAGGTCAGGCTCTCCCATCCTTTGGAACACATGTGCCTTCCCAAGAGTTCCAACTTGCCGTTTCTTGCTCATCCAGTCCAATTAGCATGATATGTCAGATATCACGGAACCAATGTGATGTTCAGTGGAATATCCCTATAATCCAGGTTCCTTCAGAAGGACAGAGAACAGGAGAATTAATATAGTGCTCAGGCAAGACTGTAAATGTACCCTGTTGTCCATGCCAAGTGAATGACAAACTATTTTTGATCTTCCTTCTTGATGGGGATGAATGCATTCAACAAATTAATGACTACATCTCCCTCTGATCCTCTTGCTTAATATAATATGTACTGTTTCAATTTGGCAATGCCCAGCAGTAAAATTTGAAACTGGGTTCCCAGGTGAAATAAGACTTCTTGAGCCTAAGCTATAGTGTCCCTTGAAACTCTTCCAGAGCTCTGCATTGGGAGGTATTAGACGCTTGCCCAGGTAATAATAAAGTTTGCCTCATCCTCATTTTAATGGTATTCTTTGTATGTGTAGGTCCCCTTCAGGAGCCTTGCTGGGAAGGGGTAGTGGGGCCAAGCTGGGATATGGATAGACCATGGCTATTATGCCATCAAAACCGCATTCAAATTAATGAAAATTTTGCACAAATCTAATAGTCACCCTACTTCTCATCAACTTGCTACTGAGAGCCTTTCATGTACTTAGAGATACAAGGCAAGGGACTGGCCATTTAGCTGGGGAGTATAAACAGTGCATGACACAGGCTTTCCAAGGAGGCAGGGCAAAGTAGACCGGAGAGTCCTGAAGCTTCCCTGGAGGGAGAGTGACTTAGGCGAGGAGAGAGCCTGGCCACCCCTGACAAGGAGTCAGGAACGGTAATGCCTTATTTAAAGAATCATGCCTAATCTATAATAAGTAATATAATAACTGACAACAATAATAAATGTGACATTTATTGACAAGTACACAAAACCCATTGGTGTCTATTATAAATTTCACCCTCAAAACAACCCTTCATTCATTCAGTAATACAACAATTATTTTTCAGACACTGAGGGTACGATGGTAAGCAAAATGATACGATTTCTGCCTTCATATGGCTCCCCATTCAAGGGAGCATGTGGGGACAGAGAATAAAGTCAGCCAATAAATAAACATGATAATTTCAGATAGCAGCTAGTGCTATGAAGAGAATAGAACAAGAGAATAAACAAGATGATGCGGCTGAGGGGTACTTGCCTGGATGGGGGGTGCTTCAGATGGGAGGTTAACGAAGCCTCCCCAAGGGAGTGACAGTTGTGTTGGGACTAGAGCAACATACAGTTCGTGCAGAAGCATGTTGCTGGAGGAGGAACAAATGCAAGGGCCTTGAGGCAAGCATGCTCTGGGATGTTTGAGGAGGCCAGGGGAGGCCCCTGTGGCTACAGCACAGCCTATAAGAAAGGTGGCTGGGAACACTGATGCTCAGATCATGTCTGGGGATAGACAATCCGACTCCCAATTCAGGATGAGTCTTCGACACTCAAGAAGGAGAAAGGAAGGCCGGGCCACACTGAATACATGTCCAAGAGTCAATTAGTCCCTGTGTTTAAAGATCATAACCTCTCTTGCTCCCACATTCACACCAGGAGGAAGCGGTGACACATGCTGTCCCTTGTCCTGGAGGAGACCCTGCACCACCAGTCCTGTGTCTGCGACTCCCAGAACCGGATGGCCCAGGCGCTGTGTCCACGTAGCCCTTCGTGTATTGTATTGGGCCTCTTCAGTCACTGCTAGATTTTCCAGTATTGACCAACAGAATCTTCCCATTGGCTCGTTTCTTGGAAGAATGAGAAAGAGATGGGAAGAGGGGGAGAGAGCCTAGCTCCCCACATGCAGGTCTCTTTCCTTCCTCTCTCCCTGACCTCTTCCATGCGTGCTTCCGATATCCCCATGTTGAGAAGACAAACCACAGATAAAGTAGCCTCTCCTGGCCCACAGCCAGGGGCGTGGGTGCCTCCGTCCTGTGTGTGCAGACAGCTGAACAACCAGATTGTGACCTTGGCCTGGACTTCCTCAGCTGGCTGGAGATGAACTTGTTTTCAGAACTGTGAAACTTGACATCCTTTATCCCGATACCTTCAACTCCCAAGTTTGCTTGGCCAAAACAAGCCATATCTGCTTAATCTTTGGGGCTCTTTCTCATGGAAAAGGAGGCTGCTGCTTTGGCCATTTCCAAAGGCCCAGTGTCCACAGAGCCTTTCAGCACCACAGTCACCCCTTTGGACCCCAGGGGGGAGTATCCTGCTGTCATTTCAGTCACATTTTTAGACAATGAAACTAGATGGTGAGGAAGGGCCACTCTGTGCTGGCGCTCAGGCGAATTCAGGAGGGGAGCAGCCTGCGTCACTGCCCCAGGGACTGCTGGTTAGCCCAGGACTGGAGACCCATTACATTCCCAATTAGAGGCTCTGCCACTGAGCAGGTGCCTTCAGCTTCAACCCAGAGAGGAGCCCTGCTCTGCCCTGGAGGGGCCTAAGAAGCTTACATTATTTACAGTCACAGTTCACCTTTTATTGTTGATGTTGGTGCTTCCATTTGGTGTCAGAAATTTGCACGTTAAGGACTTTCTAAAGTGGGGGTTTTCTTTGGGCATGGGGTTGTGGGGAGCTACTGCCTCGTGCCCCCAATTTCACTGGGTCCCACTTTCCTTACAGCCTTCTCTCATCCTCTTCTTCCATGCATTTTAATTTAAGTTTGTATTTAGGGTCAGCATTTTGAAAGAAGAGTTAGCATCATTTTTAATTTTTAGCATCACGAATCTAATTTACTTGTTCCATGAGTTAATAGTGTTGGCTGCTTGAAGAGCACATGCCTTCTCTGTGAATTCGGCAGCTCCATCTGGGGTGATGGCGAGGGATGAGACCACTTTGCTGGGCCAGCCAGGGCCGGCCTGGGCTGGGCTGTGGCTCATTCAGGCTTTGGTTTAAGATTGAAGTTGGGGCTAGAGCTGAAGACGCCACCAAGGTCTGAGGTAGAGCCACACTTGGCCTCTATTACATGGCAGGGTTATTCCCATTCACAGGGTGGCACCCTTCTGCTCTGTCGGCTTTCCCAAGCACATGGATTTTTAAAAATATCAAGAAAGGAAAATAATAACAACCTATGGTACTGACAAAGTAGGAGGAGGGTGTTGAATTAGAGGCAAAGAAGGAGACCCAGAACTTCAGAAACCCAAGCACCTGCTAGAAACTTCATGGCGTCAGGACAAACAGAATGATTCCAGAGCCATCTGTCTCTACCCTCCCCCCATCCTCCTACTTGACACTTTAGGAGCCTTACTTGAGTGATAAGGATATTTTACCACAGCATTTTTACTTGGGCAACATACTTTATTGTTTAGTTCCAGGGAGAAAAATGGTCGATAGATTGATGAAGGCAAAATGACCTTGTTGTTGAGCAAAACCCTCCAGATCTCATCACCTTCAGTAGCACTGCCTTCACCTAAATGCTAGTGACCTTATTGTAATTGATTTACACAGGCTCTCCCCAGTGTGTTTGCATTGCATGTGGCATTTGACATTTCACAACTTGGCCTCTCAAAACTGGGATCCAGGATCAGCATGCACACTTCCAAAGCAGACAGTAAACATTCGTTAGAGCTTGCTCTTGAGCTGACATGGTGAGATCATACACAGCATCCTTAGTTGATGGAGTAAAAATGCTAATCAGGAAGAGTGTATGCCCCAGGAGACTCATAAAACAGGTTGCCAATAGGGTATGAATCAATCAGTCAATCAATCCATATTATTAAGCATTCTGTGGCCCCATTCCATCCTTCTCCCCAAATCAGTTCAGCTCTGGGAACTCAAATTCAGGAGCAGATTTCAAAAACGTTGAGAATCAACCAGGTGTTATGAGATGAGCTCACATCAAATGGTAAACAGTTCAAGGAATTGTACTATGGAAGGAGGCAGACAGAGCTTGGACAGAGACATGAGTAGAGATTTCTGGAGAAAAGCAGATGGAGGATTTGCATAGTTGGAGGGAAGTGGGCCGGCGGGCAATGACGATGGAGGCGACATGCTGAGTGGTTGCCTGGCTCAACCACTCTTCACTGTTTGAGCTTCACGGGTTCTACTCAGCCACTCTGGAGCCTCACCATTCTCCCTGCATGATGGAGCTAGTGACCCCATCTCTCAGGGCTACAGCGAGGTTCTAACAGGCAAAAGAGGTGAGACTTCTTTGTGAATTTTTCAGGAAAGAGGAGGAGATGCCTCCTCCTCCTCCTTGGGGGTTGGGGGCAGGAGTGGGGCTCACTCCTGTAATCCCAGTACTTAGGGAACCAGAGGTGGGAGGATCACTTGAGTCCAGGAGTTCAAGACCAGCTTGGGCAACCCCCAAGCTGGCAAGACCCCATTTTCAGGAAGAAAAAAAAAGTGTTGTGGGGTAGGAGTTGTGGTGGGGTAGGGGGCAGAACAAGCAAACTTTCAGTGATGGGAATGGGCAGCAAGGTCAAGACCAACTCCAACAAACTCCACAGAGGTGTTTGTGTTCTGGCTCTGGAGGGCTCAGCCCCTGCTAGGGCACAGCCAGCACATCCAGCTTCTTGAGCAATTAAGCCATTTCATCAATCACCTGAGAGCTGTTCCTTACACCAGACTACCAGGCAGGCTCCAGGGTACCTTTTGCCCCCATAAACAAAATTCCATCACTGATAACACAGACTCTCCTCTGCCTCGATATATTGCTCCAACAGGAATTCCAAGGCTGAGAAATGGCATGTATAACTTTCTCCTTATTAGGCAATAAAACATCCAGAAGTGTGAATGTATACAGAACAATTCCATGCATGTCAACCACATCTTCAGAATAGCTCTAAACTATTCTCAGCTTCCTTTTTCCTGCAAATGGTTTAAAGGATGCACTTTTTAAGTCCATACACTTGAAAGATAGAAGGACCCTGCCAGTGGGGTCTTTGCATGCAGAGGGAATACAATTGAAATTTCAGAGACATTGATAAAGAAGCTGGGTAAAAATCTGGCCTTGGGAAATGTGAAGTTCTTTCCCCACTTTTTTGTTTGTTTGAGGTATATTTACATTCAATAGAATACTCAAATTATAAGTTTACGGTTTTATAAATTCTATGTATATACTCATGTAATCACCATCCCAATCAAGATGTGTGGTGTTTTATCACTCCAGAAAGTTCCCTTGTCCCCTCCTCCTCCAGGTGATATCACACCACCTCAACCCTGGCTACTCAGAGGCAAACAATATTCTGATTTCTTTACTACAGGTTAATTTTGCCTGTTCTAGAACTTCATATGGGTGGGATGATGCAGATGTACTCGTTCATGCCTGGGTCTGTCACTCCACCTAAGGCTCTAAGAATCATCTGTGTTGTATTAGCAAGTGGTTATGTCTTCCTTTCTCCCACCCACCTGCCCTTTTTCTCTCCCCTTCCCTTCCCTTCTCTTCTTCCATTCTTCCCTTCCCTTCTTTTCCCTTCCATCCTTCTTTCCTTCTTTCCTTCTCTCTCTTTCTTCCCTTCTTTCTTTTGTTCTTTCTTTCTTTCCTTTCTCTCTTTCTTTTCTTTCTGCAGAATCTCAGTCTGCTGCCCAGGCTGGAGTGCAGTAGCACAATCATGGCTCACTGCAGCCTCAACCTCCTGGATTCAAGTGATCCTCCTGCCTCATCCTCCTGAATAGCTGGGACCACAACAGCTGTGCAGCACCATGCCCAGCTAATTAAAAAAAATTTTTTTTAGAGATGGGGTCTCACTATGTTGCCCAGGCTGGTCTCAAACTCCTGGGCTCAAGCAATCTTTCTACCTCAGCCTCCCAAAGTGATGGGATTACAGGTGTGACCCATTGTGCTTGGCCTGTTATTTTTTTTCTCGCTAGCATTTTATTGTATGAACATCCCTGAATCTGTTTACCATCCTGCTATTGAGGAATATGTGGGTTGTTCGCAGTTTGAGGCTGCTATGAATTAAACCATCAGGAATTTGTGCATATGTTCTGATTTCTCTTGGATAAACTCCTAGGAGTGGAATTGCTGGGCTGCACAATGATTACTGTATAGATTTTATTAAAAACAGAAAGCTCCAACGTGGTTGTGCCATTTCCCATGACTCTCAGCAGCTTCTGAGAGTTCCTGTTGCTCCAGATCCTTGCCAAGGCTTGGTTTCAATGGTCTTTTTAATTCTTGTCATTCTTATGTGAATGTAATGGTGTGGCATTGTGGTTTAATTTATGAAACAAAGGATAGTATTGTATTATGATTAAGCTTGGTTGCTTTCACCTGGGATACTCTATGGACAAAGTCAAAAAACAGCTGGTGGCTCCATGAGTTGGGATGAGTGGGGAGCTGCTAGCAGGGGTCTCAGTACACACAGCAGAGGTCACCTTAGAAAGAGAAGTGCCGCCAGGGAGGGCAGGGCCATGTGCCACTCAGAATAGCCCTCGTGGGAAGTCCTAGCCCCTCAAAGCCCTCAGTTTCTGGATTAAGCAGTCCGGTTAGGGATCAAGCAAGGACAAGGGGAGGTAGCAGGTCCTCTGTTCTCCAGGTTGACTCCTTTGTCTCCATTGAACCACGTGTCAGGATTGCAAAGGCCTTGCCTCACAGGGCCCACAGCCAAGCCCCACAGCTGACTCCCAAGGGCCTGGAGTCTCCATTCAGGTGTGTGTTGCAGGGATCTGCTCAGGCAAGTCGGCTGGGCCAGGCCACTTGCTGCTGGCTAAGATGGCCACCACCTGGCAAGAAGAGCCTCAGCCGGGCATGGGGAAAGGTTATAGTGATTGATGCAAGATCGATTTATTTCCCCACTGCCCAGTGCAAGGTCAATCCTGATAGACAGCCCTGAGCCACAGGGGGGCCACCCCTCGACCTCAATATCTCACTCCTTAAAAATCCCAAAGCGCAGGGAAAGGTCAGCTTGCTGGTCTTGGCCTCGTTCACAGCAGCTCCCTGGCACGCTGCCAGAGCTCTGCAAATCATGTCGTGGGTTCCTTTTGCCCCCTGCCTGTTTCTTACTCTCTCAGGCTCCCATGAGGGACATTTCAAGCCAACTCACTCATAATACATTTTAGAATGATGAGGAGGGTGACAATAGTGATGGCGATGATGATGACCATTTCTCGATTGCTTGCACAATGCTAGACTGACTCCATCATTTAAGTATCACAGCCACCAAGTTTGAAATCAGATCTCCAAACTACAGTGGAGAAGTGGAGCTAGTAGCTGAGAAACTTGCCTAAGATCACATTGAACATTGTCTGCAAAGGAGATCAGGGGAGCATTCTGTGAATGTCCTCAGTGATGGACGGCCTGGACGCGAGATGAAACGGGCAGAACAGTGAAGACATAACAAACAATCCTGGAGTGTGGTCGAGAAGTCACCAGGAGAGCTCTAAGTCCAGCAAAGAGGAGCAGGAAGCGTCTGTGGAGCAGCTGAGACCATGTGCTTCCTGGAACAGATGAGGCCTTGCAATCCTCAGATCTGCTTCTGACCTTTAAAAGTAAAACCATGTCAGACACCTCAGCTGTCTGAGTGTACTCACATGTAGGCAAAGAAAATCACCCCCGGCTGCTTCCACAAGGGCAGCTGGCAAAGCAACCACCATTCCCTGTGTGCTGTCCAAGACCCAAGCCTCCTGCACACTGAACTCTCGGCAGCTTCGTGAGACCAGGATTCTCCCTATTTGACAGATGAAGAAACCGAGACTTGGTCACCAGTAGGCATGAAGTGGTAGAGTTGGCCCTCAAGCCAGGCCTGTCTGATTTTGAAGGCCATGATCAACTTGGCATGCTATATTATGCCATGTCAATGTGTGAATAAATGTGTTACGTGAGATGTGCAAGCATATGCTAACAGCTTCAAAAAATAGCAAAAGAGAGACACCAAAATCCATTTCTATCCTTTCCTGGTTCTCCCGTCCCCCTTCTCAGAGACAATAGATAATAATCTTTTGAACATCATTCTAGGGATATTCCATTCATACACATATTCTATGCATAATTTTGCATAATGACCCTCTTACTCTTTATGCAAATAAGTACATATAATGTGCATTTTTTTTTCTGTACCTTGCTTTTCTCAATTAACAGGGTGTTTGACAAACAGTTCAGCATGAGTGCAGATGGACTTGACTCATTCTCAGTGATGTCCTGTAGCTTTGTATGGGTGAACCCCAATTTACAGAGCCATTACCCTTTTACTCTGCATCTATAGTGTTCTTCTCATATCTTTGGGCAAGTGTGAGAATGTTTGTGGGATGAATTCCTTGACAAGGAGTTGCCAAGTCAAAGGGCACACCCCTTTTTAGTCTAGAGGGATGCTGCTGACAGCTCTGCATGAGTTGCTCTTTCTACTCCCATCAGCAATGTTCAAGGGCATCGAGTTTCTCATGCAGAGCAATCACAGGGTGTTGTCTGACTCTGTAACGGAGCCAATCTGATAGACACCTCATCTGCATCGCTCTTATTATAAGTGAGGCTGGGAAACTCTTCATAGACTTTCAAAGCCAACTGTAATTTCCTTCCTTGTGATGTGGCTGTTCCCATCCTTCATCAGACACTCTTGGTGTCCTCTATCCTACTCTGTAAAGCTCCTTGCAAGAGGGCGATGGGTAGCGGGCTGGGGGTGGAGGCCATTGAGGGCTGCAGGAGTCTTGGACTCTAAGACCAGCAATGCATTTACCTCTCCATTAATCTTGTTCAAGACATTTGATCACTTCGGAGTGTGGTTTCCTTCTGAAAGGGGTTTAGATCAGAATAATGCTAAAAATCTATGGATCTCTAGTTATTGCACAGACAGTTGTGGCTGGCAGTTTATTATCTACTCAGAAGGAAATGGATCTGAGCTTCAGAAGAAAGAATTTAATTTAGATACTGTGGACAACTTCCTGATGTCTCAGGATATTAAACTCTGGAATGAATGATGATAATCTGGGGTAGAATATCTTTGTAATACAAAGAACTTTGAAAACAAGATGACTCATTTGTCCTAACTGGAAAAGTTTCCTTCTGGCCCTGAAGGAAACCCCTGGCTGGGGGTTTGAAGCCAGTGTGTACACAGGGGTCTTTGAGGGCCTTAGTGTGTGGTGGGCTTCATGTTCTTGTAGTTGGGTGCCAAGTTTATTGGCAGTGTTTGGCCCAATTACCTGTTTGATCCTGGAGTTCATGAGTTATCTAATTTCATGATTCAAGTCATTACACATGTTAGGAGCAGACACATTGTCAGTTTTAACTTAATTCCTAAAATTAGCATTATTGAAAAAGTGAACTGCAAGGGGAACTCCTGATTTTAATCAATAGTTCAAGTGAGCATGGTTAAAGAATGTCAAAATTCAGCAAAAGCATCCAGAGCCTCCACAACAATGACCTCTGTCAGACATTTGAGGCCACAAAGTGTTTGGGATAAGTGAGTTGTCCAGTGAGGGGAAGCAGAAACTGCTCTGAGCACTGAAACTTCTTTCCTTTTGATGGACATCATTGCCGGATACTTCGCATAGTTTCTTGCCTTAGTGAACAGAACATACTCAGCATCGTTTTGCCTTTTCTTAATAACTCAAGGTCCTATTAATAACATCCAATAGTAATTCAGGCAACTGACCCTGACCTCTCTGGTTTTGCAGAGCTCTCGAATACTAGCATTTGGGGGAAATTAAAATTGTCCAATTTGGCCTCCTTAACGTAGGGGAGCACTTTTTAGTAACCCAAAAAAGAGCCTAAAGAACTTACATTGACAGGTCTTTAGTGTCTGGGAGACCCTGGACACTGGAGCCAGCTGTACAGTGGGAGTCTTCGTTAGCTAACCACCACCTCCTCAACAACTGCCCTTTTGCCTTCTAATCTTTACCAAGTGCCCACCAAGCACCTACCATGCCCAGGCACTGTTCTCCCTGCTGAGGAGTCAGTGATATGCCAGGAAGCAGATGTGGTTCCTGCCCTCAGGAAGCTTGAAATCTATTGTGGTGACAGGTATCCAACAGAGGCCACCACAACTACACCTACAAGCATAGGTTGTTACATGCATGACCAAGGAACTATGTGGGGTCCCAGAAAAAAGAAGAGCAGGTGATGGTGGCAGGGAACCTGATCTTTGTTCTGGTTTCATAGATGTTTTACCAGGACATAGTTTCCCATGATTAGGGGGTAAATTGCAGTTCTGCTCTTCCTGATCATGTGAACATGGATGATTTAAAAGTCCCACCCAGAGCCTCCCACCGGCGGAAGCTCCGTGCTGGGAAAGAGCAGCAGAAGTGGGTCTCTGAGTGCTTTGCATGGAGTAACAGGTTCTTGAGCACACTGGAAGCTCCCAGAACATCACTGCATTGTGGGGAGAACCCAGGACTGTCCAGTGGGAACATAGAGCCTCCAACACCCACTTCATCCTCAGAGCTCTGCAGGGACAGGGGAGGGATCAGGGCCAAGATCCCCCAGGCACAACCTCATCCCCTTTCCAGGACCTTTATTTTGTGCTACAATTATAGGAAGGGAAAGACTAAAGGAAGAATCTGGTCATTAAACAGAGGGGTGATTTCAGGCCCTTGGAGCAAGAACGGTGCAAAGAATCTCTTTAGACTTGGAGGGAAGATTGGTTCCCTGCAATCCAGAGATAGAGGTATGTGGGTCAACTGTCCCAGAGTCCTGTTCTTATGTGTCCCGAGAGAACCTGCAAAAGGAGATGCGGCTCAGGGCTAACATGTGGTACAGGACCCTCAGGGAGCGGGGGAGGAAACAGGCCAGAGTGACCGCAAACAGCTAGCAGGCTATAGGAACCTGAGAAGGGAGCAACGCCAACAAGGTACGATGGGAATATGGAATATGGGGAGAGATTAGAGAAAGTCCTGGAGAAGACAATTCCCAGGTCCAGATCGGCTTCCAAGGCCTTCTTGGTGTCTATCTTACAATTACAGAAGAAGCCCCATTTATGAAGTGCCTACTGCATGTTGGCACCGTGCTAAGGGTTTCCAATACAGCCACAACCTGGGTCAGGTCTACACACCACTGGTGGGAGATTTCTGATGGATTGTGGGCAGGTATTTTTTGTTTTCATAGCTATGGGTTTACGGACCTTGGTAGGTATTAGAAAATGTTTTATTGCTCATGCAGTCTGGGATTTCACGGTCATTATTGACTAGGAGTGGGTTAAATTCTATAAAGTAAGTCCACCTAGAGTTGATTTAGAGAAAACAGTCTTGCAAGTGGTAGTCTGGGTAGGATGAAGAAGGGGCTGAAATCATAAAGGAGCATGCCAGTGGCTGTGTTTGGGAGACATTGAGCCTGCGTGAGGTTGAATAGCATCCTTCGGAGTGCACGGCTGTGAAGAGGCTGTGGGTTCCCATCCCAGGTCTGGCTGGGTCCAGAGCTGGAGCTGAGGGTGCCTGGGCTTTTCTTCCTGCTCAAGGTGTTGGCCCTGGGTACTCAGTGAGGAGACAAAGCCAGCCCACCCCTGTGCCTCAGCCCCTCTGGACCTCACCTTCACCCTTCTCTGCTCCCTGGACACCACAGTGCAGCTGAGACAAGGCAGCCTCAGGGGCACACACCCTGTGTCACCGGGTGGGTGGACAGAGCCCAAGAAGAGCCTGGAAGCACAGCTCATTCTTTGAGTGGAAAGGGTAGCAGGCAGGTTGAAGGGCAGTTCAGAGCATGAGCTTTGGCGGCAGGACTGGG
Organism: Homo sapiens; assembly: GCF_000001405.40. NCBI lineage: Eukaryota > Metazoa > Chordata > Mammalia > Primates > Hominidae > Homo > Homo sapiens. Next base: position 59,381,342 of record NC_000020.11, read on the forward strand.
ATTCAGTTTCAGGTCTGGCTGCTCCTAACCCGGTGGTCTCTGGCCAGTCCTGCCACATTCCCGAGCTCCAGGCCCCCCTTTTATAAAATAGGGCAAGTTATGTGCTCCCTGGGCTGCCTTGGAGGTCAAATGGAGTCAAGGGGTTGCCCTGTGCCCCAGCCTCAGAGCAGTGTCTGCAGGGCCCCAGAAAAATAATCCCTTCCCCACCAATCGCTGGCTGATGGCCCCTGCCCGCCTTTTCCTTGGATGAGGACCTGGAAACTGGAAAGGGCCAGGTTTTTGTCAGCCCTTTGGTTTTGGGCAGTGCCTGGCACCAGAAAGACATTCTTGGGACAGGCGACAGGCCAAGGCTCTGAGGAGTGACCCTCACTGTGGGGTGAGCCCTAGGGATGGGTGCCCAGGAAGGGGCAGAGCCGAGGAAGGAAGGCAAGGCAGCAGGGCCAAGGGAGAAAGCTGCTGCGCCCCAGGCAGGACAGAGGCCAGCCGCTGGGAGAGCAGGGCTTCCCACCCCTGCCCAGGCAGGAAAGGGACCTCTGCTCCCTGGCATCTCCTCTGTCCTGTGCAGGAAGCTGGGAGGGCCAGGGCCCGGCAGGCAGTCATCACCGCCTCATTCCTGCTTCACCCCGAGTCTGACAGGTGAGGACCCCATCACTTTCCCCGGGAAGATGAGCCCGCTAATAACCAAGTTCAATAAGAGAATCAATTAACATGCCTAGTAGCAGAGCTGCTTACCCTGCCTCTTCCTGGCAGGTGCCTGCTAGGGTCAGATGCAGCCCATAATTACAGCGTCAGGTTTGCAGCCTTTTTCATGGTAATTTGTATATGTATATATATGTCTGTGTATATATAAATATATAAAGTGTGGTTAAAATGGATGCTGAGCAGAGGTCCGGGGTACTGGCAAAGACGGACGCGTTTAATTTCCTGCATGCTTGCTCTGGCTTGAAAGCCTGCAGCTGTGTGGCTGCTGTTTCGGAGCGAAAAACACACTGTTCTAGGAAACCACCTTCTCCGTGATTTATCAACCAGCGTTGTGGGAGCCAAATTAGTTGTTGATTGTTCTATCGAGTAACTCAACTTCGGCATTGAAGGATCTGGCGCAGGGAGGTTGGAGGTTTGACGACCAGCGGCTTTCTCAGAAGTAGTCCTTTCTGGAAGCAGAGCCCATGCACAGGGGAACCGGCCGATGGGCTAGAAACCCGGGCTGCAGAAACCATTAGCTTATGTTTCTAGAGAGAGCCTTGCGGCTGTCTCTCAAATGTCTGCAGCTCCGGTGGCCCCCCAGGGTGCCTTACTGGGCTGCGGGCCTGGGCTGTGCTTGTGTCTGCCTGTGGGCATCTGTCTACACAGCTCTGCCAGGCATCTGGAACTCTCTCTGGCATCCTCCCTCTGCAACCCAGGCCAATTTGAGAATCTGGCCTCACCCCTGTCGATGTTTCTCCTGCCCCTGTGCCCCTACCACAGGTGGGGCGGATGGGAAGGCACAAGGGGGTTTTCCAAGGCTGGAAACGGGGCCATGATAATTCAGGAGGTGGCTCCACTCCAGATGTCTCTGGCCATCTTGCTGTTTGGTGCGCCTATCCCGCTCTCAGGCCACACTCGCCCTGCCTAGTCTCCAGGCCTCTTCCTCAGGCTGTGCCCACTATTCAAGGTATTCCCCCTCCAGGCCTGAAACCCCCACTGCTCAGGACCCAGCTCCCAGCCCACCTCCTCTGGGAAGCCCTCTTTGAGGGGGTTCTAGGCTGGGACTGTTATGACCTCCCACTGGCACGTTGGCTTGGCTCCTGGTACCTCCTGTGTCCCCATGTGGTGAGAGACAGGTGGCAGCCTCCCCACATGTGTGTGTGCATCTCCTGAGGTGCTGAGCGCATGGGAGGAGGGGAAGCAAGCTCACCGACGCTGGGAAACCTGTCCTCCAGGCCGCCTGGTTAGAGTTTGCGGGGCAGGTGCAGCCCCAAGGCCCGTGTCTCTCAAGTGAGGTCTCCCAGCTCCCAAAGTCGTTTTCTCCTGAGGAACCATGCTAAAAATGCTGGTTCCAGGGCCCTGACAGAACCATGCTCTCAGGAGCCAGCACTCAGGGTGCCTGGGCTTTTTCTTAGAAGAGGTCTGGGATCTATTTCTGAAATAAGCTCTCTCAGAGAAATCTGACAGGTGCAGAATTTCAGAGCTACAAGCTGAGACAATGGCAGGGGCCTCCAGTAGCCGCCTGTCTCTGGGGCCCCTGGCCCACATGAGGCCCCTCAGGCCCGCACACGGTCTCCCTCCAGCTCACATGGCTCCACACACAGTCCCTCTGGCTCACACACAGTCCCTCTGACCCACACACGGTCCCACTGGCCCACACACCTCTCTTGGCTGCTGAGGTTTTGTGCTTCCACCAAGCCAGGGGACTGTTCTGTGGCCCTGGAACCACCGTGAAAGCAAACAACCCTCGGCTGTGTTGGGAGACAGCTCCAGCTCCTCCATCCTCAAATGTGAGAGCTGATGATTGGGGTGGAGGAGGAGGTGAGTGGGGAGGGGGTGGGGGAGAAGGAGGTGATGGGGAAGAGATGAGTGGGCAGGAGGTGAGCAGGGAGGAGGTGAGCAGGGATGAGTGGAGGAAGGAGGTGATAGGGAGGAGGTGAGTGGGCAGGAGGTGAGCAGGGAGAAGATGAGCAGGGGGGTGGTGAGCGGGGAGGAGGTGGAGGGGAAGGAAGTGATGGGGGAGGAGGTGGGGGGAAGGAGGTGATGGGGAGGAGGTGAATGGGCAGGAGGTGACTGGGGAGGAGGTGAGCAGGGAGGAGGTGAGCAGGGAGGAGGTGAGTGGAGTGGGGATGGGAGTGGAGTGGCGGGAAGGAAGTGATAGGGAGGAGATGAGTGGGCAGGAGGTGAGCAGAGAGGAGATGAGTAGAGCAGGGATGAGTAGGGGAAGGAGGTGATAGGAGGTGAGTGGGCAGGAGGTGAGCAGGGAGGAGGCGAGCAGGGAGGAGGTAGAGGGGAAGGAAGTGATGGGGAGGAGGTGAGGGGGGAAAGAGGTGGCGGGGGAAGGAGGTGATGGGGAGGAGGTGAGTGGGGAGGAAGGTGGGGGGAAGGAGGTGATAGGGAGGATGTGGGGGAGGTGGGGGGGAAGGAGGTGAGGCAGAGGAGGGGAGTGGGGAGGGAGATGAGTAAGGAAGTGATGGGGAGAGGGTGAGTGGGGAAGTGGTGAGAGGGGAGGAGGTGAGGGGGCAAGGGAGGCGATGCGGAGGAAGGAGGTGATGGGAAGGAGGTGAGTGTGTAGGAGGTAAGCAGGGAGGAAGTGGGGGGGAAGGAGGTGATGGGGAGGAGGTGAGTGTGTAGGAGGTAAGCAGGGAGGAAGTGGGGGGGAAGGAGGTGATGGGGAGGAGGTGAGTGTGTAGGAGGTAAGCAGGGAGGAAGTGGGGGGGAAGGAGGTGATGGGGAGGAGGTGAGTGTGTAGGAGGTAAGCAGGGAGGAAGTGGGGGGGAAGGAGGTGATGGGAAGGAGGTGAGTGTGTAGGAGGTAAGCAGGGAGGAAGTGGGGGGGAAGGAGGTGATGGGGAGGAGGTGAGTGTGTAGGAGGTAAGCAGGGAGGAAGTGGGGGGGAAGGAGGTGATGGGGAGGAGGTGAGTGTGTAGGAGGTAAGCAGGGAGGAAGTGGGGGGGAAGGAGGTGATGGGGAGGAGGTGAGTGTGTAGGAGGTAAGCAGGGAGGAAGTGGGGGGGAAGGAGGTGATGGGGAGGAGGTGAGTGTGTAGGAGGTAAGCAGGGAGGAAGTGGGGGGGAAGGAGGTGATGGGGAGGAGGTGAGAGGGGAGGAGCTGAGTGGGGAAGGAGGTAATGAGGACAAGGTGAGGGGAAAGGAGGTAAGGGAGGGGAAGGGGAGGGAAGGAGCTGAGCGGGGCAGAGCATGTCTCCTCTCTTTAAGCATCCTCTGTATTCTGCAGAGGCCAAGCAGTCTGGATGTTGGCCTTCCTCAGTGGCCCATGAAATAACTTTGCTCCCCAGATTCTGAGCATGGGTTAGAACACCAAGCCCCTGAGCAGCCCCATCTCTGGGCTAGGGCAGGGAGGGCAGGGTCCCCTTTCAGCCTCACACCTGGGATGCACTCGTAGGAACCCGCCAGGTGTTCTGCTCAACTTAAGGTCTCAAACACCAGCCCAGGGCATTGCCACCTTCCCACAGTCATGGTGATGACGAGCTTGGAGTCCTGCAGATGTCAAGGAGGGACAGGGCTGCACCCCTCACCCTAGCATCACTCCTAGGTCTGCAGGCCACAGAGGGTGGTGCTGGATTCGGTGGAGAAATGTGCATTTGCACTGGCTGTGCTCTTTACCGTGCACCTCTGGGCAAGTCCTCCTAGGGCCAATGGGAGGAATCGCAGAGGCTTAGACATGCAGCTGTCTTCACCGCATTCCTTCCTGCTCCCTCTGCTGTGACAGGCTGCTTCCTGCCTGGGAGCTTTGAGTTCAGAAAGCTGTGAGCTGTTTTCAATTCAAGGGGCAGGTTCTCTCTCTCTCTAAGGGTCCCTGTAGACATAGGAGGGAGGGCTGGGGGTGAGTTCAGTAGGGAGGCTTCAGACAAAACCCAAAGAGATGAGCTAGTTTCCTTCCTAGTTAGCCTAGGTGGCCAGCGCCCTGTGGCCACTCGAGCACGTGTCTCTCCTCGTCTGCTCCAGCATGGGGCTGAGACTCCTGTTCCAGGATTGGGGCTGTCGCTGGTCTCGCGTTCCTTCTTCTTGAAACTCAGACAACCCACCCCAACCTGACCTTTGGACGTGCAGGGCATCTGCTCAGAACAGGTTGTCCTCTTAGCCTATTGTTCAACCTTGCCTGGTTGTCCCAAACCTTGAGCCAATCTCTGTAGCCTCAAAGAATCTTAGACTTGGGAGGGAGGGTGGCCCGGAGGACCTCATGTCCTGCATTTGGGGACACAGACACAATCACGGCCTAATTAGACACAACTTGGCTCCCCTTCCATAAAGCTTGTTCCGTTTCACTTCCACCTGTGCTATTTTCATGTTTGTTTCTAAATAAATTCACCTCTTAAAAACATTAAATAGATTTCTTTACGCAGGGTCAGAAGTGGGAAATCATTACTCCTTGCCGTATTTAATAGACGGTAACTGAAAAACAGAAACCAAGTGTTACTAGCTGGAGACCCTTGCCTGAAGAGGATTCCGAGCCTGAGTCCAGCTTTGTTCACAAGGAAGGTTGTGAGTGTTCAGGGCCTGTGGATATATTAGACAGAGATTTTTCCTGTCATCGTAATGCCACGCTTTAGCAAATTCTGACCAAGTGCAGCCCTTCAAACTCCAGGGGGGAAACTGAGACACCAGGTAGAGAAAGGAGAGACACCAGGTCAAAGGGGAGTCTGATAGCTGGGCTCAGACACCAGCTGGAGCTCTTCTCCACACCTTTCCATTTCACTCACCCCCTCCCTCTGTGCCTCAGTTTCCCTCCTCTCCATTAGTCCAGGCTCAATAGCCATACAGGTGGCAGTGGTGGGGATCAGGTGTCAGAGAGGAGCAGCAAGCTCTGTCTCAGCTCCATGGTGGTCATTGGGGGCCCTCCAGTCCTCTCCCTTTGGCTGATGATGGCTGTCTCCACGTGTCAGCCACAGCAACCCTGTCCCCAGACACTAGCTGCTGTTGGAAGAGAAACATGCAAATTCCATCCATTCTCCTCAAACACAAAAGGGAATGTTTAAACTGGAGCCAGTCAGGGGTCGGGGGTGGAGGGAGTGGCCTCCATGAGGAATGCATGATAAATCCTCTCGCCTGGCTTCTTGGCTACATGAACAGTTTTATTTTTTCTCCCAACCCCTCCCAATTGTCCTCATGTTGGGCACTGTTTTGTGTGCCAGAAGGACAGGGAGAAGGACAGATGATGGCCCCACCGTCCATCACAATTCTGGCAACGCAGAAGGCCTAGAGAGGAGGCTCGGGGGGGCTGGGGTGCAGGGCTCCAGGGTTTGTGGGGAAAGCTGTTTGGGAGTCACCACAACATCCATCATCAGCTGTCATGTGCATGCTGTTCCACCTCTCTGTTTATTTTCTGAGCATCTCCAAGAGCCTGGGACACCAGGACAGGGCATGGCGGGAGGAGATGTTTGTGTTTCTCCAAAGAGAGCTTACCGTCTTGTGAGGTAGCAAGAGAAAATGCTGAGGAGGTGCTGATCATCAGGTGGGAGCTCCCTGTTTTGGTTCAAGAGGGGCCATAACAAAGGGTACAGTTAACTGCAGCTGTGTAGTGACAGGATAAGGAAGTTTCCTTCTTTCCTTACAAAGACAGACTAGGCAACAACGCGAGACCCCGTCTCTACAAGAAAATAAAATAAAATAAATTAGCCGGGTGTGGTGGTGCATGCCTGTTGTCACATCTGAGGCTGAGGCAGAAGGATGGCTGGAACCCAGGAGTTCGGGGCTGCAGTGAGCTATAATGGCACCACTGCACTCCAGCCTGGGTGACAGAGTGAGACCCTGTCTCTAAAAAACAAAACGAAGAAAGAAATGCCCAAATGTCTCACCCCCTGCACATTTTTAGAGTGCTTCTCAGTTTTTCACTGCCAACTTGGTGTCCCTAATGGGTCTTGGCAGTAGGGATGGAAAGAAGGGGTGTGGGAAGTCAGTAAGAGAAGATAAATTGCCCCAAAGTTATTAATTCCATTAGTTCATAGGGCCATACCCCTTTCCTTTCTCTCCTGAGCGGCACTTCAGCTCGGAAGGTACAGGTAATCCCTTAAGTGCTTCATCAAAGAGAATAAAGAACATGGAGCAATCACTCCTTGGCTGAGATATTAAAAGAATAAATTCAGGTTGGGTGCACCACCTTGGTTGTCAAAGAGAGGCCATATATCACACCTAAAGGACATTCACCAGTGTCAAAAAGAACGAGCTGTCTTTCTCCCCAAGGGAAAATTGCCTGTGGTGGAGGGAGATTCATTCAACTGGGTTTTTGCAAGTCAGGTCAAGAAGAGGAGGGTGCGACCAGGTTGATCACATCTGAAATATGATTGGCAGACAGCTAAGTGACCTCGGTGAGAAGGGAAGTAAATTACCTTTTGGTTTCAGGTTTTCTGAAAAGCTGTGAGCCAGGCCCTTTGGCACAAAGTACATGCTAGGGGGTCACCTCCATCATGGGGAGCATCATCTGGGGCTGCTGGGGTGGTCAGGACCCTCACAGGGATGCCCCTACCTGCTCAGAGAGCTGCTGGCTGGCCCAGAATGGGCGCTGGATGCTGCAGATGCAGTTGTCAACACAGATGTCCGTCATCAACGCCTGCCTGCCCTGGAAGCGAGGTTGGCAGGAGCAGCTTAGGGTCTGACCTAGGCCTTCCCTGGGAAACCTACCTTCATCCCAGCTCTGGTCTGCATTTTCCACAACAACCAGAGACCCTTTCCAAACACAGCTGGGAGGCCAGGCATGGTGGCTCATGCCTATAATCCCAGCACTTTGGGAGGCCAAAGTGGGTGGATCCTTTGAGCCCAAGTGTTCGAGAGCAGCCTGGACAACATGGCAAAACCCCATCTCTATAAAAAAATAAATAAATAAAATTAGCTGGGCATGGAGGTGTGTGCCTGTAGTCCCAGCTACTAGGAAGGCTGAAGCAGGAAGATCATTTGAGCCTGGGAGGCGGAGGTTGTAGTGAGCCAAGATTGTGCCATTGCATTCCAGCCTGGGTGACAGAGTGAGATCTGCCTCAAAAATAAAAATAAAAACACGACTGGGCCATATCACGCCTTTGCTTGAAATCTCTCCCATGGCCCGTGACTTTTCTTAGGGATAAAATTCAAGTGAACTGTGAATGAGTTATAACCCCAATACTATACCATTGCCCCAGGAGTCTCCCACAAGACAGAAGACAGCTCTAGGAGTTTCCTGGGGGCTGCTGTACCAAGTGACTACAAACTGAGTGGCTTATAACAAGAGAAATGTGTTCTCTCACCATTCCAGAGGCCAGAAATCCAAAATCAAGGCGTCAACAGGGCCAAGCGCCTTCTGAAGCCTCCAGGAGAGGCTCCTTCCTGGCCTCTTCCAGCTTCTGGTGGCTCTGGGTGTCCTTGGCTGGTGGCCGCATCCTCCCATCTCTGCCTCCATCCTCTGCCTCCGTCCTCACGTGGCCTTCTCCTCTTCTCTGTGTGTCAGGCCTCACTCTGCCTCTCTCCTGCAAGGATGGCTGTCATTGGATTTAGGGTCTGGCAGGATAATCCAGGGTGATCTCATCACAAGATTCTTCACTTAATCACATCCACAAGGACATTTTCCCCATAAGGTCACAATAACAGATTCTAGGGATTATGATGTGGACACATCTTTTGGGGGTTACCATTCAACCCATAATAGTAGCTGGTTGTTTAAAGCTGGGGTCCCCAGGAAGCAGACCCTAGACAAGGCTTTGAGGGCAAGCAGCCGCTCTGGGAGGCAATCCCAGGTAACAGCCCTAAGACCCCGAGAAAGCGGTAGAGAGGAAAGAGTGAAGTAATGCTCTCAGCGCATCACAGCAGCGAGTGACCCAGGCTGGTTCTCACCAGGGGGCTCTGGGAGATGGTGCCGGGCAGGCTGTGGGGCAAGGAAACTGGGGTCTCATTCAACTCCCACCATCCTTGGCTCAGGGCTGCTTCTGGGCATGAGAACTCCATGGTGCCTCCAGTTATGGGAGATCCCAGAGGAGAGTCGCTGGTGTTCACAGAAGGACATTGTTGGAATGTTCTGGAACTGAGTGCCAAGGGCATATGGGCACGTACAGCAGCATCCCTGACCCCAGTCCTGGCGAACTCCCCTTTCTTTCTTCCTCCGGGCTCCAATGTCACAGGATGCTGCAGAAGCCCGTGTGGGCAGGACCCAGCCCAGATCCTCAGGGCTTCCCTGGGACCCCACACGATTCCTCTCCATTCATAAGCTCCCCCTCCCAGCCTCTGCCTCCTCCAGCCTCCTGGATGGATCTAGGTGGTCTCCGATTGGTGTGCTCGGGACACCATATTAGTGGAGGGAGGGAGGTTTAGATCCTGCTGGGGACAGGGAGAGACAGAGGCCGATGGTGGTCAGAGGGGCCATTTGCTGTTGCCTCCTCCCCCTGAAGGTGCCAGGGCTAGAGGTAGCTGGAACATCACCTGGGCTTCAGGTAGTGGTGTGGCCTCAGCCTTCCAACCCCAAACCAGATATGCCTTTTCCCCTGAGCTGACAGTGGGAAAGTTGGCTCGGACCCAGAGGATGGAGTCCCGTCTGTGTGAACACAGCAAGCAGAGATACCTGCGGCCCTGGAGGCAGCTTGGTCCAGGAAGCAGAAGCCTGGGCTACACATGGTATGAACAGTGATCTGCATTTCATTAACTCTGCCCCCAGGCTATTGGCTGCCACCAAGTTTGCTGTCCTGGTGAGGAGCAGGCAAGGGGTACAGAGATGGGAAGCAGGGCCCCGTCTGGCATTTTTACCAGGGGTGACGCTGCTTCTTCACTGAGCCAAAGTAGAAACTGGGCAGCAGAAGGAAACGGTTCTCCCTAAATAACCTTGGGCAGCTCCTGAGCTGGGTACGTGGCTCTCCGATGCCACATCTGTTCTTCCTGCTTCCAGCAAAGACTCCAGCCCTGCTTTCCATCTGCGACCTTCAGAATGGGCTTGACTCCCCACCTGGAACCACAGTGGGTGCAGGACCCAGGCTGGGTAAATCAGAGTCAGCCATGGGTCAGAGATGGACACATGGCCCAATCAGGCCACTGAGTGTCAAGCCCTGGGCTCCTGGCAGAATCTGTGCAGAAGAATCTCTCTCTTTCCTCTGGCCGCTAACATAGGCGACACAAGCCTGGAGCTCTTGTGGCCCCTGTGGCCTCCTGAGCAGAGCTGGGCTGGGAATGAGGCCTCAGAGAGGGCACTGGAGCCGGGAGGTGGAGAGACAGGGGTCTGATGATATTCAGCAGCCAGATCCAGATGTGAAGCCCAGCCTCTCCTCCGGGACTTTCCGGTTACATGAGCCAACAGATTTGCCTGCTTCGAGTTGAGTTTCTGTCACTTGCAACCTAATGAGTCCTGACTATGGCAGTTACTTAACCTCTCTGAGCCTCAGTTTCTGAGTCTATAAAATGGGAATAAAAGTGGTACTTTATATGGTTGTTCTTACATACGATGCTCTGAGGATGTAGTTTGTGAGAAGGCAGTGGGAATGCAGTAAGTTTAATCAAGGTTTGTTGAGTGAGGGAAATTCAGGAAACTTCTGTCAGTCACTTTAGCCAATTTGAAGCTCTCCCTTTTTTGTGCAAAGACAAACTACAGCTTACTCAACTGGTACTAATTTATCTAGGTTCAGCATTTGATTTTATTGGGCCTTGGATTTTCATCTATTTTGTGTCTATCTCATTGCTCCAAACTAGTACAAGCTCCTGAATTGCCAGGGCCACTTCTTATTCCTCCTGGGATGATCAGGTTGGGCGGGCCAGGGTGCTGCTTTAAAAGTCAGATTTTGCTTCTTTAGTCTTCCCTATTGTTAATGAACAGTTTTTGGATGTCACTTTGTGCCTAGCTTGTTCTAAGTGTTTATGTTAGTTAAGGGTTTTCTGTGTCTATAGAAGGAAAAATTCAAACTGAGTTAAGCCCAAACTAGACTTTGTTGGCTCACATAGCTGAAAGGCCCCGGGGTAGCTGCCTTCAGGCCTGGCTGGACCTAGTAGTTCCAGTGTCATCACAGGACTCTAAGAACTGTCATGGCTCTGCTTTTTTATGTGCTGGTGCCAAGACTATCTGTTCCTGGTGGATCCCAGCAGCCCCAGACTCATGGGAAAAAATGACCATGTCTTTCCCTTGGTCACTCTAACAAAAGTCTCAGAAGTAGCCCTGATTGGACAATCTGGGTCACATGCCCATCTGTCAATCAATCACTGTGGTCAGGATTATGCTGACTGACTGAGGGCTGAGTTGCAAGCCCCACCCCCTGCCCTGCTCAACTACAAGGACCAAGAAGGGGAATGAATTCCTCTGGGAACATCAGCATGCAGCTACTAGAAGAAAGGCTAATGGATGCCGAGCCACCTCTGTGGCCCTTGTCACTCAAATACTAACAAGTTGCAGAAGTAGGTACCATTACATGTTGCATATGAGGACAGATGAGGCACAGGGAGGGTAAGGGACCTGCCCAGTGGCACACAGTTGATCAATTGATAAGAAGACTCCAACCCAACTACAAGGTTCTTTGTAATGACCTCAAAAAGAATTTTTGCTGTTGTTTCTCTGCTTTCCTCTGTTTGTGATTCCCTCACACCAGCACAGTGCAAGACACACAGTAGGCCTGAAAACACTGCTCATTTGAGTCCATGGATGCCTCTTTCTGGTGTTTGTGTGATTGTTTACTCCTCAGGGTTTCCAATGACTACAGAGTACGGCCAACAGCAAAACACACCAATTTTTACTGCAAATTAGTTTTTGAATAAATGATATATAAGTTTATGCATCCTAATTAACCAAAAATTATTTATTACAGCAATTAAAATAAAGTTGTGTAAATGACTGCAATTTTAAGTTCTTGACAAAGCAATAAAGTCCATTACTATTTCTTGCCCTGCCGAGGCTCCTGGAAATCCTGCCAGCTGCTCAGCTGTCCCGCCCCCCGTGAAGATTGCAAGGAGCAGAGTCAGAGAATTTATTGAGCTGGGTCCCCTGGGGAACTGACTTCAGGCTGGAGGCCCTCAGGCAACAATCAGCATCTTCTGACTTAGTAATGCCAGGGAGGGTATTAGAAACCACTAGACTCCTCAGCCACCCAGACACAAAGATACAAGGTGGGGTGATGTGCATGTCTCTCTTCAGGACAGCCCAGAACAGCCAAGTCCGTTCTGCCTCTAACTCTCCTTCCCCTTTTGCTTTGTCCTGTGACTTGCTGGGACCAACCTGAAATGCCCCCTCTTCCCAAACCAACATTTATCCATCCATCCATCTAGTCATCCATCCGTCTAGTCATCCATCCGTCATCCTTCATCCATCCATTCATCCTTTCTTCCATCCATCCATCCATCCATCCTTCCATCCATCCATCGTTCCACCCACCCAATCATTCATCCATTTATCACCCATCCATCCATCCATCTGTCATCCATCTAATCATCTATCCTTCATCTACTCATCTGTCCACCCATCTCTCCAATCATCCATTCACCTAATTGTCCATACATCCTTCCACCCATTCATTCAGTCATCCATTTATCCATCCAATAATTAATCTAATTATCACAATTCATCCATCCATCCATCCATCCATCCATCCATGTTACCATCAATGTACCATACCCCAGGTGCATGTTTCCCATTTAAGTGTCCTTGGGGGCATAGTGACTACTGCAAAACTCCAAAGAGAGCTGTCAGCCATGGGCTCAGCCAGGGATCCTGGGGAGTGCCAGGAAAATTCCCCTGGGAAACACCAATTGTTGTCCCATCCCTAGCCCTACAAGTATTCTGGGGGAGGCTGAGAATGAGTAGATTCCTTTTCTCTATGTGGAGAGGAAGAATGCAGGCAGGAGAATGGCATAGAAGAAATGAAAGGCATTTTAAAGAATTTTGGGGCCATAATCCAAGGAAGTAAAACTGGTGTGGAGCCTGCTTCTCATCATTTTCCAGTGGAGGGGAGCACGAAGCATGGTTGGATTTCGCAGATATTGGATGGGACATACTTGTATTAAAAAGTATGTTGTTTATTTGAAATTCAAATTTATTTCTCTTCTTTTATTCTTTCTTTAGCATGATCTGACAACCATAAGCTTGCAGACCCACCTGGGTTCTGCCTCTTGTGAACAGGTAACCTTCGGTGAGTCACTCTGACACTTGGTGAGCCTCTCTGACACTCACCTTTCTCACCTATAAAATGGGGATAACAATAAATACCTCGGGGAGTGTAACCAAAATTGCCCACCACTGGGACCACATAGGTGGTGGATTGTGTAGAACAGAAACATGAAGGGCTCACCAGGAATTCCAGGTCTGTAGACTGCAGGACAGAGGCCTCAGCCAGAAGTGCTCAGAATCCAAGTTCGACAATGCTCCGCCAGTCACAGGAAACATCTGTGGGGCAACTGTGGTCCCTAGGCTGCTATTTTGTAAGCTCCCATTTTTCTAGGGCTGTCCAAAGGATGACATAGGATAACATGGTGATATATGAACCCCAAAGGTTCGGCGCACCGAGCCGGCATTGCACAAATGGCAGCTCCAGGGCTCTCGGGGCAGAGATCAACTCTATTGTTTTCAGCCCCTTCTCTTGCTCCCAATGCTCCCCCCTGCTCTCTCTCTTTTCAGGACCTCCCCTCTCCCCTACCTCATCTGTTGCAGCAACTCCTGCATCTACAGATGTCCACTGACTGCTTCCAAACCCTACAGCTCTTCACATATGGGAGAAAAAGACTTGGCAGTTTCTTAAGGGATACTCACAAAAGACCATGTTGAGACTTGGGTTTTGGAATGAGACAAACTTGAACATGGACTTGACCACTAACTCTTTCAGCAACTCATTCTGTGCCAGTGGGCAGCTCATTCAGCACCTTCGCATGCAGTGCCTGTGAAATAAGTACTGAAATGAGGTGAAATAAATACTGAAATGAAATAAGTGTGAAATAAGGTCTGGAGCTCCGAGAGCTGTGGCCAGTGCTCCATAAATGCCAACAGTGACCAGCAGGACCAGCAGTACTACATGATTCTCAGAGCCACAAGGGCCCTCAGAGCGGACTTCCTCTAGCACAGTACTCATTGGAGGAGAGCTGGCTTGATTTGCAGCTTTCTCTAGCTCTTAGCTTCTGGGAAACAAGAGGTCAGAACAGGGTGACTGCTTGCTCACCCTGTGTGTAAGAAATTTTACAAGAATGGGAACTCCATTGCAGACTTGTTGCTTGTTTCAAAACATTCATCCATCTACGGTTTTTCAGGATGCTGACTTTAATCCACTATAAATGTGTCAGTCAAAATCCTTTTAGTTGCAGGTGATAAAATTACCAGCTCTGAGTAACTAAAAGATGGGGGTTGACTAATTGTGTACAACAAGCAGCCTGGAGAAGGGGAGTAACCCGGGGCTCCTGTGTTTTGCATGTTTCTGCCTTGCCATCTTCACAGTCACAAGAAGGTTGCCATAGCTCCAGGCATCATGTGCTTACACCATAGTATCCTACACAAGAAAGAAGGAGGTACAAGCCAAAGATCTTTCTCTTTATAAATCTCTCTTTATTCTTGGGGATAAGCTCTTCCAGAAGCTTCCTAGCAGATTTTCTTCTGCAGTTCAGTGTTGGGAAGTAGGTCACACACCCATCCCTACACCAAAAACAAAGAAAAATAAGATGGCAGTGGCTTAGACCGATTTGCACTTTCTGTGATTGCTGCACAAAATCAGTGTTCTAGTCACAGGAACAATGGAGGAATGACTACTGAGTGGACGGTCAGTATTTCTGCCATTTGTAATAATAATGCAGATAAAAGTAGCTTCCATTTGCGGAGGACTTACTATGAGCAAGTCATCCGGTTAAAGGCTTGACTGAATGACATTAGTTTCTCACGATAGCCCCATTTTGATCATACAAGAACCCACTGTTCTTGTTCCCATTTTCAAGGGAGGCAAGTGCATTCTGTGGGGCACCTGGTGCTGGCTGTCCCTGAAGCTGTCCCTGGTGCTGGCTGTCCCTGAAGTTATCCCTGATGCGTGTCCCATCAGTCAGCCGAGGGTGGAACAAAAACTATGAAGCCACCAATGACCCCACGCTCCCCCTCCACTTCCCAGATTCCATGCATCCTTGCTCAGGTCTGGCAGGAGAAGCCAAGAATAGACCCTGCCTTGCTGGTGCCCAGCAGCAGCTGCAGGAGGAGGCATGGGTCTGCCCTCTAACTCAATTGCATGTTTCGACCATGTTGCAACATTCCAGGCCAAAGGCAGTGATTTCTAATCAACAGGATTGTGTCCTTGGTCCAGGCCTTTCTGGAGCACTTAAAGTGACTGGTGACAACTGTTTCTGTGGGTCCTCTTTCAGTCTTCATTCATGTGGGACATTTTGACTGGGGAATGGTTTTATGCCTTGGGCCTCAAAAACGTTCCAGGCGTTTTGGTCACAGGAAAGTGACCGCCAGAAAAGAGGTGGGGACAACTGAGACTCATGTGAGTCTGATGGAAACTTGGGGGGAACAACGTGTTAGTACTTGGACCTATTTCTGAGCAATGGAGAGGAAGCACGCAAACACACTTGTAAGGCACCTACACCATGCCGGGTCTGTGCAAGGCAGGGAGCTGAGCAGTGGCCACTCACCTGCTTGGGCCTCCCTTCTAAAGCTGCAGCCTGTCCACTTCTCTCTGTTGGCGGAAGGCAGAAAAACCTCTCTCTCTCCATTTCTTTCTGTCTCTCCATCTCTGTCTTTCAGTCTCTGCCTTGCTGTTTCTGCCTTTCTCTGTCTCTGTTCTCTGTGTCTCTTTGTCTCTGTCTCTGTCTTTCTGTTTTTCTCTGTGTCTCTGTCTCTGTGTCTATTTCGGTCTTTGTGTCTGTCTCTTTTTTCCATCTCTCTTTGTCATCTGTCCTTCTCTCTGTCTCTGTTTCTGTCTTTGTCTCTGTTTCTCTGTCTGTGTCCATCTCTGCCTCTCTATCTCTTTTTTATCTCTCTTTATCTTTCTGCCTCTATCTCTTTCTCTATTTCTCTCTCTGTGTTTTTCTTTTATCTCTGTTTTTCTGTCTGTGTCTGTCTTTCTCCCTGTCTCTGTCTCTGTGTTTCTTCTGTGTCTCTCTGTCTCCGCCTCCTTATTTCTGTCTCTGTCTCTTTCCATCTCTCTCAATCTCTGTGTTTCTTTTTTATCTCTGTCTCTCTTTCACAGCATGCACACACACACACACACACACACACAGGTGGGTCTTTAGGCAGAAATGATTCTTTTTATTTAACCAAGAATGAATTGGGCTGAAACACACACATTTTTGCCATTTTCAGTTTATCAAAAAGTATATGTACATATGTGTGTGTGAGTGTGTATGCATATGTGAGTGCCTCTCTAGATAAAGTGCTTCTCCCCCTCCCTACCTTCTGCCTCTGGGTAGAACACACTGATTTCTAAATAGCACCAGGAGACCCACACACTCTGACCTGCCTGGTCTGCAGGGCCAGACTTGCAGGTAGCTGTGTCTGTACAGACACAGCTGTATGTGTGTGTGAGGCCCAATCCTCTCTCTCTAGCAGAATGAGGAGATGTATCTTTTTTTTCAGGATGGAAAACTACTGCTCTCTGAGCCGTGCTCTCCTGTGTGGGTAGAAAGATGCCTCTCTATCAGGACCAGCTCTAGGCCGCGCGGCCTCTGTTTTATTTGCTAAGGATCTGCCTTCTGAAATGCAAAATCATCTTTGTTTATTTGGGTTGGTTTGTTCCTCCCTGCAATGAGAAAAAAATATATAGTCTTTATGCACACAGAAAAACATATCTCCTCTCTGTCTCACACTCTCTTTGATACACACACACACCACACATGCGCGTGCGCGCACGCGCGCGCACACACACACACACATTTTCCCTTCTTTCACTATGTGCCACTGGGAAAACAAACCCTTCATTCCTCGTTATTCCACACACGTAGAATAATGTGTGTGTCTCCAGGCAGAAAGTCAGAAAGTCTTTTCTCTCAATCCCTTTCCTTTTGGCCCCCCATTCTTACACATGGTGCACACACACACGCACACACACACACACGCACTCACAGGCTCCATCACTGGAAAAACTGTCTCCCTTCTTTCACTAAAGATGCACCACCCAAAAAGCCAGCACTTGATCTAGATGCAGATCTGATTGAGCCAAACTTGTGTGCACACACTCTCTCACGCACATGGATGCACACACACACTCTCACACACTTTCCTGCATGCTGAGAAATGAATCCCTGAAGAAGGGAAGTGTGTGTGTGTGTGTGTGTGTGTGTGGTGTGTGTGTGTTTGTCAAAAATTATTCTGTCTCAGAGAGTGGGTCTCTGAAGTCTTTATTACTGGATGGAAATACTGGCTCCTTTGAGAAAGTTTGTACTAGGGAGAAAAACATACGCATAAATTCTGTCTGTTGAAGAGGAAAATTGTGTGTGTGAGTGTGTAGAAGGTAAATGTCCTTTCTGTGTTGGTTTGTTTCTCTCTGCAATGAGAAAAAATGTTTTTATCCATGAAGAGAAAGTGTCCCCTTTTCCCCCCACACCCCCTCCACATGCACGCACATGTGTACACACACACACATTTTCCCTTCTCTCACTGAATATGTGCCACTGGTGAAACAGACTCTATTTCTCAGTATGCAGAATAAAGTATGTGTGTGTCTCCAGGCAGAAAATCAGAAAGTCTTTTAATCTCTTCCTTTCTCTTTCTCTCTCTCTCTCTCTCTCAGAAAAGTCTCTCTCTGAAGGTTTCTGACACTTGGCAAATAGGCACCTCCCCCACCACCGGACAGAAAAACTCAGTCATGCTGTGACAGCAGGAAGATTTTGTGTGTGTGTGTGTGTGTGTGTGTGTGTCCACGTGCATGCAGGAAGATGTCTGTGTCTTGTTCTGTCTGTGTCTCTGAAAGCAGACATGCAGCAAGTCTCTCTCTCTCATCCTTACACACACACACACATTTCACAGGCTCTATCCCTAGGGAAAAATCCCTCACATCTCCCTTTTCTCAGTAAAGATGCACCACCCAGAAAGACAGCACTCGATCGGATCTGCGTTTGGACTGGCAGAAAGCTGCCTAGCAGGAGTCTCTGGGGGTCTCTCTCACTAGCTCCTCATCACCAGCAGCAGCGACGCCATCCCCAGCTAAGCAATCCCCTTGGAGAAAGCCCCTGACCACAGCCCCCGCC